>NC_000016.10:87021959-87663236 GCF_000001405.40 Homo sapiens
TGACCCTTGCTATAAATAACAAAAGCATGCCAGACAGAAGCAAACTTTAATTTTTTGAAAAAAAGGAACTGTAATGACCGACTTCAAAATGAGCTAAAAGATATTGATGAAATGACTAAAGTCATGAAAGAACAACATCCGTTGGAATCAGGAAATCTCACGAAGGAGGTGATGGGAGTCCAGGAGGGAAAAGAGTCACTTCATGAATGGAGACTAGAGACACATGGGGAAAATAATCATAATTGATACATTAGAGGTAAACAGAGGAAGCTTTTAAAAATCCTTTTTGGTAAGGATTTGAAAAAAATTTCAAAGTTAGGCAAAGAAAAGCCAACATACAGATAAGGAGCCCCTGAGGAAGAAAGCCAAAGAGAGAGAAGCAAGCAAGTGGTAAACCCATAACTCGAGAAAATTTCCCTAAAATTAAAAACATTTGAAATTATATATTAAAAGAGCATACTGTATACCTGATAATATCAATCCAAATGACCAGTAAAGAAAAAAAACCCTGGACTTTGGAGGTAAATAAATAACTCTTTGCCCAACTAGGCAAAAAGAGGATGACTTGCAAAGGAAAAAAAAACAAAATTAATCTTCACACTTTTTGACAGCAGTACATTGTGCCAGAAGAAAATGGAGCAATGTATTTGCAATATTCAAATAAAGAAAATCTAAGCCAACGATTTTGTATTCACTAAAGCTAATCTTAAAGAATAAAGAGGCTGGGCGCGGTGGCTCACACCTGTAGTTCCAGCACTTTGGGAGGCCAAGGCAGGAGGATCACTTGAGCTCAGGAATTCAAGACTAGCCTGGGCAACAGGGCAAAACCCCGTCTCTACAAAAAATACAAAAATTAGCCAGGTGTGGTGGCATGTGCCCTGTAGTCCCAGCTATTTGGGAGGCTGAGGCAAGAGAATTGCTTGAGCCTGAGAGGTGGAGGTTGCAGTGAGCCAAGATGGCTCCATTATACTCCAGCCTGAGCAATGACAGTCAAACACTACAGAAAAGAAAGAGAGAAAAAATAAAGAAAGAAAGAGAGAGAGAGAGAGAAAAAGAAAGAAAGAAAAAGAAAGAGAGAAAAGAAAAAGAAAAGAAAAAGAAGAAAAAAACAGATTACAGATAAACTATAATCAGTGTGCAAGAACGCAGGGAATATTGTTCCCATGATCTCTTAATGGGCAGCTGCTAGAGAATGGGCTTCAGATGGTAAAATAGTGGAAGTGACATTCTCCAAGGGCTGGTGCTGAGCAGTAAATATAGAATTGCAGCCATGCACTGCAGAATGACATTTTGGTCAACAATGAACCGCATATGTGATGGTGGTCCCATAAGATTGTAGTGGAGATAAAAAAAAAACTCCTATCGCCTGCCTGCCATAGCACACAACGTGTTACTCACATGTTCGTGGTGGTGCTTTTACAATAAAGATATAAAGAAAATATTTTTGTACAGTTGCACAATGTGTTTGTGTTTTAAGATATGTATTACAGAAGAGTCAAAATGTTTTTCAAAACCTAAAAAGTTTATAAAGTAAAAACATTACGGTAAGATTTATTATTGAAGAAAGCAAAAATTTTAATAAATGTAGTCTAGCCTAAGTGTACAGTGTTTATGATGTCTATAGTAGTGTGTACTAATGTCCTAGGTCTTCACACTCACTCACCACAAATTCACCCAGACAAACTTCCAATCCAGTGAGCTCCATTCACAGATAAGTGCCCTATAGAGGCATGTCATTTTTATCTTTTGTATTATATTTTTACTGTACCCTATTTTTAAATATGTTTGAATACACAAATCCTTACCACTGTGTTACAGTTGCCTACAGTATTCAGTACAGTCTCATGCTGCCCAAGTCTGAAGCCTAGGGGTGCACAAGGCTCCGCCATCTAGCCTGGGGGTGCGGCGGGCTCCACCATCTAGCCTGGGTGTGCGGCGGGCTCCACCATCTAGCCTGGGTGTGCGGCGGGCTCCACCATCTAGCCTGGGGGTGCGGTGGGCTCCGCCATCTAGCCTGGGGGTGCGGCGGGCTCCACCATCTAGCCTGGGTGTGCGGCAGGCTCCACCATCTAGCCTGGGTGTGCGGTGGGCTCTGCCATCTAGGTTTTTGTGCATGTACTCTGTGATGTTCTCACAACGATGAAATCACCTAATGACAGATTTCTGAGAATGTATCCCTGTTGTTAAACCAAGTGTTGCTATACTTGTATAACCTTATTAGATGACGGTTAAAAGGGGTAATGGCTATAAGCTCTGACAAGGTAGATAGAAGACAGCCAATAAGAAAAGGGGAAGAGAGAGGGCTAGCTCATGCAGAGCAAAAAGTTAAACCATTTTTAGGTCTTCTAATTGGTGGTGGTAATATTAATATTGTTATTTTGAGATCACTGTATGTGTAAAGTTAGCTAAAGCGTATTAGCAATTATGGAATATTGCAATGATATCAACTCTTATATCCATGATAACCAGAATTTTCAACGTGGAAGAAAGAATATATAAAAGAGATTAAGAAAAACTCTGTAGTCCTGAATTGGAAATAGAACGATCCATATGAACACAAGAAGCATTTATTTAGGAAATACCTAGAAACAAAGACTAACTTAGTAACAATCCCTAACACCCAGACTGTGGTTTAAAATATCGTTTCTCATTAAACACACCAGGGCTTCGTGGAGAAATGGCCGATCCTAGATCTGGAGAAGAAGTGTTCCAGATGAGTGTGGAGTAACAGACACACCACTCAGAAATAAGGCACCAAGCGCTGCTGGGATCCCATTAGAAAGACCCAGAGACACCCTGAGGTTCCCTGCTGGTCAGTATGAGACAACCTGAGCTTCAGTAAGGATATCAACTGCAGTGGGTGGAAATTCATTCAATATATTTAAATCTACATGTTCATGATAATTCAAAACAAACAAAACCCTACTGGGTCACCTTTTGAGAATGAGAACGAATCCATTTATAATATTCAGAATTTAGTAAATTCTGGGTAAAAGGAAAGAGTCAATTATTTATCTTCCCTTTCATATGTGAACTGTACAAATGATCACAGGAGTGCATCTCTACGTCAACTTACTTCCACTCATAAAACGAAAACGCAATGAGAGAATTAGAATATCACGATCCTGCAGCTCTCAATTAATGGAAGTAATTAATGGAAAAACATTAAGCATCGATGACTGTTAACAGCAAAACAGAGTGAAAAACAAGGAAAGAACCTAGAAAGGAAAAAGAAATCAGAACTCTTTTCAGTAGGCAGGAAACACGCAAATTCTGGAAACGCTCACAACAATAACAGTATTTCCAGCAGATACTCAGGTGTGTGAAAACAAACCTGTACAGGTCTAAATGATATACTAACATTTGATTGAGGCAAATTAACTCGTCTCATGCCTTGTAAACAGAACTTTTCAATAACCAAAAAGGAAATAAAAACTCTAAATTCATCTCAATCTCATTTTCATGACGGTCACCCATCAAGTGTGGACTACAAATTTGTATTTAAGGCATTTTATTGCCAGGGCAATTCCATTGTCTTTCACATCTATTTTTGTTTTTGATCATTGAGGCAACTAATATTGATTTTCAGGAAACAAATCTACAACAGTTATACCAGCTTTTGTGCTAACTGCAAAGTGAGTGTATCCCAGTTCAGCGTTTCCAAGCAGTGAGGGACACACTTGTGTGACTCAGCCTGAGCTCCTGACATCTGCGGGTTCACAAGAGAATTAATTCTGCAGGAAAAGGCCCCTGCCCTTATTAGATTTTACTTGGCTTTTTAGTAAATCTCATTCACTAACTTAATGAGAAACAAAAGTCATGTGATAAAAAAGTCACAAGCAATAAAATGTTAACTAAATTTATACAGCAGAGGGCTTGAAATTTTCCCTCCATATCAGCAAAACTGAACTCCACAGTGGAAACAGGAATTGCTATAAATGGCCTCAGACCTAAGCATGGGGACCTTTTTTATATTCAGGATGTAGCTTATTCCAGAGAGAGCACACACAATGTAGACATTTGAAGTGCTAGAAATGTGTCTAAATCTTTACTAGTTGGGAGCAGTAATAATAACCCAGATTTATTGCATACGATATATGTGCCAAGCTATCATAACAGCTTTAAACACATTAACTCCTTTAACCTTATAGGGAAGGTTATTATTATGCCCATTTTGCTAATGGCAAAACTGAGGCCCAAAGGGTAAGGGGACTTACCCGAGAGGGACTTATTCTCAGGGAATAATCGGCAGCGATGGGGTCCAACCTCTAAGCCAAGGCTAGAATCTCAGCACAAACATGACCCCCAACACTAAAAAATTAGGGGAGCCTGGCTGGGTGCACTGGCTTACAACTGTAATCCCAGCACTTTGGGAGGCTGAGGCAGGTGGATCACTTGAGGTCAGGAGTTTGAGACCAGCCTGGCCAACATGATAAAATCCTGTCTCTACAAAAGATACAAAATTAGCCGAGCATGGTGGCGCATACCTGTAGTCCCAGCTATTCGCGAGGCTGAGGTAGGAGAATCCCTTGAACCCCAGAGGCGGAGGTTACAGTGAGCTGAGATCGTGCCACCGTACCACCGTACTCCAGCCTGGCGACAGAGTGAGACCCCGATTCAAAAAAAAAAAAAGGGAGCCTGAATTACAGAATAATTCCAAAAGAGGATTGCCATGGAGGAGGAGACAGTGCCTCCCCAGACGGGCGCTGGGACCCCAGCGGCACCACCTGCATCTGAAAGACAAACGCATTTTCAGCCGCCTCCTTCTGATGAGTTTTATCACAGTATTTCTTCTGAATTTCAGTTACCATCCGAGACTGAGGCCTTCAGGCTCCTCAAAAGAGAGCATGGACATTAACATGGAGATGCCTTTGTTCAATATGGAATTCCATGACCTGGCAGGACATTTTCATGCGACAAGTTCACCTTATCCAGTGCAACCCCATCAGCTGCTGCGGTGGGTAGAGGAAAAAAGATGTTTACAATTAGCACGGCCATTGTCTAGATGGAAATTGGTCCTTGTGATAAACGGGCTTAAGTATCATTTGCAGTACACTTGCTAAGACCTGGTCTCACTCCACCATCCCAGGAGCTCTGAGAGGTGGCATCATTATGGTCTCCTGTCCTGGTGGGACAAGCCCGAGGTGGAAGGACATGCCCACACTCAGGCGAGGGCCCTGCGGGGAATCCACACTCAGTGTTACACACACACACACAGCTCTGTCCGCCAAGCTGTTCAGCAAAAGCCCTCCCAGGTCATCTCAGCCAACCAGAGAGAAAAGGGCTCCTGTGTGTCGTCTGCTGCCGTTCCCCAGCCATGGGGTGGACATCTGCTTCTTGCATCCCTCACCTCGATATCCTCTTCCCCAAGGGGCAGTGATGGCTCCTCCACGGCAGGAGGGCCCTGAAGTGGGGACCCCAGCTCCCAGCTGCAGGTCGGGCATGGGGTCCACGTTGGACCCATTGGATCACTTCTTCCCGGACGTCAGCACGGGCATGGCAATCTGTGGAGCCAGCATAGCGATGGCCCTGCCTGTGCAGTCACTGGACTCAGGTGCATAAGGCCTGATGCCGGCCAGGCTCCTACTCCCGGGAGGCAGAAGGGTTAGCTCTTCCTTTGAATCAGCTGGGTCCCAGTATCCTTCCACAGAATAATTGCTTGTTCTTGCTTCTTCGTGTGAAATGGAGAATTAATTGGGACTCCTAGCTGCAAGTACCAGAAACCCATCTCAAACCAGCTTAGCCAAAAAGGCCATTGTTGGCTCCCACAACCAGAAAATCTATGGGGTTGGGTCTGGCCTCAGGTGCACTTGGGTCCAGGGACCTAATGGAAGCCATGCAGAATCTGCCTCTTTCTCTCTCTCTCCACTCCAGCTGTCTTGATTTCGTTCTCAAGTCAAAATGAACCTTGGAAGCGCAGGTCTTCATGGACCATAAGAGTTGGGGGTCCCAGCGAAGGGGGTACAGCTTTCCCCATGGCCCTGGGGAGAGGCTGGGGGGGACGGGTTGGCCTGGATGGTCCCACATCTGCCTGGGGACCTGTTACCATGGATGCGGAAACTCTGGGTATCCAGACCTGGGACATACACTGTCCATGGCCCCAGAAGCAGGGCCAGCCTTCCCAGAGTCACACAGATCACTGTGGAACCAAGAGTTGACTCTCTCAAGGAAGGGAACCTAACAAATGAACCTCCTCTAAAAAGAAGGTTACTCCAGTTATAACTAAAGGGTCCTATCTGAGACTAGTCACACTGACTGCCGCAGTCTAAGTGGTGGAGATCCTGAGATAAGTCAGAGCTCAAGGAAGATGGAGTCGTCACAGAGCTTCCAGAAAAGACGGTCCTTGGAACTTGGATAGCTTGAACGGGAAAGGAGCCGTCTGGGTTCCTGGGGTCTGAAGAAGCCCCACCTCCTGGGTCTGGGGGTGCCTAGTTGGCCTGTGGTAGAAGACGCCACCCAGACCATCCAGAAGGAACACTGCGTCCAGGTTGTGGTCACCCTTTAAGTGGCAAGTAGAGAATCCCACAGAAAACCAAGAGCCGAAGTCCACTGCCTAAAGCAGAGCCTCCCTAGGGAAGGGTGGGTTTCCACATCCTTTGGCAGAGAGAAGACATCAGAGCAAAACCCAATGCCCCGGCTGGGATTGAAGGGCCTGCAGAACAGAATCACAAGGAGAGGGGCTGGATGCCGAATGACAGCTCCGCCCTCGCTGCTATTTGTCCTCCAGAATCCCAGCTGAGAACCCTGGTGCTACCACTCTCCCCAGCATCTCTGTCCACAGACATTTCATTTCTCTCCTATCAAACCATAGGCAGAGAAGGCCACCCCTTGAGAGGACTCAGCTGACAGCTGCAAAACCAGTCTGACTACGGGGCTGGGAGCTCATCTGTGGCCAGCAGGGAGGCTGGGCCCCATCCTGGCCTCTACACCCACATGGTGGCCCTTCCACGCCCCTCTCCTCCCCACTGACCACCACCTGTGGCTCCCCATGGAAAAGGCCCATCCATCGGCATCAGGCAGACTTGCTCAGCACCTCTGGGGGCTCCACCTCAGCCTCTTGGAGGAAGCACCAAGAGGTCGAGGCTCCAGGCCCCCCATCACCTCTCCGCTCTCATCCTCCACCACTCACCTGACTCCAGCCACATCGGCCACCCACTGCCCCCAAGCAGACGCCTCCCCCAAGTGCCCTGGGCCCTCCACTCTTGCCCACCAGCTTCTGCTGAGGCTCCCTCCAGGGCCACACCTGGGACATGTGTGAATCGGGAGCTAATGCCCCCAAAGGCAGCCTCCTTTGCCTTCCCCAAAGGCAAGTGGCCCAGCTTTCTCGCCCTCTGGAGCACAGCACTGAGGTGGTTCAGTATAGACCCAAATACCCCCAGAAAGATGAGCTCCAACTGCCCAGCAATGTGCTGCCCCTTTGCGTAGGCTTTCTTGGTCCCTCCTCTTCCTCGTCTCCCCACCCCACACCCAGCAGAGCTTCCCACAATCACCTCCTGGAGGAGGAGGTTTGGGTCCTTGTCTCAGGCTCTGCTTCAGGAAGCTCCAGATGGGTGAGGATTTCTGCCTATTTTCTCCCACTGAACCCCCAGTACACCTGCAGGTACCCTTAAAATGTAATTAAGAAGATGACTCTATTAAAATGCTTCGGCCTTATCCTCTGAGAATCGATGCTATTATTCAAAGTGGATGGGCCAATTTGCATGTCAGGAAGCTTGAAGGATGGTGAGGAAAAAAAAATGACTTCCCAAGGGCACATGGTCAGTAGCTGGTGAAGACCAAGGACTCCACCTCCTGTCTCCAGACCATCAGTGGAGGTGTTTCCATCAGGCTAAGAGGGGAAAACTGGAGTAAAAAGTGAGAGGTGACCTACCGGGGAGGTAGAGAGGTGTTTCCACCAGGATAAGAGGGGAAGAGTGGAGTAAAAAGTGAGAGGTGACCCAGAGGGGAGGTAGACGCTTGTGTTTACAAGTGTAGTGGTTAAACCACTGTGGTTAGAGTTGCCTAAGAAACATTTTTAAAATGTAAATGCCACCAGGAGTGGTGGCTCACACCTGTAATCCCAGCACTGTGGGAGGCTGAGGTGGGTGGATCACCTGAGGTCAGGAGTTTGAGACCAGCCTGACCAATATGGTGAAACCTCATCTCTACTAAAAATACAGAAAATTAGCTAGGCGTGGTGGCAGGCGCCTGTAATCCCAGCTACTCAGGTGGCTGAGCCAGGAGAATCGCTTGAACCCAGGAGGTGGATGTTGCAGTGAGCCAAGATGGTGCCATTGCACTCCAGCCTGGGCAACAAGAGCGAAACTGTCTCAAAAAATAATAATAAAATGCAAGTGCCTGGGCCCCACTGCCCAGAGATTCTGTCTTAGTCCATTCAGGTTGCTGTAGCAAAATGCCTTAGACTGGGCCATTTATAAACAAAAGAAATGTATTGCTCACAGTTCTGGAGGCTGTGAAGTCCAAGATCAAGGTGTTGGCAGATTCAAGGTCTATTCCTCACAGACAGTGCCTTCTATGCATCCTCACAGGAAAAAGAGGCAAACAAACTCCCTCAGGCCTCTTTTTTTTTTTTTTTTTCAGACAGAGTCTCACCCAGGCTGGAGTGCAGTGGCACAATCTCAGCTCACTACAACCTTCACCTCCCGGGTTCAAACAATTCTCATGCCTCAGCCTCCTGAATAGCTGGGATTACAGGGGCATGCCACCACAGCTGGCTAATTTGTTTTTGTATTTTTAATGCAGACGGGGTTTCCCCATGTTGCCCAGGCTGGTCTTGAAGTCCTGGCCTCGAGCAGTCCTCCCACCTTGGCGTCCCAAAGTGCTGGGATTACAGGCATGAGCCACTGCACCCAGCCTCCCTCAGGCCGCTTTTATAAGGGCACTAATCCCATTCTTGAGGGCTCTGCCTCCATGACCACATCACCTCTTAAAAGCTCTTTCTTAATACAATTGCACTGGAGATTAGGTCTCAACATGAATTTAATGGGGGGCACAAACATTCAGACCATAGCAGATTCTGACTTAATGAATCTGGGGGGACCCAGACATCTGTATTTTTAAAAGTTCTTCTGATGTTTCTAATATGTAACCACAGTTGGGGAACATTAGATGAAAAAAATCACCTTGCAGATTTTGCTCCCTAATACCCAAGTAGGTTATCTTTTTCTTCCTCATTGCATTGGTTGGGCTGTTTCATTTTAAAAGGAAAAAACTCAATCCAACAGGCATATACCAAAGGAGGGGGTAGTGATGAGGACTCAGGGTGTCTGTGGAAGTCCAGGATGAGGCTGCAGCAGGAACTGGAAGGCCGTTGCCCACCCCAAATTACTGCTTCTGCATCCAGCCCTCTCTCTGCCTTCTCTGCTTCTCCATCCGCAGAGCCAAGAGGGGCAGTCTTCAGGACGCCCGTGTGCACATCTCCCCATGAAGACATCAGCGCAGCCTGGGTCCCACAGGAGGCTCTGATCATACTAGTGGGGGTGGGGTGACCTCCGGGACCAGTTAACTGAGGTCAAAGGGGTGGACCATAATATGGTTTGATGTCTGTGTCCCTGTCTACACTTTGCATCAAATGTCATCCTCATTGTTGGAGGTGGGGCCTGCGGGGAGGTGACTGGATCATGGGGGTGGTTTCTCTGGAATAATTTGGCACCATCCTCCTAGTCCTGTTCTCATGATAGAGTTCTCACGAGATCTGGTCGTTTACAAGCGTGTGGGGCCCTCCCCTCTCTCTCTTCCTCCTGCTCCAGCCATGTAAGATATATTTGCTTCCCCTTCGCCTTCCGCCATGATTGTAAGTTTCCAATTAAACCTCTTTTCTTTATAAGTTACCCAGCCTCAGGCATTATTATTATTAATTTTTTTTTTGAGACCGAGTTTTGCTCTTGTCGCCCAGGCTGGAGTTCAATGGTGCAATCTCGGCTCATTGCAACCTCCATCTCCCAAGTTCAAGCGATTCTCCTGCCTCGGCCTCCCAGGTAGCTGGGATTACAGGCACCCATCACCATGCCTGGCTAATTTTTTGTATTTGTAGTAGAGATGGGGTTTCGCCATGTTGGGCAGGCTGGTCTCCAACTCCTGACCTCAAGTGATCTGCCGCCCTCGGCCTCCCAAAGTGCTGGGATTACAGGTGTGAACCACCACACCCAGCCCAGGCATTTCTTTATAGCAGTTCAAGAACAGACTAATACAGACTTCTGTGGTACAAAAACAGCCTCCCAGGTACTGGTGACTGGTGTTAGAGAGCTGCTTGCAGTCTACCTCATCCCTCTCCCACCAGCTCACACCCCCACAATACTCTTTTTCTTCCAATTGTCATAATATTTTGCTGTATCTATTTACCATTAACCATACACTAGACAGCCTTTCCTTTTCTCCTTTTAATAAACTCACTTTTTAAACTTGAATGTGGCCATTTTGTAGGCAGTGGCACCTGTGAAGTCGAGGGTTGCAATGTGTTCGAAATGTTTCAATAATGCATATTTGCATATGCCAGGCCATATTAGAGCTGGAGGCAGAAGGGAAAACATCAATAATATGGATGCTACCTCTGTTCAAAATTTCAGTATTTTGTTCATCGGGAATATTTTTGCATTTTGATTGTTTTACATTGGATTAAATTATTATGTATCTCAATGATTATGGGGGTTTTTAATGTCCTCTTAAATTTTCACCCAAGGCAAGCATCTTACCTGCCCTACTTCAGTTCCAGTCCTGCAGAATTATTTAAGTGGAAGCTCGAAATAATCATGCCCGTGTCACCTGAGACCTCTTGAGTCCCACACTTTGGAAACACTCACTTCACCTGCCTAAAATAGAATCAGTGAAGCAGAGGACGCCTTTCATGTCTGCTGGTGCAAATCCCTCTCTCCCAAGTGAGGAAACTGAGGCCCAGCGAGGTCGCAGTGACAGGCCCCAGCCCCACAGCCGTTTGATGACAACTTCACATCGGAGCCCAGTTCAGTCCGGACACTTTGCCTGCACCTGATTCTTCTGTCGCTTCATTAATCTTATGAATAAGGGAAGAAAAAAGTAAGGGCTATGGCCTCAGCTTTCCATAACTTTGCTTTATTTCTGGAGTGAGCAATCCAGCCCCGGCCGAAGGAATCATAAATCCCTCTGGGAAAGAGCCCTGGAACTCCTGAGCCCACGCCAGGGCGGCCCCGGGGGGCACAGGGCTGGCCAGGGAGAGATCGCCCTGCATGCCACTTCCACCACCCAAGCCAGGACCCGACATTTTTAGGCAGTGACATCAGAGTGGAGTGAACAGAGACCACCCTTGAAAGGAAAAACAAGTCACAAAAAGGCAGGCGGGGGATGGTAAAAGGGACCGGGCGGGCCCTCTCCTTTGCCTTGGCGAACACGATAAATTCAAGAGTAAAAATAATCTCGAGTTACATAAGGGAGTTGCATTTTAATCCCATCACGGGGTGCCAGCCCTGAGGCCAACAGTAAACGTGTCATCCCCTGTGAGCCCCACAGCAGCCCATGGGGGGAAGGTGCTATTTTATTCCCATTTTACACAAGAGAAGACCAAGGCTCAGAGAGGTTAAGTGGCTTCTCTGCAGTCTTTCACTCAGTAGAACATGGCCAAGATTCAAACCCTGGCTGTCGGAAGCAGCAGACGCCCTTATGAGCAGGCGGCGATGACTCTCACGGAGGAAGCCCCCTCCTCTGCTGGAAGGAGGCCCCCAGCCATCTGTGCCAGAAGTCATGTTCCCCAAATCCCCGACTCTGAGAGCCACAACATTCCAAATCCTCCATTGCTCCAAGGGGTAATCCCCCTCCCTCCCGCATGGACCTCCCGACTCCCGTCCCCCAACCAGCAGGCTACCAGACCCTTCCTTTCCAGATTCTCTCTTTTACCAGGTCAGTCGAAATCCCCAGGTGGCTGGGTCTAAGCCCCAAGCTTGCACCCCTCATGCCAGAAAGAAGTTGGCCCCTGAGCGGATGAAACTCAAGCTGGCCCTATCCACCCACGTGTGAGATTCCTGCAGAATTATGTGCATTTTTTGGTGGGGAGAGTGGAGCTTAAATATTTCTGATGAGACTGAACTGGAGCTGCCTGGAACCATTCTCTGAATTGGATCATCTACCCAGATGCACAACCTCACCACTTATCTACTAACCGTCAACAAGGAACTCACATCACGGCTTGGCCAAGAAGCACACCACTCTGCGAATGTACACAGTATCCTTCCAGAAGCGGGGGAGGCAGCTGCCGTCCCACCCAGAAGCCTATTCCCTGCTCCGACCAGGTGGAAAATCTGCTCAACTCAAAAGGTCAAACCTAGTTTAATTTTATACCCTTTTGTTAAGAATATGCCCTTAAAAAAACCCAAAAAAACAAAATAAAAACACTTCACGTTTCTTTCCAACTGTTCAAAAGTTAATTCATGTGGAAGAAAAAAAAAAAGATTAGGATAAAATTTCAAATATTAAATTCAAATGCAGGATTAATGACTTCTATTTCTAAGCCCAAGAGGTTGTCTGGAATTTAGGGCATTTTTGGAGTAGTCAACACCAGACATAACCAGATGCGGTTGTATTTTGGACCAAGTCAGCACAAATTTAGCACCTTGAAAGACTATATCCACATCTGCCTTAATACAAACAGTTCCCCCTTTCTTAAAACTCTCTGTCCAAAATGAATTCAAAGCCATCAGCTTAAAGACAAAGACTGAACACTTTTTAAATATAAGTGACGGTAGCTGACAAATGCGAGGCCTGACTCACACCTCCTTCCCACTTTAACCCTTTCTCTGCTTTCACCCTCCTCAAATATACACACACAGGCCCCAAGGACAGCACGAAAATGACTAATTTGAAAGAAGGAAAAATCAGGCTCTCCATAAAGCATGGTCTCTCCAGAGTCACTAAGTACTGTAACAAAACATGCCTCAAGTTCTGCCGATCCCAAGAAGTACTGAAAAAAAATCACGTATGCGAACCCTATCTGGGCAATTTTTCCAGCCCAGTGTGGTTTGGATCATTTAGGAGAAATTCCGAATAGGAGTCTGGATGATTTATCCAAGTCCTCAGATGAGCATACTCAAAGAGCATCCCCTCATGCTATGGCATCGGCAGGAACAGGACGATGGGCATGGGACAGTGGGACGATGCCCCAGGGCTGTGATTCCAGGCCCTGGCTGAATGAAGTGTCCTGTGGGACATCAGCAACACTTGGCAAAGAACTTCATGGTCCAATACGCTTGGAAAGCACAAGGTACTCTAAGACAGGGCTGGCCAACCATGTCCCGGGGCCATGTTGGACCCTCCACGTGTTTTTATAAATAAAGTTTTATTGGAACACAGCCATGCCCATTTGATTATAGACTGTCCATGGCAGCTGCCTGCCACAACAGCTCAGTGTGTCCTTGCGACAGCCCAGATGACCCACGAAGCCAAAAGCTTTACTAGCTGGCCCTTTAGAGATAGAGCAGAGCAGGGGTCAGCAAACTCTAAGACCTTAGAGATTCACAAATTAGAGAGTCAGCACGTTAAACACTCCGAGAGATCCTGCCACAGGGAACTCTAGTCCACTTGGTCTAGCATAATATTCTCAACTACATTTAATTTTAAAAAAACTTTTCCCTCTCTAAGACATGTATTAATTCCTCTCATAGGATGCCCTTCCTAGGACACATTTTGGGAGATACTGGTGTGTGTGCACATGTGTGCTTGTATGTGCACGGAAGAAATACGTGTGAGAACAGTCACCACGAGGAAAACACCCTGTGTCCATTTTCGGACACCTCCGGCCTGACACAGCAGGCACAAGAACGTCATTCATGTGGTTACTTAACCAGCTCTTGAGACACGTAAGAATACCGCATCCACACAACCAAATTAAAAGGTTCCGTTTGTTCAGGAGAGAAATTGTTTTATTACCAATAATTGATTATTTCTAATATGGAAAACTCCATCTTGCTAAAACAGAGGATAAGAGATAGATCCATAAAATAAGATAGAAGTCGCCAGGCGCAGTGGCTCAGGCCTGCAATCCCAGCACTTTGGGAGGCCAAGGTGGGTGGATCATGAGGTCAGGAGATCAAGACCATCCTGGCTAACACAGTGAAACCCCATCTCTACTAAAAAAAAAATACAAAAAATTAGCCAGGCGTGGTGGCGGGCGCCTGTAGTCCCAGCTACTTGGGAGGCTGAGGCAAGAGAATGGCATGAACCTGGGAGGCAGAGTGAGCCAAGATCGCACCACTGCAGTCCAGCCTGGGCGACAGAACGAGATTCCATCTCAAAAAAAAAAAAAAAAAAAAAAGATAGAAGGGACCACCCTGCAGAAGAAGAAAGAACACAAATAGGGGCTGAACTGGATTCTCTCAAGGATCCCGTGTTGCACCCTAACCCCCAGTCCCTCAGAACACGACTGTCTTTGGAGACACAGCCTTTAAAGAGATGATGAGAGTAAAATAGGTCATCAGGGTGGGCCCCAATTCAATAGAACCGGTGTGTCCTCATAAGAGGAGAAAATTAGGAGGACACAGACACGGAAGGAAGTCCCCGTGAGGACCCAGGGAGAAGACGTACGTCTGCGAGCCAAGGAGGGGGCCTTGGAGGAACCAACCCTGTAGGCATCTTGACCTCAGACTTGCAGCCTCCGGAGCTGGGCATTTCTGCTGTCTGAGCCTCCCAGTCTGTGGGACTTTATGGCAGCCCCACACACAATTATAGCTAATAAGGCTTCTCAACAGAGTACCCATGGAAAATGTCTGATAATGTACAGCTACATTTTATGAAAAAGGCTTCCATTCAGCCTACAGTTAGATCTGAGTTCAAAATCAAAACAGTTACCAGCTGTGTGAGTTTGGAGACGCGACTCACTCTCTCCGATTCTATGCCACAAAATGGAAACACCGGCACCTGCTTCACCTGAGTCTTCCTCACAGGTTGCTGGTGAAGACTGAGTGAGGGAATAGAAGTAAAACCAAGTGGCACAGAGGGGCCATCGATGAGCAGCCTTCCTCATGATTACTGTATTTCTTCTATCCTAAGGCAACATCGATTGTGATTCACCATCAACTGGCTAAGAGATTTTAAGGAGCAAAGAGATGCCAGCCTATATGTGCTCATCAGTGACAAAATGCACTCTGATTAGAGAAACACACAGATGGGAGGGAAATGAAATGTTTTTCCAGGCATTGAGAGAGTGTGATATTCCTCTTGGTTTTATATTTAGAGAGGCACACACCTCATCGCGACGTGGAAATGGTGATACCAGATCCTGGTGCGGGGCTCTGTAGCACGGACTGGGAATGCCAGGGCATTCCTCCAGGGCATGAGTGAAACAAACAAGGCTTGGTGAGAACCTGTACACGGTCATACCCCACCCATGGGTGGAGGAAGGGCTTCAGCCCAGACCTCCCGATAGCCCCTCCTGAGCTACCTCTACACCCACAAAGGACAGGGGACATATGGGGTTGGTTGTTTGTTTTTTGAGACAGAGTTTCACTCTTGTTTCCCATGCTGGAGTGCGATGGCATGATCTCAGCTCACTGCAACCTCTGCCTCCCGGGTTCAAGCCATTTTCCTGCCTCAGCCTCCTTAGTAGCTGGGATTACAGGCACCTGCCACCATGAGCAGCTAACTTTTTGTATTTTAAGTAGAGACAGGGTTTCACCATGTTGGCCAGGCTGGTCTTGAGCTCCTGACCTCAGGTGATGCACCTGCCTCAGCCTCCCAAACTGCTGGGATTACACGTGTGAGCCACCATGCCCGGCTCAGGGTACATATGTTTTAACCCACAGAGTGACCAAATTAGTAGCAGAACAAGGAACTTTATAGATGGATTTTACTATATGAACTCCTCGGTGATTCCAAATTCAAGAATTCTTGTCATTTTTATGACATGTCTTGTTTTTCTCTGAGCCTGCAAGGTCAGTGAGGACAATCAGGTCAAATGAAAGTGGCCCATGGATTTCACCAATCCAGGAGCACTATAAGGGAGTAAATGGAAATCAGACCAGGCCCAGGAGGTTGTGTTACTGGGGAGATACTGAGCGGTGTTACAAAGGGAAGTTCATGTACCACAGGTGGGCCCATTTACAGCTTGAACTTCAAGCAGGAGTAACTTTTTCCACCAAAAGAGTTTAAAACTCTTCTCCAACTCCCAAGGAAAACAAAATAATTTTGATCCTATAGAGACAATGCAGACCCTACTGGGAACCAGCACAGAGACCACCAGGCAGCCACTTTCCTTATGCAGGAGAGCTGACTACCAGCTCCACACAGAGCATTTGAGAGGAAGAAAAAGGTTTCCAGGGAATCCATTCATAGCATTATATTCCTCAGGTTAGTGCTTTGAGAGGCTCATAAAAAAATGCAAAGGGGCTAGGCGCAGTGACTCACTCTTGTAATCCCAGAACTTTGGGAGGCCAAGGTGGGCAGTTCACCTTAGGTCAGGAGTTCAAGACCAGCCTGGCCAACATGGTGAAACCCTGGCTCTACTAAAAATACAAAAATTAGCTGGGCATGGTGGCTCACACCTGTAATCCCAGCTACTCAGGAGGTTGGGGCACGAGAATCACTTGAACCCAGGAGGTGGAAGTTGCAGTGAGCCAAAATCGTGCCACTGCACTCCAGCCTGGGTGACAGAGCAAGACTCCATCTAAGGAAGGAAGGAAGGAAGGAAGGAAGGAAGGAAGGAGGGAGGGAGGGAGGGAGGGAGGGAGGGAGGGAAGGAAGGAAGGAAGGAAGGAAGGAAGGAAGGAAGGAAGGAAGGAAGGAAGGGAGAGAGAGAAAGAGAAAGAGAAAGAGAAAGGAAAAGAAAAGAAAAAAGAAAGGAGAAGAAAAAGTAAAGGACTAACGTGAGATAGGCTTCAGGGTTTTGAAACAAGACCTCCCAGGGAAACTGAGAGCAGCAGGGAACACACAGCAAGGGGAACAGTGCCCAGACTTCTATGCCCCGTGCTTGTTAAACCCTATTTCCAGGTACTCAGCAGGGAAGCAAAAAGTTGACATCAGAACTCACTGACAATGAGTAATGGATATGTCTTTTTCAG
The DNA here is from genome assembly GCF_000001405.40 of Homo sapiens. NCBI lineage: Eukaryota > Metazoa > Chordata > Mammalia > Primates > Hominidae > Homo > Homo sapiens. Next base: position 87,038,975 of record NC_000016.10, read on the forward strand.
AGTGTGCGCTCAGATATCCTCAATTATTCCTCTTAAGAAAATCTTGAGTTAAGGATCATTCTAGGAATTTTTATAAAAAGAGGACCCTGGAGTGGCAAGACTCTCTGGGACTAACCAACCACCATGCCCTGGGCTCAGCTTCCCTTGGAGACTCAGGTCACACTCAGGTGGCTTTGGGGAACCTGGGCTGGGCTGGTCCTTGCTGCCCCTCCTTGACTTTGCTGCTTATGTCTGGTTTGGGCCAATATTAAATTCAGTTTGCATTCAGGGAGGATCTGCAAGGTCAGCTAGTGGGTTCATGATGTGGGGCAAGATGAGGAGGAATGAACCCAGGCTGAGCTCAAAGAAATACCAAATTGCATAACAAAGATGAGGGCTGGGAGCCCTGATATATCACTGAAACAAGGGCAGTGCTGGCAGAGAACAGGGATCCATGAAAATATGTAGAACAGAACAGATGATTGTCTAGACAGTCAGATGCAAATCCAGAATTGCCATCTCAGGGGCTTTCTAGAGGATATTTTTTGTTTGTTAATTTAGGCTTCTTTTGCTTCAATCTAGATGCTAGACTTGGGGGTTTTATTATCTCATCAGTTGATCCAGAAGCCCTTGGAGAAGCTGCCACTCTCGCATCAGAGCACCAGCCTCCAATAATAAGACCCACGGCACGTTATGGGCATGGTAAAGGTTAGTGGACCCTGGAGCAAGGCTGACCACGTGAGGTTCTAGCTCTGGACATGCACCAGCTCTGTGACTGTGGCCAAGTCACTCCACCTGCCTGACCCTTGTGTTCCTTCTGTGTAAAGAGCAGTGGGGGGGCACCGACAGCACCTCCTCAACCGCCGCAAAGATTTAGACTATCATCGGCGTTAGCAGGCACGGAACATGTGTGATGTGTTTTGTTACTATTATTCATTGGAGCTGCTGGGAACCTTTGCTCAGATGCTCCACACACAGTGTCTGGCACAGCACAAGCACTCGGAGAGGGAGTGCTGTTATGTTCATTACAGGTGCATCGTGGCCCTTGCTATTTGGATGGATTTGCTGAGTTTGGGCAGTGTATAGATGGGGATATGGGTACAATGACCCTTTTTTCAGCATTCTTATTATCAGGAATTCCTCCATGAAGGCAGAACCCAGCCTGGCTTTCCGGAGCAGCATCCCTTGGATAGCAAAGAACAAGCCACTCTTCTAGACAAACCAGTGAGGTACCAGGTACCCAGACACACACTTATCTCAGGCTCTCTCCTGTCCTGAGTACAAGAGGAAGAGCCTGGCCAATTCTGTCCCCTGCAACTCAGCCAGCAGGGCCGGGGCAGCTAACCCATTTGAATGATGCTCTCCAGGACCCAGGAGGCTGAACAGGCTCTCAGGACAGGGGCATCAGCCTGGCCTCCAAAAAGCCACATTCCCACAGGCACTGCTGGGAGCAGGGCCAGTGAGATGGGCCAGGGGCTGAGGGGCCAGGCCAGGTCTGCACAGGAAGTCCGCGGGGTGTCCGTGTGCTCACCCCCCCTCAGGATCACAGGAGCTGGGATCAGCTGGTGTGCTGGAGCCATGGGTCCTCAATCTGTCATGACACCCCAGGAAAAAATACAGCTCAAATACTGTTTTTTCATCCCTTTTATTATCCTAACGAGACTTAACCTGGAAGCATCATTGGCACCAAATGGCAAGCTGCAGTCAGCAGCATGTACAGGGATGCAGCCGTGCGGCAGGCTCTGCGTGGATATGGGAGCGGTCACTGCAGAGCCAGAGGTCAGCAAGGCCCAGGCCTTGGCAGCGTGGGACAACCGGGACTGGCATAAAGGAGGCCAAGGGGCAGCATCCTCCCTGACAGCTTTATGGCCTGGCACCCAATCCTATAAAAACTGCCAGAGTAATGAGGTCCAGAGGCCTCCCTAGCACATGATGTCACCGTGGTGGGCGGGGCTGCCCACCTTGGAACCCAGAACCTGGAAATCAGCTGTTTCCAGCTGCATGGGGCTGTCACCCTCAGGCTGGTCCTAAGGCTGGAGCCTAGGGTGCCTGTGAAACCCACACGCTTCTTTCCCACACTATGCCATTCACAGACACCACCTACCCTCCACCATGAGGGAATGATGTCTCTGGATATTGCCCTGCTTGCGATATTGGATTAAAGGGCAAAGGCTCCTGGAAGTGACAGTTGAGTGTCACTGCCCATTGACACCTTGGTGTTTGGGGAGTCCTGCCACTTTCCAGTATCACCTGGGCCAGGACATAAATATTAAAAGGGCTTGGCCACCAGGGCTCTCTTCCCCACATGCAGGGCTGGCTTCTCAAGTGTACAGAGGACCTCGTCCTCGGTCTAACCCTCTGCTGTTGCCAACGTGAGATTCTTCATGACTTTCTGGGCCGCCCCCACCCCCAGTGATGCAGCCGGTCCCACCCACGCCCCGCAGGACCTGCCTGGCTCGTCGCCAACTCCTCCCGCATGCCCTGCTTCCAGATAGTCTCTTATGGAATCCTCAAACAACCCCAGGATGTGGGGAACGGTGTGGAGGCCCGTTGTGTAATGTGGAAGCCGGGATACATGAGTAGCGTGTAATTCCCTAAGACCACACCCCTGGCAAGCAGCAGCCCCGCACGGGCACCCAGGTAGCCTCTCCAACCCCAGCCCTGGTTCCTCCTCCACATCCTGCTTTCCCACATGTTGGAGAGGCCTCAGGGAAGAGCTGGGGCAGCCAGGCTTGCTGGGCAAGGCCTCGTTGGGGAAGGGGAAGGCCCAGATCATTATTCCAGAAGAGAAATTCCAGGTGAGGCCCCAGTGGAGAGCATTAGAGGGGCAGGAGGCTACGGTAGAGAGGGGTGCTGTGACGTCCCATGGCTCTGTGAGCACCGGGTGGGTTCCTGGGGACCCTCCTAATTCCACTTCTCCTTCCTGAAGACACGGCCTAGGAGGGTTGGGTCCCACAGCATCACAAAGGCATCCGAGAGCCTCTGACGTCAGAAGAGGGGGCTCTCATATGAATGAAGAAGCAGGGAGAGGCCTGGCGCAGTGGCTCATGCCTATAATCCCAGCACTCTGGGAGTCAGAGGTGGGCGGATCACTTGAGGTCAGGAGTCCGAGACCAGCCTGGCCAACATGGTAAAACCCCGACTCTACTAAAAAAACAAAAACAAAAATTAGCCAGACATGGTGGTGTGTGCCTGTAATCCCAGCTACTCAGAGGCAGGAGAACTGCTTAAACCCGGGAGGAGAAGGTTGCAGTGAGCTGAGATCATGCCACTGCACTCCAGCCTGGGTGACAGAGTGAGACTCTGTCTCAAAAAAAAAAAAAAAAAAAAAAGCAGCAGCAGGAGCTCTCAGGACCACAGAAATGGGGTCTGCTCCTCCCCAGTCAGTGTGAGCACCATGATGGGGTGAGCCCCTCCGAAGTCCACCCAGCCTGCACAGGGTGGCATCAGAAACGGCCAGGAAGCCCTGAGAAAGTGGGTCTTGGGCAGGAACAGGCAGAGCCATCAACAAAAGCAAAGGGAACCCAGGAGGGGGCGTCCAGAGAAGCGAAAGCCCCAGGAAAACACCTAACAGGTGTCTTGTCAGGACACGTGCAGAGGACAGATGCTGGCACCAGCCTTGGTGAAGACGCTGTGTTGGGAAGCAGCAGAAATCTCAGCTAAAATTGGTTCAGGCCAAAAGGAGATGCACCAACCCACCATCTGGATGCCCCAGGACAGGCCACGTTAGGGACGGTGACGGAGGCTCATCAACACCTCGGGACTCTGGGTCTTCCCATCTCTCTGCTCTGCCTGGGGCACTTCAGCCTCCTGCTCCGCCTGGCAGCAAGCCAGCTGTGTACTTGCTGCCTCCATCCAGACAGGCAGAGGCCAGGGACAGAAGGGAGACCATGTACCCAGGATTCCTCCATGCAAGAAAGAAACCTTTCCCCAGAAAGCCCCCATCTCCCCTGGGACCTGGGAGGCTGAGCTGGCTCCAGGGCTGGAGGAATCACACCCGGGCTCCCTGGGTGCCATGTCCCGCACGCAGCAGCAGGCCGAATGGCCCCTAAGACAGGCGAGGTGTGAGCGGAGCATTCACAGCCTCCCCATGAGCCTCTCCAACCCACGAGCTTCCCCAACCCACGAGCTTCCCCAAACCACGAGCTTCCCCAACCCACGAGCTTCCCCAAACCACGAGCTTCCCCAAACCACGAGCTTCCCCAAACCACACCATTCCTCACATCGACATGAACTCTGTAAAAAGACCAGGGCCATGAACGTGCCTCTGAGCCCTGGTGCTGTCACAGACGGGCCCTGTGACTGGTTAGTCCCACAAACCTCGCCCGGGCTTCCCATGGCTTTTTGGAAAAATATCACAGTTCATATTGTGACCTAGAAGGTTATCAGACGAGAGCATTTGCCCAGCATAACTGAAGCCAGACTGGGCTGAACTAAGTGATAAAACAACCTCAGAGCATGTTGTTTGGCACCAGGGAGTAGGGTTGGAGCCCAGATCATGCCAAGAGCTGGTGCAGCGGAGATTCCTGCCCACCGCCTCCAGCCCCAGCATCCAAGTGCACTGCGTTACAGCCAGGATTCAGCTGCACCCACAGGCACCACGGGAGCAGCGGCTCCAACAAAGTGCTGGTGGAATTTGTTTTTTTCACATAAGGGTCTGAGCTGTGCTCTCTGAAATCACCAGGATTTTCCTCTCTTGTTAATGGTTGTGTCCACCCACACAATAGCGATTCGGTACCGTGTCTCCACCCAGCTACTGCAAGAAGGCTTCTCTTACTTCAAGACACACGCAGCCTGTTACACACACATCAGCCGTCAAAAAGCCTGGGAAAAGCATTCCGTGTTCTGTAGCTTGCCTAGTTAAACACTCTCACTGTGGAAGGGAGGGGGAAACGAGGGTGGAAAACAATCAGCCGTGTCAGCCTCCCTCTCCACGTGCCGGCTACAGAGGGCTTCCTTCTGTTCCTCTGAAGGGGAACAAGCTCTTCACAGAGGCTGTTCCCTCTGCCAGGACACTTCCTCTCCTATCTCCTAGCTAACTCCTTCACTGCCCTCAGACCCCAGCTCAGTCACTCGGCCACCCCACCTGGCCACCTCAGAATTTTTTTATAATCCCTTCCTGTGATCGTTTGACTGACGGCTGCCTCCCTCGAAAGATGTTATGTGTCCCAAGGTGGAATGTCAGCTCGTTTCCTGTTAGGTGCCAGCACCTACTCCAGGGCTGACCCCTCTGGCTGAAGAGCTGAGTAAATGTATCACCCTCCTGAGTCTCCAGGTCCCCTGCACGTGGACACGACTCAGAGCCGTCACAAGAAAGCAAATGAAGATCTTAGGCCAGGTGCAGTGGCTCATGCTTGTAATCCTAGCACTTTGGGAGGCCAAGGCAGGTGGATCTCTAGGGCCCAGGAGTTCGAGACCAGCCTGGGCAACCCCGTTTCTACTAAAAATACAAAAAATCAGCTGGGCGTGGTGGTGTGTGCCTATAATCCCAGCTACTCGGGAGGCTGAGACAGGAGAATCACTTGAATCCAGGAGATAGAGGTTGAAGTGAGCAGAGATCATACCACTGCACCCCAGCCTGGGTGACAGAGAGAGAGAGAGAGAGACTGTCTCAAAAAACAAACAAACAAAGCAAATGAAGATCGTACCAGGGGCTGACACCAGAGATGCCTGACTAAGTGGCAGGCACCATCCCCTGTTTTAATTTGCTTAATCCGCCCAGCAGCCTTTTTCTTTCTAAGGCAGGTTTTGCTCTTATTCCCATTTCACAGAAGAGGAGACGGGGCAGAACTGAGTCAGCTGAGGAGGCAGGCTGGGACTGAACGCAGCTCTGGAGCTGGCACACTTGGGGTTCCGGCAGTTCCCTTTCTGCACTTTCTGGCCAGCGAATGGGGAAACCTGGGCCGTCTCCACGGGCCACAGACCTGCTGAGGGAGCTCACAGTGCAGAGGGTCCAGGGTCCCTCCTGTTCTTGTCCCCAAGCCTCTTCTGGGAGCCCCTCCCAGTTGGACCCGAACTGTGGCTCACGTAAGGAAGCCATGTGTTCCTGCCCGCCCAACCCCCCAGAAGAAGTGCTTTCTGCACAAGGTCCCCGAGGCCCCACAAGCCCAGAGATCCATGATTCCATGCAGTCAGTGCCTCCGGGCTCAGGGCCTCTGGAATATGGCCGTGTGGCCGGTCCCCTGCAATGGCTCCTGGAGACCCACAGCCAGGTGACACATGGCTGTCCGCTCCTGAACCACAAGCCAGAACACAGGCAGGTGTGTGCTCTGAGAGGTGAGGATGGGGCCTAGGCCTGGAGCAGCCTGCAGAGGATGTCAAGGAAATGCTAAAACATGCCCCAGAGAAAAATCTGCCTGAAGTAACTCAGTCAACTTCTGTATTATCCTTTTTTTTTTTTTTTTTTTTTTTTTTTACCAAAAAGCCCCCACCCAAAACTACGTTGTTATAACGAAAGGGATATGCATTCATTCATGCAGGAAGAGGAGGAGAATATACCAAGTACAAAAGAACAGGCTTATCCACATCCTGCCGCCAGCACTCACAGGCAGGGAACCTCCCGGTTCTCGGTGTCAAGCCTCCCTCCTGGAGGAGAAACCCACGCTGGTGTCATCACAGGTTCAGTGCGCCTCCCTCTACGACCTCCACAGGAACAGAAGGGGCTGCTTTCGCCATCCCTCCCACAGGGACGGGGTGTGCATGGTGCGGGGAGGTGGTGCCGAATACCTTGCACAAACGACACCTGTTCCTCGACGCTAAAGTTTCCTGAGGCCTCCCCTGTGTCGGATGCCGCGGGTCCCCAGGGAACACGGCGTGGACTCAGGCTTGGCTTCTGTCTCCCATCTCCTACCCATCTCCCCAGCTTCTCATCATCCAGGGTACGCACAGGAGACAGTTGTCTTGTTTGTAACAAACATTTTTCCAGCACTCTCCACATGCTAGGCCTTGCTCTAAGCACTTTACAAAGGCTAACTTGGTGAATCACAACCTTACAAGGTACGTACTCTTATCACATTTTACAGATGAGGAAATTGAAGCCCAGAGAGACCAAGCCACTTGCCCAAGGTCACACAGCAAATGAGTAGCAAAGACTGGATTCAAACCCAGCCATTTGGGCTCCAGAGCCCGTGCTAATGGTCTCAGAAACACAAGCTGCCCCACCATGAGTGTGAGGGACACAGTGAACCCACTTTGCCAGGGGAAATGGAGACGGGAGCTGCCGCATGGGACGGAAGGCACTGCTAACGTACTTTATTTGTTTTTTAAGGCCAGCCAGACGAATGAGGTACAAGGCAGTAGCTATGCACCTGGCTATACCTGAGAATCGCCTGGGGCGCCCTGAAAACTGCTGCCCAGAATTTGATTCCCTTAGTGTGGGCTGGAGCCCAGGAGTCAGTGCCTGTTAAGGCTTCCCATGCCACTGCACTGTGAAGCCAGGTTTGAGAACACCTGCTGTGTCCACAGATTCCAGCTACATGACCCTGGAATACTTGCTTGACCTCCCCAGGCCTCAGTTTCCCCATCTGTGAAATGGGAATGCTACCGCTTTGGTGTGAGAAGCTGCGTGTCACACACACACCTCGCTGGGCCCTGGTACAGCCCGTGAACCACGTCGTTGTCAGCCCTTACTCTAAAGCACACGTGGCTCTCTGCATGCAGGCAGAGCTGGGTGAACTGATTTTCCCGGGCTGCCATAACCACGTCGTGAGACCAGGCAGCTCAAACCCCAGATATGCACTTTCTTATCATTCTCAAGGCTGAACATCTAGGATCAGGTGCCAGCAGGGCTGGTTCCTCCCGAGGCTTCCCTCCCTGGCTTGTAGGCAGCCATCTTCTCCCTGTGTTCTCATATGGTCATCCCTCTGTATGTGTCTGTGTCCTCATCCCCTGTTCTATGGGGACACCAGTCATTGGATTAGGGCCCAATGACTCACTTTAAGTTAAGCACCTCCTTAAAGACCCTATCTCCAAACATGGTGACATTCTGAGGGCCCGGGGCTAGAGCTTCCACACAGGAATTTATCAGGAACAAAATTCAGCCTATAATGAGTAAACAGAGACAGTACCTGTTGAGACGTGCGTCCATGGGTGGACTGCTGAGAACGCGGATTCTCACCCTCAGCGTATTCCCTCAGCCAAGCACAGCGAGGTAAGGTCATTTATAGTTAGCTGGCTTTTGACAATCACAAAGCCAGTGCCCCTCATCTGGGCTTCACCTCCAAGCCTGCGCGTCCCTCTCCCCTCCTGGCTCTGCGAGGGTTAATCGGAAGGTCTCTGGAGTTGGGTGGACTTACTGCTCCAGACCTTTACCATCTCACCCTGACTGCAGGGCTCACATTTCTCACTTAATTACTTGCCCTGCAATCAGAAGAGATAGCCCGTTTCTGTGTTGAGTTGGCTGCAGCTGTGAACTGTTTATTTACTTTTCCTCAGCCCGGGAATGGCTGTAATTTAAAGGTTCAGATCTCAGCTACCCTGCCTGGTGCAAACCCTGCTTAAGCACTTCCATATTGCTGGGGTGGAATGTTGCTGGAAGCTGCCCCCGCTGCCCACCTCCCTTCCCTGGACAGGAGAGCTGAAAAGGCAGGTGTTCCTGGTTATCAAGCCTGCCCATCCAAGGAGCTGGGCAGAGAACCTGTAAGCCACAAACAGCGGCTAGGACTGTGAGCTGCTAGGATCGGGACTGCCCCAAGCCACCCTCCTGCAGAAAAAAAAGTGGTCCCTGCCACAGTTCAAGCCCCAGCTCTCACTAATTCCTGTGCCAAATGGTGTAATTACCACTTAAGTTGTCAAATGGCAACCAGATGGCCTTACCTTTCACACCGGCAGCTTAATAAGCTTTTAGGCATGACCTCTGCCGCTTGTCCTCCACCTGCACAGGCCCCGATTTGTGAAATCCGAGCCCACAATTAGATCTGATAATGAGAGCTGAGGTGCGCCCAGCCTTGAACTCCGCAAGCTCGCTGCAAGGGGTGCCCAGCAAGTCACCCCATGCCACTGACAAATGACATGCGTCCCACCCCAAACAGAGGGGCCCTGCACACAGGCCCCTGGGGCCTGCCTAGGGAGATCACAGGCCCAGAGGCCCTGAGACCCAAGTGCATTTGGGGGGCCAGACAGTTCTGCAAGCTCAAAGCATGCTGTTTCTGGAAACAGCAAGCTAGAGGCTCAGACCCCATCATGTCCCCCTACAGCTTTGTCCGCGGCCTGCCTGCCCCGGGGCAGCCCCCCGGGAGGCACTGTTTCTCCATCAGCACAAACAGGGGGGCACCCCACATGGGGATCAACCTGCTGCCAAAAACCCGTATGTGACTGTCTGTCAATTCACCCCTTTGAGTTTCCGTGAGCTGGAGTTACTATAGTGAGGCTTTCAGCACACGGCAGAGTGGTCTCGCACTGCAACGGATCACAGTCCAGTGTCTGTTTTGAAAATCACATTGTTCTTTCCAGGGATGGGGACAAACCCCTCCAATAGTTATGGAAGTCACATGTACCAGGAACCATTTCCAGCACTTCACACATACTCACTTATTAATCCTCACAATAACCTAAGCACTGTTTTTCTCCCCCATTTATAGAAAACTGTGGCACAGAGAGGTTAACTAACTTACCCAAAGTCACACAGCTGGCCAGTAGTGGGAATGGGATTTGAAACTAAGTGAGGAAGCAGACACTCTGAATGTATACAACCAAGATTCCATTGGATTTTTAAAAACAATTTGATAAAAACTTTATTAATACACAGTAGACATGTTGTACCTACTAAGCCAAGCTAAAGGTTTGTGTAAGGGCTTGGAAAAGTCCAAATATTTTAAGAAGAGCCCAGGCACTGATACTTCTCATGCTCTGACAAACCTGTGAAAATGGGCAGGTACAAAAGAGCAGCACATCAGAAGCTTCCTCTGCCCTGGGTTGGAGCAGAAGGAAACCAAGGAGAGACGAACACTGAGCGCCTGGCCGGGGACGGAAGTTTCCATGGAAGCCTCTCGTCCCCAATCTTTGCCAAGAGGATTCTAGTAACAGCAGCTCCCACAGCAGAGAGTGATGGGGAGGCCAAGACCCCAGAGAGAAACTGACAAATATACTTATTCCGACTCTGCGTTACATTTGACTCTTTTTAGAGGTCAGTATTCCCTTCTCCCGACCTGCACAGGGACCTTGGGTTTTAGGGTGTCTCATCTCGTGTTGTCATTGAAAACTTGCCCTTAAGATTGTGTCCCATTCTTGCTAAGGTGCAAATGACTGATACTGAGGAAGAGGAGATTGCACTTCATGTTACCACCTTCAGATCCATTTGGCTTTTCAAACAAGAGGCTCGGAGAAGACCTATATTAGTCTGTTTTCACGCTGCTGATAAAGACATACCCGAGACTGGGTCATTTACAAAGAAAAAGAGGTCTAATGGCTCACAGTTCCACGTGGCTGGGGAGAGGTCTAATGGCTCACAGTTCCACGTGGCTGGGGAGAGGTCTAATGGCTCACAGTTCCACGTGGCTGGGGAGAGGTCTAATGGCTCACAGTTCCACGTGGCTGGGGAGGTTTCACAATCTTGGCAAAAAGTGAAAAGAGTGTCTTACATGGTGGCAGACAAGAGAGAATCAGAGAACCAAGCAAAAGGGGTTTCCCCTTATAAAGCCATCAGATCTCATGAGACTTATTCAGTACCATGAGAACAGTATGGGGGAAACCACCCCCATGATTCAGTTATCTCCCACCTGGTCCCTCCCACAACACAAGGGAATTATGGGAGCTACGATTCAAGGTGAGATTTGGGTGAGGACACAGCAAAACCATATCAAGACCCAAGATCAACATGATGATCCAATATTATCATTTTTACCAAAATAAGAGTGGGGGAAGAGGAAGCAATGGCTTTCAACAATAAATGTGTATATAGTCAGGAATATGGAACAAATGGGCTCAGACTTTTCACATAAAGAAATGCCCAAACGCTGGTGCTTGGGCAGGTTTTGGTCTATGGCCCACACTCCTGGAAAGGGGATCCTCCTCTGTTAGAAGTTCTTTGACAGGAAATATAGAAGAACAAGGCCTTAAATTACACAAGTGGTGCCATCATCAGCGAGTGACCAATTTATCTACGCATGAACTAGGGCTTTCCAGGGACAATTCCAGGTCTCAGAAGCTACCTGCATTGAGACACCCACATAAAGCCAGCCTGTCTTGAGACCCTCCCACCCACCCAGCGTTCATTCATTGGTAGGTCAGAGGCAGACCCATCCTGCCGTCCACCGACCCCTTCCTAAGCCACTGTCAGTCCCCACTGCAGCGCATGCCTGAGTTCTGACAGTGGCCATTCTCTTTGGTGGAAACGTGTCTGCCCCTTGGCCACCTGGACGGTTCCTGCTCATAACTAAAGACGTCATCACTTCTGTCCCAGCTATGTCCGTGCTGACTTCACGGGTCCCAGTGTCCCCACCCTTTGAGGTCGGGAGCTGTGATGCTCATCTCCCCCGAGTACTGGGCAGGCACTTGGCCCGCACGGGGGATGCCTGGCCACACAACCAGTCGTTTGTTTCCTTCCTTTCTCGTTCTCCCCAGAGTGTGAGCTCCTGAGCAGGGGCTGAGTATATTCATCTCCCTGTCCCCATTGCCCAGGCTGGGCAGGCGCCATCTGTGTTTGAATAAATGAATCATTCTAGTTCCATCCCTCAATAAGCCTTTATCTGCAGACCTCTCTTGGAGATCCTGAGCCCTACTGGTCCGTAAGTTAATATGAGGCCACATTTGTTACCCCGAAGAAGACACGCAAATGAAATGACTTACCTAACATCTTGCTCCAGCAAACCAGACAGAATGTCAAGCTGGTGACATTCAAAAGTTTTGGAAGCCCACAGGGGCCTTTTGGAAGAGAAGGTCAGCATGGAAAGGGGATGGTGATGTGGCTTAGGGGCAATCAGGCAAGTGACAGTGATGTGACTTCAGGTGATCAGGCAGCAGGAGCCTTGCAATGCACAGGCCTTCTCCTAACCCTTTTCTCTGCACAGGTTCCACGTGGCCCAATGAGGTAAGCGCTGTTACTGTGTCCACTTCACAGACAAGGAAGCTGAGCATCAGGGCCATTCAGCAATATGACCAAGACCCCACAGTGGTGGAGCCTGAATTCAACAGGAACAGAACGACCTAATGCACAGAAGCAGCCGCGTCTCAGGTGGAGGGGAGGAAGGAGCTCGGGTTGGGTCATGGAGGATGGGCTTGACTTGGGTTTCCAAAGTCAGTCCCCTTGTGTGTGTGTGTGTGTGTGTGTGTGTGTGTGTACATGTATGTTGGTGCATGTTCTGTGCATGTGAATGAATGTGTACAGTGTGTGTATATGCATGTCATGTAATGTGTGTGTGTGTACAGGGGAATTGTGTGTTGGTGAGCACATGTGTGTATATGTGTTCCTGTTGCAGAAAAACACCTCTCAGAAATACAGCATGAGGCCGTTCCTGCAGCCCCCACTCTTCCCATTTCATTGCACCCTTGCTTGGCAAAACACAAGCCAATCGGCATAAACCAGCTCTGCGCACGCGCCTCCTGCTTGGGATCAACAGAAACCTTGGGAGGAGAGAATATTCAGAGGCTGCCTATGACCAAGCAGAAAGTTCATCAAAGACAAGGACCCTGAGACTCTGAGGAGCTCCGCTAGGTTCCCTTCCAAACTGACTCTCAGAAAGCAGAGTAGGGAGCTAAACCAGAGCATGAGTGGGTGGACCGGTTCCCCGCCTGATCTAAGAACTTGCTGATGTCTGCAGTGGACCAAGGCTACCGCTCAGGTCCCTCCTCCAGAGCCCTGTCCTGCTGCCGTGTCTATAGTGGCTCAGATCTCTCCACGTCTGCCAGGGGGTCTTCTGCTAGTGAGGAATTCTGCCATGCCTGCTCCAGTTCTCCTACGTGTAAAAAAAGAAATAACTCTACCAACACCGATGTTCGCTAGCGACCAAGCAGAGCACTTCCTATGCCTCACCTCCCTGAATCCTCCTAAGGACTGATGGAGTAAGAGTCACAACATCCTCATTTTACACACTAGGAAACTGAGGGGCAGAAGGCAGATGATGTGCTTGGCTCAGAGCCTGATGAGGAGCTAGCATCTCCTGCACGAGAGCTGGCGGGATGGCCTGCGTTTGCAGCTCTTGCAGGCATCGTCTCTGTGGTCCAGCCTGATGCTAACTCAACAGATGCTGCCAGAAGGGGCCTGCTCATCCCATCTGACAGCAGTGTCTCCAATGGCCTCGCAGGGTCCTTCCTTGCCGCTGTATGTCTCCTTGTGGGATGCATGTTCGACTGTGCTGGTTCTTTCATCAACGTGCTGTATCCTGAGAAGACTCAACCCCCTCTCTTGCCCCAATGCCTTCAGCTCTGAGAACCCCACAGTTACTCAGTGATCTCCTTAAGGGCTCCTGGATACAGAGGACAGCAAAGAAATGGAGTCCCTTCTATTGCTGTCAATGTTTAAAATTTTCCAATGGAAATTGTGTTCATGCCTAAAACGAGGCCACCAAGTGTGCTCAAAACATTCAAGGTCTCTACTTTTAACTCCAACCCAATTAGCTCAGTTTGCTCTGTCTGGTTTTTGTGATTATCAGAAACCTTGCCAGGAGATTTCTGTCTTTGAATATCATCTGGACAATAAGCATTAATCCTTTCCTGAACACCCAGTGGATGCTTGGCTGTGTGCAGAGCACTCTGGGATTTCTCCCAACAATCACAGAAGGAAGATAACATCAGACCCAGTCAACAGAAGAGGAGACTGTGGTCTGAGAAGCTCCAAGAGGCGCAGTGACCGGGGATTGCAGTGAAGTTGGAACTTAGCCTGTTTCCAGAGCCTGGGCCAAACTGCCAGGCCAGTATTTTCCCAAATTTGCCACATCAGAAGAATCGCTGGAGGCCTGGTGTAAATTAAGAATCATGGGTCCTACCCCAGTTCGAATGTGCCTCGCCGAACCCCAGGACCTGAGAATCTGCATTTTAAACAAATATCACTGGAGGTAAGATTGAGACGCCCTGCCCACACTCCATTGTATAATTAGGTTAATTACCTGTTTCCATCCACTCACCACTGGGTCGGAGCACCTTTCAGAAGTTGGTATGGATGGGATGGGATGAGGGCGGAACCGGGCCTGCACAGCGCCTCCGAGGGCCATGTGGGGCACTGCGCCCCCCCTCCCCCCGCCCCCAGCCCTCCCCAGCTGGGAACCACCCACTGCCCCTGCACAAAGAATGGGCGGAAACAGGAGTTCACCCCGTGCCATTTCTCACTGGCCGTCGGCTGGGCCGGACCTACAGGGGCGATCATGGACTCAGAGCAGCTGAAAGGCCAGGGACACGGGAGCAGGAGGTGGCAGGATACCTGGTGCGGTGCCGAGGGGCCTGGGAAACAAAACACAGCCCCCCCAAGGCTGGCGGGGGACGGCCGGAGCAATCGCCTGCTGAAATCTGCAAGCTCATCACAGCGCTTGGAAAGCTCACCGGGGACGCGCAGCACAGGACACATCCTGCTCTGCAGAGATAAGAGGCAGTTCCCAGGTTCTCACCGCCGGCATCCCCCCGGGGAGCACACTGCTGGCGGCAAGCTTGGAGGACATGAGAAAGATGCCCAAAACAAACAGCCTGGCAGGGAAGCACCCGCCCGCCAGCAGGGGAGCTGCGCAGGCCCCTTCACCCTTCACCCACCTTGGGACAGGACCTTGTTGGGGAGGGGGCCCAGGGTCAGGGCAGGGGGACCCACACTGACCGGGGACCCTGGTCGCTGATTTTGCTCATCCCTGAAATCACTCCTCAGGCTGACTTTAGCTCCACCCTAACACATACTGGTTGCGGAGGCCTGGAAGAGTGGCCGCTTGTCTCTGTGCCTCAGTTTCCCCACCTGCTAAAAGGTGCTGCAGGTGGAAACTACCCCTCTGCATTCTTCCAGGCCTCGCTGTGATCATGTGGGTTTGGTTAACGGCTGGCGGCTGAGGACCCTGAGATGCTCTGAACTCTTCTGTATGATCCCATCTCACCTCACAGAGGCCTGCAAGCCTCACGCCCTTACCAGTACCATTTACCCCATGAGGAAACTGATGTATGCCAGGTTATGAAGCGTTTTCGAGCTAGGGAGAGCTTAACTTATGCACACATTCTCTCTAGTTCTCAAGTCAAAAAGGTGCTAGAACCCAGGTCAGCCCATTCCAAAGCCCATGGCCTCCCGCACAATTCCAGGGGTAGATATTAAAGTTCTGTTTTAGAACTCCCAGAGCGCCTATAAACTATATTCCACTAGAAAGCCATAAAGAAACACTTTGGAAGCCACCACTTCCTATTACGGGTGGCCTGTCCTCAAGGATTTGCTGAAATTAAGGATCTGGGAGGAGGCTGCACAGATTCCACGGATGTGCCTCCTTGAGTCACTGGCACACAACTTCTCCCTTGCTGCCTCCTGCCTATTGTATACCTTGCCAGCATCCCTTGCAGCTAGATGTGACCATGTGACCCATGGGATACAAACAGAGTCTGTTGGGACACTTCCGGGAAACCTTTTGTTTTCTTAATCAAAAGGCACAGCGCTAGTAACCTTCTCCTCTCTTCCCTCTGTGAATACAGATCTGATGTCTGGAGATCTAGCAGCCATGTTGAGGCCATGACAGAACAGACAATAGCAATGTGGTAGACATCATATTAGCCCCCCAAGAGATGTCCACATCCTAAACTCCAGAACCAGGACACTGGAGTTGCAGATGGAAGTAGGTTGCTAATCAGCTGACCTTAAAATAAAGAGATAGTCCTGGATTATCTGAGTGAGTCCAGTGTAAGCACAGGCTCCATAAAAGTGGAAAATAGAGCTGGAAGAGGAAGTCATAGAAGAAACGGATGCAGAGGGTGGAGGGATAGATGGGACCCTGCTGTCTTTGAAGACGAAGGAATGGGCCATGAGCCAAAGAATGAGGCAGCCTCTGGAAGCTGGAGAAGGCAAGGACTCGGCATGACATTCATGGAAACATTTTCCCAGGAAACACACTCAGGGACCCCTGATCTTACTGTCCCTTCCTTTGCCAGAAAAGGTTCCAGAGACATCCCAAATTCATCTTCAGACCCTGGCATCATCAGAGGGGTCTCCCCAGAAGGAACCAGCCCTTCCTACACCTTGATTTTAGCCCGGTGAGACCAGCACTGAACTTCTACACTACAGAGCCCTAAGATGATAAAAGCATGTGTGTTTTAAGCCACTGAGTTGATGGGCATTTGTTACAGCAGCCACGGGACACCACTACAAGCAGGAAGAAGGTGCCATCTCTGCCGCTGGTGAATAGCTGAGTAGATACCCGAGGCTGCCTTCCTCCGACATCCTTACTGCATGATAAGGACAAGCCTGCCCTTGTTTAAGCCATCTTAAGTTGGGTTATTGTGATTTGAAGCCCAGTGCATTCCTACTTGGCATCTGTGTCACCTGACGGGGACTTTACTTCAAAGTTCTTTTTTGAAGAATTTTTTTTTTATGGGAGAGAAACCACATTAGCAGCTAAATGAGTTGAACCCCCTAGGATGGTGCTGAGGTGTGAAGATGAATTTTGGAACCTTTTCTGGCAGAGAAAGGGAAAATAAGATCAGGGTTTCCTAAGAAAATATTTTCCTTCCATATAATGCCCTAACGGCCTTCAACATTCTAAGAAGAAAAATGGATTGTTAATTCAATGTTTACTGAATCATAAAGTAGACCTAAGACCAAAAAAAAAAAAAAATAGAAAAAGCTAATTGCAATAAACAAGAGAGTGGGTTTGTGTAGGCATCAGGGCTGCTCTATGGCAGATCAGGTGTCCGGGATAACAGGTGTGTTCATAGTCTGCCATGTCCTAGACTGGGTGAAATTGTTCTCCAGTTGAAATGGTTACATAGGATAAGTGTCCCTGGGCTCTGCCTTAACAGCAGGCCCTTTATCTTCAATATGACTTCATCAGTGCACAGTCCATTTTCAGGAACGTGACTTTACTGTGTTGTTATTTCTAAGCTGATTCCTGCCGACCAATTTTATTCCTTACTTTACAACGGAGTTTCCAGGAATGGGTTCTAGTGAGGTGTTGGGACTGCCTTTGCGCATTCATGGATGGATAAGTTAATCAAGGAGTTAGGAAGGCAAGGTCATTTGTCATGGGCCCACCTCCTACCTGTCAGACAGGACTTGGCCTCAGAAGCTCTGTGGGCATTTCATCCTGCTGCTCAGTGTGCTCTGATGCCCAGCTCTGCAGAAGAGAGAAGAAGGGCCAGCCAGGAGCCTGGCAAGTGAGCAGTGCTTAGTAACTACTCATGGTGCTCAGTAACTACTCATCATTGCAATGCTTTTCTCTCTCATGCTCACAGCACCCCTATGAGGGAGATCTGGGGAATTTTCCCCTACTGCAGACCGGGAATCCAAGGCTGAGAGGTTACAGGACTCAGACTGAGAAAGGGGCGCATTGTCCCACTGCCTTGTTGGTGCCTCCTGACAGGGAGGCATGAGGGCTGTGGCCGCCACGGCAGATACTGGCCTTGGCATCCACAGCCCTCATGCTGTCTCTGCAGGCCGGGCGCCATGTGACCACACTCCTCTCTCAGACCCCACAAGAGCCCCGTGGGGGGCCGTGTGCTGCCCACTCTCATGATGAGGAAGCCACGACCTGAGAGAAACTTAGCGTCTTGCCCCCGATGCTGCGATGCTTGGGGATGGGTGTAAACACAGGCGGCTGCCGGCACATCTGGGCTCTCCTTGTGACCTGTCAGGCCCGCCCGCTGCAATAGAGCCTCCTCTGTCCCCTCGGGGCTTAGAGAGGTGAGGCAAACGCTTTCAGCCAGAGGCAGTGAGAAGGGTTCCCTCCACGGCCAGCAGTCTGAGCTCAGATAACTGACTTGCAAAAAATCCCTGACCAACCGGGAGCCTGAGAGGTGTGGGCCGGGTAGGGCGGGAGGAGGGGGAGGAAGCCCTGGGTACCCCAGGGCGCAACATGGCAGGGCCACACTGGAGGATGAGATCAGGCCTCCCAGGCCTCCCAGGCCCCCACCTGCGATGACTCCCCCGCATCGCCCATCGCGGCTGGGATTCTGGAGCCAGGCAGGGGTTCTGTGGTCTGAGTCCCTCTGCCTGTGTGACTCTGGGAAAATCACCAGACCTTCCTGAGCCTGGATTTCCTTCCGTGTGGAAAGATAATCATCAACGACCCGCGCCTATTTCAAGGAGACTCTTGGCCCAAAAATCCCGATTCCTCTAATTCCTCCTGATTTTTCTAAGTCGTGAACACATTAATTTATTGTCTTTCTAATGAGGCAGTGAGTGAAATATTCCGAATATTAAACAAGAAATACCTTTTCGGAAGGGTTTTTGTGAAGCCCTTTAATGGAGGGAGCATGGAGCCACCGTCAGACCTGATCTTCACGGATTTCGGGGCCCTCTGCTGGTTGCCTACACATCCACCCCCTCCCTAAACCTTCCTCGTTGACACGATTCTCGTTTCATTTGGCTTCAAAATGAGTTCCAACAACAACAAAATGCAATTTCCCAGACTCCTTTGCAGCGGAGAGTGGTCACATGACCCCATTCAGCCCAATGAGACGGGAGCCAGCGGGCCCAGAGAGGGCGTCCCTTCCAGGGACACTGCATTTCGGATTTGTGCTTTATCCTCCTCCTAGACGGGCTGAGAGTCCACAGGTGCGGCATTCACCTTGTCTCCTGAGGCCACAGGCATGGCGGCCAGGAGAGGAGGAGGGGGCTTCCCGCCCCGCATGGCCGCAGGCCGTCTCCATGGCAACAACCTCCCAGGCCCAGGGGTTCCGCAGCCTCCGCCAATCTGAGATGATTGACAGCAATGCCATCCAATTACAACATTTCCTCTCTCCTTGGGGACACCGAAAAGCAGACCACCCGGGCATACTAAGGTCAAGATGTCGTTGATCGGTTTCTTTGTTTTATTGTATTACTTGTTTTATTTACCTATTTACTTTCTTGGTAAAACCAGCCTGCCGGCTTGCTCAGGACATGAACTATGACGTCCCTGGAGATGGTCTCTTGGGAGAGGAGCCCCCCAGGCCAGCGAATCCCGCTCACCTGGGGATTAACGAGCAGGCCCGGCCATTTCCCAGGGCCACCGGTGCTCCCTGATCTCAGTGTCTCCGTCTGTAAAATGGGTATAACCAGAGCCAGCCTGTGTGGCCCTGGGGAAAGCGGCACTGAGGACAGACCAGGTGTCCAGCAGGGTCCTGCCCCGACTCCCACGCCCCCCTCGCCGGCCCCCTCGCCGCGGTCTTGCACCCTCCACTCCCCGTGCCTGCAAAGCCTCTGCCCCGTCCCTACACCAGGCTAATCCTTTGCACCTCAGCTCAGAGGCCCCGTCTCCAAAGCCTTCCCTGAAACTTCCTCCTTGAGACACCCACCATCCCCACCAAGCCTGCCACACCCAGGCCTGCTATCGCCCGTGCGGTGTCGTCCTTCTGATAAGCTGTGGAGGGGTAAGGGTCGCCCTGGTCTCTTGTTCATAGCCTTAAACCTAGAGCCACTCAAGTGCCGGGCACATAGCAGGTGCTCAATAAATACTCCTTGCTGATTGAACGGCAACCAGCTGCAAGAGTGAATGCATGGATGCCGCTCGTGGGCCTGGGTTTGGAGATCTTAGAAACAAAGCTTCCTTTTGCCACACTCATGCCTTCTTCTATCACACTCATGCCTTCTTCTACCACAATGTCACACCCTTACATCTTGTATCCGTAGGGAAATGTGGCCAGGGGCGTTTTACCAAGTTGGTCTGGGATGACGTGAGTTAACCCTCACACTCCACAGTCAGAGAGATGGGTAACCCAGGTGACCCAGCGCTAAGTGACAAATATGCTCTCGGATAGAACAGCCCAGAAAGGGCAAGAGGGAGAGTTGGAACACTCAGATAATTACCCTTCAGCGACGCAGTGCACTTAAGTGGTGAAAGGAGATTCACTGGTTGGAAAAACACTCCAGGGCGAAGGGCCAGCGTGTGCAAAAGCACCGAAGCATGACCGAGCGCGGGCATTCCCGCCAGCCACCAGTGGGCCACGCATCCCAACATGTGAGTGCCGCAAGGATACAAGTGCCTAATGTGAACCTCCAAGTGGACGATCATTCAGTACTGACTTTGGGCCTGGCCCCCTTTCCTCATGCAAGCCTTCCAGGCAGGAACTAAGAGTGAGCCATCCTCTACAGAAGAGAAAAGCAAGACACAGCAAGCTGAGAAACTTACCAGGGTCACCCAGTTGGTTGGAGTCAGAGATGTGTTACGGGCAGCAGCTCCTCTGCCCGCTTACGTCTGGGCTTTGGGGGCTGGCCCAGAGATAGTCATAATGCAGCCCTTTATTCAGCACTTGCTATGGGCCAAGTCCTTCATTCACAAGCTCAAGTCTTCCCAACCCAGAAAGAAAGATGGTTAGTTCCATTTCATGTAGGAGGAAACTGTCGAGGCTCAGAAAATTTAAGGAATTTACCGGTCATCAGTAAACGAGAGTAAAGGCCTGTGTGAACCCAAATCTGCCCTCCTCTGAAACTCTCGCTGCAGACATCGCACCCCACTGTTTTTCAATTTCATCTTCTTATTTATTCACTCAACCAATATTTATTTACCAAAGCACTATGAGGCCCAGTTAAGAATGTGTGGTCCTCGATCTGACAGCCTGGATTCAAATCCCTGTTGCCCCACAACTCTCCACACTAGCTGTGTGGCCTTGCAAATTTCACTCAACCTCTCAGGGACTCAGTTTCCTTGATTGTCAAATGGGAGTAATGACATTTCCTACCTCATTGACTTGTTGGGAGGTAGCATTGAGTTATCCCATGCCGCACCCGCTCCCTTGTAAACTCTGGATAATTACCGAGCTTTCTTATAAGTGCAGCTCATGGATCACTCAAGGCACTGGGAATATAGCAATCACAACAAAGATTCTAGTCATGGGAGATGGTCACCTAACAAATTAAAAACTAAGGCATTTGTTAAAGGACTGAATGACCAAGATTAGCGTTCCAAGGAAAAGTATGGCGCTCTGGAGTGGTCAGGAGAGCCTCTGTCACTGAGTAGCAGTGTGGCCCTGTCCAAGCTCCTGGCCTGGCTAGGCCTCATGCCCATGTCTGCATGGCAAGTGCCTGGAACCGGATGGCCATGGCAGCTTTTGCTCTGTGAAAGCCCAACTGCTCCCCTGGACTGCTCCCATGTTTTCTGTCTCCACCGAGCAAGCCTCTTTCAAAGCCCTAGAGAGAGACCTGGGTCCCCAGCACCCTCTCCTGGAGGAGATCTGGACTGAAATGTTTGGGACGCCTCCCATTCAAATGCTCAAGTCTCCAAACCGCTGGGGAGGCGTTGCACAAGAGACAGGCAGGGGTTTCAGTTTCTGGCACTTGTTTGCTCAAAGGATCTCAGCCTTCTTCTTCCTGACATGCAGCTTAAACATGTGAGCTGACCCTTAAATGAAACCCCCACAGTTTTCCATCTCCTTCCAAGAGAATTTCACGGGGTGCAGGGAGAATGGGGAGGACGTGAAACGTGGTGTATCCTGCAGGATTCACTCCCCCACTGACGGGACTAAAGGGTGAGCGTTAAACACTGGATGCCAAGTGTGTCTGCTGGTTTGTTTGGGTGTGTTTTTCTCTTCTCTTTTGCCTCTTAACTAAAACAACACCCAAAAGCACTCTGATTGCATTCAGCTGTTAAGAGGGAAGTAACTACATCTCCCCACCTTCGTTTGCAGAGATCAAAATAACGTTCTCAAAAAACGAAAAGTGGGAAGTTTACAAACACAGGACCCAGAATCTGAAAGAGTTCACCATTACTCCAAGTCAGTGATAGGTGCAGATGGACGCACTTGCTGGCAATGCAAACCTCTGAGGTGTTTCTGTAAACCCACATGCAAAGACCGTGCCTGATCCACTTTCTACCCTTACACACACACACACACACACACAAGTCAGACGGAGCAATAATCTCTGCATCAGCTGAAGTCTTGTCAGCTTAGTTGTCAAATTAAAACATAAAAATATTTTAGGCTGAAATTGGTCAAACAGGCATGTTGAGTTCAGTTTTTAAATCTTGCCCCAAATCAGTTTACTCTGACATATGAAGTCTAAATATGCCTTTCCTTCCTTGCTAGTTTCTGAAGCCTGAAATATTTTCAACTAAATGAGAAAATCTTTGCTGTTGAATGGCCTATTAGAGCTGTCACAAATGTGATTTCTGGAAATAAACAAGATTATAAGAAGGCTGGCTGGCGCAGAAACGTAAGTCAACACTAATAGGTGGTGTAATTAAATTATCCCTTAAGCCAAGATGCCAAATGACACAATTTTTTGGTGTTAATTCTAGTATGATCACCTCCGTGCAACTGTACAAATCTGAATGACTCTCTCACCAGAGGCACTAATTCTATTTTCTTCAGTTCATACCTATCGAATAGCTCTCTCTGTTCTGCTAAGGAAGCAAAGTAAAGTACTTGGGACATAGAAGTTCATATTTTCTCCATATCATTTTACAAAGGTTCACTGATGCAAACGTGGTTCAATAAACAATGTTTATTTTTTATGGGTTAGTATCTTGCTCAAGAAAATTAGAACTAAGTTTCAGGAAGATTTATTTACATTTTGACTATTGTTCACTGGCCACTGCCACTCAATACTTAAATGACTTTCTCCCCAAAGGGCAAAATCTTTAAAGCAGAACAGAATTTATTTAAACAGCTGGTTTTTTGCACAATCATTTTATTAATACATAGGCTCGAGTTATGAATAGTGAGTGACTTGCACAATTTTTAAATTCATACAACTATAAAACTAACATGTCATTCAATTAAATTTTTAAAGAACTGTACAAGATTAATTACTACCAGGCTCGATGAAGTCATTGTCCTAAGCTACATTTACATATTTCTAAGTCTTTAAGTAGTATTTCAAACTGGAGGCAAATGAATACTGCTTCATTTTTTTTTTCCAGAATAAAGGATAACATCATTCTTAGGAAAAGGAATAAATCTTTTTGTTGCTGTTGTTGAATGCCAGTTTGTTTACAATACTTGTCAACATGCACACTACTTCTTTTTAAATTAAAAAAAGATATCGCAAATCATTACTTAAAACATAGTAAGAAATCACGTCATCCCATGAAGAGTCTAAACATTGAAATTATTCAAAATTGTTTTAAAATTATTTTAATTTTAATATCAAATATGTTGAAGAGTGATAAGCACCATCCTTAGTTGAGATTCTCTGTAGCAAGAGATGGGGATAGAAAAATGTTTGTTTTTAAAATAAACTAGAAACTTTTCTGAGTGGGGAAGAGGAGAAGATTACCCTGGAATCACTCAAGGGAGGTGGAGGTTTAACGCGTCTAAGAAGCTGGTTTACCATTTTAGCAGGTGCTGATGTAGTGAAATACAATGTCCAGGGTGCGTATTCACGCCACCACTGCATGAAAAGGAAAACGCTTTTTGAGAAGGCGAGACTACCATTATCTATACCTGCCTGGTTTCATTTGACCATTTTTACGCACATAACATTTCATATAACATAAAATGTACGTTCTTCATGATTACTCTAGGAGAAAGGTGAGGATCTTTTATTTTTTTAAATATGGGCAACTGATAAAATATTGAAATAGCTACTACGTTATTCCATTTTTATCTCAAACATTTCCAGGAAGTATTTCTTTAAACTCTAGCTGGGCACTATCTCAGACTGTTTGAGGAGGGTGAGCTATTTGTTAATTAACATTTGGCTTAAATACTATAAATGCTCTTTGATAGATTAGCACATTTCAGGAGAGGCCTCAAAAAGTTTTTCTTCTTGGGTTTAGAGCCCGATGGATACACCCTGGGAGAGGCGACGGGGTGGCCCCTGTGACTTCGGGCTGCGACGCGGTGTCGTCCCCACCCCCACCCCCCTCACTCTAGAAGTCACAGCGCCATCTACTGGACAGCGGACAAACCTCCCCACCCAGGGACGGGCTTCTCTGTTTAAGGCCATCCAAACTAGAAAGCTTAAAAATGCGTTTAAGAGGTAGAATACCATAGTTTACGGAACAGAAGAACAAGAACAAAACTCTCTAATCAAAATCACAGGGACCTGGAAATATTGGTCTATAGCAATTTGGTTTTTGGGGGTTTTGTTGTTGTTGTTGTTGTTTCGGGGGCGGGGAGGGAGTTGGTTTTGGTTTTTTGGTTGGTTTTTGTTTTTGTTTTTGTTTTGAGACGGTCTCACTCTGTCATTCAGGCTGGAGTGCAGTAGTGCGATCTCCACTCAATGCAGTCTGGACCTTCTGGGCTCAAGCGACCCTCCTGCCTCAGCCTCCCGAGCAGCTGGGAACACAGGCGCACACCACCACGCCCGGCTAATTTTTAAATTTTTTGTAGAGACAGGGCATTGCTATGTTTCCCAGGCTGGTCTCAAACTCCTGAGCTCAAGCGATCCTCCCGCCTCGGCCTCTCAAAGTGCTGGGATTACAGGCAGGAGCCACCACGCCTGGCCTATAGCAATTTTGAAAACTGGCTCAAGCCCATTCCTCTATCCCCTGACATAACCCCCCAAAGAGAAGACTTTTTAAAAAGGTAAGAAAACTGTTTTTTTTTCATTTTTAAGAGTTTTATATTAGCTATAAATTTCTGGAGTAAAGATTTGGTTCCACCTAGTCAGCTCCCACATTTTTCTCCCCATCATCCTTGGGGCTAAGGTGTAGGAGAGCTGGGTAGAGACACACACACTCACACACACGCGCACACACACGCACACACAGACACACACGTGCGCACACACACGCACCCAGACACACGCGCGCGCACATACACGCACACACATGCACCCAGACACGCACACACGCGCACACAGACACGCACACGCATGCACACACACAAAAACACTCCTTGTGATGGAGCTCTTTAATCCTCCTGGACCCTGAACGCTTTGGTGAACACAAGCGTACAAAACTAGGATAACCCAAATATTATTCTGAATTCTTTTTTTCAGTCGTTTAAGCAAAACAACTTTCATTTTTAAAGTTTATGTGATTTTTCCTTATAAATATCATCACATTCCACGATACATCTGTCCGATGTCGATTTCTGGACTTTCTTACGCAAATAACCATCCTGCCTTCCTCCTCCTTTTCCCTCCTAACTGATCATTAGATTTGCCTTGAAATTCCAGTATTAATTGCTTTATCTTGGAAATGAAAGGCAGGGTATTCTTTTCACAGAGAACTCTATAGTTTCATAATTTCCTACACTACTTGGACTAGTTTCGTGGAAAGGAAAGGAGTCAACTGTGGCCTAGCACATTAACATATGTTTTCTTTGCAGTCCTCTCAATAATTTGACAAGACGTGCAGAAGATTTTAAAAAGGCAACTTATATTAACAAATAAAAATTACAATTAAATTTACTGAGTATTACAATTCACCCATTTTAAGAGAGAAATTTTTTTAACTGAATCTGATTTTTCTTTATTACACATCATTAAAAAAAATGTGTCCTAGGACCCTAAAATCAGGCTTGCTATTGTGTTACAGGCACACTTTACTTCATTTCGGGTGTGTGTGCATGTGTGTACCAAAGTATTTAAATTTTGTAAGTTAATTTCTCACTCAATAGAGTTGGAAAGATCTGGACATTATAAAGGCAAACTCATTTTCTGCTGGAATGAAATGAGAAAACGAAAATTTTAAAAATTCATTTTATTAGGTAAATTTAGTAGGGACTCACTGGGAGCCTCTGAAATACACCAGCCCGCTTCTGCTTACTTTCTCCGTCTTTCAGAGTCTTAAAATGAAAATCAAAGTCACTCCCCCTCCCCTTCTTATCCGATGTTTGCATAGAAATTGTAGAGTTTCTTTTCCTAAAAGTGGAGAATGGTGCTGAGAGCCGAGGGGGTGAGTTCAGACAAGAAGCCCTGGAGAAAGGGAACTCCGCGCTGAAGGCAGGGAAGGCGGCGAGATGGAGGAAGGGGTCAGAGGCGCCGGGGAAGACCGGGGGGCACTCACAGTTCCCGAGTCCGCTTCTGTCTCCTGGTCCTGATTCCAAAAGGAAATGTGACTCTTTTGTGCAGAACCAGAAATGAACATCCAGGAAGTCGGCAAAATCACTAACTAAACAACCAATGGAGGAAAAACAACATTAAAATTCCAAATTTGGGGTTTTTTTTCCATAATGGAACAGAAAATGAATTGAAGGGAGGGGAGGGGAAGAGGACAGTTTTCAGTATATTTTAATTTTTTCCTGTGACCTGAGCTGGGCCCCAGGTTAATCCAAGTTTGAATCTGGAATCTTTGCTCTCCTACATCTACATCCTATAAAGGGTCACTTGACTGCAATAAATTCAGGCTGATCGCAAACCCCAAACTTCGCTGTATGAACAGTCTAAGCTCCTGCCGACGATCTGAAATGAGTTTTCCTATGAAAATATACTTTAGAACTCAGCGACCCCCACCCTAACGAAGGCCTTCAATGACAGGAAATGTTTGCCATTTTAAGCACTTTTTATTTGCATTTGCTCTGAAGCTGAGGGAGTTAGAGGAGAAACGTACGTTTAATGCTGGTTGTGAAATTAAGATGGATGGAGGAAGTGTGGACGCATGTGTGTTTCAAGGACCCAGACCGGACATCCTGGGTCCTGCAATTAGCCTCAGCAACAAGGGTAACTTTGCTCTGAATTCCCACAAAAGCAAGAAAGAGATTGCCTGTTGCAGTAGGGCCGTATTTTACATTCTCTTGTGTTGTTGATAAATTGGAAGAGAAATGCTTCCTCTTTTCAGCCGGTTAGACTTATGAAAAATGGCATCTTGCAGTGTTTGTGGGGTGGAGATGTGTTTGTGCGAGTGTTTTCTCTCTGGGATCAAAAGAGGAAAAAAGATTTTTTTTTCCCCAAAATCACCTAAATACTGGAGCTCCGAAACACGCAGCATGTGTATAAAATTGTCCTTCAGAAATCCATCTTGAATTTTTTTTTAAAGTCCTCTCTTTGATCAAAAGCCGGCAAAGAATTACATTTTTCTCCATTCTGTTGCATTTCACATGGACTAACACAGGGTGAGCCTAAACAAACACGCGGCCTGGCCATGAGTGCTTCTTTCAGTTCGAGTAGCTTGAGGTGGGCTGGATGCATTTAGGGGGGTGAGGGGAGAGGATGACAGTTGGGGGGATTCGTTAGAAGGAGGGGAGGAAGGCTACAAACTTTAGGGGAAGCTAAGACAGAAATAAACCCGTGATGAAAAAAAAACGTAAAACTGCCTCCCCGCACGGAGCCTGCACCGCGCAGCTTCACTGTTGAAATTCTTCTGCCCGAAAGATAAATGGCCTACTTTATTCAAGAGTGTCAAGTAGGGAAAACAAAACAAAACAAAAGCCCTTCAAAGTATATTTTCAGAAGATAATCTACTAAGAGGAGTGTGCGGGGGAGAAGGGCCGGCTCCGGGTAGGACATTCTGAACAAGGACCCCTGAGAACCTAGAGCTTTAATGGAGACAACCAAGAAAAGCCAGGGCTGGGCTGAGGCTCTTCAAGGGACAGGAAACCGGCCGACTCCATCCAAGCCCCCATGGAAATGGCTGCTCAGGGCCCCCCACGTGCAGCGTCTAAGCCACCAACAACACAGGGCCTCCCTGGCACCCCGGACGGTGTGCGAAGCTGCGGTGCAGATCCCGGGCCGTGGGCATCTTGAGCCACCACTGAGAGTGACGCCCTTTGTGTGGCATCTTCTCCAGTTGGAGGAAGGAGATGCCAGCCGGGCCAGTGACTCAGAAGAGGTGCCCTGTCATCTCTGCAGCCAGCCGGCATCTCCACGCAGGCCTTAGCGTGTGAAGGTGAGGGGACCTTCACCTCTACCAAGGCAGAGAACAGTCCCCGTGACCCCAGAGACTGCCCTAGAATCCCCCTCGCCCACAAGTGCAAGGACCCCGTAGCAGAGGGGCAGTGATCCCTGCTATGCCCCCCACAGCCTGGGAGCCACCACCCTGCCTGTTCATGTCCTAGGGACCCAAAGAACTTCCCCCAAACCCAGCCAATTGTATGGACAGTCTTTTGCCTGGCGTGGGGGCCAAGTGGACAATACCACACGGAGGACGGTGCTGAAAATTTCAAAGGAGAACCGTCTGAGGCGGCTTTGGCATTTCTCCTTTTGCTGCATGCAGAATGCGCAGAGCCCTCCATGCTCAAGGCAGGCGCCAAGGGGGGCAAGGTAACGTTCCCTGGAGCCGCAGGCCTGGGGCGTGATTTATTAGCGGTGGCACAGGCCCGGGTGGAGTGCAAGGGAAGGCAAGGCGTTTTCTAGATGTTTAAGGTGGAGGAGAGGGACCAGGACACTTGTTACAAACGCTGACAAGGCCAGCTGCCACGTGGACATTCGGGGACCCAATAACCTAGCGGCCGTCTCCCCCGCCCACCTCTCCGGGTCCTAGGCCACTGCGCCAGTGAATACTCCCCGGGCTCTTGGCTGCTCACATTCTAGTTTTCAACCGTGTTGTGGCTGACACAACCCCACGCCTGGGGCTAGCAGGGAGCTGACAGCTTGGTGAAGGTGAGAGAGCGAGAGAGAGGGTGTACCCGTGGGGGAAGAGAAAACAAGAATGTTCTAGAAGGGAGACAGAGCCCAGTTCCTTGACCCAGAAGGCAGGCGCCATACACTTTTCTCTTTCACTGGTCTTTCCCTAAAATGCCAAAAAAATAAACCAGGGACGACATAAATGTACGTGCAGAAAGAGTTTAGAGATTTCATGCGTGCGCACACCCGACTGCGTTTTATTTTTACTTTATTTATTTGAAACACCAGGTCGTGTCTTCCTCCTAGAGGCCCTTTTTCTGACTGTGTTACCCCTGCTCCCACGGAGCTTCCCTCTTTAATGTAAACGAAGGCATTTCCCAGAGCCTTTTGCTGGAATGTTCTAAAATGCAGCATCGACACATTTCTATTTCGTTTTATTGCAGACTTTATTTTACGGCTCTGAGTGTGTGGGGTGTGTGGAGCCCGGGCCAGGGAGGAGGGTCCGGCTGCGGAGGAGCTCCCTGACGGTGCTGTCGGCCTCAAATAAATCCCAAAAAGTGACGGTCGAGCTGGCGAGAGAATTTGGGAAACCAACAGACAAAATATACAGCACAGCCCGTGGGCCTCCCCTTTACGAGCCACGGAGAGCTTCGGGGCTGGAGGGCCGGGGCCTGCGAGGCCACTCATTAGCGCCTGATGAATTGGACATGGGGCCGATGGCCCTCCTGGGGCAGCCAAATGCTCGAAAACCAAGTTTTATTAACCTAATAAAATGAGAGGGAAAAAAGTCAGGAAAATTTCAGCTGGAAGAATAAATGCAGGAGAGCGCAGTCAGTGAACCGTCTTTGAGTATATTCAGAATTATATGGGAGGCCAGGAGCAGCTCCCAAGAAGACCCTGCGTGCGCCGCTAATGTCTGATTTGGGCAGATCAGCGAGCAAATGCGACAACAGCCCACAGGGATGTGTTACAAATTAGTGCTTTTTCATCTTATTTAACACCAAAGCCAGGGAATGCGAGAGGAAAGTGGCCAAGGCCTGTCTTCCCGGCAACTTGGAGCACAAAAGGGATCCTGCCCCAGCCGTCCGAGGTCGGGGAGGGGAATGTGTCAGCCCCCAGGAATCTCATCCAGCGCCTGCCTTTCAGAAAGTGAAGGATCATGAATTAGAGCAAATAAATCAAGCGCACACAGGCATGAGAGGGTTTCTTTTATACACAAATACCTTCTGGACCCTACACTTTGGAACCAACCAGGGCCTGTGAGCGTCTATTTTAGGACACTGGCTAGTGGGAGCTGCGGCCGCATAGCTCCCGGAGCCGTGAGTGGCCATGTCCCGCAGGCCACTGCTGTGTGGACATAAGAACCCGCTTTGTCCGCGGGACTTTACGAGGCCACCCGCTTACTCACCTTGGACCCCCAGAAAGCAAGAGAGCAATTTATGATCTCTGGATCCCCGGGCAAAGGCGGCTGGAGGCCTGTGTTTGCAGTGTCCCTGCACAGGAAGGGAGGACAGCCCAGTGCCAGACGCGTCGGTGAGAGCACGCGCAGGAGAGGGGCTCTGCCTTCAGTCTGGTTCCTGCGTAGGTGCCCGCCAGCCTCAGTGCTGGCACCGCTGCACGGTCACGGATGTGGCAATGCACCCACAGAATCAACAAGCCCCGGCACCCACAACCGCTGCCTCCTGAGTCCAGCAGAGAAAGGAAAGTCTAGCCCGACCCAATGGGCCAGCACACACCTCCCCACAGGCCGTCCCTTCGTGTACATATGTACATATATGCACTCATATGTTCTATAGACGTCCCCATGTTGTCCTCTGCTCCCTTCCTGAGCCGTGTTCTATCCTCTGGGTGCAGTGCCTCTACCGCAGCCATGTTTCAGGTCCTTGCCGAGCACTGATGGGAATAAGTCGGTCCTCACTTGTGTATTCATCAGGCATCCAACTCCTGGGCTTTTTATGCAGCTCTGAAAGTTGGGACTGTTCCTTTTTTTTTTTAAGTTGCTTTAAAATGTCACCACTACAGGGGATTTTTAGAGTGACAAAACTATTTGTATGATACTCTAGGGCTGGATATTTTTCTTTACATTTTCTTTACATTTGTCCAAACCCATAGAATATTCAACACCAAGAGTCAACCCTGATGCAGACTGTGGACTTTAGTTAATAATAATGTATCCATTTTGGCTTATGGGTTGTAACAAACATAACACGCCAATGCAAGACGAGAATAATAGGGGCATGGGGAGGATTAGAGGGGAACTCTATTTCTGCTCAGTTTTTCTGTAAATGTGAAACTACTCTAAAAAATAAAGTCTAGTAATTTAAAAAATTCACTGCTAAAATGATAGGATTTTTTTTCTTCGCCTGTTCTCTTCCAGTTTGGTATTTCCTGGGAAAAGACTTTCAGAAAGTAGCAACGTTCAAAACAAAACAAAAAACTCGCACCAATGCGCAGCTATTCCTGCCTCCCACCTGAGGCCACTCCGTGCAGGGTCCCATCTCGGAGGACATTTTCTGAGACTGATCTCAGCAAAGACAGGGGTGTTTGGAGCGTCTGCTGCAGTGACGACAATGAAAGCCAAGTTGTTTAAACTGTATTCTCATTCATTTTTATTTGTTACGCTAATGTCCCATGGCGCTGAGTGCAGTGACAAGATCACTTTAAATAAACTGAAATTCTGCTTTCCTTTCGCAGTTGACGCGAACCAATTTACAGTCCAGTGTAAGCCTGTCAACTGGGATTAAAGGATAATACTACCCCGTCCTCGGAGGCCAGAGAGAAGGGTTGAGTCTGCCCACCCACGGTCTGCAAACCTGCCACAGGTTTACAGAGGAGGTCTCCTTTGGGAGGGGACTCCGGGGTGATGGTTTACCTGGGAGTTCCTGGCTCAACATGTGCCTCCCCGTCAGGCTTTGGCAGGAGATGGTCCCCCCTGCCGGGTTTGGCAGGAGATGGGCCCTGTCCCTGGTTAGAGAGAGAGAGAGAGAAAGAGAGAGGGACAGAGAAGAGAGAGACAGAGATAGAGACAAAGAGAGACACAGAGACAGATATAAGAGGGATAGAGATAGGCAGAGATAGAGAAACAGAGGGAGGGAGAGAGAGACAGATAGAGATGGGGAGGGAGAGAGACGGACACAGCAGTGCATATAAACCAGAAGCAGTGCCACCCTGGTGTCCTCCCTGGGGAGAGACATCTGCAGACACCATCATTCCACTGTGGATGCGGGCATGGCCGCTGGGCTGACCCTGGGACCATGCTCCACACCAAGCGTCAGCCCAGCCCTCTTGCAGTTTCCTCCATTTCTGCAGCCAAGGGGATGCCACCGGGTGGTGGTGGGACAAACTCAGGCGCCCTCCTCCGGCTCCTCTAGGTGGAGGTTGGAGGACGGGGGTGGTCCCATGACTTCAGAAGCTGTGCACACAGGGAGAGGCTGGGAGGATGTTGCTGTGGCCAGCGCCAGCCCTGCATGGCGCAACCCCTGTGCGATGGGATTCCTCTCTGCACTGGAACCCAGGCCAGTTGCAGCTTGGGGGAGCAGATCCTGGCCCCTCCACAATGGGGGGATGCATTTCCAGCCAGCTCCCATTTCACAGAAGGCCAAAAAAGGAGGGACACTGGGGAACTCCTTGCACTGGGATTTGGAATCTCAGGCCCCTGTGAACAGGAGCCCGATTCCTGCCCTTCCGGGCTCAGAGAACTTCAGCCGTTTCTGAACCTCTGATCCTTGCTTACTCCCCTCATGGGTAAAATTTCACCTACTTCCCAGGCTGTGAGGATTAGAGGTCATCAGTGCTATCTAGCATGAAATACACACTCAAAATGTTAAAGGTGGGTGTTGTTCATATTCCGTGAGGCTGTTGACCATCTCTTGCGGGTGGGGGCGGTCAGGCACCAGAAGAGGCACAGTGAGAGTGCTGGAAATGCCTGACACATTGGGATCCTCCCATTCACAGTCCTTCCTCGTTATTTTCTAGTCTGAGCCACAGATGTTTATATGGCACTTCTTAACTGGTGGTGGCATTTAAAAATAAACTTCAGCTAGTTCTAACCATAAACAAGAAAAAATTGTCAGAGTTTATGTTTATATGGTGCTTCCAACCAGCCAGTCTAAGTACCTAGCACATGTTAACACCTATAACCCTCACCACACTGCACCAAGTCCCCTAGAAGGCAGAGGCTGTTTCATTCCCATTTTACAGGTCAGAGAACCAAGTCAAGGGAGGAGAAGTGATTTGCCAACTGCTGTTTAGCTCATAAGTGGCAGCGCTGGGATTTTTTCTTTTTTTTCTTTTTTTCTGACGGAGTTTCACTCTTGTCACCCAGGCTGGTGCAGTGGTACGATCTCAGCTCACTGCAACCTCCGCCTCCCAGGTTCAAGCAATTCTCCCACCTCAGCCTCCCGAGTAGCTGGGATTACAGGCACATGCCACCATGCCCAGTTAATATTTTTTGTATTTTTAGTAGAGACAGGGTTTCACTATGTTGGCCAGCCTGGTCTCCAACTCCTGACCTCAAGCAATCCACCCACCTCGGCCTCCCAAAGTGCTGGGAGAGCTGGGATTTTAACCCCACCACCTGGTCCTGGGTCTGGGCACCTGGCCACTAGGCCATGACTGCCTCTCGTAAGCGGAGGTGACTTGAGGGGCCGCCTCTTGCTAAGGCTGGTTATGAAAACCCAAGAGCTAAGAAAAACACGTTCCACTCCATTCATTTCTTCACCAAAACTGTTTTAGGAAACAGGAATCAGAAAGGAAGCCTAAGGGGAAAACGCTGGATTCAGAGGAGACTTGACTGGAAAATAGGCTTGGCTGAGCCCACAGTCACGGGAGGGCTGTTTTCCTACCTGGACACCAGGATGCCGTCGGACGAAATATGCTGACTCAGGATCCCACTTGCCTTTCCAGATGTCAGCTGGCAGCGGATCTCTCCTGAGAGCCTGGAAAGACTCCAGGGGTTACAGCCCCTACCTATGGCCCTTCTATAGGAGAACGGACAGTTTCCAAAGTCACTGTGACAGGGACTTGTGCAACATAAAATGAGGTTAAGCCCAGAGGCTTTAGAGCTAAAAACACCTGGTTTTGGTAGCTGAGTCCTTGCTTTTGAGCAGACTGTCTGAGCTAGAGGAGCCTTGGCATTTCCATTGGCAGAATGGGGACCCTCATATCGAATTCATGGGAGGCTTGTACGATAACACGCAAAAGCCTCGTCCAGTGTCAGGCAGAGAAGAGACACTCAATGAAGATGTCGGCCCCTGGTGAATGTTCTCGCAGCTCCTGCTACACTCTTCCAGACTGGGAACTCCATTAGATCAAGAAGCAACTCATCCCATTTTTTAAACTATTGAAAAAAAAAAAAAAAAACAGGCAGGGCATGGTGGCTCACGCCTGTAATCCCAGCACTTTGGGAGGCCAACGCGGGCAGATCACGAGGTCAGGAGTTCAAGACAAGCCTGGCCAACATAATGAAACCCAATCTCTACTAAAAATACAAAAATTAGCTGGGCATGGTGGAATGTGTCTTTAATCCCAACTACTCAGGAGGCTGAGGCAGGAGTATCGCTTGAACCTGGGAGGCAGAGGTTGCAGTGAGCCAAGATTGTGCCACTGCACTCCAGCCTGGGTGACAGAGTGAGATTCCTTCTCAAAATAAATAAATAAATAAAAATTAAAAATAAAATAAAATATACATTTCTTACTTTAGAGTGGGAAAGGCCTTTCAAAGTATAAAACCAAAGAAACAACGAAAGATAAATAGATCGTACACTTTGAAACATCTGCATACAATTTATAACACCTATTTGACAAAAAGTCAGAAAACAAAATTAAAATACAAACGAACAAGTGAGAAAAATCTGCAACTTAAATAACATATAAAGCACCGTCCTTCATCTGTAAATAATGCTTACAAATCCCCGAGAAAAATGTACAATGGGACATGAAGAGAAGAAATACAAATGCCCTATAAACACGTTTTTAAACACACCATCCTGACTAGTAATCAAAGAAGTGCAAATTGAAACAAATACTAGATTGCCACTTTTTGCCTTAAATTGATGAGATGAGGGTTTTAAAAAATATTTCATGACAGCGAAGTTGTTTTAAATTCAAACAGCCTTTCTGGTAAGAAATTCAGTAACATATTTTCTAAGTTTTACAAGTGATCGCACACTTTGATTCATTTTCTACATTCTCCTGTGGAGATTCATGCAAGAGTTATTGTCTTTACTGGGCAATTTTTGCAGCAAGAAAAAACGGGAAGCAAGTGCAATGTAGGAGCTGTGTGAGGATAAGTCTTACAGAAGGAGCAGGACTGAAATGTAAAAAAAGAAATTATGATAAATCTGTGGAGAGTATTATGCAGCCATTAAAAAATCAAGTAATTTGAAGAGTATTTTTTAAATATCAAATATTCATATTCCATGAGGTGAAAAAAAGTGTTACAAAAGACTACCTAGAACGAAATGTCTGATTTTGTAAAATGCACAGAAACAAAAGACTAAGTAGTTATTACCAAAATCATAACAATAGTTATCTGATTTGAGAAGTTCGTTTATTTTATTACTATTATTTATTTACCTTTCCATTTTCTACATTTTCTACAATGTCCATGTATTAATTTTATAATATAAAATTTTATATTTTTAATATGTAAACTTTTGTCTTTGTAATTCTGGGAATTAACGTATAGAAATAATATTAAACATTTTTAAAATTATATTATACCTATATTATAAATAATACTTATAAATATTACATATGAATATCAACCAATATAAAAGAAAGGTTTGTACACAAAACATGTCCATTATAGCATTATTTATAATAAAAGCAAAAAGTGGGCCTGGCAGAAATGACAGCCTAAGAGTCAAAGAAAGTGGGGGACTGGCTAAATAAATCCTTACATAACTATAAAACACCTCACATGGTGCTTCTGGGATCACAGAGCGCAGCCTGAATTGTAACATCAGCTTGTACCATCAATGGGGAAATGTGTATAGAAAATACCTACTGTATATAGCACGTGCAGCATTTTATAAAATAGCCCAATGCTTAGACAAATACTGGAAGGAAACACACCAAAACATCTAACTCCGTTTCAGTAATAAGACTTCTGAGAACCCCTTTTTTTCAATTCATAATATGATTAGGTAACTACCTTGATAATACATAGAGGAAATTTGGAAAAAACAAAGAAATATAAATAAGAGGAAAATAAATACCTTTTTCTCCTGAATGACGCTCATTTTCCACATACCTGGTGACTACTGAAGCCCACCTTATCGTGTTAGAAGAGTTTCAGGCGACCTCCCAACCTTGCTTGGGGCCAGCGTCCAGCCCTTCAGGAATACCCCACTCCTGCCTCGTCCCTCTGCTACTGCAAGGACCAGGAGTTTCAGGCATCAGCAGATGGCCCAAGAGGCCCTTTGGGGAGACAGCCCTGAGCCTGAAGCTAGTTTTAGCTTTGCCTGACTGCCTCCCACCATCAGGGATCCGCTCACCCTTCCCTTGCGTGGAACATGTGTGGTGCTTTACACACCTTCTTCTTTTCTTATTTTTTTTTTCATCTACAGACAGTGATGTAACTGGTGTATTTGTGCACAAAAGCAACCTAGCATTCCGGATGAGTACACAGGAGACAAACTCATTTAAACTGCACGCCCCAGCGACGTGCTGGGTCCGGACCCAGCGGGTGGGCCCCAGAGTCTCTTTGTTGTTCTGCTTTGTTTTCAGCAGCTCAGGTTATGATGATGAGACCCAGCCAGCTCTGGCAGACAGTGCGGATGTGTTGATGACCCGCCTCACTCACGGTGGGTCTCTTTCTGTCACGCTTCAGTGTCCCGGTTTCAGCCACCGGGCTAAAAATAACCACAGTAACAAACAAAAGCAAAATAACAACAACGAGAAAACTTAAACAGCACTGAAAGGGAATTTACTAATGGAAAACCCAAAGCCCAGACAGAGATGGCGAGACCTAAGGAGACCCCAATCCACATGGCTGCGAGACCTAAGGAGACCCCAATCCACATGGCTGAGAGACCTAAGGAGACCCCAGTCCACATGGCTGTGAGACCTAAGGAGACCCCAGTCCACATGGCTGAGAGACCTAAGGAGACCCCAATCCACATGGCTGTGAGACCTGAGGAGACCCCAGTCCACATGGCTGCTAGACCTAATGTGACCCCAGTCCACATGGCTGCGGAGCAAGTCGGAAAGCACCCATCACTGGCTGAGCGTGGACACTGCCTCACGCGGCTGGGGCCAGTGGCCAGCGGTGACTAGTATTGTCATAGAAGGCCAGGGGACAAGCTCTGACCCTCAGAGGGTGTGAGGAGACGGAAGGAGAATGCCGGGGCCTCGCCCCCAGCAGAAAGAAGGGGGCCCCACAATGACAAAATTACATTTTCTTCTTGCCTAACAAATCCTTTTCCTTCCTCCAAATTGTCAAATTAATGTGACCACTTCTCCATACCGCTACTTGGATTCTTCTCCTCTCTCTTTATAGGGATAAGTATTTTTTGTCCCCCTCCCTGCCCCCATTTTAATATTTTTGTTGGTTGGTTTCTCTGCTACCCCTTCCTCCAGCCCCACTGGCGGAGGCTGAGCAGGGTTTATCTGCTGTGAATTCTTCCACACTTTCCTATGGTCACCCCAACCCATCTATAGCTTGTGTTTTTCTTCTTTTCAAAACTACTCAATGGGCCAGGCAGGTAACTCAAGCATGTAATCCCAGCACTTTGGGAGGCTGAGGCAGGAGGACGACTTGAGCTCAGGCGTTCAAGACCAGCCTGGGTGACAAAGCAAAACCCCATCTCTACAAAAAGAAAAATTTTAAAAATTAGCAGGGTGTGGTGGCACACACCTGTAGTCCCAGCTACTAAGGAGATTGAGGTGGGAGGATGGCTTGGGCCCAGGAGGTCGAGGCTGCAGTGAGTGAGATTGTGCCACTGCACTCCAGCCTGAGTGACAGAGCCAGACCCCAACTCAAAAATCAAAAAAAACTCAACAACTTGCCATTTTACTCAATTACACACGTGTGCAACGCCAACACATAAAGCGCTAACACGCTCACACTGCCAGCAGCATACTGCTCAGCATTGCGGCTAGTGAGCCACCATCTGTCCTACCATTCCCCGTCACTCTAAAGACTGGCTGATGGCCGCTCTCGCCCCTGCTCATCAGGTGGTCAGTGCCTCCTCCAGTGTCATTACTCCCTGACGCTCTAAGTTAGATTCCTCCACATCAGACTGCAGGGTCAAATTTTACGCGTGTTTCAAATTTCCAAAACAATGGTCAGATTTTCCTCTCTCACAAACTTACGGCAATTTAGGCAGCCACACGCAACTTACCAGCAGCTGCTTTCCCACACACACCCCCAGCCTTAGGTGTTATCGATCTTTTATTTTCCCCATCTGAATTCTCTCCAGATTCCTATCTCCGTCGCATCTCAGCCGGAAGGAAACATCTATTTCCCCCTCCATTGGCACTGGCTCCAGTTCCCTTCCCAGCTGCGTGCGGAGGATCCTGGTGGCTGAATCGGGGCTGCAGGATAAGGCATGACGCCACCTGTGCAAGTGCTGGTTTGTCTGTTTCCCCACACACCTCATTCCTCAGAGGATTTGAAGTGGTTGCACTGATCTTCCTGGGTTCTCCTCGGAGGAGGCCCTTTCATCTGCCCCTGAATCCAAGCAGCAATCCATGACTTCACACTCCCCGCCCAAGGAGACGGGCCTGAGGGCCGGGAGGGCACTGAGTCCGGGAAATGAGTCATCTTCCCAGCCAGAGTACCCACCGTGCCCATGGTGCCTGTGCTCTGTGCAGGGCCTCTGCCCGCTGTCGGCCTGTAGTGACCCACTCAGGCCTCACAATGATCCCACGAGTAGCTGCTGCTGCTGCCCCTCATACAGAGGAGGCCACTGAGTCACAGGTACATCACTTGCCCAAGGCCAGGAGCTGACAAGCTGGCCTGAGAGGATTCAAGCCAGGGAGACCGGCCCCAGAGGCCCTGTGCTTAGCTGCCTGCCAAGGCCCAGGAGCTCCCCCTAGAGGCTGGTGTGACCTAGCAAGACGCCCACAGCACCTGCTCCATTTGTCCTTGACCTAAACATGGCCTTTGTCACTTCCACCTGCAGTTGCAGGCAATGGGAATAAAAGGGGAAAATACACACACACACACACACATACAAACACACACATACACATGTATATACATACATGCACACATGGGGGAATGGGAACACATGCAAGCATATGTAGAGGGGAGATAACTATACCAAAAGTCAGCATTTCCCAAACCAAATCTTCCCTCCCCAAGATATGAATGTTCCAGAAAATGTTATGCCTTACTCCAACTAAAATGTTCCACGGTTAATTACCTGGAGGAAGCAGAATTTGCCAAATGTAACTAACCAGCCATCTCCCGGGGCTTTGCAACAGGTCAGAGGCTCTGGGCACACTGCTGTGGGGGGACACCCTGCTGTGGAGGGACACCCTGCTGTGGGGGGACACCCTGCTGTGGGGGGACACCCTGCTGTGGGGGGGAGCTGTTTCACTGCACTCAAGTCAGCACTTCCCAAACCCATTTGGTTTCCAGCTTTCTGCAAGTGTTCACGCATGCATCTCTTTATTCAACAAGATGTCGTGTATCTGCGTCTGCTACACAGACCCATCTCCCACCCTCCTAGAACTCTGTCCAGTGGCAGAAAGAAATGTTAATAAAATCACCAAGTGCAGGGAAAGTGATGACTGTAATACGTTTTAGGGTCAACCAAGTGAGCTGTGTTACAAAGCCTGAAAGTCACAGCCGACCTCATCTGAGAAGGTGAAGGAGACCTCCCTGCTGAGGAAGTGCAAAATTATGTTGAAGGGGCAAACTGAAGCAGGAGATGTTCATTATTCAAACCAGGAAGAGCTTTGGGAGTAGAGAGCCTCACAGGCGCCAAGGCGTCATGAGGGAGGGAATATGGCAGACTCAACAGAAAGAACCCAACAGAAAGCAATAGAAAGAACCCAACAGTCACGCCTGTAATCCCAGCATTTTGGGAGGCCGAAGCGGGTGGATCACCTGAGGTCAGGAG
Organism: Homo sapiens; assembly: GCF_000001405.40. Taxonomy (NCBI): domain Eukaryota; kingdom Metazoa; phylum Chordata; class Mammalia; order Primates; family Hominidae; genus Homo; species Homo sapiens. Next base: position 87,078,500 of record NC_000016.10, read on the forward strand.
TTCAAGACCAGCCTGGACAACATGGTGAAACCCCGTCTCTACTAAAAATAAAAAAATTCGCCGGGGGGTTGGTGGGCACCTGTGATCCCAGCTACTTGGGAGGCTGAGGCTGGAGAATCACTTGAACCCATGAGGCGGAGGTTCCAGTGAGCCAAGATCACGCCATTGCACTCCACTCTGGGCAACAAGAGCAAAACTCCATCTCAGAAAAAAAAAAAAGAAAGAAAGAAAGAAAGAGAGAAAAGAAAACAGAAAAGAAAAGAAAAGAAAAGAAAAGAAAAGAAAAGAAAAGAAAAGAACCCAACAGAAAGCCAAGGCAATGGGAACAAGCTGGGGCAAGTGCCTGGAGGTGTTGCTGGAAAGGCAGATAGGGCAGAGAGCACCTGGACTCTTCCAAAACATATTAGCATCATGGTAAAGCCCTCAGCCCAAGTCCCCCAGAACATAGCCGTAGTCAACCAAGTTGAGATTGATTACTAGCTTCCTGTAACAAGGGAGATTATACACACACAAGTGCCATCTGCCTCTCCCTTCACCCAGCTTGAGTTTTGCTTGTAGCACTGATCCTTGCCTAGAATTCTATGGTGTTTGGCTTTTTGTTGGTTTATGTTTGCCTGCTCACTGGGTACAAGCTCCAAGATGGTAGGGACCTTGTCCATGTGTTGACCATATCTCCAGCCTCTGGCACAAAGTAAGTGCTCAATGAACATTTTCAAAGTGAATGAATGGCGGTGGGAATGAATGTAGGAGTGACATTTTCTGAGGTAGGGCACATGGAAAGAGACCAGGTAAACGGATAAAATGATCCCTTTATATGTATGTAAAATATATGTATTTAAAATATATTTATATGTATATAAAATTTATATTGAGCTCTGAGATCTGAGTTACCTTTGAGCCATACTCAATTTACAGCTCAGGATGTGGACTGAAGCTCAGAGGAGAGGTGCAGGGTAGATAGAAAGAGTTGTATCTGTCTTCTGGGTGAAGGCAACAGTTAAAGGTGTGGTTATGAACAAGTTCACTTAGGGAGAAAGTATCGAGTAGGAAGTAGAGCAGGCCTACATATGAATTTTGAAGAATGGAAACATTTCATGGCCAAATAGAGGAGATAAGCCTGCAAAAAAAAAATAGAGCAGAGGCACCCCAGACTGTTAGGTGGAAAATAGGGGATGCAGCACCAGGAAAGCCAGGAAAGAAGGGGTGCTGGGGGGTGGCATGGAGATCAGTGTCAAAGGCTGTGAGCAGTCTGAAGTTAGGTCTGAAAAATGCCTATTGGATAGAGTGATAGCAAGGTCATTGGTAATTTTGGAAAAAGCTATTTGATTAGAATAATGGAAGTGAGAGCCAGACTATAATTGATTGAAAAGTCAGTAGAAGGTTAGAAAATGAAGGTAGCAAATGTAGACAACACTCCTGGGAAATGTAGCTTCAAAGGTGAGGGGAGTGATCAGGTGGTACTTAGAGGACGACTTTTTTTTTTTTTTTTGCTTAATGTCAGAGAATTGGTCATATTTATACACCTTTTTTGAAAAATTTTTAATACAAATTGAATATGTCTTACCCAAAATGCTTGAGACCAGTATTTCAGGTTTTGAAATTTTTTTCAGATTTTGGAATATACATAGAAATACACATCAGTTGAGCATCCCTAATCAGAAAATCCAAAATTCAAAATGTTCCAATCAGCATTTCCTTTGAGCATCATGTTGGCATTCAAAAAGTTTGGGATTTTGGGTTTTCTCATTACGGATGTTCAAATCTATAATTAGTTACCCTGGGGTTTGCAATATACACCTTTATTTGATCACAATCTACTTCCAAATAATATCATATGATTCACACATAGCATATAACTCTATACTCCCAGTTCCCCCCTTATGTTGGTTTTTGCTCTTATTCTACATTTTACTTTTATGTGCAATTTTAAACACACCATACATTGCAACTCTTTTAACTTTCAACTGTCTAGTAATTTTACAGCAATTAAACATACAAAAAATAAACTTCCTATTGATCTTCATTTTTACCATGTCCATGACTATTCATTTCTGTATGTAGATCTAAGATTCTGACTGGTTTCATTTACCTTCTTCCTGATGCACTCTCTTTAACGTCTTGTAATAAATTCTCCCCTTTTTTGTTTTTCTGAGAAAAAAATCTTTATTTCTCTTTCGTTTTTGAAAGATATTTTCACTGGGAAAAGAATTTTGGGTTGCCAGATTTTTCTTTGTGTTTTCTTTTAGCATTTTAATGATATAATTCCATTGTCTTATAGCTTGCATAGTTTCTGTGGACAAGTCTTCTGTAATTCTTACCTTTGCTGTCCTCTATGAGAAATGTCCTTTATCTCTGGCCACTTTTAATATTTTCTCTTTATCTTCAGTTTTCAGCAGTTTAAATATTTTATATCTAGGATTCTACATGAAAAATATTCGTGTTTATTCTCGTTAGTATTCTGTGGGATTTTTGGTTCTGTAATGTGATGTCTTTCATTATGTTTGATAAGTTTTGGCCATTAGCTTATTAAATATTTTTCTTCCCTCTTTCCTCTCCCCTTTACCTATTTTTCTATCTCTGTGTGTGTGTCTTTCCCTAGCTCTCTCTATGGCTCTATCTCTATGTCTCCATCTCTCTCTCTCTCTCTCTTTCTCTCTTCCTTCTAGGATTCTGAGTTTTGCTTATGAGACTGTTTAATATTGTCCCATAGCTCTTGGGTGCTCTGTTCCATTGGTGGTGGTTGCTGCTGTTCACACCTCTTATTTCTCATGTGTTTTAGTGAGGATGGTGTACTTAGTCTTAAGCACACTGATTCTTTTCTTGGCTATGCCAAGGCTTACTTCATCTCTGCTACCATTTTTTTAAAGAGTAGCTGGGACTACAGGCATGCACCACCCCACCCAGCTAATTGTTTTTTCTTTTTGTATTTTTAGTAGAGACATGGTTTCACCATGTTGGCAATGCTGGTCTTGAACTTCCTGGCCTCAAGTGATCCGCCTGCCTCGACCTCCCGAAGTGCTGGGATTACAAGCATGGGCCACCACACCCAGCCAGCATTTCCAATTGACTCTTCATTACAGTTTGTATGTCTCTGCTTTAATTCCCTATCAATTAACACATTTTCCACCTTTTCCAATAGATCCTTTTAACATATGAATCATTTTAAACTCCCTGTCTGATAATGCCAACATCTGGATTGTATCTAAGTTTGGTTCTGTTGATCTCTTTGTCTTTTGACAGTGAGTCACTTTCCTTGCCTTGTTGTGTGTCTTATCATTTTTGGTTGAAAGCTATATACCATGTTTAGGACAGTCAATACTTTGGTAAATAAAATTTATGTCTGAAAATGGGCATGCCTCCTTTTTTCTAGGCTTTGAGCATAGATTTCTGTTCTGTTGTTATTATAATTACCCTCAGGGAACTGCTGGTTTCCAGTTATTTTAGTGTTACTTGGTGCTTAGGATGGGAACTGGGTTGCAAGGGGGTGCTTCTCAGTTTTGCTGTTCCACTTTGGCTTTAGCTTTTGCTTGTGAGCCTGCATCACAGAAGGAGTCTCTCTCTATGCTTTTGTCTCTCTGCACAGAAGACTGCTGATCATTGTTAGCAGTGCCTGCTAGACTGGTGCTTGCGATGAGGGTAGGGGGTCTTTGCTGGGCTGGTTCTGCCTCAGTCTTTAGTAAACCTTAAGCCCCTGGGTCTCAGAGGTGGGGCTTTCTCTGTGATATTGCCTATCACAGCAGTGGAGGAGGATCTCTAATGGTCTGGGCCCATGGTGGTTTCCTGCTCTGTCTCCCAAAATGTTGTTTGCCTATTTCCTTCCCCCAACCATAATGAGTTTCTAGGATTGCTGGTCCTACCCCCAGGCTTTTATTTCCTTGAGAGGAATCTGGGCAGAGCCTTGTGCCTGCTCTGATATGGTGGCTGCTCTCTACCCCAGGGCTTACCATGAGAGAGATGTCTTCAGCCTCCACCCTTCCCCTAGTATTTCTCATGAACACCTGGTGAGGTTGTGAGGTTTACAAGTAGATGTGAACTCCCCTTGTTCCTATGGCTCTCAGGGGTTCTATATCTTATACTAGCCCCAAGCCAACATTTAGCAATCCATTAAAAATTTCAGCTAAAATATTCTTACCCACTAGTATGGTGGCCCTGTCTTCCTCCTGTGTTTTGTGGTAGGTAGCCTGGTGCTCAAGTCCCACCTCTTTTTGGAGGCCCTCATCTTTCTTTGAGATTTCAGAATACTTGTTTTCCTTGTGACCTCTGCTCCGATAGGTTCAAGAAAACGTGTGATTCTAGTAAGTTTTTTAACTTTTACTTTTTGTTAGGGTATGCACGGCTCTCTTTCCAGTTTTCTATCCCTGAGTGGAAGCCAAAAGGAATGTATCACATTTAAAATGATGAGAAGGATCTAGTTAAGAGGATATTTCAAGAGAAAAGAAAATATTTGATCATTAAGGTTCCTGAGAAGATGAGGGAAGATAAAATGCACAGTCCAGTGGGAAGATGGGCAATAAATGTGAGGAAGGACAATTCTTCCTTGTAGAAGAAGTGAAGAGCAAGAAGAGCAAGAAGGAGTGTTGCCATATGTAGAATTTGTATCATTAGTCAAGTTTTTTCTGGAATAATCAGTATAACAAACAATTACACAATCTCAGTGGCTTATACTAATAGACATGTATTTCTCCATCATAGTTCTGTGGCTTGGCTCAGCAGGGCTTTGTCTGGGGTCTGCTCCATGTCCCTGATCCAGGCGGAAGAGAAGCAGATACTTGGGCACGCTCTTCTCACAATGAATGGCAGGAGCAAAAAAGCTGGAGCAAGAACTCAAAATGACTCCTAAAGCCTGTTCTTAAAACAGTACCTTGTCACTTCTGCCATATTCCTTTGGTCAAAGCAGGTCACATGGTCAAGGCCAAAGTTACTGGACAGGGAAGTATGCTCTATGGGAAGCATGGGGAAGGGAGTGTGAACATGTATGGGACAATAATCAATCTACTAGAACATCTTTGGGAGCACAAGTTGAGGAAATTCTTTTTTTTTTTTTTTTTTTTTTTTTTTTTTGAGATGGTGTCTTGCTCTGTCACCCAGGCTGGAGGGCAGTGGTGCAATCTCAGCTCACTGCAAGCTCCACCTCCTGGGTTCATGCCATTCTCCTGCCTCAGCCTCCCAAGTAGTTGGGAGTACAGGCGTCTGCCACCACGCCCAGCTAATTTTTTGTATTTTTAGTAGAGACGGAGTTTCACCAGGTTAGCCAGGATGGTCTCGATCTCCTGACCTCGTGATCCATCCGCCTCGGCCTCTCGAAGTGCTGGGATTACAGGAGTGAGCCACCACACCTGGCCAAGTTGAGGAAATTCTTATCTGATGGCCTCTATTTCTTCTATGGAGTAGGAGACAAATCCAACTTCTGCAAACGAAGAAAGGGGCCAGTCAAATTTTGAGAGTAAAAAATGTTTGAAATAATGTAGAAATACAAGAGGTCTTCTTATGTGTTATGAAAAAAACTATAAATTTCAAATTTGTTTGCATAAAAATAAACTCATGTTAACTGGTTATAACATATCTAAACAGGATCTAGCTTGAGGCACTAGGAAGGGACAAGACATCAGTTTAAAAGGAGCTTCTATTAGAGCAACATAAATTCTGCTAAAATTGAAGCCACAACAAACATCACATTTATGGTGAGCTTGGATGGAAGAAGGGTGAAATCACTGATGCTTTACAAGATGTTCATGGGGACAATGCCCCAAAGAAATCAGCAGTTTACAGATAATTAATTCATTTTAAGAAGAAATGAGACAGCGCTGAGGATGAAGCCCACAGCATCAGACCATCCACATCAATTTTCAAGGAAAAAATGTATCTTGTTCATGCCCTTATTGAAGGGTACCAGTGATTAACAGCAGAAACAATAGCCAACACCATAGACATCTCAACTGGGCCAGCTTACACAATTCTGACTGAAAACTTAAGATGAACAAACTTTTCACTTGGTGGATGCCAAAACCATTGTGCTTAGACCAGCTGCTGAGAAGAGCAGAGCTTTTAATGGAAATTTTTAACAAGTGTGATCAAGATTCTAAAGCATTTTCTTCAAGGAATTATAACAGGCAGTAAAGCATTGCTTCACCAGTACCATCCTGAAGACAAAGCACAATCAAAGCAATGGCTACCAAGAGGTGGAAGCGGTCCAGTCGCAACAAAAGGAGACTTGTCAAGAGCAAAGGTCGTGACAACAATTTTTGGAGATGTTCAAGGCATTTTGCTTGCTGACTTTCTGGAAGGCCAAAGCATTATAACATCTGCTTGTTATGGAAGTGGCTTAAGAAAGTTAGCCAAAGCTCTAGCAGAAAAATGCCTGTGAAATCCTTTGGTGGTGGAGTGAGTCCTTCCCCACCACAGCAATGCTCCTGCTCATTCCTCTCATCAAACAAGGGCAATTTTGTGAGAATGTCAGTGAGACATCATTAGGCGTCCACCTTACAGTCCTGAGTTGGCTTGTCTGGACTTCTTTTTGTTTCCTAATCTTGAAAAATCTTTAAAGGGCACCCATTTTTCTCTAGTTAATAATATATAAAAGACTACACTGATGTGTTTAAATTTCCAGGAGCTTCAGTTCTTTAGGGATGGACTAAATGGCTGGTGTCATCACTGACAAAAGTGTCTTGACCTTGGTGAAGCTTATGTTGAGAAATAAAGTTTATATTTTTTATTTGTATCTTTTAATTCCATTTTTCCACAAACTTTTTGAAGTCACCTCATAATCATATCCTGTGTCACCTCGTAGTTATATCCTATAAAGCACAAGCTTCAGGTAGGTTTGCTCTCCAGCAAACTCTTCAGCAACAGAGAAGTTTCCCAAGCAAAGTGCTCCTGGCCAATATAGATCCAGCTCCAACTTGGACTCACATTCATGCATGAGTCCTTTTCCCATGCAGCATCCCCTTCTCTCCCCAGGAGAGGGATGGAGAACGAACTGGGAACACATTTTCATCACAGTTTCCCTGTTTGGTTTTAGAAATATCAAGACTTGATGAAATTGCATTTCCACAATTAGCTGTTGGAGTGGGAGACACCTACCCCATCCAATCACCAAAGTAATTTTTTCCTGTGTTAGAACAGAGAGGAACTTGGCTGGAGTCCACTCGGGGTGAGTGCAAGCTGGAAAATCCAGGTGGCTGAGGATTATATCCAGAGTTGCTTCTGACATGCCCCAATTTGGGTTTTGCTATAACATTCCGAAGGACATTTCAGAGTATATTCGTTATAGTCAAATGCACGCTGGTGTTTGCTCAATTTGCTTCCTTTACATTTTAGGTCCCATGGTATCCAAGAGAAATTCAATGCCAGCATTCAATTCCTTTCATGTAAATCATCAAATTTCCAGGCTGGACAGAGATCTGTTCAAGTCCTCTCCTTGACCCAGGTCCATGCTACCTTCAAAAAGAATTTCACCCCAGTCCAAATTCCAAAGGATAAGATTCAGCCAAGGGCCCTGGAGCCTTGCTGGGTTCTATGGGTTTGGAATTTGGATGAGGGTGCTGAGTCCACTTCCAGGGGGACTGAACCACTCTTCCTCTTCATACCAATGCAAACACCCTTTTGGCCACTGGCTCAGTCACCCTTTGATTTGGATAAAAAGGAAAAGTCCTGATTTCCCAGAAGGGAGCAGGTGGTCCCAGAGCATCCAAGCCCAAGGAAAAGGACTCATGCATGAATTTAAGTCCAAATTGGAGCCAGATTTACAGTGGCCAGGAGCATTCTGCTTGGCACGGACATCCACAGAGGCTGTGGATATCCGTGTGTCTCAGCAATGACTCACCTCACAGGCCCACCATGGAAGGGTCAGGCCAGAGAGAAGCGACTGAGCCACAGACTGTGCAGCCAGCTACTGCGATCAGAAAGAAAGAGCTTATATGTGCATGCAAGCCTGTTTACAACTCTGTACCAGGAAATGGCTTTTTAGTGGGCTAGCACATGCAGCCTCAGACATGACCTTCATTTGACTCTGGGGCTTCTGATTTAGCTCAGCTATAATGAAGGCTCCTGTGGCCAACACAGACCAAAACACAAGAGACTGCATCCAACACTGGATAGTCAAACTCCCCTGGCATATTTCCTCTGGCTCCCTGGGCTGGGAAGGAAAGAATCAGGAGTTCACCATTTTTCCCCATCCACCAACAACACCATCACCCAAAGCCTGCCCCTGGGCATCAGCAATTCTGCCTCTAACTGCTGAAAGTCAGCCAAGGGATCATCCCAAAATTCACATATCCAGATAATCATGACTAGACTGTTTCCCAGGGCTACTATGCTGCTAGAGTGAGGAAGCATACAACTCCCTAAATGTGAAATTCAATTGGCTACAGTAAAAGTCAATCACAAGGTATGCAATACCCACAGACCCCAGGCAACCCTGTTCCTAATCCTGCAGTCACTGAGGCCATGATTTACTGGGTTAATTTTGGGCTCCTGAATAGAGCGCTGCCAATTCATAGGAGGCACCCATCAGGGTGTTTACTTGGGAAAAAGAAAGAATTAATCAGTTGATGACAGGAGCAAAGAAGGAAAAGTTAAAAGACAGACATTCAGGAGTCATGCCTAACTGAGGTTAGGAGAAACAGAAACTCTGAGTGGGTAGAATCCAGGAGCTAAGAGGAGGTAGATGTGCACCTTCGCATCAACAGAAACCAGGAGATGAAAACAGCGTAATCTCTGTACCTTCTGCTCAATGTTGCCGTAAACCTAAAACAACCCTAAAACATTAAGTCTATTTAAAAACAAACAGGGAAGGCAGAGTGGACAAAATAGAAGGGGTTGACCTTCCCAGTCACTGAGGAAATGGTGGGATTAGAGCCCTCAGGAGGCAGAGTGGAGTTCTGAGACCCAAACCCAAGAGACTGAGCTCAATCACCATGGAGTGGAGATCTCAAGCCAGCTGAAGGGTGCAAGGAGATGTTGTCCCTCAGGCGCCCAAGGGTGCTCTCACCTTCTTCATTGGGTGTTCTCACCTGCTTCGTTGGGCCACATAAACCCCAAATGAAACCCTAAGTCCCAAACCAACTGAAAGGACACCCCCTCTTGGCCAAGAGGACCCCATAGCAACCTGAAAAACTAAATTCCAGGCCAGGCACAGTGGCTCACATCTGTAATCCTAGCACTTTGGGAGGCCAAGGAGGGCAGATTGCTACAGGAAAGGGGTCCCGATCCAGACCTCAGGAGAGGGTTCTTGGATCTCACTCAGTTCTTGGATTCAGGGCTTGTCCATCGAGTAAAGTGAAAGCAAGTTCATCAGGAAAGTAAAGGAATAAAAGAATGGCTACTCCATAGACAGAGCAGCCCCAAGGGTGGCTGGTTGCCTATTTTTATGGTTATCTCTTGATGATATACTCCACAATAGGTGGATTATTCCTGCCTCCCCTTTTTAGACCATGTATGGTAACCATCTGACATTACCACGGCATCTGTAAACTGTCATGACACTGGTGGGATGTAGCAGTGAGAATGATCAGAGTTCCATCCTTGGTCACACCATCTTGGTTTTGGTGGGTTTTAGCCAGCTCCTTTACTGCAACCTGTTTTTATCAGCAAGGTCTTTATGACCTGTATTTTGTGCTGATCTCCTATCTCACCTTGTGACTTGGAATGCCTTAACTGTTTGGGAATGCAGCCCAGTAGGTCTCAGCCTCATTTTAGCTAGCTTCTATTCAAGATGGAGTTGCTCTGGTTAACATGCTTCTGACAGGATCACTTGAGGTCAGGAGTTCAAGACCAGCCTGGCCAACATGGTGAAGCCCTGTCTCTACAAAAAATACAAAAATTAGCTGGCAGTGGTGCTGCACACCTGTCATCCCAGCTGCTCAGGGGGGCTGACGCGGGAGAACTGCTTGAACCTGCCAGCTGGAGGGTGCAGTGAGCTGAGATCGCACCACTGCACTCTAGCCTGGGGGACAGAATAAAACTCTGTCTCAAAAAAAAAAAAAGAAAAAAAAAAAAAACTGGAATCCAGGCCCTAACAGGAAGGGAGGTTGGATACACTTTGTTACACACCTCCCTTTTGGAGTTTAGGCACAACTGACCAGCATTAACATTAAAATAGAGATCGTGAGACAGACAAAACATATTCTTTGCGGCAATAACATATCAAATCCCAACATGATTCTAGTATAGCATCACATAACAGCAGAGCCTGAAGGAAATCAAAATATTTTGCCCCAAAATATATTTCCTTGACATATTTTATAATGGTCCTGCAACACAGTTATTTGTAGGGAAATTTTTGCATCTGTAGAGAATCTTCATTAATGCAGCCAGATCTTTATTGGATTTAAGAGAGATTAAGTAAAAGTCTAACACCTTTAGCACCTATTCTCTCTGAAGACTGCTACCCAGGAGGCATCAACTACATAACAAGAACCTTGGTCTCCACAACACCCCTTATCTGAACTTTCTACTGACTTTAAGTCTTTAGACAAAGCTTAACTCTTTCAACCAATTGCTAATCAGAAAATCTTTGAATCTACCTATGACCTGTAAGCCTCCCTGCTTTGCGATGTTCTACCTTTCTGGGCCAAACCAATATACACATTACACATACTGACTTATGTCTTTGCCTGTAACTTCTGTCTCCCTAAAATGTATAAAATTAAGCTGTAACCTGACCGCTTTGGGTACACTTTCTCAGGACCTACTGAGACCATCCTTCAGGCCATCGCCACTCATATTGGCTCAAAATAAACCCCTTTTCGTATTTTACAAAGTTGGCTTAAAAAAAAAAATTGAGACAGGGTCTTACTCCCATTGCCCAGGCTGAAGTGCAGTGGCATAATCTCAGCATACTATGGCCTCAACCTCTCGGGCTCAAGCAATCCTCCTCCCTCAACCAGTCTCCTGAGTAGCTAGGACTTCAGGCGTGCACCACCACACCCAGCTTTTGTTTGTTTTTTTTTTTTTTTTTTTTTTTTTTTTGTATTTTTTGTAGAGATAGGATCTCTCTATGTTGTTCAGGCTGGGTTCAAGCAATCCACCTGCCTCGGCCTCCAAAAGTGTGGGGATGATAGGTGTGAGCCACTGCACCTGGCCTGCTTTTTCTTTTTTCCTGTCAACAGCCATGAGGCCACTTGCAACCAGTGCCACATGTTCAGCCAAGTAGAAATGTGGGATCATTCCACACTTCGATGTTTAGCATATCTTTACAGGAGCACCTGCCTGGACAACAGTTCTGGTAGCAGTACTCTCTCCAAGAGAGGAACTCAGCGAGTTAGGATGGGGGCTAGATCCACCTCCTGGCTCCTTTTTCCTTCCTTTCTGTAAATCTTCCTCCCACACATCAAGCAATTCCTACTGACCCGAAAGATGAGGGAAACTGATAATTAACTGGCTCTAAGGGGCATTGCCTAAGAGGAGACACATAGAGAGGATCAGCCTCTAAAAGGGGCGCTTCAGACAGGATGACAGTCTGCACATGGGTGCATTTTAAAGCAAGGAACCATTCACAACTGCCATAAGCCTAACTAGTCCTCCTACAAAGTTAATTCAGCAAGGCAACTCCTTCAGGCCTTGGGACCAAGTTGGATCCCAAGAATGAACAGTGAAGATGTGTGTGGAAAATGGGAAAAGAGCCCATGCTGCTTCTGGACAGATGGGGTGGGCAGTTCCCTAGGCAAAGGATGAATTTAGATGGAGTTAGCATGAGGCTGGTTTTCTTGGTGTTGGGCCCTGATGTCTAATCCTCATAGCCTTCTGAAACGAACATACATCCATCCACATTTTGAAGAGGAGGAAACTAAGACTCAGTTATGGGATTTGCTGAAAGTTTAACAACTAGTGGTGAGTGGTTGAGTTGGGATTCAAATCTGAATAGTTTCAGGATCACAATGTTCTCCCACCTAAGAGCTATAACCATTTAGAATCAGTAAACTTTTATTAAAATTCTGGAAGAACGGTAAGTAACAAGCTCAATGTGCCGCGGTGGATTTTAAGAATATAAGAACTTAGGAGGAGTTGAACTCATTGGTAAGCTATTTCTGAATTTTCCAAGGCAAGTTTCTTTTTCACAAGGCTAATTCCTTTCCTCAAATTTTTCATCAAGATATTTTTCATCCAGCCCTCCTCTTTCAGGAATAGATCACCAGTTGGGTGTACATTGGTACAACTTATCTGTAGAGCATATTAGTAATGTGTATAAAGAACCTCAGAAAGGTTCCTACCATTTGATTGCCTGACCTCATAATTTACCATCCAAATAAGGACATTTTCAAAGATAAAAGGGAGCACTATGACTAATTATACCAGGACAACAGGAGAAAACAGAAACTATCGCAGGCAAACCTGTGGTATAGACAGCCTACTTTAGACCAAGTAAGCTAACACCCAGGACCCACTCTTAAAAAATCTATTTATCCATCCATCACTCATTCACTCATAAATATTAATTAAGCACCTACTATATGTCAAATTCAACACTTATGTTCAAGGACCATCATTACTGCATTGATTTTTAAGAGCAAATAAACTCTTATTTGTAAACAAATAAAACCCACGTGGTCAACAGCAGATACGGTTATAACACAAATAGTTATATTCTGGGGGATCCAGATGATGGAAGACTACGCAGGCCTTAAAAAACAAATTTTCTCCTAATGAATTAATCTGAAATATAAACAAAATATTAAAAGTATGAGACAACCATATGTTTGTCATGATCCCAATTTTATAAGAATATGTAAATATGTACATTTATGCATTAACATAGACTAAAATGGCACACAGCACATCAAAGAGGCAACGGTAGATCTCTCTGGATGACATCACTACGAGCGACCTTCTATTTTTTTCTGTGTATCTTTCTTTCTGAGTTTGGCATGAGAAACAGGACATTGAGTGTCTCTGGGAGCATCAAGAGAGCTGCTTGATGCAATGCAAGGAGCAGACTCTCCAACTCAGTCAGCCTTGAGTCTAAATCCTGGCCCCCTCATCTTTGAGCTATGTGACCTTCAGCAAGTGCCTTTGCCCCTCTGCATCTCTTTCTTTCTGAATTTGGCATGAGAAACAGGACACTGAGTGTCTCTGGGAGCATCGAGAGACCTGCTTGATGCAATGCAAGGAGCAGACTCTCCAACTCAGTCAGCCTTGAGTCTAAATTCTGGCCCCCTCATCTTTGAGCTATGTGACCTTGAGCAAGTGCCTTTGCCCCTCTGTACCTCTGTTCCCTAACGCACAGAACGGGAACAGTCATGGTGCCTCCTCAGCAGTCTGCTCGGAGGACTGTGGAGCAGCACTGGCCACGCCTCTCTCCCACCTGCCCTCATCCTAGTGCCGCCATCTTGGTCACATACTTTCTCAGATCCAGGCTTTTCATCTCATGGGAGAAGACGCCAAAGCTGAGGGAGTTGACATCCACAGTTCCTTCAGCATGAGAACTACAAGGCCTTTTGGTAATTCCAAAAATGATGTCTTCTTGCCAACAATGTTGGGCTCTGGGAGCCCTAATCCTGGGCCCTGCAGGCATTTTTTCTCTTCAGCAGCAGCAATGTCTTAACAGGTGGACTGGACTTCTGATTCAAATCCCAGATCTTCGAGGGACTCTCTCTGTGCCCCAAGGTGAATTATTTTACCTCTCTGTGCCTACGATGTAAAATGGAGACAAAATAAAACCTACCTTCTGGGGTAGTTGTGTGGATTTAAAGACTTAACATAACACAAAAACACTAAGAAGCACACCTGGCGTCTAGTAAGTGTTCAGTCAATATTTGCTGTCTGTGATCAGTGCTTCCTCTGTTCATCTTGGGTGTCTCCAGCAACCTCTTCTGAAAACTAAACAACCCAGCTGTCCACAGGATGCCTGCAGCAAGCAGATCTACACCATGCTTTTGTGAATCAAAAATGCCCCTTTGCGGCCAGGCGCGGTGGCTCACGCCTGTAATCCCAGCACTTTGGGAGGCTGAGGCGGGTGGATCACGAGGTCAGGAGTTCGAGACCAGCCTGACCAACATGGTGAAACCCTGTCTCTACTAAAAATACCAAAATTAGCCGGGGATGGTGGCGCGCCTGTAATCCCAGCTACTCAGAAGGCTGAGGCAGTAGAATCGCTTGAACCCAGGAGGCAGAGGTTGCAGTGAGCCGAGATCGCGCCACTGCACTCCAGCCTGAGCAACAGGGGGAGACTCTGTCTCAAAAAAAAAGAAAAAAAAATTGTATTTGGTAAAATACACATAACTTAACCACTAATGATATTTAGTACATTAATAATTTTGTGCAAACATCACCACTACCTAGTTCCAGAAGATTTTATCACCCCAAAAGGAATCCTCGTACCCAATTCATTGATGACTCCCCATTCCCTTCTGCCCAGCCAGCCACTAATCTGCTTTCTGTCTATGGAGTTGCCTATTCTGGACACTTTATAGACATAAAATCATCCAACTTGTGACCTTGTTTCTGGCTTTTTCCACTCAGCATCATGTTTTCAAGCTTCATCCAGGTTGTAGCATGTGTCAGAGCTTCATTCCCTCTTAGTGGCTAAGTGATATTCCACTGGGTGGATGGACCACATTTGTTTATCCATTGATAGATGCGTGGGTTGTGTCTGCCTTTCGCCCACTGTGAGTAATGCTGCTGTGGACATTCACGTGCACGCTGTTGTTTGAACACCTGTGCTTGGTTCTTTCAGGTACATATCCAGGAGTGGAATCTCTGGGTCCTAGAACTCTTGTGTTTCACTTACTATGGAGCTGCCTGGCTGTTTTCCTTGGCCCTACACTGTGTCTCACTCCCATCCGCAGTGTAGGTGGCTCCAATTCCTCCACATCCAGGGTGTCTCTTGGCCATCTTTTCAACTTCAAGTGGGCCTTTGTCAACAGCAGAGCCCTGTCAGCCTCCTGTCCACCCCCAGCCCCTGCAGGTCTCCCACACTCATGGCAAATGGCAGGGCATTGCCTGAAAGAGCCACAGGAAGGTGAGCGCCGTCTTGGGGTGGTGCTCTCTTCTGGCCTGAAGGGCGCTGTCAGTGTGGAATAAAATGGCAAATCCCATAGCCCAAGGGAGCAGCCAACACAGAAGGGACATGGACATATTGACAAGCATCCCTGGGAACACATTTGCTTCTGATCGGGGTGCTCTGGGCAGTGCCCTGTTTGTCTGCACTTGTGATTACTGGCACATTCTTCTCCTCTCTGATGTCCAAGCACGCACTCTGCCTGCATACCAACCCTGCTTGGAAATGGTGGGTTTGATTGACCTCAGCACGGGGCTGTCCTAAACTGCAGCAGCTCGGTTTTACAGTAAAATGCATGAGATGTAACAGTGTCTTCCTCAGAGGCCCCCATGTCAGAAGTGAGTTCTGCAACTCAGGTTTGTGCTGGGGACAGACTGTTCCATGGGATGAAGACCTTGGAGCAGCCGCAGCAGCCGCAGGGAGGTTGTTAGCCATGCAGCCCCCCAGGTCCCACCCAGACCCCGGATGCAGCAGCAGGGCACACCCTTTCCCCAAATACCCTGGGAGCTGGCTTCCCACGGCGTCCCGCAGTGCCGGCCCATGCAGCAGGCCTCTCAACTGAAGAGGGTCTGGCAGGGAGACCCGGGATGGTTGGTGTCGCTGAGCAGAAGGCTTTTGAGGCTGATCCCACCCTCCAGGTCTATCTCACTGGAAGCCTGCTTCTTCCTACGGCATCTCCAAGTGAGTAGCAAGCCCTGGAAGCCAGCGTACCACAACGTGTCTTGTCCTGGGATTACAACTCCTGGCTGGCTTGGTTGGTCTCAGGGCCAGACGTTGTTGCAGGCAGGGCCATTATTCATGGGTGTTTGTGGCAGAGGATATCGTGTTCAGGCTTCATTTCAAGGCCCAGGGCGCAGGTTTTATTTTTCCCTGGGGCTGCCTGGCTGTCTAAGGTTGCTGGTGGTGGCCGGTATTCTCCACCTCTCACCAGGACCCTCTTGGAAACTAACCAGACGTCTCAGGGGGCTGCTCATTCTGCCTAAGAAATAACAATTAGGCACTCAGCAGGAACAATGGGCGCTTGGAAAAACTCTTAACTGCAAGGTGGCAAGGAGCAAACAGAACTCACCAGTAAACCTCACCAGAAGCATGGAAGAAACGAAAGAAAAGAATGCACTGCAGAGTGGTTGTGAAGCTGCAGGAGCTCTTGGTGAAGGAGGAAGTCAGCCTGTGTTTTTGTGCACCCTGTTTATGAGAGGAACCTGCACAAGAGCTTGTTTGTAGGCCCCTGGAGGAAACTTGCCGAAACTCACGGGTTTTTTGTTTGTTTGTTTCCCCCAGCTAATTTTCATATGTGCTTTATGAGTGGAAAATATGAAAATGGTTCATTTGCTGGTGGGGATAGTACCCTTGAACGTGAAAGCCGGGAGACTCCCAAGAGATTTGCTCATCCCATTTTCCCCAACCAGAGACTGAGTAGGGCTGTGCCCACTCCACACGTGCAAATCACATCTTTGCTTATTTACCGGGTATTTCATTTATCTTTTTAAAAGATTTTATTTTGGAAAATGTCAAACCTACAGGAAAGCTGTAAGTGAACAAACGTATGCCTTTCCCATAGAGCCACCCAGTAACAGTTTGCTGGAATAGTGCTGTTACCAGAAAGGGGTCCCGATCCAGACCCCAAGAGAGGGTTCTTGGATCTCACACAAGAAAGAACTCGAAGTGAATCCATACAGTAAAGTGAAAGCAAGTTTATTAAGAAAGTAAAGGAATGAAGAATGGCCACTCCATAGGCAAAGCACCCCGAGGGCTGCTGGTTGCCCATTTTTATAGTTATTTCTTGATGATATATTAAACAAGGGGTGGATTATTCAGGCCTCCCCTTTTTAGACCATACAGGGTAACTTCCTGACATTGCCAGGACATTTGTAAACTGTCATGGAGCTGGTGGGAGTGTAGCAGTGAGGACGACCAGAGGTCACTCTCATCACCATCTTGGTGGGTTTCGGCTGGCTTCTTTATTGCCGCCTGTTTTATCAGCAAGGTCTTTATGACCTGTAACTTTATCCTGTGTCTAAGAATGCCTTAACCTCCTGGGAATGCAGCCCAGTGGTCTCAGCCTTATTTTACCCAGCTCCTACTCAAGACGGAGTTGCTTTGGTTCCAACACCCGACAGTGCTCTCTTCTCTCTCTCTCTCTCCTCTCTCTACACACACACACACACACACACACACACACAATTATATTATTGCTGGACAATTTTTGAGTAATTTTAGACACAAGTACCCCTATCAAATGTGTACTTCAATATATATCTCCTAAAAACAGGGGCATTCTCTGAAAGAACTACAACTGTGAAATTTAGGAACATTATCACTAATAATCTGCTATGCTTTCATACACAGCTCATATTCAGTTTTCCCCAGTCGTCTCAACTGTCCTTCACAGCAACATTTTCCAGTGGGGGAGAATGTGCTGCCTTTAATCGTCTCATCGCTTTAATCTCCTTTAATCTGAGACATTCCTCAGTCCTTTGCTGTTCCTCACATCACTGGCATTTTTGGAGTCACTTACTTTATAAAGTTTCCCTAATTTGGGTTATTCTGCTGTGTCCTTGTGATGAGACTCTGGCTATGATTTGCAGCAGGAACACCCCAGAAGTGGAGGCATTCCCTTCTCAGTGCCCCATATCAGAGGCACACGATGCCATTTGTTCCATTAACAGTGATGTGGATTTTGATCACTTAGCTATGGTGTGGGGTCCCCCACGGTTCTTATCTTTCCTTAGTAATTCATCATTAATCTGCAGGGACATACACAGAGAGGTGTAACTGCCCGGTTCCCAATACATTTTCACCCATGGTTTTAGCATCCATCTACAATTTCTATCTGCATCAACTTAGTGTTTTCTCCAAATACACTCATTTTTTGCTTAATTATCTTAAATGGTAATGACATACCCCACTATAAATGAATCGCTAGTATCATTTTTTCCTAAAAAGAAGATAAGCATACAAATAAATATAATGAAAAATGTTAGCTATAATTGCCTTCTCATGACTCTGAGCTGAGGCTTGCTTGCTCTCTATTAAACATGAGAAATTTTCATGCCTTTGAGAGTGGTTATGGCTTCACGAGCACCTTGCAGGGACCTTCTCCATGTTACCTTTGTAACTAACCCCTGAAAATGGGCGCTTCGGAGCCCCAGTGGGTAAATGTGAGGACTGAGAACTCTGCCCTCCAATCCCAAAGACACCGCTGAGGGGCATTTCCCTCAGTGAATAGCGATGCCCAATCGTGCAGCGGCAAGAGGGGGTTATTCAGCAGGAACACCCAGGAGGGAGTTTGTGAGAATGGGTTTGTGCCAAACTCCCTGCTTAAGTTCCATCAACTTCAAAATCCCTTTTTCTTCCAAATTGGGCAACCCTGAGACACAGCTTCATAATCCAATCCGTTCTTGCTGCATAACATATGTTAGGAGGCCTTGATTCCAGCTGATGCCAGCTACAGGGCAAACACACCGAACTTCTGTAGCCCGTGCCAGCTTCAGTTTGGATGAAAGCTGGGCTTGATTTTCATTTTTATCAACTATTTTACTCCTCAGCATAACCTAGACCCTGTAACTTGTCTATTTTCCATCTTCAGTGGCTTCATGCGCATAAACATGATAACCCCGGCGTCTGGGGCGTGAGACAGCTGTTGTGTTTTGCTCCCAAGACAGTCTGAGGGGAAGACCTGGAAACTCCCAGACACTCCAGGGCAGGGCCAGGGCATAGGCAGGCAGTGGGTACCAGCCCCACGGCATAGGCAGGCGGTGGGTACCAGCCCACGGCATAGGCAGGCAGGAGGTACCAGCCCCACTCTGCCTTTTGCTCACCGTGTGTGCTTGGTAGACATTTGTTGAATTTTATACTTCAAAGTAATTGAAGTTTACATAAGTATCTACAATCTTCTATCTGCAATAACAATCCTTGAAACAGTTCTTAAAATTTTGAGATCATTATAGATTCACATGCAGTTGTAACAAATAATATAGAGAGGTCCCATGTACCCTTCACCCAGTTCACCCCTATGGTAACATCTCACAAAACTATATAGTACAATGTCACACCCAGGATATTGATTCTCGCGTGTGTGTCAGGGGGGGCGGGGGGGGGTGTACGCGCGTGCATGAGCTATTTTCAGTGAGGAGAAATTCACATAACATAAAATTAACCATTTTAAAGTGAACAATTCAGCCTGGGCGTGGTGGCTCACACCTGTAATCCCAGCACTTTGGGTGGCTGTGTGGATGACCTCAGGTCAAGGAGTTCGAGACCAGCCGATGCAACATGATGAAACCCTGTCTCTACTAAAAATACAAAAATTAGCCAGGCATGATGGTGCACACTTGTAATCCCAGCTACTCGGGAGGCTGAGGCAGGAGAATCACTTGAACCCAGGAGGCAGAGGTTGCAATGAGCCCAGATCGCACCACTGCTCTCCAGCCTGGGTGACAGAGTAAGACTCTGTCTAAAATAATAACAATCATAATAATTATAAGGAAGTGAACAATTCAATGTCACTTTGTTCATTCACATTGTTGTACAACCCCCATCTCTGTCTAGTTCTAAAGCATTTGAATCACCTCAAGAAGAAACCACCATTAAGCAAAAGCTTCCTATTTCCTCCGCCATTGGCAACCAGCAGCCTATGTTCTGTGTCTGTAGATTTGCCCCTTCTAAACATTCCCTTTAAACAGCACCAGGTGGTGGGTGGCTATGTGCATCTGGCTGCTTTCGCTCAGCGTGTTTGTGGGGCTCATCCCTGTTGCAGCAAGTGCCTCTGCTTCATTCCTTTTCGTGGCAGAATAATATTCCATCATGCACACAGATGCAATGACACTCTGACTTTTGTTACATACTTTTCTCTCAGTCGGGTTAGTACTGGGATCTACACCAGCAACAGCTGCATGACCTTGGGCCAATAACTTCCCTGGAGAGAGTCCAGCATTATTTCACCCAACAGATGCTTATTCAGCACCTGCCATGTGTCAGGTGCTAATCTTGGGGCTGAGAATACAGCAGGTGCACCCGATAAAGTCCTGGACCTGTAGGGCTTGCCAACTAGTGGGGGCAGGGGAGATCAGGAAAAACAAACAATATTGGTGATGTCACCTCATGGTGTGGTTTTTAAAATCAGAGGAGGGCTGGAGACTGCAGAGCACTGGGGGTGCCGCTTTGCATGGGCAGGGAGGGCCACGGTCCTAAAGCGCCCAGAGCAAATATCCCGAGGAAGGGAGAAAGTTCCAAGACACCTGGGAGAAAGGCATCCAGGCAGAGGGAATGGCACGTGCAAAAGGCCAGGGAGGGGACTCGCACGTTGGGTGTGAGGAAGGAGCCCAGAGTGGCTGGAGTTGGGCCGGGGGCTCTAGACGGGAAGTCCTAGGAGGTAAAAGTAGGATAGGGGAGCCCAGATCATGGCCAGGGTCTGTGTGTCCCACTGTGTAGTAAAGACCAAGCCATTCGGAGGGAGAGAGACCTGGATTCCAGAAGAAGACAGACCTGGGTTCTAGGTGGAGACAGGTCTAGATTCCAACCCCAGCTCCATATTTGAGCTGGGTTCTGAAGCATGAGTAGGAACCAGTCAGGTGCGTGCTCCGGGCAGAAGGAACCGCCTGTGCAAAGGCCTGGGTGTGGATTGCTCAGGAAAATTGCAAATGATTCCATGTGGCCGGTATTCAGAGTTACATGCTGAGGGCATTCATAAATTAAGCAGGACCCAGATTAGAAAGGGCCTTGGTTAGGCTGTGTCCCCATCCCACATGGTAACAAGCATTTCAAGTATGTTATTAACTGGTAAGAAGGGACAAACTCAAGAAATCCTCAAAGCATTACCTCCCTGTAGTGTCTGGAGGAAAAACTGCCATCATAAAGCTAATGGGGGAGTTCAACCCCTCCCTCAGACCCAAAGGAGGAGGGCTGACAGCTTGTAAAATCCCCAGCACAAAGGATTAATGGGCCAAGGAGTGACCTCTGCTACTGAAGCCTTTTGTTTTCCTGATGGTCACTGCCCCCTCCCTCCAGGGCTACAAACAGCATTTGCTGGGAGCTTTTCATGTCCTCACACCTGTTTTTTGCATTTGCTCTTCCAGCGCTGCTCCCCAACCTTCTCTCCAGCACAGCGCAGTGATAGCGGGTCCCCTTCCCTTCAGCTGCCAGTCATGGATCCGTGCCATGGGAAGCACAGCAGGAGAAGGAGGTAGCTTGGGTAGTAAAGCTCTCACCTTTTCCTAGCGCTGTGTTCTTTACCATTTGCGGGCACCTGAATAATGGCCCCTAAGATGTCTAGGTCCTAAGCACTGGCCCCAGGCAAGAAAGCACACTGGGAGGTGGGTAGGAAAGACAACTGGAGAAGCCTGAACCTACTCTTAGATTTTTAAGAGCAAAACATGTGCAGCTGTGGGTGCTTGAACAATTAGTAGAAATCCATTCCTTGCAACATGGCTCATGTTGAATAAACACAATGCCAGGAAAGGAATCCACCACACACAGGCTCCAGAGCATGTCTGCAGCCCACCTCCCCAACCCCCATTCTCTCTGAGATGACCCCTGGCTGCCACCGAATGCTGCACACTGCAAAGGAAGAAGCCAGTTTGAGAACCACCGTTCTAGAACACAGCAATGATTGCATTTGAGAGCCTAAAGGGGTGCATTGTGGAGGACAAGCAGGACGGCAAGAAGGGTGAATTCCAATTCCAGCATGCAGAGAGCGCTCACGCTAGAGCACAGTGAAGGGAGCCCAGAGACATGGTGTGTTCCAATCACAGAGAGACTAGAGAACTTTCCTTTCCGAGTTCACGTGTATTTATTCTTTCAGATTTATTTAGCACTTAGAAGGAAAAGCATTTATTAAGGAGATACTCATCATGTGGCAACCTCTTACAATGTCCTCGATTTCACTGCATGGTCACAGCAGTGTGCTAAATGGGTGTTGTTAAGGGAAGGATTAGCCCCATGTCACACTTAGGTGAGGACTCTCAGGCTTGCAGAGCTAAAAGCCAAGTTACTCAACCATTAGGTGGTGGAGTAGGTGGTGGAGACTCAGCCTAGCGTTTCTGACCCTGCAGGGCTCACACACCACGACGGGGGGCAGGCGGGGCTGCAAGACCCATTGACGGGCAGAGGTGGCCCAGCAGGAAGAGGGGAACCCTGCAGTGCAGCGGTCCATGTTTATTAGTGACTGGGGTCTTGTTTTTGTTTATTCATTTGTGAATGCGCCTCCCCTCCTAGTAAACAAGCCTCTGCAGAGGTGGTGATTTTTCCTACACAAGTGTACACAGAGCATTTTGTATGCATCATATGCCTCAGCAAAACTCTGCCAGGGAGAGCCACAGGCCTTGGGGGTGGCTCCAGACATCCCCCTTCCTCACCTGCTCCAGAGCCTCGGGAGTCCTCTGGGGTTCAGCCTAGCGTTACCTCCACCTTAACAGTCAGAACAGATTGCACAGTCTCTGCTGACCTGGCCCACATCCACCAAAATGGCTGGGCTCTCAGGCACTTTGCACATGCCTGTACTTGGGGCAGGGGGTGTTTAAGGTAGATCTGGCAGATGCGCCAACACTTGCCCTCACCACTTCCCTTGGGGCTCAAGCAGGGAGCATGGCATACAGTGAATGCAACTCCACCCTGGTAGCTGGTGCCACAAACTTTCAAGTCAGATAGACTTGAATTCAAGTCTCAGCTCTGCCACTCACTAGCTGTGTGACCTTAGACAAGTTATCTATCCTCTCGGAGCCTTTCAGTGTTACAGGAGCAACCACAAAGGTTTCCTAGACAGATTAAGTGGAATAAGACATGGAAAAAGGTTTGGGAGAGTAACTAAGACATAGTAAGTCCTCAATCAATGGCAACTACTATGACAGCTGTCATAACCATAGCGAGAGAAAGTTGCACTGAAAAGGAACTGTTATGCTTCAGTCATAATTGTATATACATACACATTGTACCTATGTATTCATACGTACATTGTATCATTAAATCCAAGCTATACATTGTATATATGTTCAGATATACATTGTATCACTGAAACCCCCAGCTACCTAGGACCTAGGAAGTAGTTTTCACATATATATACATTGTATACCTATTTCATATGTACATTGTATCACTGAACCCCCCAGCTACCCTACGATCTAGGAAGTAGTTTTCATATATATACATTGTATAGCTATCTCATTTGTACATTGTATTACTGAACACCCTCCCTTCCCCCCAGCTATTGTATGAGCTAGGAAGTGCATTTTCCTAGATCCCATCTTATAGATAAGGAAATGGAGGCTCAGAGAGATTAAGCAATTTCCACAAAGTGAAATACTAGGACTCAAATACAGAAGCATCTTCAAAAGCCCTGCTCTCTCCCACCCCCCACCCCCACTCCCATAGCTGACCACCTTCACTCCATCCTCCAGACACCCCCACGCCACCTCTAGAAGAGGCAGTCAGGGCACCTAAAATATGGCCCCCATCCAATCAGCCATCAGCAAAAGGCACTGGGAAACTGTCAGCTGTTATTAACTTTTGAAGGGATCCTGGGGCCTTTTCAAATTCTTCTGAAAGATATGGACTCTCAGCCCAGAAACGCTCACTCAAAGTTGCATTACATTCTGTAGAAACCCATCCACATGTCCCTGGGGCCCTTGAAGTCATGACGTTCCATTTCATTCCTCATAAAGCAAACACACAAAAATCTATTGGATTGAAATCTCATGGTGACTCATTCATTCATTCAACAAATCCGAAGGAGAAAAAACTGTATTTGAAAGAAACTTTGTGAACTCTGCAGAATTAGCAGCACCACTAGTCTCCTAGGCCAGTGAGTTAGAAAACAAAGAAGAAAGGAAAGTGGATTGAGAAGGCGGCATTGATAGATGGAGTGGTTATAATCAATGTCAGTTCCTCCAACTGGAGTACTGACTAATTGGAAAAGGAATTAAAATTTAGGTACAATTCCTGGAAACCCTTAAAAACAAGATATTTGCTGATAAAGTAGAATGAACAGGCCAACTTTTGATTATTTGCACTCATGGAAAGGGACGGGTGTGACCCCCAGATCACTGAAGGACCATATTTGGCCTTGAGATCCTACTCAAATGAAAGTAATATAGCCAGTATACTGGCAAATGGTTTTTTCCTTCTGTTTTCCTTTTGTTTTTGAGCGTAACAAAAGTTAACAAATCCACAAGGCATTGGAAGCTTCTTCCTGTTTCCTTAGGCGAAATCCCAAGCAGGGAGTGGGTGCCTGTCACAAGTGGTCCTTAGAAGTCATTGTCTATTAATGAGTTTTTGTTTCTCCTGTTAAACAAAGAATCCCTTCCCTCCATGGCATTCTGAGAATGTTTACAATCATTGTGATGATGGCGTCCCATGGCATTTAGGACAAAACTCAAAGTCCTTCTCCTGGGCTGCCAGGCGTTCCAATAGTTCTCTTAGTGAGGGCCAATTGAACTATCAACCAAGACTCAAAAGCAAGGTACATATGTTATTTGTTTTCTAAATCTACCAAATAATTTATTTTCCCCCAAACCATTACTTAAAAACAAATCGGCAGGCAGGGCACGATGGCTCACATCTGTAATCCCAGCACTTTGGGAGGCCGAGGTGGGCAGATCACTTGAAGTCAGGAGTTCGAGACCAGCCTGACCAACGTGGTGAAACCCTGTCTCTACTAAAATACAAAAATTAGCTGGATGTGGTGGCATGCCCCTGTAATCCCAACTACTCAGCAGGCTGAAGCAGGAGAATCGCTGGAACCTGTGGGTGGAGTCTGCAGTGAGCTGAAATGGCACCACTGCACTCCAGCCTAGGTGACAGGGCAAGACTCTCTCTCAAAAAAGAAAAAAAAAATTGGCAATGTAGTTTACGCTTTATGTTTTGTCTTCCTTCATTTTTAAAATTTATTTTAAAAAATAACACACAATACAATTGTATGCCCTTTTCTGTTTGTTTGTTTGTTTGTTTTGGTGTCCAGTTTTCACTCATACACAAATTTGTGTGAGCAGCCTCATAGTCAGAATACAGAATAGTTTCATCACCAAAAAACCTTTCCCATCCTGAAGCTGTGTAGTCACGCCCCACCCCTGACCACCACTAACATTTCCTCCATCCCAGTACTGTTGCCTTTTTCAGAATCTCATGTAAATGGAATAATGGAGGACGTAGTCTTTTGAGATAGCTTTCTTTCAAGCAATCTAGCGTATCTGAAATTCAGCCATGTTGTGTGTATCAATAGTTCATCCCTTTTCATTGGCAAGTGGTCCCCCACTAGACGGATGTGCCTACCCATATCTTCATCCATTTACCCCTGAAGAACTTGCAGCTGATTCCATCTTCTGGTACTTATGAATACGCTACTGTGAACTTCCACGGATCCTTTTCTCTTTTTCTTTTTTTTTTGAGATGGAGTCTCGCTCTGTCGCCCAGGCTGGAGTGCAGTGGCACAATCTCGGCTCACTGTAAGCCCCACTTCCCGGGTTCATGCCATTCTCCTGCCTCAGCCTCCCGAGTAGCTGGGACTACAGGCACCCGGCTAATTTTTTGTATTTTTAGTAGAGATGGGGTTTCACCATGTTAGCCAGGATGGTCTCAATCTCCTGACCTCGTGATCTGCCTGCCTCAGCCTCCCAAAGTGCTGGGATTACAGGCATGAGCCACCGTGCCCGGCCTTTTTTTTTTTTTTCTTTAGAGATGAGTGTCTCAGTTGCCCAGGCAAGAGTGCAGTGGTGCAATCACAGCTCACTGCCTCCTGGAGTTTCTGGGCTCAACTGATTCTCCTGCCTCCACCTTCCAAGCAGCTGAAATTACAGGCACATGCTGCCATGCCTGGCTAATTTTTAAAATTTTTTTGTAGAGATAGGATCTTGCCATCTTGCCCAGACTGGTCTTGAACTCCTTGAAGAATGGCCTAACCATTTGCCAAAGCAGCTACAGCATTTTATATTCCCACCACCAATATGTGAGGATTTCGATTTTTCTGTAACTTCACCAACACCTGTTTTTGTTTGACTTTTTTCTTACAGCCATCTTAGTGGATATAAAATGCTATCTTATTGTTTTGAGTTGCATTTTCCTAATATTTAATGCTGTAGAGCATCTTTTCATGTGCTTATTGGCCCCCTCTATATCTGCTTTGAAAAAATGTCTATTTGGGCCCTTTGTCCACATTTTAATTAGGTTATTTGTCTGTACATTATCTTTGTATTTGTCTTTATATATTTGCCAAATATATCTTTATATATTCTGTATACTAGGCTCTTATCAGACATATACACCAAAAATATTTTCTCCCATTCTATGGATTCTCTTCTAACTTTCTTGATTATGTTCTTTGAAGCATATTTTTTAAAATTTTTGATTAAGAATAATTTATCAGTTGGGGATGGTGTGCTTATTTTTATGTCTTTTTTTTTAAACATGACTTAATTCAAGGTTGTAAAGATTTTCACCGATGTTTTTTCTAGAATTTTTATAGTTTCAGCTCTTGTATTTCAGTCTTTTATCCATTTGAGTTTATTTTTTATGTGGTGTAGGGTAGCAGTCCAACTTTGTTCTTTTGCATGTGGGTATGCAGTTGTCCCAGCACCATTTGTTGAAAAGACTATTCTTTCCCCATTGTTAAAAAGCAATTGCCCATAAATGTATTTCATTCCATGGAGTTCATTAAATGCATTCTATGTGTTCTATTGACCCATATGCCTCCCCTCACGCCAGTGCCACAGAGTCTTGATTCCTGTAGCTTTGTAGCAGGGTTTGAATTAGAATGGTGAATCTTCTAACTTTGATCTTCTTTTACAAGACTTTTTTCTTTTTCTTTTTCCTTTTCTGAGAGAGTGTCTCACTCTATCGCCCAGACTGGATCACAGTGGCACAATCTCAGCTCACTGCAACCTCTGCCTACCAGGCTCAAGCAATTCTCCTGCCTTAGCCTCCCAAGTAGCTAGGATTACAGGAAAGCACCACTATCACCTGGCTAATTTTTGTATTTTTAATAGAGATGGGCTTTCTCCATGTTGGCCAGGCTGGTCTTGAACTCCTGACCTCAAGTGATCCACCTTCCTCGGCCTCCCAAGGTGCTTGGATTACAGGCGTGAGCCACCACACGCGGCCACAAGACTTTTTTGACTATTCTGGGTGACTTGCATTTCTATATGATTTTAGAATCCCCATATCAATTTCTACAGAACACCCAGCTGGGATTTTGACAGTAATTACATTTAATCTGCACCAATTTGAGGGTACTGCAGTCATAACAATATTAAGTCTTTCAACCCATGAACACAGGACGTGTTTCCATTTCTTTAGATATTTTTTAATACCTTTCAACAATGTTTTGTAGTTTTCAGAGTAGACATTTTACATTTCTTTAGCTAACTTTATTCTTAAGTATTGTATTATTTTTGATGCGATTGTCAGTGGAATAATTTTCTTAGTTTCATTTTCAGATTGCTCATAGCTAGTGTATAAAAGTATAATTGATTTCTATATGTTGATATCATCTTATTACGGCTGAGCTCAAGATCAAGGGAAGTTGGGTTCCTGAATCACCATCTGGAAAAATGCCTGCCAAACAAATACAGTCAAGCATCACAAGAGCAAGAAATAAACTCATCTTGTGTTAGGCATTGTGATTCGGGTTTACCTGCATAGAAGCTGCCATCCCCTTAACTAATACAATGTCCAATATAAATGCCACTTCCTTTCTTGATCACTCTCTCCCTAAATTAGGAGCCCTCCCTTGATTCTCTTTCTTCTTATTTGTTTTCTCCTTAGGCTTATTAAAACTTGTAATTCTTTAGCTACTGTGTCATTCCTATAATGTCTTCCCATAAAGGCAGAGACGATGTCAACCTCCTTCATCACCCTATCGCCTTCTTTATACAGCATCTAAACATTAGGCAGGTGTGCGGTAAATGCTTATTGAGTACATGAACACATATTTTTCTCTTGTGGCTTGGCTTCTGCTGCCACACTTTGAGCTCTTCCTTAGTGCTACGCAATGGCTCAGGGCTTCATGTGCATCGCATCTTACTGAACCCTCTTGGCAGCCTTCTGAGAGAGCTATTAGTGTTCCCATCCCACAGTCCGGGAATGGGGGCACCAGAGAAGTGAGATCGCCTCCCTGCTGGTACTTAGCTATTATAATAAGCAATAGAGTCAGAATTTAAACAAAAAAGTGAATGCATTCTTCCACAAGACATCCTCTCAATCACTCTGCAATTAAATTTCTTGGCCATTTCCATAAGAAGATCCACTTCTGTGGACAGCCCTTTAGCTACTCCAAGTCTATCCAGGCAATGAGTGCAGATCTGAGAGTCTGGGGTCCTCATAGGTGCTGAGGTCCCAGCTAGAGACCATCCAGTGGAAAATATGGTGGCTGGAGAGTAGAGGGGTTGCCTGAGCACAATGAGGAACTTTTCTCTCTTTGCTTCCCCTTTGAATCTCTTGGTTTAGCTTACATATGAGGAAACTGAGGCTCAAAGAGGCTAAATAACATACCATAGGTCACACAGCTAGTGCATGGCACAGCTTGGGCTAGAACCCAGGTCTAATTTAACTTCCCTCTCCTGTCCCCACGATCCTGCATAAACAGGTGTGTCCGGATCGGATGTGTCACTTAGAGGTAGAGGAACAGCCACACTCAGAACGTCCTCAGAGGATTTGCTGGCTGCCAGTCTGGAATATGCCTTTTGCAAATATATTTTTAAAGTTTTGCACAAGAGCAGAATATGAAATACTCATATATAAATATCTCCCTCTCTGCTCTGTTTCCAATGCCACATTCACCCTGATTTATGGAAGCATTTCCTTGCAATAAGATATGCTGGAAAGTTTGAGTTTGGCTCAAGAAGAAGTGGAGTATGTTAATTTCAAGGCAAATTAATTAAAATGCAATTCAAGCTCTTTGGAAATAACACAGAAACAGTCTTCAATGCTTGGTGTTCATCCAGACAGAAACAGGCCCTTGTGCCTTTGGCCGGCATGGAGACAACCTCACTTTGTCTCATTTTCATCTTAGACTTTTGATTTCATCCTTCAAGGAGCTCAGCTCTGAGTATCATCTAGCAATTTTGTCATTAGTATTCCGGTCTTTTCACCTTTTCAATATTAAACACAGAGACTACTGAGTCAGGTGGCACTTTAATCAGGGTCCCAGCAAGAATCAGATGGTATATATTAAAAGAAGGTAATTTGAGGAAAGTTTAACACAGGGAATTCCAAAGGTGTAGGCAGAATTTAAGGAAGCCAACAAGGGATAGTGCAGAACCCCCAGGTAGTATCACAGTGGCTGTTACCACCTGCAGATCTACAGGAGGATGGCCAGGGTGACAGGTGCTAGAACCCAGAGAAGGAAGCTACAGAACGAGGGTCATGTGACAAGAGCTATGGCCTTTGGCAGAGGTGCTAGGCAGAAATAAGGCTGAGGGAACAATGCCCCGATCTCATTTCTGCCACCCTCTGATCCTCTGCCATGCCTCCCACTGGCCAAACCCAAGCAGAAAGTGGGAAGTTGGGAAGCCACCAATGCAGCCTGTGCAAGGCAGCCTCCTGGGGCACAGGACAGGGTGAGAAGGTGAAAACTGGATCCAAAGGGCCCACGGAGGACATCCAACACAGGTGGCCTCATCTTTGTCGCTTTCTAGATGTGTATCCTCAACACAGGACTTAACCTCTGTGACTCAGTCTTCTCTTCTGGCAAATGAAGATCACAATGGCCCCGACACTAGAAACTTTGCTGTGAGGATGGACAGAGCAGCCCTTCAGCCATTCATGGCTGCTGTCAATATACCCCCCTGGTCATTCATAGGACTCCATGGGTTGGGAGTATCAAAGTCTTAGTTATTGAAAAAGAGCTCACGTCTTGGTCCCTTCTTCCCATGTCCACGTGAAAACACCTTGAGATCTCAAAACCACATACCCCACACACCACGGGATGATAAAAACAACAACAATGACATAAATAATATAACTACCCACAATTATTACAGGGGTTAAATGAGCTGATGATGCATATTTAGCACTTGGAACAGCATGTGAACCAAAGTAAATGTGGTAGACTGAAAAACATGGCCCTGAGTTTTCACAGCCTTAGAAATGAGATGTTGCATCTCCTCCCAGGAAGTTACAGGTAAATTCTATTTTCCCACCCCCTGCATCTGAGCTCGTTTTTGGCTGCTTTAACCAAATAGAAAGTAGCACAAGTGATGGTGCAACAGACTTGAATCCAGGCCTCAAAAGGCCTTGTTCCCTCTCTCTAGAACTCTGCACCTACAAGTGGGCAGCCCAGCCAGCTTGCTGCAGGAGGAGAGGCCATGCAAAGCACAGGTCAGCTGTCCATGCTCAGGCCTCTCCCACCCAGACCAACTAGCCCCACGCAATCCAGAAGACAACCACAGATGCCAGAAGAACCACCCAGATAGTCCCAGCACAAACTGCTGTAAAATTACGAATTAAACAAAGGTATTGTTTTAAACTGCTCTGTTTCTAAGCTGTTTGTTATGCAGTAAAAGCTAATTTATACAGGAAGTATTCAATAATTGCTAGCAGTTATTATTATTGCTGTGATTTTATTAGTAGCAGAATTAATCAGGCTGCTTGGACCCTGAGTCATCCATTCCCCCACAAATATTTGTACAGCTCTTCAGAGCCATGGACTTTCCCTGTATCATCTCATTCAATCTTCATAACAACCCTTCTAGGTAGGATTGTGATTCCCATGCTACAGCTGGAGGAACTGGGCTTCAGCAAGGAGACTTGATGCTGGTCCAGGAGGTAGAAGAGTCAGACAGGCCAAAGTCTAAGGCTGTCATCGCTGGGTCTCTTGGGATGGTCATTTTTACATTGCCTGGATTTTCTCTAAAATGTGACACTATCTGAATATCATTTGATTTTAATCACCTTGTTACAGTATAACCCTGTTACAGGATGGATAGTTGTATCTGCCCAGTGGGTTCACCTTGCCTACTGCCTAGATAGAGCCAGTTTATCAAGACAAGGGAATTGCAGTAGAGAAAGAGTAATTCACACAGAGCCGGCACGGCGGGAGACTGGAGTTTTATTATTACTCAAGTCAGTTTTCCTGAGAAGTTGAGGATCAGAGTTCTTAAAGATAATTTGGTGGGTAGGGGCTTGGGAAGTGGGGAGTGCTGATTGGTCAGGTTGGAGATGGAATCATAGGGGGTCAAAGTGGGGTTTAATTGCTGTCTTTTGTTCCTGGATAGGATCACAGATCTGGGTGAGCCACATTACAGGTCTGGGTGGTGTCAGCTTATCCATCGAGCCCAGGGTCTGCAAAGTATCTCAAGCCCTGGTCTCTGGTTTTAAAATAGTGATGATATCCTCAGGAGCAATCTGGGGAGGTTCAGACTCTTAGAGCCAGAGGCTACATGATCCCTAAACCATAACTTCTAATCTTGTAGCTAATTTGTTAGTCCTACAAAGGCAGACTGGGCCCCAGGCAAAACGGGGTGGTTTTTAAGAAAGGGCTATTATCAATTTTGTTTCAGAGTCAAACCATAAACTGAATTCCTTCCCAAGGTTAGTTCAGCCTATGCCCAGGAATGAACAAGGAATAGCTTAAAGGTTAGAAGCAAGATGGAGTTGGTTAGGTCTGATCCCTTTCACTGTCATATTTCCTCAGTTATGTTTGCAAAGGTGGTTTTGTTACAGGAAAGGGGTCCCAATCCAGACCCCAAGAGAAGGTTCTTGGATATCCCACAAAAAAGAATTCAGGGTGAGTCTGTAAAGTGAAAGCAAGTTTATTAAGAAAGTAAAGAAATAAAAGAATGGCTACTCCATAGACAGAGCAGCCCGAGGGCTGCTTGTTGCCCATTTTTATGGTTATTTCTTATTGATATGCTAAACAAGGGGTGGATGATTCACATCTCCCCTTTTTAGACCATATATGGTAACTTCCTGACATTGCCATGGCATTTGTAAACTGTCACGGTGCTGGTGGGAGTATAGCAATGAGGACAACCACAGGTCATTCTCGGTGCCATCTTGGTTTTGGTGGGTTTTAGCCGTCTTCTTTACTGCAACCTGTTTTATCAGTAAGGTCTTTATGACTTGTGTCTTGTGCCAACCTCCTATGCCATCCTATGACTTAGAATATCTTAACCATCTGGGAATGCAGCCCAGTAGGTCTCAGCCTCATTTTACACAGCCCCTATTCAAGATGCAGTTGCTCTGGTTCACACGCCTCTGACAGTTTCATAGTGAGAAGACATTCCATATTATTTTCCTCCTACCCTTTGTTCAACTATCCAAATCAAACCTGTGCCAGTCTGGACTCTTCTCGTGACCTATTCATGACTACCCTGGCTTCAGGAGCAGAAAAACCCAAAGGTGCAAATGGCATCATAGGCCTCATCCTTCTCCTCTCTTGAGGCTCTTTCTGTGTTGGTGGCATCCCCATACTCCTGGCTGCTGCCTGATGATCTGCCCTGGTTGATGACCTGGGTCATGCACCCATCCCCAAGCTAACCCCTGTGTTCGTGGGATGAACGATGGTTATTCACAGGTCTTGGGAAAAGCAATCAACCCTGGATCTGGAAGGGGCAAGGCCAGCCCAGCCCAACTGCAAGGAAGGAAAGTGGGGAGGAGTGTCTCCCCTGAGAAAGTCATGATGTCATGACCCAAATAAGGGGTGGCTGTGGGATCCAGACACAGATAGCAGCTGTGACTTTTGTACTTGCCCCAACCAAAGAGGGCTCTGAAACTCCCAGCGGGGTAATAAACCTTGCACTCTAGTCACACCGAGTCCTGGAACCTTCTAGGTTAGAAGACTTTATACATCAAAAGGGCCAGCTTCTAAATGTACTTATGTAAATCACAATCTGTTTTGTCACCTTTCTCCCAGAAAATGACTGTGGGTCCTTCAGTAAGTCACACAATGTCTTCGAGTTTAGTTTCCTCATCCATAAATTGAGGCTATTAATATTTATGCTTGAGAGAGACCATAGATATAAAATGTCCTAGGCCAATGTCATGGCTAAATTTTAGCTTTCATTGCTGCTTTATTTTATGCAGCTTTTCATAAGAAGGAGTTGAAAAGAGACGACATTTTTCTTATTTACTTATATTACTAAACGGGCAGCCTACTCATGCGTCTGTCTGTCTGGTGACGGCATCCACTTACTGGCCACTTCTCAGACTGTTTCCTGTCTTTGGGAGTTGGTATTTCTTGGAAACACAGTTTGATTGCTGGAAAGAGTCATAAGCAAGGTGTCTTTGGTTCATTTCTATAGATGGAAAGTAGTTCCAGGATCAAACAGAAAAATGCCAAGTGAAGGAATCAAAATATTTTCCCCAAAATATATTTCTTTGACATATTTTAAAATGGCTGCTATGGGGCCAACAGACGGAGGTGGCCCTGCAAAGCTGTCTTTTGCAGGGAAAAATTGCATCTGCAAAGAATCTCCATTAATGTAGCCAGGCCTTCCCCTTCTAGGCCTTTCTCAGATCTAGGAGAGATGAACTGAAAGTCTGGCACCTTTAAGTTTCTGAAAAGAGACATTTATCATCTATTCTCTCTAAAGGCTGCTGCCTAAGAGGCTTCACCTACATAACACGTCCCCCTTTGCAGCCAAGCCTCTTCTTTTCTCCCTCTCATAACCTGTCTTGCCACTGAAACCTGGTTCTCCACCATAACCCGGTTTGGGCCATGCTCTCAGCCCTCATTCTTCCTATAACCCCAAGATGATAGATAAGCATCTATACCTTGCTGGGGAGTTGGGTCTTCATTTTGAAGCCTCCTGTGTATATACACATTAAATAATTACATAATTGCATGCCTTTTCTCCTACTAATCAATCTGCCTCATGTCAGTGATTTTTCAGCAAACCTTAAGGGGCCAAGGCTCTTGGCCACACAGGTCAAATGTCAGCCCCATGGGTAACCAGAAAACTCCAAGGCAAAGGATTAACTTGTTCATAAAAAATCAGATCAACAGGCTAGGTGCAGTGGCTCATGTCTGTAATCCCAGCACTTTGGGAGGCCAAGGCAGGTGGATCATTTGAGGTCAGGAGTTCGAGACCAGCCTGGCCAACATGGTGAAACCCCGTCTCTACTAAAATACAAAAATTAGCCAGGCATGGTGCCCGGTGCCTGTAATCTCAGCTACTCAGGAGGCTGAGGCAGGAGAATCACTCGAACCCAGGAAGCAGAGGTTGCAGTGAGCCACGATCGCACCTCTGCACTCTAGCCTGAGTGCGAGAGCAAGACTCCCTCTCAAAATGAATAAATAAATAAATAATCAACATAATGTATAATTGGAATAGGTTCCAATGCCCTTGTCAAGAGGAGGGGTAGGGGTCCATTCCGATGGCTGTGGGGAGCTAGAATTTTATTTCTGGTTTACCTTCCAGACTGTTCTGAGCCCTTCCTGTGCCCACTCATCAGATTCTTCCACAACCCTGGGAGGTAAGTGTTGCTATTATCCCATCTTAAAGATGAAGAGACTGAGAGCCAGGCGCCCAGGTGTTACAGGAAAGGGGTCTCAATCCACACCCCAAGAGAGGGTTCCTGGATCTCACTCAAGAAAGAATTCAGGGTGAGTCCATAAAGTGAGAGCAAGTTTTGTTAAGAAGTAAAGGAATGGCCAGGCGCAGTGGCTCATGCCTGTAATCCCAGCACTTTGGCAGGCCGAGGCGGGCAGATCACGAGGTCAGGAGATCAAGATCATCCTGGCCAACAGGGTGAAACCCCGTCTCTACTAAAAATACAAAAACAATTAGCCGGGCATGGTGGCACACGCCTGTAGTCCCAACTACTCGGGAGGCTGAGGCAGGGGAATAGCTTGAACCCAGGAGGCGGAGGTTGCAGTGAGCCGAGATCACGCCACTGCACTCCAGCCTGGTGACAGAGCAAGACTCCGTCTCAAAAAAAACAAATAAATAAAAGAAGTGAAGGAATAAAAGAATGGCTACTGCCTAGACTCCAATAAACCCTTGGGGCTGCTGGTTGCCCATTTTTATGGTTTTTTTCTTGATGATATGTTAAAGAAGGGATGGATTATTCATGCCTCCACTTTTTAGACCATGTAGGATAACTTCTTGACGTTGCCAGGACATTTGTAAGTTGTCACGGTGAAGATGATCAGAGGTCACTTTCGTGGCCATCTTAGTTTTGATGGGTTTGGGCTGGCTTCTTTACTGCAACCTGTTTTATCGGCCAGGAGCAACCTGTATCTTGTGCCGACCTCCTATAAGTTAGAAGGCCTTAACCATCTGGGAATGAAGCCCAGCAGGTTTTAGCCTTATTTTACTCCATCTTAAACAGCCCCTGTTTAAGATGGAGTTGCTCTGGTTCACATGCCTCTGACACAAGGAGGTAACCAAGTGAGAATGGAACGTGTGGGGAAAGAAAAAAGACACAAAAATAAGTCGAGGGAGAGGAAAGCAAGAAAACAAATTGCATCTAGGGTTTCTACAAAGTTTCTTTCCATGTTTTCTTGTTTCTCTTTTAAAGGATGAAGGCACAGTCAGGAAAGGTAGATATTTCCGCTGTCAAAGGGAACTGCTTTATATGTTTTAGCTCTCTTTAGTTACATGGTTAAAGAAATTTGGATTCTTATGCAGCAAACTTTTCTTCTCTTTGAAGAAGCTGTTGTGAAGTCATCTTGGGATCTGAAAATTGCCACTGTTTTTTATATGATGGTGGCTTTAGGTTTCCTTTTTTTTTTTTCCACAGGGCAATGAGATACAATGAACACTGGGTGCCCCTCCCAGCCAACAATCTCATTAAAATTCATTCTCTCCTGTCCTCTTTTCACTGTTTATTTTATAAACAGAGACACAGTGTCTGAAAACTCCAGTAGCTCAAAGACACACTTTTCTGGTGAAACCTAACTACTCTCCACTTTTATATCTGAAACCGAAGCAAATCTTCCTTCAAAGTATTTCCATCTGAATGAATCCACTTTCCAGAGGAGGTGGGAATCTCGCCCAGTCATCCAAAGTCCATAAACCTACACCTCTCTCCCAAAGCCCCACAAGAGACAGGTGTCCCTCTGAGGAAGTTAAAATGCTGAAATCCATGAATAAGTGAGGGTGTCAGGGAATAAGCCAGCTATTCTGTTTGCCATGAATGCGAAGTGAACTCACACCCCTCAAATAAAATGTGGGAGCATTTAAAGACCATTGCTTTAAAAATCAATGGATAAGCAAAGATTTCTTAAACCGGACACAAAAAGCACTAACCAAAAAGGAAACAATTGATAAGTTGGGCTTCATCGGAATTTAAAAGTTTTGTTCATCCAAATATACAATTTTTAAAAGTAAAACAGTAAACCACCGATGGGAGGAGATATCTGAAACACATCGAATCTGAACAGGAGGTTGGAAGAGGAGAGCGCACATTTTGTAAATGAGAGAGACCAGTTAGCTATAGCGTATCTCTCTCTTTGGCTTTTCATGGTGTCAGCTCTGTCCCAAACCTGGCTTTCTTCAAAGCCACCGGTGGCTGCCAACAATCTACGGGACTCCAAGCTCCTCTGCTCATCCCCAGAGAGAAGAAGCAACCCGCTTCACACACCACCAAAAAAAGCCTTGTGCTGAGTTCTGATTGGACGAATGTAGAGCATGTGCCAACCTCTCTGCCAATTGGAAGGCCAGAGGAATGCCCTATCCAATGAGCTCAGGCCTGGCTCACTCTGGACAAAAGATGGCAGAACAAGAATGTTTTCAAGTTGTATGTATTTCACCTGAAACTATTTTATTACTTAAAAAAACTGAGCATGTTTAAAACAAAATATTGCCATTGCAGTTACTGATTTATATGCCAGTGAGATATATGTATGTATGTATGAGATATGTGTGTGTGTGTGTGTGTGTGTGTGTGTGTATGGTATGTCTATATATCAGTGTACATATATTAGCATGTATATATATTAGCATGTATATTAGCATATTGGCATGTGTAATATATATGTTATATGTATATATCAGCATATATGTACAAATATACACCCATACAGATATATACACATATATACATATATACAGGTTTGTATATATGCATAAATATACAGATACTCATATATTTTTGTTAAATTTTCACTGGTTTTATACATGTGAAATTGTTCATCTTAGTAAATTTTTTGTTTAATTGGTTTTATTGTTTTAATTTATTCAATCTACCCAGCGATCAAAGAAAAGCCGCCTCCAAATTCTACTTTGGGACTTATATATATTCTGTACCTACCCTCCATCCAGTCATCTATTGTAAACAATTTATATAAACTGATAAGAATCCGTGAAAGAGATCTTTGTCATATTTGTTTTCCCTGTTCTATTAACTGGCCATTCTTTTGGGTTGAGGTTTAAAATGTTTACCTTGTCAAACCTGCCTTTCTTTCCTCTGTGGTGTGTGCCTGCGTCTGCATGAGCAAGTGTATGAGTGTGCCTGTGTTGTCTGTGTGTGTACGTGTGTGTATATGTCTCTGCGTGTGCATACATGCCTGTTTCTTCCAACCAGATCTCAAGCATAAAGCACACACTTTTTTTTTTTTTTCAGACGGAATCTTGCTCTGCTGCCCAAGATGGAGTGCAATGGCACGATCTCAGCTCACTGCAACCTCCGCCTCCTGGGTTCAAGCAATTCTCCTGCCACAGCCTCCCAACCAGCTGGGATTACAGGCACCCACGACCACGCCCGGCTAATTTTTGTATTTTTAGTAGAGATGGGGTTTCACCATGTTGGCCAGGCTGGTTTCAAACTCCTGACCTCGTGATCCGTCCACCTTGGCCTCCCAAAGTGCTGAGACTACAGGCATGAGCCACCGCGCCCAGCCAAGCAGACACTTTTCTAATACATTTTCTGTTCATTGTACAAATTAATTCTTAATGAATGAAGAAATTATTTTAATCTATAATGTGATATGGGTTACTACATTGATTTTCTTACACACAGCAAACCAATCCTCACAATGCTATTCAGAAAAAAACAAAAAAAATTCTTCCTCAAAATCATGTCCTGCTTTCTTTGTCCTATCATATCCAGGAAAAGGCAGGACTGTTAGACATGAAAACCTGATAAGGACCCTATTATATGAAAGAATTTAATAAAACACCTAGGGAAGCAAACCCCTCTTCTTTAGTATTCTTCTTCAGAATATTCTTTCACAGTATAATATTCTATTATCTATTTAGACTGTATTTTCTATATATACTATTTATATCTATTATCTCTTTAGAATATCTAAATCAAGTATATTTGTTACCTATTTAGAATATATGCATTTCATTTGGAAGAATAAATTTCAAGAATATTAAGTGGAGCCATGTGATATCACCAATGTTTATCCTAATCTTTGACCTACAAAAATGGAAATTTCATGAGGTCTAATCTAATATCTGTGGGGGTTGGTTTTAAGACAACATTTAACAAATACATTAATTTTTGAAAATATGACCATAAGCAGATTAATCAATTATTATTTTTATTGTCCATAATTGTATAGTGTACTTCATGTAACTACTTACATTTCTCGTTAAGTTTATATTCTTGACTACTTCTCATTTTGTGTTGTGATTCTGAACAAAACTTTTAAATATATTTTAATGTATGTTTTTATAAACTATTGGTGGTATGTACCAATATTATTTCAGGGTATATTTAGTTTGTTCTGAACTCAGAACAATTAGAATAAGGTAACTTAGTTGATTTCTTTGGATTGATCTAAGTTTATGAGAGTCTCAACTTCATTTAAATTTTTTTTTCTTTTTTTTTTTTTTCAGATGGAGTCTCTCTCTGTTGCCCAGGTTGGAGTGCAGTGGCACCATCTCAGATCACTGCAACCTCCGCCTCCTGAGCTCAAGCGATTCTCCTACCTCAGCCTCTTCAGTAGCTGGGATTACAGGCATGGGCCACCACGCCTGGCTAATTTTTGTATTTTTAGTAGAGACAGAGTTTCACCATATTGGCCAGGCTGGTCTTCAACTCCTGACCTCATGTAATCTGCCCTCCTCAGCCTCCCAAAGTGCTGGGATTACAGGAGTGAGCCACTGTGTCTGGCCTAAATTCATTTTTCATTATAAATTTTCAAAATTCATCATTTATTTTGGGCAGGTGCAATATTAAATAATAATGGGAATGTGTGTGATGTCTAAAGTGATTTGATTTTGTGACTACTGCGGTGCTCAGCTGAACACAACTCCTGATTTGGAAGACAGACTTCTCGTTCCTGCTGCTGAGGATTCTTCTTTACCAGTTTTAACAGGAATGAGTGTTTATGTGAACATCTCTTGAGGTAATCTGATTATCCATCAATTATGTAAATAAGCATTCTAAAATTGAGCCATCCCCAAGTTACACACACTCTGGTGATAGTGAATTGTTATTATTTCGGTACTTATAATTCTGCAAAAATAAGTCAAAATGTTGCATTGTGAGTCCTCGTACTAGGTAAATTGGACTGCAGTTTCTGTTGTAGCATCACACAGCTGATACCGCTGGCTTGTGTTTCCTCAGAACACCTCGTCCTGTGCACGCTGACAGTTCTCTACCACGAGCACATGCAATCCTCTGCCAGAACTGCTGGCAAAGGTGCATGGGAGGGCACGCAGGGGC
The DNA here is from genome assembly GCF_000001405.40 of Homo sapiens. Taxonomy (NCBI): domain Eukaryota; kingdom Metazoa; phylum Chordata; class Mammalia; order Primates; family Hominidae; genus Homo; species Homo sapiens. The sequence goes on from NC_000016.10 coordinate 87,118,044, forward strand.
AGGTGGGGACTGTTGGGCTGGTCAGGGCTCCAGGACAGCCTGCAACCGAGGAAGAATAGAGGGAGGGGTGGGAGAGTACCACGACCACGCAGCTTCCTCAGCCCCCAGGTGGAAAACTTTCTACGCCATCCCCCCAGCGGCCCCCAGCAGGTTTGAGCCCCAGTTGCCCATAATAACCTGCTCACGGACATGCCCAGCACTGGCTTTTGGCCCTTTCCTGCTTCTCGTTCCCAGCTTCCTATCAGCACTTCCTGTGGGGCCCTTCCGGATGAAGCCCTTACATCAAAATCCTTGTCTCAGGGTCCGCTCTTGTGGGGACCTGAAGTAAGACACTTCATTTCAAAATAGATGGGTGTCTAAAGAACACAGCTCTGGAATCAGACAGACCTAAGATTAAATGCGAATTCTTCCAATGCTGGCTGTGTGATCTCAAACAAGGCACCTACACTTTAGTTTTTTCATCTGTAAAATAGGGATAATACTGGAACCAACTTATAAAATTCTTACAAGGACGTAGTAAGCTAATGCCCACGTCACTTTTCAAAATTCTTGGCATACAGCAAAGCACTTAAAATGCTCAATGTTACTGTCATTACCACCATTAAATTTCAGAATCAAGTTACATTCCTTGTACAACTTAAAAAATCAAACTTTTTTTTTTTTTTCCTGAGACAGAGTCTCGCTCTGGAGTGCTGGAGTGCAGTGGTGCGATCTTGGCTCACTGCAACCTCCACCTCCCAGGTTCAAGTGATTCTCCTGCCTCAGCCTCCCGAGTAGCTGGGATTACAGGCGCACACCACCACACCTGGCTAATTTTTTTATTTTTAGTAGAGATGGGGTTTCACCATGTTGGTCTGGCTGGTCTCATACTCCTGACCGCGTGATCCTCCTGCCTCAGCCTCCCAAAGTGCTGAGATTACAGGTGTGAGCCACCGTGCCAGGCCAAAAAATCAAACTTAAAAAATATATATGGTCACTCTTTTGTTCTTTGAGTGTTAAATTCATCAGTGTTTCCATTTAAAACCAATAACAATTTGGGGAGGTAGTTCTTGGGAACTCTGATTGTACCAATAAGAGAAAAAATGCTGAAACAATGGTTGAAAAGATCCCATTTCATGTCTCTGTTCTGTTACAGAGACCCACACTGTGGAAGATACTTACAAGACTGGGTTATATTTCTGGAAGAGCAAATTCATCTCTTGTCTCTCCAGAAGACTGACTTATTCCCCCACATTTATCCCAGACAAGAAAATGACTCAGTATTTCATTCAAGCTAAATTTGAGCAGAACTAAGTTCCTTTTCAGGAACCCTCCCCAGCTTCTCTGATGAGCACTTGTCATGTTTGGAGGTTAGTCAGCTTGTCCTGCCTCCTTTGTTTTTTGGCATAAGGGAAAGCCTATAAACCTACTGAACATTTTTTTCCTTTTTTATGTCTTTCATGTGTTACTTTCCGATCAAAAACGTGATTTGTCCATTTAGAAACTGCCCACCTGAAGCAAATAAAAACTTACAACACTGGACATCTTTGATGCAGCCCCAGATAAATGGTAGGCGGCCTGCCTGGGAGTGGGGAACGGGTGTCTTGTTTGAAAAATGGAACCGCCGTGTTGCTTGAAAAAGAGGTTTCCTCTTTTTTCTTTTCCTATTTTTTACAGTTGTGCTGGGATTTCTTGGAGAGCAGGTATCCTGGGAGTATACAGCAGCCTTGTCTCCAAGGAAAGACATGCAGGAAGCACTGAGAGGTTAGTTGTTAAGGGTCTGGGCTCAGATTTAGGCTCCTCCAGCTCAGAGATGACAGAGCCGTGTGACCTTGGACATGTTACTCTCCCTCTCCATGCCTTGGTTTTCTCCTCTGCACAGTAGAGGAAGGAACAGACGCTGGCTCACAGAGCCATGGAGATGTTTAAGTGAGGTACTGCTCGTGAACCGCCCCCGGGCTTGGCCTCAAGAAGCTGTAACTGCTGTGACCTTTTAGGTCAGACCGATCAATGCTTTGGGACAGTGAGACCGTCACTCTCCGGCTTAGTGGTAACATGAATTTATACTACACGTTTTGGCTGTTGCATGAGTTCTTTCTCTCTGCAATAATGTGGAGTGTCTATCAGTTAGTAGGCATTCCGGTGCAAGGATGAAGGATGGCTTAGATGATAAAACATAAGCGTCATATCGGAATTTTAAAAGCCAGTAAATAGGTGCTTCTGGGGTTGGCTTGGCACCAAAATCGTGCCATCCTTACCCAGGTCCTTTCTGTCTTTCTGCTCTGCTGTTCTCAACTATTCTCCCCTGGATTATCACCTCATGGTCCCAAGGTGGCTACTGCACCACCAGCCACCTCAACTATTTTCAATGGCAGGAAGTGGAGCAGGGCTGGGATAGCAAAAAAGGACCTATTTGCATGAGCCCCCACATGGCTTCCTTTCCTTTATACAGGAAGAAAGTTCTTCCCTGAAAGCCACTGCTGACTCCCCCTTGAGTTATTGACCAGAACAGGGTCACTAGGCACCCTGGCTGCGAGGAAGCCTGAGAATGCACGTATCTGGCTCACCCCATCTTTGCAGCTGGAGAAAGGTGTTGACCGGGGCTTTGGTGTTGGTAACCAACAGTTTCTGCCCCAGGGTGTTGGACCATAATGAAAAACTGGGGCTCTCTAGCCCCACGCATGGAATGAACTGAGAGTTGGGAGAAGTGAGGCACGACCAGGCGTCCTGATTTCCCCACCAGGGTCTGGCCTTCCTGCCAACTTCAGACACAAGTCTGAGCAAGCACCTCCCCTCTCAGCCTCCCCTGCACAATGAGAGGCTTAGAGCAACCTCCTAAAGAAACAACAAAAGGGCCAGGTCACTGCTATTTTTAACAACATAAGAAAACAGAATTAAGGTTGTTGGGGAGTGAATTATTGATTTATCACATTAATTACTGAAAGAGTGAGTGTGGGAAGACTTTCAAGAAGGAGGGATTCACTGGGAGCTGGGTGGGTGGGGCGTCGGGGGATAAAGAATGCTCTTGATCCTAAAGGGCTCTGAGCTGTGTTGGAGGCTGGGCTGGTCTGAGACCTTCAAGGGAGGTGGGAATGCCTAGCACGAAGGGACCAGGACAAGGGTGGAGGGGAGAAAACCCAGTGTTTATCTGGAGGTCCATAAAGAGACAGCTCTTACCTAAAGCAATGTTTCCACCCCATGTTCTGCCAAACACTGGTCCCCCAGGATGCTATATGAAGGACAGGGTTGCATGATCCTTTACATTAGGAAACACCATATGTTCTAGCCCAAAGCAGCCAATAAAAATGCAATGTGAGCCACATAAATAATTTTAAATGTTATAGTAGACGTGTTAAAAATGTAAGGAGAGGCCAGGCGGGGTGGCTCACACCTGTAATCCCAGCACTTTGGGAGGCCGAGGCGGGCAAATCACAAGGTCAAGAGATCGAGACCATCCTGGCCAACATGGTGAAACCCTGTCTCTACTAAAAATACAAAAATCAGCTGGGTGTGGTGTCGGGCGCCTGTAATCCTAGCTACTCAGGAGGCTGAGGCAGGAGAATCACTTGAACCCGGGAGGCGGAGGTTGCAGCGAGCCGAGATCGCGCCACTGCACTCCAGCCTGGCAACAGAGCCAGACTCCTTCTCAAAAAACAAAACAAAACAAAACAAAAAGTAAGAAGAAACCAAGGAATTTATTTGTTTAGCCCAATGTACCTTCAATATTGTCATTTCATTATGTAATCAATATAAATGAGATTTTTTCACTCTTTCATACTACAGCTTCAAAATCCAGCATGTACTCACACCTAAGGGACATCTCAGTTCAGATCAGCCCAACATTGGAAGCTGTGGCCCTAACTCCTCGTGGAGGTAGACAAGCAACAGCCCCTCTATTTCATCTTTTTTCTTTCTTTTTTCCCGGCACTTTTTGCTCAAGAAGCTAGTGTTGCAGAGAGCTGGGGTAGGGCCTCCCAGCAAGCATGCAGCTTCCCGGGCAGAGAGAGCAGACTGGTACCTCAGAGGGGCTGAAGCCAGGCATCTGTGATCTTAGCTTAGGCCAGCCTGCTGCCAGGGTGGAATTTCTTTGAAGTCTTCTGTTTTATCCTAAAAACTTATGGAGATTTTACATCTTACTCCAAAGAATACCCATGTTTGTTTGAGTATTGGAAATGTTTTAGATTACTTGGCGTCTAGGAAAAATCAAAGCTTAGCGTGTTTACGTTGTGGCTCCCCCTGCCCGTTCCGTCTCCCCTTGGGGCTGTGCGCCTCCCAATTTAAGATGCACAGGATTACCTGGTCTCCACGCTTCCTTCCAGCTCTGGGTGCCCATGACTTTTTAAAGAAATTAAACCAAATGGTCCATTTGCATTTAGGCAATCCATGAGCCTATGTGGAGTTTTGTTTGTTTATTTCTATGTTTGTTATGGGATTCCCCAGCCTTAACCATTCTAACGTGGGATAACCCCCACCCCATTAACCATTCTAATGTGGGATAACTCACTAGCTAGGAGCCTTAGACAGCAGATCTTCCGACCGCTCCCTTTTCACAGCCAGTAACTCTTCCCATTGTGCTGAAAACAACCTATAGCTCTGACTAAAACTCCCCAGAAATACCCCCAGATGTGTCCCTAGAAAATCCTTCCTCCTGGAAAAGGCATGGTCCTCACTGAAATTACTTTTGAACAACCAATACTTAGACAGAGATCCCCAATATGATTATAATGTCTAATCTTCTTTAGAGGCAATATATTACCACTAATTAACGTGGTAAATGTTATACTTAATGTAAAATTTTTCATATAAATAAACATTTTAATAAATACAAATATACTTATATTCATTATATAATTTGTTCTATATAACGATTACATAAAATTAATAAAAATATCATATATAAAATGTGTCACCTAAATAAAATATAAAATTCTACAGATATATATGATTGATATGGGAGCTTTATGATAAATATAATTGTGTAATATATATGTTTATAAATGAACAAATATATTATAAATTATATTTTAAATTATTTTAAAGATTATTATCAATAAGAGTGCCACTAAGTATCTTCAGCTTAAAGGGTCCAGGAGGTCTGAGATGCACACAGAGGCTCCTAGGCAGCATGCGGTGGTTTGAGTCCCAGCAGGAGGCTTCTGAAGACTGCAGTGGACCTGAACATCCCCCAGAGACACTGGACGCTTCTGAGGCAGGCAGTAGCTTTGGTGGCCATTTGCATTTTCTAAAGAGGGCCACCACAACATATCCCAGGCCGCATGCTGTTTTTAGGATGTGACCCTGATGCTCCCCCAGTCAAGTGGTGAGGAACCCGTGCCCAGGTTCAAGAGGAAGTTTGTGACTGTCTCAACCAGTAAGGTACAGCAGAAATGACTGCCAACACTAGACCATAGAAATGCCACCAGTGTCCACCCTGTGTGCTTAGAACTCTGCCTCCATGGTGGGAGGAAGCCCAAGCAGCCACGAGGCAGACCGCGTGCAAAGGTTCCAGATGAGAGACCCTAATGAAGGTTCCAGTTAACAAGCAGCCTCAACACCAGACATATGAGTAAACACACTTTCAGCAAATTCCAGAACCCCACCATCAACTCACCTCTAAGCTTGGAGCCCCCGCAGCTAACACCACACAAGACACAGATGAGCTGTGCCTGCAGATCCCTGCCCAAAGTACGGTTCACGAGCAGAAAATGAAAGAATGTTGTTGTTCCCATCCCCTAAGTCTGAGTGGTTTGTGACTCACTGGTAAATGACAAGGTCGCAGCGTCCGCAGCAGCCCTGAGAGCCTGGCGAGTGTGAGTCCCAGCCAGGCCTGCCAGGCTTGCTGCGTGATCTCAGGCTGCTTGGCCCCATAAGCCCCTGGTTCCCTGTCGGTTAGACAGCCAGGATGCAAACTTCCATGCACCTTACAGAGTTGTCATGAAGGTGGAATGAGATGCCATGGGGATGTTTCATTTCACCAGCATCGCTACTGTCGCTAGTCAGCACATGGGGCAAAACCCATTGAAAGCCAATTAAATCACGCCCCAAACCAAGCCCTGGGACCTTCCCAGCAAGCCAGAGCAGCTGGTTCTCACTATCACGTGGGGATAGACCGTTCCTTCCTCACATAAGCACAAGCAGTGGCCAGAAAAGGCGCAAGAAAAATGCACCTCTCCAGGGGTGAGACTCTCACCTCCTTGAGAAAGATGCTCACTAGGCGGGCTGAGCTCACCAGGACCCACTGAGAGAGCAGCAGCTTCTCACATGCACACCACACACTCACGCAACACACAACACATACACGACACACACATGCAACACACCACATACACAACACACACACCACAAACCCAGCACACATCACATACACAACACACACGCACACAACACACCACATACACAACACACACTCACACACACCACATACACAACACACACTCACACACACCACATACACAACACACACACCACACAAACAGCACACACCACATACACAACACACACGTGCAACACACATCACATACACAACACATACACACAACACGCGCAACACACAACACACGCACACATGCAGTGCACACATAACACACACAACACACTCGTGCATGCAACATACATGCCACACACACCACATACACAACACACACACCACACAAACAGCACACACCACATACACAACACACACGTGCAACACACATCACATACACAACACATACACACAACACGCGCAACACACAACACACACACATGCAGCGCACACATAACACACACAACACATGCATGAAACATATACACATGCCACACACACCACATACACAACACACACACAAGGAACTCATGCAACACACACCACATATACAACACACATTCACATACGCAACACACATGCCACACACACACGCAGCACATACTCTCACATGCAACATACATACCACACACACCACATACACAACACACGCACGCAGCACACACACTCATATAACACAGACCACATACACAACACTCACACATGCAGCACACACGCATGCAATGCACACACCACAATGACACACACCACACACACAAGCACACCACACACATCACATACACATGCAACACACACACATATATGCACAGCACACACAACATGCCACACATACATACCACACACTCGCACACATGACACAATACACACAACACACTGCATATACAACACACATTCACACACAGAACACACACTCCACACAGTCACATACACAACACGCACACCGCACTCACCCCCATGCCACCCATGCAGTGCTGAGCGTGTGCAGTTGAATTTGCGGATGCTGAGGTCCCATGCATCTGAGTGGCATCAGTAAGCGCAGCCCGTGGTCAGCAAAGCCTCCCGTGCTGAGGCGAGGCAAGCCATGGCTGTGTGCACCACGCGGCGGCTACAGAAACTTTCGTGAGTCTCACTGCCCCGTGTGGCCCGGGATCCCACAGGGCTGCTAATGACATACAACATAAGCACTGATTTAACGTTCTAAAAGCTAACAGATTCTGAATTCTGAAACGGATCTGGCCTCCAGGGTCTCCGATAAGGTATTCAGGTAAGGTGCCTGTGGGACAGAGTGTCCCAATTTCGGACAATTGAAAACACTAAGGCCAGCTAACAAACCATCAAGGCCGAGCTGTGGTTTCACGTGCTTATCTCACCATTCCCCACGCACCCCGAGGCCGGCAAGCCGTGCAGTGGAGAAGCCGTGCAGCCTCCGGCCGTGCCCTGCTGGCTGCCTGCTTAGGGTCAGCAGGGCGATGGCCTTGCAGGGGCCAAATGCACCTCCAGCCTTGGCACGGTCGTGTTCCCCAGTGCCAGCGTGCCCTCCCTCGCTGCAGCCGGCATCAGGCTCTGCATTAAACACCAGATTAGAGCTGTTTGTCACAGGATTTACAGGGATTTTCCCCCATGGCGAGAGATCCTGCCTTTCCCCAGGACATAGAATACAGCTGTCAGGGGCTCCCTCCAGCCATATGGGCACAGCTGGGGCTTAGGTGGGGTTCAGAGAGGATGGGAGCAGGGAAGGCTCGAAACCTCGTCGGAATAAGGCAGCTGCCCCTCTGCCGAGGAGGAGGAGCCAGGCCCCCCATCCAGACATATCTCCTGCACTTTGAAACCCTGGAGAACCTGGCCACTTTGCCGCTGAAGCGCTGTGCCCTGGGCAGACATTACCAAGAGCTCAGAGCGCAGGTCTCCATCACATGCATCTGGTTTGAATCCCAGCCCTGCTCCCGACTCTGGGGCTTGGAACCAGGCATGAAAACTTTTTGAGCCTCAGTTTTCTTGTCTATGAGGTGGGATGTTGACAATTGGATGCATGTCCTGGAACTGTTTTGATGCTGAGACACATATAACAAACTCAGTCACCAAAAGACTTTGCATAAGAAAGCTCGTAGCACCTTTATCCAGAGCACCCAGAAAATGAAAACAGTCCACATGTGCATCAACCGGTAGGGGCACAGTGACCTGGACACGTTCACAGAATGGAATTCTGCCCAGCAAAGGAAAAGAGCAAGCCCCTGCCATCCCCCAGCCATACAGAGGGACCACCCAGACGTCGCAAGTGAAAGAAGCCCACACGAAATGGATCATGCTGTTAAGAGTCCGTGGATATAAAGCTGAGGATGAAAGTTAGCTGCAAGAGGCCACTGGCTGAGAGGGAGGAGCAGGGAGCCCAAGGGCACTGGGAGTGGGCTGTGTTGCCACCTGGGCATGGTCATGCCAGGACACGTGGGATAACTCACTGAGCCACACTTAACGTGAGTGCTGAGCTACTCCTCAAGAAAAAAGAAAGTCCTGGCAGGTAGTGAGGACTCAGAAGATGGGAGCTTCTAACTTGCCTGCCCCTGGTCCTTGTAGGTGGCCCTCTGCGCCGGCCTGTCAGTCTTTAACCAGCAAACAAACAAGCGCCTGTGAAGGCCCTAGTGATTTTATGCCCCTGGGGATTTGTCGCTTTTCTCTTAAGTTGGGATTTTTCTGTTTGATTCCGTTGTGCCTCTCTGGTTTCGTTATTTTTTTCTTTTGGGAGAAAAAGCAAAGTTGGGGAGTGGGAGGGCAGTGCAGAGAGGAGAGCGGGAGAATTGGGCTGGGGCCAAAGTAACCAGCTGCTTTCCAAGACAAGCCTGTCAGCCTCGCTCCCTGGAATTTCCTCTGCGTGTGCTCGTGGGCTCAATTTTTCCATAAAGTCCCACGTTCCGGCAGGGGACCCAGCAGCCTCCCCAAAGGCCGCTCCGTCGTGGTCAAGGACTGGCTAAGTGGCTGCCTCCCGTTGCAAGACCCCCGGAAGAACCTGGAAATGGTCCTCAGACATGGTGGACTGCGGCTTTAATTTGTACTGGGAATGGGTAGATCCCAGCTCAGCTCAGAGTGAGGCCTGGAACCTTCCCTCCCTTCAGGCCAAAACGCCTCCCCATGGATTCTTTAAACACCACCGTGTTTATCTAGAAGGCCGGCAGGCAGAGGCTCTGCTGAGGCTGACGTTTTGAGTGAACTTGCTTCTCACCTCCCAAGCAGGGGGCTCTCTCTCCCTTCTCCAGAGGTGGGCTTGGCAGGGGGAAGGCGAGAGCCTGGGGGGACCCTGGACTTGCTGCACGGGCGGCCCCAGCCCCAGCTCACTGGCCATCCGGGGAGGGGCACAGCCATCAGGACACGGCCAGCTGGGGCTGGGCTCACTAGGATGCGGGTGGAAGCCCTGGGCCTCCTCTGCTTCAGCCTGGCCGTGCAGCCCAGCCTTGAAACATCCTGTCACAGCATGCTGTAAGCAGGGCATCCAGACCCTTTCTTGCCACTCCATTAGTGCTGAGCCTGGTGATCGTAGTCAGACCTCCAGACCACCAGGTCAGGCCAGGTCCCCACCCCATCACACCTGCATCCCCACCACTGGGCAGCTGCGAGGGCTCCACCTGGCCAGCTGAGCGTTGACGGCTGAATCCTAATGTTACCAACAGGAGACCAGGTGATGTGTGCCTCCTTCACCCAAATGGAAGCTCCCCACAGCACTCCCAGCCTCTGCTTCTCAAGGGCTCCTGGAAACCCCTTCCTTCCTGTTCTGGGGCTTCAGGGCAGGAGGCTGCACAGACTAACTCTCACCGCTCAACTCTGGGTGCGTTGCCGTCATTGGACCATGTGAGACCCTTGCCCGGGGAGGCTTCACAAAGGCCCCTCTCTCCCTGGCCCTGCTCCCAGCCCTGACGGGCAGTATCTTATCCTGCCTCACAAGTTTCCACAGATGTAAAGGTGTTCTTGTGCTATGTTGTGCATATGGATTGCTTAAAACATCTTATTGAGGATAATATTCATACCGAAAAGTACTGGACTCAAAGAGTTGTCACCAACGGAACACAGCCAGAAAATCAGCACCTGGATTGGAAGACCAAGTCTACCCAGCTTCTGAGAACCCCACTGGGGCCCCTTCCACACCCTGCTTCACCAAACAAAGAGGGCTTTTTATTTATCATTTCTTGCCCTGTTTTCCCACTAAGCATCTTGTGGGTCCTGCTGGGGGGCTCTGTGCATATCAGACCTGTAGTTTCCAATTTGGGTGAAGATGCATCTTGTTCCATAACTTGCCTCCCTGGCCCTTCCCCATTCACCACTCCCCCAAGGGGTCACACACACAGCACTCCCACACCGCACCACATCCTCACCCGTGTCCCCTTACGAACATGGGGAGGACGTCTTAAAATGTATACAGGGAAAGGGTGCACCTATAGTTCCAGGTACTTGGGAAACTGAGGCAGGAGGACCACTTGAGCCTGGGAGTTCGAGGCTCTACATCACTATGATCTCGCCTGTGAATAGCCACTGCACACCAGCCTGGGAAACAAAGCGGGATCCCATCTGTTTAAAAATATATATGTAAATGTGCACAGGGAGCAAAATTGCTGCTGGGTATATTAACTTCCCATTGGTGCTGCAACAAATTATCACTGACTTAGTGGCTTAAAACAACACAAATTTAGTACCACCCCATTTATTCTGAAGGTCAGAATTCCAAAATGACATTTCTTGCTGGGCAAAAATCAGGGAGTCAGCAGGGCTGGCTCCTTCCAGAGGCCCCAGGAGAGAAGCTGTCCTCTTGCCTTCTGTAGCTCCTGGAGGCCGCCCACATGTCTTGGCTTGTGGCCCCATCATTCCAACCTCTGTTTCTATTCTCCCCTCTCCTTTCATGCAAAGTCTCCTGCCCGGTTCTCATAAGGACCCTTGTGATGACACTGGGACCACCCTGATGATCCAGGATACTCTTCCCAACTCAAACTCCTTAACTTAATCACATCTGCAAAGCACCTTCTGCCACGTGGAGTAACATGTTCATAGATTCTGGGCATTAGTGGGTGTCTTTGGGGTAGAGCTGGGAACACTATAGTGCCAACCACATTAGCTGTGCATTGGCCTCATCAGAACCAGCTTGAGATTCAAAAGGTTTGCTCCAGTTCATGCTCCAGCCAGCAGAGCATCAAAGTTCCTATTTCCCCACGTCTCCACTTCCTTCCATTCAGCCAAAGTGCCTTCCCTCCACATCCAAGACCAGGGCCTCCTCCTTCCTGATTCTGACTTGGAGGACAATTCCCTGCGAGACAAAGGGCCCTCCAAAGACACATCTCTTAAAACATGATAAAACAGAACATCCGGTGCTGGTGCAGCTGTGATGAAAACGGCAGCCTCACACCCAACCCACGAGAACACAAAGCAAATTGGCAACAAGTTCCCAGAGCCTTGACAATACTCAGATTTTTGATTCTATAATTTGTTCTGGCTGACTCTCCTAAAAACATCACAGGGGAGGTGCTGGATAAATAGCCCTTCAGCTGAATTGAGCAGGACCTGGAGGCAGCACATGGGGTGGAAGAAGGGGAGAGTTAGAGGTGAGCTCTGGGTATGACTCACACGCCCTTAGGGAAAATAGCCTGTAACAGCCTGCAGGAAAGCTAGCAAGTCCCCGGCTGAGGAGGGGCATTCCTTCCTGTCTGGTGTGTGGCCGCCCTGTCCTCCCCACTCACCCCCATCAGAACCTGCACCCCCCAGCTCCCCTCTTCCTGCCTTGTGTAAGGGTCACTGGTCACTGCTGCTACTTTCCAGCAGAGCAAATCAGAAACACTGCCAGAGGGAGAGGGAGAGAGGAACCGGAGCCAGAGAACAAGACAGAGCGCAAAGGAAAGAGAACCAGCTCCACGGCGATTTAAAAGAAAAAGACCCGCGCTGAAGGCAGGGAGCTCAGGCCTTCCTAGAGGTAGGTGGGTAGTGCCATCCAAGTGGTATGCCTCAAGTCAGGGTGGGAACCATGTAAGCCTCAGTTCTCACTTCTCCCCAGTCTTCACCTCTACTTTTTGCAAGAGGTTGTTGACCACGTGCCCTGGGCAGCTTCAAGACTGGTGGCTCACGCCTGTCATCCCAGCACTCTGGGAGGCCGAGGCGGGCGGATCACATGAGGCCAGGAGATTGAGACCAGCCTGGCCAACATGGTGAAACCTCATCTCTACCAAAAATACAAAAAATAGCCAGGCGTGGTGGCATGCACCTGTAATCCCAGCTACTCAGGAGGCTGAGGCACGAGAATCACTTGAACCCAGGAGGCAGAGGTTGCAGTGAGCTGAGATTGTGCCACGGCACTCCAGCCTGGGCAACAGAGTGAGACTCCACCTCAAAAGAAAAAAATAAAAAAGACTTGCACATATGGAGTCACCCTGAATAGTCCAGTGCCCAGGCCTGGCACCACTGACCAGGGCAGCATACAGATTCTCCTCTGCTTACAATGGGGTCACATCCCGATACACCCATCATACATAAAAACTATCATAAGTCGGTTTAGAATATTTTCAATTTACAACAGTTTCATCCAGATATAACCCTATCGTGAGTGCAGAAGCATGCAGGATGCCTGTTGCCCCTCACTCCATCGTGGGATGGGGACTGTCTGTGTCTTGTTTGAGGTCTCATGAGATTGGGTCTCCAGAGTCCAAATGACTTTAGAGTCATTCAGATTGTTCATAAAGACAGGAGCCTGGCAAAAAACACCTGCCTGGAGCCCCCTGTGCCCTGGGGGCAGCCCATCATCTTTATTGTTAAATGCTAATACTTATAACCAATAACAAATAGTCTCAGTCTATCCTGAACTTAATAGCAGTAAAGCCACCCCCACCTCCAAAAGGTGAGAGGTTTGAAACCAACTCTGTGTAGCCAAGCAGGGGTGGCCCCATCAATGTCCCGCAGGGTCCCCTCCTGAGGAGGTGGAGACGCGAGCATTGTCCTCTTGGCCTCCCTTCCGCCCAACCTGTCGTCCTGAACGCTTCTCAAAAAGATGCGCCGTTGCTACTAAATCTTTCTCTCTCCCTCTCTCTCCCTGTCTCTCTCTAGTTCTCTCTCTGTGTCTTTTTCTCTCTCTGTGTGTCTCCCTCTCTCTCCGTCTCTCTCTAGTTCTCTCTCTGTGTCTTTTTCTCTCTGTGTGTGTCTCCCTCTCTCTCCCTCTCTCTCTCTAGTTCTCTCTCTGTGTCTTTTTCTCTGTGTGTCTCCCTCTCTCTCCCTCTCTCTCTCTAGTTCTCTCTCTGTGTCTTTTTCTCTCTCTGTGTGTCTCTCTCACTCTCTCTCTCCATCTCTGTTGAAAACACCCACCTGGAGCTTCCAAGCCTGGCAAATACCACAGAAGGTCTACACTGGGAGCACCCGTGGTGACAGGCTAGCTTGCAGCCTGCCAGGCACTGAGGGCTCTACACATTCACTCTGAGAGTTAGGGAGCTGACTGTGCCCAGTTCACAGATGAAGAAACTGAGGCACAGAGGGCCCACAGATGGCACACGGCAAACGCAGGCTCCATCCGAGGTCAGGCTGCAGAGGCTGTACTTGGAGCCAGTGCGCTGTGCAGAGAGCTGCAGAGAGAGGAGGCAAGAAGACAGTGAAGCAGGAGGTGCAGGGAGCAGGTGAGCAAACAAATCGTGTGGAAATTGTGAGAACCCGTGAACTCGGGAGAAAACAGCCCAGATCATCCCTTCACACTCACTTTGCATTAGAGCCATCCAGAAGGTTATTAAGGGTCATCCTCCACATGCAGCCCTGCAGGTCCTGCCTGAGCAAGCCAGGCGGGGGCTGGATAACTCCTGGGGGACCCAGCCTTGCAGTCGGGGCTAGGAACTACTGGACTAAATTGTCTCCACATTTGTCCCCTCCCCAGCATTCTAGCTCCTGAGGAGACGGTGCCCTTGCTGTCTCCTTAATGAAGTGCAAGCACAGCTTCTCGTGCCCATTTGTATATTCTACACAGGAAGCCGAGATGCAGAGGGAAGAGTGACAAGGCCAAGGTCACACCGTGACCTTCACTGGTGAAGCCAGGAACAGGTGCAGGCTCCTGCCTTGCTCTCTTTCCTCCGACCTCCAGCTCCAGCCTGACCCACCTGGGTTTTTCCCCTCTGCATGCAGAGACAGCAGCCTCCTTTACAGATACAGATGTCAAGACAGATGAACAGGTAAGAGGGAAAAGGCTCCACGCTGGGGGCTGCTTGTGTCCCCCTGGGTCAGTCCAGCCTGACAAGGGGCCTTATCATTAAAGCCATGTCAGTCTACACCAGCCCCAGCAGCCGGCTACATTTCTTGGACACCTTTCCAGGAAGACTTGCCAGCGGTGCCCGTGCAGGGCCCACCTGGGACACACTGGCCCCGTCCAGCAATCTGTTTCTAATTCCCTGATGCAGGGCGATTTCTCCTCCTCCCTCGCTGCCGCGGGCTTCACATGCCTCAAGGATTACACGCTGAGTGAACTCTGTCCGCGAAGCCAAGGCAGCAGGGAGTGAGGACAACGCGTTCCATTGTTCCCCACCCGCCTTCCCAATGCCCTGATTGGCAAGAAAATGTCTCTGAGAGACGGATGGAAAGAAAACATTCCCGGGCTGAGGCCTCCCATCGGGCTGATCAGCCACCATCACTGGGAGCCGCTGGACAGATCTTCTGTTACCAAACAAAGCTCCCTTCTCCCTCCTTGGTCCCAGCTCCCAGGGAAATTAACCTCAAAATTGGGGGTGAGCCTTAGGGGACTGTTCACCCTGACTTCCGGGGCAGGCTACACTGCAAATACTCCCTCTGTCATCATGAATCAATATAATTGCTGCCATGACCGTTTATGGAGCATGTCCTATGTACCAAGCATGGTGCCAACCTCTCCACACAACAATCACAACAATGGAGAACATACAAGAGGCCCTGGCGATGCACCAGGCTCCGTGGCATGTGCCTTCCATCTCATTTAATCCTAACGACACAACTTTGACGGCGGTACTGTTGTCGGTCCCATTCTTTGCAGATGGGAAGACTGAGGCTCACAGAAGGGAAGGGAGCCCAGAGCGCACTGTGCTTAGCTAGTAACAGAGGAAGAAACTGAACCTGGGTCTGTCAGACTCCACAGCCCACCCTCCCAGCCACTTGCGGAAACTAAAAGGTCCTCCCCATTCTGCAGTGGAGATGCCTCTGTGTGTCACCCCTCACCGTCATCCCTAGTTTTAGCCAAGAACAGATCGACAGAAGCAAAGTGCTTGGCCTGGGCTAAAGTGGGGGCCTTGGTCGTGATGGGCAGGGGGCCGGGGCATCCACTGTGTGATTGACCCTGGTCACCTGCCCTGACGGCCGGGCATCCGGGCTGGAGCAGGGTCCACCTGGATGAGTCCTGGGGCTGTCAAAACAAAGGACCACAGCCGGAGATCAAAACGACAGAAAGTTATTCTCTCACAGTTCTAGGGGCCCAGTCCAAAATCACGGTGTGGGCAGGGTCGCGCTCCCTCTAGGGGAGGATTTTTCCTGCCTCTCCTGGCTCCTGGTGGCTGCCCAAATCCTGGGTTTGCAGCTGCATTGCTCCTACCTCTGCCTCCTCAACACACGGCTTCCCTGTGTGTGTCTGTGTACCTGAATTCCCTTTTCCTATAAGGACACAATCATTAGACTCAGGCCCACCCTAATCCGATAAGACCTCATCACATCTGAAAGGCCCCTCTTTCCAAATAAGGTCATCGTCTTAGGTTCTGCATGGACATGAGTTTGGGAGGACACAATTTGCCCCAGCACACCCAGCAGCCATCTGTCCTTTGCCTCGGCCAGCCTTCACAGACGGCCCACCCTGTGCCGGGGTGTGTTTCAGATGCCGGTGACACAGCCCATTAAGAAGAGTTTCAGAAGCCCAAAGAAGGAAGAGAGCACTTGTGTCTGGGGATGGTCGGGGACAGCTGTGTGGTGAAGGTGACAATTGAACTGGGCCATGGACAGGGAGCAGGAATGTGCTGCATGGGTGGGCGAGGGTGGGAGGCAGCCAGGCCCCTCCAGGGTCAACAGCATACGGGTGCACACTGGGGTCATGTGTCTTCACTTCAACAGTTGGTTTTTCAAAAAGCCCCTTCTCTTGTCGCTGTCTATACCACCTGGCCAGCTAGTGACAAGCTCGGCAGGAAGTTCAAGGGTGCGCTGGACCTCCTCTCCCGCTGACCACAGGCCCTTAGCACATGCCCGTACACCTGTGGAGGTGACGAGGAGTCATCCCCTTCAGGGGCTGGAGGAGGGAAGGAAGCCGGGAAGGAGCCCACGTCAGCTCCAAGTTGCTCCTGAGCTTCTTCACCATTTCCCAAGCCACAAGCCTTGGTTACCCGCCTGCCGTGTCCATGCACTGTGCAGACAAGCACTTCCCCACATCCACCAGCAACTCCCAGGCCATGAGTTCCACCCGCAGGCTCCCTGGTCCCCCAGCGATGCCATGGAAATCCTTGTGAAACCTCAGCTAGTTGCCCTTCATCTATTCTTCTTATGTGAACAAAACCACTCAGATTCGAATGTCTCCAGGCACCCATGCGACTTGTCAAGCTCACAGAGGCAGAGAGAGTAATGGAAGCTCTAACATAAACACCAGCCTCCCTCCAAGCAACCCCCCTCTCTCTATTCTCTAGGACACAGGCTGTGAATCTTGCGTCCCCAGGACTTGGTTTTAGGGGAAGACAGACTCTTGCAAATTGTTTGGAAAGCTGTGAGTGAATGGGGGACAGAGGGGAGACACTTCCTCAGAAGCCAGGTTCATGTTGTCCCCATGAGTGGAGTTCTTGGTGCTGGGACAATGGTTGAGTGTCTCCTCTGCACTCTCCTAAGCCTTAACATATATAAACCTATTAATCATCACAGCACCCCTTTAGGAGAGGGATTCTTATTATTCCACTCTACAGAAAAGGACAATGATGTCCAGAGAATTTAAGTACTTTGTCCACAGTTACAGAGTCTAGCAAGTCACAGACCGGGCTTCAAACCCAGAAAGCTGGCCTGGTCCTTCACTTCATGTCACTTCATGTCTCTGCTTCTTCTCTCTGCTTCCACCAACTGCCAGGCTAGAGGCTTGATGGTGACAGGGAATGAAGAGCACTTCAAATTCTGGCATCGAGAAGAAAAACAGGATGTGGGAGGAACCTGGCTTTCTGTCGTTGCTTTTACTTATAGAAGCACAAAAGCTTGTGTCAAGAGCATTCACTCCAGACATAGGGACCATGCCCCTCCTAGTCCACTAATCACAATGGCAACCATTACTGCTTTAGTTGAATTCCAGCTGGCTCAAGAACACAGGGGACAGGAAGGTGCCCGGACCTTGACCCAAGAGACCTCCCTGTGAGCCCTGCCCTAGGTTCTGCCGTAGCCACTCCCAAGGCTTAGCTCCTCCCAGATTCTCTAACAGGCACCCATCTGCTGGAGACCCATAAGAAAAAGGTAGCCCAGTCCAGGAAGAGGGCACTGTGGTACCACTCTGGGGCCAGCCATATTGGGTTGTTCTAGAACATTCTGAGATGCATACACCAACAAGTCATGGGTGAACAACTGCTCTGGGTCTCCTGCAGTGGCCAGCACTGTGCTGAATCCGCATGCTTCAAGAGTATGTCGGTGACCTGGATCAATGACATCACAGCCCAGAAAGTGTACCTGGGAATGAACGCCGGATCACACTGGACACTTCCCCTTCTACAGAGAGTGAGGAGAAGCCATTGGCATGAGGGTGACCCATGGAGGAGTTGGGGGTGGGGCGGGAATAGAACTGAAATTGGTGAAGGAAATGGGATTTCAAGTCAGGGAAGAGACAAGGGGGGACGAGATATCAGTTTGGGGGAAGAGCAAAGCCAAAAATAAAGATGTTAAGGCTGGGCGCAGTGGCTCACACCTGTAATCCCAGCACTTTGGGAAGCCGAGGCAGGTGGATCATGAGGTCAGGAGTTCAAGACCAGCCTGACCAAGAAGGTGAAACCTTGTCTCTACTAAAAAAAAGATTAGCTGGATGTGGTGGTGGGCATCTGTAATCCCAGCTACTTAGGAGGCTGAGGCAGAGAATTGCTTGAACCCAGGAGGCAGAGGTTGCAGGGAGCTGAGATCACGCCACTGCACTCCAACCTGGGCAACAGAGCAAGACTCCATCTCAAAAAAAAAAAAAAAAAAAAAAAGATGTTAAAAGGTTGAAAGACCAAAGCTAGGCCAAGCATGGTGGCTCATGCCTATAATCCCAGCACTTTGGGAGGCTGAGGCACGTGGATCACCTGAGGTCAGGGGATCGAGACCAGCCTGGCTAACATGGTGAAACCATGTCTCTACTAAAAATACAAAAATTAGCCAGGTGTGGTGGCGCGCACCTGTAGTCTCAGCTACTTGGGAGGCTGAGGCAGGAGAAGCGCTTGAACCCAAGAGAAGGAGGCTGCAGTGAGCTGAGATCACGCCACTGCACTCCAGCCTGGGCGACAGAGCGAGGCTCCTTCCTTCATTCTCAGCATTGAAAGCTCTTCTTGTGTAACTGGCCCCAGACTACCTTTCCAGCTTCAAAATAATGTTGTGCATAGCTCCCTATAGGAGCAGAGGCAGTGATACCAGGGAGAACTCTCCTTTCCAGGATGCCAAGAGCTCGCCGTTCATTCTCCCCACTCTGTGCCCTTGTCAGACCTCAATCATCAATCCCAGGCCTCTAGAAAGTCTTTGCCAGCTGATGAGACTTTGTGCCTGAAACAAAACCATTTTCTATACCTGCTTCACCCAGGAGATTTTTCCCCTTCTATATTTGCTCTTTGGTTGTTTATGGTCATAATTTCCCACCCTTTGGGCCACCAAATAGTTCCATGGCCTCTGCAGCAGTCTCCAGGCTGCCCTCCAGTCATTGGGGTAACACCTCCATGGTCAGGTTGTCTTTTTTTCTGAGTTATGCAGTTGGAACCTTGGACGCAAGTTGTCTTTGGTGGTTTTCAACCTTGGGATTTTGGACCAAATGCTGCCTTCTCTGTGACCCATTTCTTTCCATCGAAAGGTGTGTGTAAGTCTTGCTGAAAAACTGAATCCAAGACTGCTCTGTATTGAATCCATCCCCCAAAAAGCATGCGTTGCAAACTTAATCTTCAATGCAACAGTGTTGGGAGGTGGGGCCTAATGGGAGGGGTTTAGGTCATCACGGCCCCACCCCCATGGAAGGATTAATGACAATTACAAAAGGGCCTGGGTCTGTGAGTTGGCCGCATTGCTATCTCTGGCTCTCTTACACTTCTGCTGTGGGATGACACTGCCAGAAGTTCCTCACCAGATGCTACCCCTCGATCTTGGACTTCCCAACCTCCAGAACCATGAGCCAAATAAATTTCTGTTCATTATACATTTCCCAGCCTGTGGCATTCTGTTATAGCAGCATAAAATAAGACAAGGACATCACTGTCTAGAGGCTGGAATGGTGCTTTGGGCCAGGACCAGCAGTCCTGGAGCTGCCAAGTCTCCCAAAGGAGACCTTCCTGAAGTCTTCTCCATCAGAGTCATTTTGGTGCTATCTCCAAAACAGCATCATTAAAATGTAAAAATGCTACCCAGGAAAGGGAACCTCTGAGTCTTCTCACACCTGCCTGGTCAAAGCTTCTTTAGTTGTATGTAACATAAAACCGACTTGAGCTAGCTTAAGCTAAGAACGATTTTTTAAAAATAAAATAAGGTTAATAAAGAAGCTGAATTATTATAAGAAAAGACGGTGGGGCCTCAGCACACCCTGTGCAGCCACACAGGACATTGCCTCAGAGAGCCTCGGGCTTGGCTTAACACTCAGCCATTGCCATCTGGAAATTCTTAACAACTTGACCTTTGACCAGCTCAACCCTGCTGGGAACCTCAGGAGATGGTATAGAACACTTCTCAGCATATCCCACCCAAAAGGTGAGGAATTGGGGGTATTTATCTTCCAACTCCCATCCATGGCTGCTGAGGACCCCCTAGCACCCCTGGTCTGCCCATGTGTGGGCTGAGAGGAGCTATCAGGTGGGGACAGGAACTGCCAATTGGGACATTTTTGGTACTTACACAAGGTCACCAGCATGCACTGTGTCTTAGTCCAAAATATCTGAGACTGGGTAATTTATAAGAAGCAGAACTTACCCTGCTCTGGAGGCTGGGATGTCCAAGATCAAGGTCCTGGCAGGCTTCATGTCAGGTGAGGGCCTGGACCCTGCTTCCACGGTGGCGCCTTGTTGCTGTGCCCTTCAGAGGGGAGGAGTACTGCGTCCTTAACTGACAGAGGAGACAGAAGGGCAAAGGATGTGGCTATTTCTCCAGAGCCTTTTATAAGGCACAGATCCCATTAACAAGGGAGGGGCCACCACGGCCTAATCACCCTCTAAAGTCCCCACCTCCAAATACTATCATATGGGGTCTTAGTTTCCAACACAGGAATCTAGGGAGATAGAAACATTCAGACCATCACAAGCTGAGCGTGAGAGTGCCCAGGGCACAGGCAGGGCAGTGGCAACCTCAGGCACAGTCAATCGCAGGAAGTAGGGAATGGATAACTAGGTGGCTCTTATGTAGAATGGTACCATTGAGAACGCCGCACCCAGCTGCCACCTTCCAATTCTAGGCAGGGTTTGATGCTGAGACAAGCTAAGAATCTCAGAAACTCAGGGCCGCACCCTCCCACTCCACCGATGTGTGAACACATAGAACATAGCATTTCAATTATGCCACGCCCGGTCTCAAAATTCAGAATTAAATGCAAACTCACCCCCATTTCCAAGCACAAGGCCGGGTGCTTTGTGATCTGGGCCCCTGACCCCGACCTCTAACTCTGACCCCTGTCCACCTCCCCCAGGACCCCCATGCCCTGCACTCCAGCTGCACGTGCCTTTTCTCACCCAAGCCCATTCCCACCTTTGGGTCCATCTAGCACCTTTGTCCTCTGCCTGCAGCGTCTCCTTCTCCCCGTCATGTCTGGATCCTTGTTATCTTCAGAGGGCAGCTCAGATGTCACCTGCTCAAAGGAGCCTCCACAGACCACACTGGCTCCCCTCACGTTAAGTTCCAGCGAGGCACCCTGTTTCCACAAAAGCACACGTCACAATCGATCATTCAGTTTTCATTTATTTCCTTTCTAATCCCCTGTCTCTACACTCATGTCAAATCCCATGAGGGCAGGGACTGTGTTTTGCCCACCACTGCATCCCCAGAGCCTAGCACGGCTCCCTGAGGCACAATGTTTGGAAAATGAATGAATGCGTTTCACTTCCTGAAGTTTTCCATGTTTAAAGGGAACCTCCAGAAGGCACCACTAAAACAGAAAATATTTCAGGCAAAATGGCTGTAACATGTGGCAGCTAGCCCCCAGACATCCACGAGCTTGGGGGTTTAATGCTGCCCCAAGAATGGCCCCACCCGAACCCCTGGAACCTGTGACTATGTTACCTTCTGTGGCAGAGGGGAATTCAGGTAGCAGATGGAATGGAGGTTGCCAATCTGCTGACCTTAAAATAGGGAGATTCCCCTGGGTTATCCAGGTGGGTCAAATGCAATCACAAGGTCCTTAATATGGAAGAAGGAGGCTGAATAGACAATCAGAGAACGATGTGATGACAGAGGCTGAGGTCAGAAAGATACAATGTTGCTTCAAGATGAAGGAGGGGCCATGAGCCAAGGAATGCAGGCGGCCTCTAGAAGCTGGAAAAGGTAAGGAAGGGATTCTCCCCTGGAGCCTCCAGAGGAACTAGCCCTGCCCACACCTTGATTCTAGCCCAGTGAGACGCAGGTCGGACTTCTAGCTTCCAAAACTTGTGTTGTTTTCAGCCACTAAATTTGCAGTACTTTGTTACCACAGCCATGGGAAGCATGCACTGTTAACAGGCTTTCTCTAAGCAGATACTAACTCACTTGATTCTCGCAGCAGCCCTGCGCAGGGGTACCAGTGCTATTCTTATTTTATGGATGAAGAAACGGAGGCATGGAGAGCTTAAGTTGCTGGCCAGGTTCCACCGCTAATGAGGGCAGAGCTGGGGCCATAAGCCAGGTGGTGGGCTCTGGAGTCCATGCTGGTGCCAACCGTACGACGATGGCCGCCAGGGGCTCTGCAGGGATTGAATGAGGTCACAGGGGGAGGCATGTGCCACGTGGCAAACCATGTGGCCTGTAGGATTGACTTCATCCTGCTTAAAAGGCCACCGACTTTCCTCTTCCGGAGTGATACCGCACGGCTTTCCATCGCTGTCCTTGGCTCGGGGGACATTGGTAAGCAGATGACTTACTGGTCAGTCACGCTGTCGCAGAAACGACGTGGGCTTGGGACCGGTGACAGAAGGCCTGGGTCAGAACTTCCACGTTCCCCACGACTGCGGGACCTTGCCAAGCCCTGTGTGTGAGTGCCCTGCAGATCACCTTCAACGCATGCCTGCCTCTCGTCACTCAGAAGTGCCTGCGGCTGCACCATCTTCTTCCTCCTGAGCCCTGATCCACTGCCCTGTGAACTTCCAGAGCCAACGTGGTTCCTGTTCGCCCCTGTCCAGCAAAGAAGGAGGAGTCGCCTCCTGAAAGTGGGGGAGCTTTGGTCTTCCTTGCCCTGCCCCGCGTTCAAGTGATACACAACATGTGGATGTTGAGATGGATTTTCTCCTCAAATGATCCCTCCAGGAGGGCAGGCTGAGCGCTGTGAAAAGCAGCTGTGTACTCATCTAAGGAGAGGGCCGGCAGCCATGGAAAACAGCCCTGCCCGGCTCCCTGCGCGACACAGACAGCCCCTCAGCCTCACTTCCTGCTGCCTCTCTCCCCGGGACCCTGGCGCCGGTTGCGTTCTGCTCTGAAAAACAAGAAAGGATTTCGGTGAGAAGCAGGAGGCAGTTGAGCTCTGCAAAGGGGCTCTGGGTTTTTTAAAAATTAAAAATTAAAAATAAATTATCAGCGACTTCAGGGAAAAAAGCATTTCTCTCCAATCCAGGCACTGTTAACCTTCTGGGGATCTCAGACCCCTCTGGAAGTCTTACAAAGCCAATAAGCTCTTCTCAGAATGTTTTCAAATGTATAAAATTTGTGAAATTACAAAAGAAACAATTACATTGAAATAGTTATCAAAATATTTTAAATTGTGATATAGTCAGATGTGTGCTTTTTTAGAAACATGGATCTCACAGAGAGTCTAATAACGTCCTTACCTCGAAGTAGCACTTGAGCTCAAATTAGAGTTTGGAAAAGCAGCCATGGCTATATATGATGAGAAAAGATCTGTGATTTTGTTGGTGACAAAATGACAGATTCTGCTAACGTGATTGGCTTGTTGCCTATGTCCATCATGGAAGGAAAAGCTAAATTTCAATTGGGCCTTAGAGAAGATAAAGATGCGATCATTTTCCCTCCAGTTTCACCAGTCCCCTAAATTATCCCATGGATATGTTGGTTAGGACTCCAGGGATAATCCGAACACTCCTGACTGTCATTTGAGTCTTGCTCAGTGAGTTAACAAGAGAAATCCCTCAGCAATAAACCTGCAATAAAATTCAGGCGAGCACACGAAGTCTATGAGATTCTAAATTTTCTGTTTTAAAAAAGGCACCCTCAGAGAAGGGGAAAAGCTTGAAACAAATTTGGTTGTTATTTCTAAGTACAGTAGTCAGAGGAGTTCTTTTTTTCCTTTTTTGTTCATCATCTATATGTCATTTTTATTATTAAACTGGTAGCGTAAAAAGGGGGCCTTCCATAGATAGTGATGACTATAAGCAGAAAGCTTTCGTTTTAACATTCTACAAGAGTACTGTTTGGATGATCTACAATGGAGGCATATTACATTTTAAATTAAAAGCTAATACAGGCTGCATACTGTGGCTCACGCCTATAATCCCAACACTTTGGGAGGCTGAGGTGGGCAGAAAGCTTGGGCCCAGGAGTTCAAGACCAGCCTGGCCAACATGGTGAAACCCCGTCTCTACTAAAAATACAAAAATTAGCCATTGTGGCACGCGCCTGTAGTCCCAGCTACTTGGGAGGCTGAGATGGGAGAAATGCTTGAGCCCGGGAGGCAGAGGCTGCAGTGAGCCGAGATTGCACCACTGTACTCTAGCCTGGGTGACAGAGCCAGACTCTGTCTCAAACAAAAAAAAAAGCTAATACATAACCATTGAGTTGTATACTTTAAGTGAGTGAATTGTATGGTCCACAAATTGTATCTCAAAAAAGCAACTGAAAATGTTTAATTAATAAGATTTGGACACTGAACTTGGACATGTGATTACCTTGGACAAATTGTTAATTAATTAAAAGCTAATCATTCAAACTATAAAAGAAAAATTATGACTCATTTGGGAAATGCAAACATTGTTTGCATATGGGATGATATTGAGTAACTATTGTTACATATTCTAGGTGTAATAATAATATTATGGTTATGTTAACAGGAAAGGTCCTAAGTGTACAGAGCTTCTGTGCTATTACTCACAAATGCATGTGAGTCTATAATTAGCTAAACATAAAATGTTGCATTAAAAAAAGAGAGAGCTCCTTATCTTTTAGAGATACATATTGAAATAGCTAGACGTGAAAATATAGATCATGAATTTGTTTCAAAATAGTGCTACTTGGGGTTGTCAGGGTAGAAGTATAGAAATAAGATCGGTGAGGGGATCTCTGTTAATATTGGGTGGTGGGTACACAGAACTTTGTTATACTTTTGTATATACTTGAAATTTTCCATAATCAAACTTCTTTTTTTAAAGATTAGAGACAGTGTCTTGCTATATTGCCCAGGCTGGTCTCAAACTCCAGGTCTCAAGCGATCCTTCCACCTCAGCCTCCCAAAGTGCTGGGATTACAGGTGTGAGCCACCACGCCCTGCCCAAACATTTGTAAATGCTCACCATTTTGAAAAATGAATTGGAGAAGCAGTAATAAGGAAAATTGCAGAAGGTAATCAGGTTTCTAGAAAAATTAAGTTTGGTGCTTTGAAAACTCAAGAAAGAAAGAATCCCTGTATTTGCCACTGTTCTCCTTTTGTTTTATAAGTTGAGGGAGTTTTAATAAATAAACTTATCGTCGTTACTCCCCACCTAACACAAACCAGCACCAAAGGGGAAGAAAGCCTGCCCAATGTTCAACTGTAAGGCAGCTCGGCTTTCAGAATGCCCCCCGGGGGGTGCAAAGGAGTCCTGGAATCCAGACGCAGCCTGGGGCCCCAGGCCTGCCTCAGCCACGGGCAATCCCTTCCCCACTCCAAGCCTCAGTTTCCCCACTGTCGGACTGAGGAGTTTTGCACTGCACAAGCCTCTAGGCTTCTTTCCAGCTGGTGCACTCTGTGATCATCGGAGATGTGTTTACTTGGGCCCTAGCTGAGCAGGGCCCAGGCCCAGAGCCTGCAGGCCGCCCTCCATCACGCAGGCTCTGACACATCCCAGGGAAGTTACAAGTCCCCGCTGCTTCCAAAACCATGGCGCTCCACGCCCCACTGCAGCCCAGCATGCGAGGCCGGGCGGAGGTTTCCATATGAATGCCTCTCAGGTTGCCCAGGGCTGGCCTGAGGGTGTTTACAGGGACCTGACGGTTGAGGGGAGAGGGTGTGAGCAGCATTGGGCCCCTCTCAGGCCTGGCCGGTGGGCGTCCCCCATCCTTTGGGCCTCACTGTGCCCTACCTGCCCGCACCTCCCAGAGCCCTGGCTCATCTGCTCCTGGGTCTGTGCCAGCTGTTCCTGGGAAGTGACCTGGGAGGCTGCAGACTCATGGGACCTGGCAGTGGCCAAGAACAACAAGGGCTTCATGGGGGCCGCTGGCAGACGATGAGGCACAGGCAAGGCGTGGGCCCCGTGGGGTGCCCTTGACCCTCTTACATGGGCCAAATTCACACCCAAGCCCTGCAGGCTCTGAGACGGTGTGGCTCGCCTTCTCGCTACATTCAGGAATCTGGCTCATTCTGCCTTTTTGGGCTCTGGACATCCTGGCCCCAAGCCACCACTGCATCCTGACCTGGAAACCTCCCCTAGAAGCATCTTCCTTAGGAACAGACATTCTCCAGCAATGGTTCCACAGAAACACGACCTCTGGGATATCTGCGGGCACTACACTACCAAGGGCCTACAGTGCAATGAGTCTGGGAAACGCCGAGTAAAACAAAATGACACGTGTCTTCCCGCAGGCCTTCTCAGAGCATTTACTGCGCCAGCGTGCGTTGTGAATTTCAACCACTGAGAGGGGCACGTGGGATGTAGCATGGCCTCTGCTGATCTGACCCCTGAACTTGGTTATTAATCAGCATCTCATGGACTGATGGTCTGTGTACTTCAGGAAATACAACTTCAGACAGTAATCCTCTCCGCTGGTGTCAGCATGTAACAATCAGAGGCTGTGGGGAGGTTTTCAGTGCCATTCTGTCCTTTCATTTGGAGTTTGCGGGGTTTTCTTAGTCAATCCCATCCACCCTGGCGCTGTATTTTGGCAACTGACCTTTTCAACCCAAATGCAGGACTTATATTGTCTGTACTGATCTGCTTGGATTCCTGTCCCAGTGACTCTGACAGTCATGGCTGGGGCCACATCTGTTCTTAAGAGTGAGTGTTTTCTGGCCTCCAAACGTTCAACCACTTGAGAAAATTTTACAGAGCCCCTCATGTATGCAAGACCCTGGGCAAGGAATTGTCAGGCCGATAGGGGATGCACAGAGGATGTCCCACCCACCGAAGCACAGCAGGTCCCTCTCACTCTGCTTACGCCTTGTGACTATCCCAGCCTATGGGACCTCAACAGTAACTTTGGAAATAACCAGAAGATGTTTCACTAAAGCAAGGAGTTCAATCCCACAAGTCTAAGATCAGGGCCAGCAAATAGAAAGGCAGAGGTGAGGAGCTGCTCACTTTATCAGTTTCAATCACAGGCAGGGGTGAGGAGCTACTGGCATTAGCTCCAGTCACTGGCAGGGGTGAGGAGCTGCTCACTTTATCAGTTTCAATCACAGGCAGGGGTGAGGAGCCACTGGCATTAGCTCCAATCACAGGCAGGGGTGAGAAGCTGCTCACATTCTCAGTTTCAATCACAGGCAGGGGTGAGGAGCTACTGGCATTAGCTCCAGTCACGGGCAGGGGTGAGGTGCTGCTCACATTATCAGTTTCAATCATGGGCAGAGGTGAGGCGCTGCTTGCATTCTCAGCTCTAGTCACCATCCCCGCCCAGTGTTGACGTACAGCGGTGACAATCTGACCCCAAAGCCATTTTGTCCGTCTGGGGTGGGACAGCGACTCCCAGGGCGGCCTCCTCGGGTCCCCTGGAGAACTTCACCCTACCCTCACACTTCCTCCCTGCGCCGATGACTCACTGCCATGTAACAAATGACACCACAGCCAATGGCTGCGGCAGCAGCGGTTTTAGGAGAGCTCCTGAATTCGTGAGTCATCAGCTTGGGCAGGCCCCAGAGGGTGACGCTTCCTTCTTCGGGCCCTCAAGGGATGGGCAGTAAAAGGTTAAGCTGACCCACAGAAGGTCTGACCTTTGCCCTTGGCTCCTGGGGTGTCACCTCTAGGCCCTTGGAGAGTCCTCCCTGGTGTATCTTTGTTTAGCTGGGGCTTTGGCCACCCTGGACAGTCTATGCTAATGATGAGATTCATGGTGGGGCCTTGGACCACGTGGCATCAGCTCGACCTGCAGAGGGGCTGGAGGTTAAGGTCAGTCACATGGTGTCAGCCGTGCCCACGTGACCAAGCCCCAACAAAGACTCTGGACACCGAGGCTGGGGGAGCGTCCCTGGTTGGTAATGCTCTGTGTGTGCCATCACACGCTGTTGTCATGAGGAGTTAATGCTGGCCACGACTCCATGGAGAGGGACAGCTGGAAGCCCTGTGCAAGAAACCCTCCTGGACCTGCACCATGTGTCCCTCTCCTTGACTGAGTTATTTTTATTTTATTTTTTGAGACAGGGTCTCAATCTATCTCCCAGGCTGGAATAGAGGGGTGCAATCACAACTTACTGCAGCCTTGACCTCCCAGGCTCAAGCAATCCTCCCACCTCAGCCTCCCAAGTAGCATGCCACCATGCCTGGCTAATTTTTTTACTTTTTTTTGTAAAGAGAGGCTCTCACTATGTTGCCCAGGCTGGTCTCAAGCAATCCTCCTGCCTCAGCCTCCCAAAGTGCTGGGATTGAGGGCATAGCCACCACGCCCAGCACTCTTGGCCAATTTAAATCTCATCCTGTAATAAACTGTAACTATGAGTAGGGCCATGTTTGGCTTTGATTTCTGTGAGCCCTTCTAGCAAATTATCAAACCTAAGGGTGGACTTGGGGACCCAAAAACTTTGTAGTTGGTATCAGAAGTGACTGTGGTCTGGGAGACTTCAGCTGGTGGGTGCATAGGCCTGGAGGGTCCAAGGTGGCTTTGTTCACATGTCTGGAGTCTGGACAGGTTAGCTGGAAGGCTGGGCTCATCTGGGATTTCAGCCACAACACCTACATGTGGCCCCTTTGGAAGACACTATCAGACTAACTGGACTTCTTACACAGAGGCTGACTTAACCCTGAATAGGTGTCCAAAGGGGAGCCTTCCCAGAGGCAGAAGTGGAAGGGCCTGTCTCTTGAGGCCTGGCTTAGAATCTGGACAGCGTCACTCTGCCACATTCTGTTGGCCCAGCAGTCACGGAGCCCATCCAGACCTGAGGGGAGAAGTGGGAAGAACTCGTAACCCTCCTTTCCCTGCCACACTCACTCCTCTTGCCCTGGGGTTTGCCGAGTCCTCTCATTTCCCACCTGGGCTTTCTCCCCGCTTTCACTGACATGGACTTGGGACAGCCCCCACCCCATCCATGGTGTTATGCCAGGCCCCAAGCCTCAGATCATGGAAAGAGACATGTTCACCTGGACCCTGTGAATGTGGCCTTATTTGGAAAAAGAGTCTTTGCAGATGTAATTCTGTTAAGGATTTTGAGATGAGGTCATGCTTTATTATCCAGGGAGGCCTGAAACTCGATTGCCAGTGTCCTTTTAGGAGACAGGAGAGCAGAGACAGGTAGTTGCAGATGAGGGGTGGCAGGAAGACAGAGCTAAGAGTAAAGTGATCCATCTCCAAGCCAAGGAAGTCCCAGGATGGCCAGCAACACCAGAGGCTATAGAGACAACAGATTCTCCTTCTGACCTCACAAGAGGGCACCAACCCTGACGACACCTGGATTGTAGGTTTCTGGCCTCCAAAACTTGGAGAGAAGAGTGCCTGTTTAAAGCCACCCTGCTTGCGGTCATTTGTTATCATTTCTTATGGCAGCGCTAGGGCACTCACAGGCCTTCTGCAGCACGCTTGGCTCTACCGTCTGAAGCCATCTACCAGGAGCCTGGGATCCCTTCCTGAGTCTTTGAATCAACTTCCATGCCTAATAAGGGCTCTGCCCAGGCCCTCTTGCCCTTGTCCGATGGTTTTACACTGTGGGGATACACTATGAAGAGCCAACATGTTGAAAACTCAACTCCCCATTGGGATTTGAGTCCTAAGTCCTTATCTCTTGCTAAGGAATGAACCCTAAGTCCATGAGAGGGTGGGAGGAGACAGAGATCTTGGAAGCCAGAGTTGCTTCATGAGCAGACCAAGGCCTATGGCAAACTCTCTCTAGAAGAAGCAAGTGTAAAACTGGACAAAATTGTTACGAACAACCATGTCAGCGTTCTGGAAATTAACCAAAGGCAGACAACAAACTGAGAAGCATCTATGCTTGAAAAACAGCTTCAGGCTGGGCGTGGTGGCTGACGCCTATAATCCCAGCACTTTGGGAGGACCAGGCAGGTAGATCACCTGAAGTCAGGAGTTCGAGACCAGCCTGGCCAACATGGTGAAACCCCATCTATACTAAAAATACAAAAATTAGCAAGGCATGGTAGTGGGCGCCTGTAATCTCAGCCACTCGGGAGGCTGAGAAAGGAGAATCGCTTGAACCCGGGAGGTGGAGGTTTTGGTGAGCTGAGATCACACCATTGCACATCATCCTGGGCAGCAAGAGTGAAACTCCATCTCAAAAAGAAAAAGCAAAAGAAAAACAGCTTCAGCTTTGGGTAAGAACACTGGGAGTTGCTGCCTTCTTATCTGGATCCTCTCCCATCTCCCCACCCT
This sequence comes from Homo sapiens, assembly GCF_000001405.40. NCBI lineage: Eukaryota > Metazoa > Chordata > Mammalia > Primates > Hominidae > Homo > Homo sapiens. The sequence goes on from NC_000016.10 coordinate 87,148,363, forward strand.
TCTTGATCAGCAGAAAATACAGCTTTGCCAGCATGGAGTTGGCTTTGAAAACCAGTGCCTGGGCCACCAGATGGAGCAGATTCGGAGGTCGGGGGATAAAAATCCAAGGCTTGGTCAGCTAACAGGGGTGATCTGAAAACAGGCAGAGAACGCTCACAGCTTTGGTGGCCAGAGGCTGAGGCCTCAGCTGGGCTGAGCAGCAAAGCAGTCAGAGGTCCATGAGAGAGGCATAGAAGATCGATAACAGATTGCCCCTGGTCCCTGGTTGTCTAGAAAACTGCTTCTGCCCAGGGGAAACCAAGGAGCCCACTGGGAAGTGAAAGCAAAGGAAGATCTGAAAATTGGAGGGCTTTAAACACACTCCCCAACTGTATGAGTCCATTCTCACTCTGCTATAAAGAACTGCCCAAGCCTGGCTAATTTAGAAAGGAAAGAGGTCTAATTGATTCACAATTCAGCATGGCTGGGGAGGCCTCAGGAAACTTATAATCATGGTGGAAGTTGAAGGGGAAGGAAGACATCTTCTTCACAAAACGGCAGGAAGGAGAAGGAACCCCATGATTCAGTTACCTCCACCTGATCTCTCCCTTGACACGTGGGGATTATGGGGATCACAATTCAAGATGAGATTTGGGGCAGGGACACAGCCAAACCATATCACCAACCTGTGGACAGATCTACTGCAGATAATGTAAGCCTTCAGGCTCAAGGTGTTTAAGCACAACATCAACCAAGTCATTGACTGAACACTAAGTTATGCAGAGACAAAGGAAAACACCAGGAAGCCAGGCTAAAAAATAAAAAATAAGAATCAAGCAAGACTGAGCAGAGACATAAGTGGCTGCACATTACAAGGAGAGTTGAACTTTGCAGTTTGAGTCAAGGAACATTACTTAAGAAAAAAAAAAGAAGAAAAAACAAAACAACTCTCAGAAATATGATTCATGAGCCAGGCACAGTGACTCACACCTATAATTCCAGCACTTTGGGAGGCCCAGGTGGACAGATCACTTGAGGTCAGGAGTTCGAGACCAGACTGGCCAACATGGTGAAACCCTATCTCTACTAAAAATACAAAAAAATTAGCCAGGCATGGTGGTACACACCTGTAGTCCCAGCTACTCAAAGGCTGAGACAAGAGAATTGCTTGAACCTGGGAGGCAGAGGCTGCAGTGAGTTGAGATCATGCCACTGCACTCCAGCCTGGGCAATAGAGCAAAACTCCATCTCAAAGGGGAAAAAAAAAAAAAGAAATATGATTTAGGACTCAGATTTGCTGGAATACATTACTTTAAACGCCCAGCACTATGGAAAGGCCCCTGTAGCAAGAAACTGAGGCCTTTTGCCCACAGCCATGTGAGGGAGCCACCTTGGAAGCAGAGCTGCCAGTCTCGGTCAAGCCTTCAGATGAGACTGCGGCCCAACTGCCATCTTGTATTACAGCCTCATGAGAGACCACAGCCACCCAGTTGAGCTGCTCCTGAGTTCCCAACCTTCAGAAACTGTGTAAGATACTAAATGTTTATTGTTGTCTTAAGCAGCTAAATTTAAGAAAAAAATTTGTTTTACAGCAGCAGATAATTATACATGTGGCTTCTTCAATGGTGGGGGAGGGAGCAGGAAGGGCTCTGTTTTCCCTTTGGTGCAGGAGCTATGGAAACTCTGTAGCAAATTTAAATTAGTTCCACAAACATGAGTTAGGCTCCTGGGCCCACAGAAGCAGTTTGTAAGTGAACATAATATTCTAAACATTAAAAAAAAAAAAAAAGTCACCCATTCTCAATGCATTTGCTCCTACGAGATTTGTTTTTTTCCTTTCTGCATAGAACAATAACGTCAGGATCCCTGATTCTCTTCCTATGGATGGGAACAGTGGGCTCTGGGTGTAAAGTGAGCTCAGCATTTATTCTTGTTCATCAGTGAAATGAGCACAGCCCAGCCCTGAGAGGATTCCATGCTTGGGTGGCAACAAGAAAATCAAATAAAACTGCACATATTCCAGGAGGAGCTGCCATTGAAAACGTGGTGCTAATTGGCTCCCTTGAGGGATCTTCCCAGGGGTGAACAGGGAGGAAGGGCGAGAGAATGTGGGCTCCACAAGGCAAACATTGAGAACATTCAACACCGTGAGGAGCCGAGAGCGATCCAAGCAGGGCGGTGGATGAATTAAGCTCAAGGCTGGGCAAGGAGGGGCCGCTGCCGGCAAGACTGGTGTGAGCACCACAGGAGGCCACCAGCACGGCGCCGTGCTCCAGAGGAGAACGTCGAGGCCAGAGCTCCATGCCCCATACTCCATCCCCCGTCTGACCATGAAACCCAAGGGACATTTGTTCCAGATATCAGAGGGCAATCTTACCACAGGGATGGGGGATGAGCACCACCCTGCGTCTGATTTGTGGCAGTCATGAGGGTCACCATTGTCACCATCACCATCATCAGCCACGCACCCGCTGCAATCCTACAAGGCAGGTACTATTATTCTCCCCTCTTTACTAATGAGGAAACTGAGGGTCAGAGATGGTGATTCACTTGCCTAAGGTCACACAGCTTATAGGTCTGTTCAAAACAGTCTCCAAGCCCAGATCTGTTTGACTCCAAACCCCATGTCTTAGCTACTATCATATACCTTGCATAACATTAGTGAATAATATGCCAGTAACAATTCCTTTTGTAATATTTCAATAGTACCACTGCCCAAAATTCTGAGGCATAGTTCTTAGTTGTTGGGTGTCATGTTACAGTCCATTTAAAAGTCTTTAGGAAAACAGAAAGTACTGGAGACTTCAGGGCTGCAAGGAAGAGACTATACGGGAGAGTTCTGTTTTCTTTCTTTCATTCTTTTTTTTTTGTTAACATTACCTAATTCCACTTAAGGGGAACAGTTTGATTTGAAAGGGAAAGGAGCAGACAGAGACCACAACTTGTCGAGGATAATTTTTTTATGGTTCCCCTCCAAAGTAGTAGTTCATCCGTGGTTCTTACTTGATGTCTTTCATCTTCAGTAGATTTTTTTGAATAGGTAAGACGTTTACATGACTCAAAACGCAAAAGGAACCAGAGCATCCAGTAGAAACCCCCTGCCCACCATTTCCCTGTCACCCAGCTAGTTCCTCCGTGTCTCCTCCCAGAAACGTTTTTGGTAAATTCCTTTTCACCAGATTGCAGCAGGTCATCTACTCTTCTACAGGCTGATTTGTTCACATCACAACATACCTTAAATGAGTAAAGTGCATAATGCTGTTGCTAGCACCCAGTGGGTGATACGGGTTGGATGGGTGTCTCCTCCAAATCTCGGGGTGAAATGTGAATCCCAGTGTTGGAAGTGGAGCCTGGTGGGAGGCGTTGGATCATGGGGGCAAGATCCATCATGAATGGCCCCTTGGTCATGAGTGGGTTCTCACTCAGTGACTTCACACAAGATCTAGTTGTTTAAAAGAGTCTGGGGCAGGGCACGGTGGCTCGCGCCTGTAATCCCAGCATTTTGGGGAACCGAGGTGGGCAGATCACTTGAGATCAGGAGTTCAAGACCAGCCAGGCCAACATGGCAAAACCCCGTCTCTACTAAAAATACAAAAAAAATTAGTCAGGCATGGTAGCGCATGCCTATAATCCCAGCTACTTGGAAGGCCGAGGCAGGAGAATCGTTTGAACCCGGGAGGCAGAGGTTGCAGTGAGCCAAGATCATGCCACTGCACTCCAGCCTGGGTGACAGAGCAAGGCTCGGTCTCAAAAAAATAATAAAATAAAGTAAAAGAGTCTGGGGCCTCCTTCCTTCTCCCTCTTGCTCCCACTCTCGACATGTGATATGCCAGCTCCCTGTTCACCTTCCGCCATGATTGAAACCTTCCTGAGGCCTCACCAGAAGATGAACAGATGCCGGTACCATGCTTCCTGTACAGCCTGCAGAACTGTGAGCTGATGAAACCTCTTTTCTGTATAAATTACCCAGCTTTTCTTTACAGATTTCCAGGGGGAAAGTGCCGTGCCATGCCGTGCGTGTGCCGGGTGGATCGGCTTTGTTTCTCCAGCTCCCACTCCTTGGCGCATATTCTCTCCTCTGGGCCCTCGGCGACCCCGCTTTTCTGCACACATTCCCTGTGGCTGCCGTCACAAACCACTGACTCTGCACCTTAACATAACACACTTGTCCTCCCACCCTTCTAGAGACCAGAAGTCCAAAACGAGCCTCACTGGGCTAAATCAAGGCATGGGCAGGGCTGGCTCCTTCTACGGGCTCCAGGGAGAATCCCTTTCCGCATCTCTCTGGGCTTCTAGCACCCGCCACACTCCTTGGCTCGTGGCCACTTCACTCCAGTCCCTGCTCAGCCGTGCGTGGCCTCTTCTCTTCCGTTTAGAATCTCCCTCTCCCTCCCTCTAATAAGAATGCTTGTGGCTTCATTTAGGGTCCACCTAGAAAAATCTCTTCCCCTCAAGAACCCTAAGCACCTCGCCAAGGCCCTCTTGTCCTGGAAATAGCATGCACAGTGTGGGGGCTGGGACCTCTCTGGGGAGCCCTCTCGCACTCTCCTTCACCCTGAGCTTCAGCAAGCTCTTCCAGAGAAAGGAGCTCATCAAGTCACTCTCACTGGGCTTAAAATAAAACCCCTAGGCTGGGATCTGTGCCGTCATTAAGAGGCTCCAACTTTTGGTCCTTGGAGAAGACTGAAGTTTGGTCAAGGTGCAGTTTGGCCGTTGACAATGGAGCAGAGACTGTGCCTCTCTCAGCCACACCAGGGAGGTGACTGCTTGACATCAACCCTAGGGAAGCTGTGGTGGGACAGACTCTGTCTCTTGAAGGAAAGCCTCTGGGCAATTTGGAACCCAGGCCTTCCGAAACCCCATGCATGCCCTGGGTCATTCCGCGGGCTCTCCCGGCACAGCCCTTGCTTTCTAAAGGCGGGAAACTGGGCCTCAGAAAATCTAAGCCCTTTGCCCTCCTGGATCTCCCTTGGGAGCCTTGAGGGTGGAAGGCAGAGGGGGCGAAGAAGGAGAGGTTTCCACGGCCTGGTGGAGCCTGAGACCCTGAAAATGAAAGGGACCAGGACCCCTTTCCAGGAGGAAGCCCAGGTTATTTAGAGCCCTTCATCGCCCTCACGCAGCCCTGCTCCTGCAGTGCCCAGTGGGAAGGCGCTGCTCTCACCAAGCAGGGGCCACCAGGACACAGGTTGAGTGGGGAGGACAAGGTACCCCCCAGACCCCACTGGGGATGTCTGTTCCTTGTCAGTGCAACACGGAGGGATCAGACCCTCTAGGGAACCAGCCCTGGGGTGAACCACAGCGACCTCTTTGGTCAGGGCCACCGGAGAGGATGGCAGGGCCTGACCTGGCACCTGGGGGCTCTGCATGGGAAGCTGTCTCTCCCAGACTCCAGGGTCCCAGTCTCCTGGGGGACCAGGGGTCAGGAGGCCACCTCTGGGAGCCTGCCTCAATTTACCTTTCCAGTCTATGTCCTTTATTGGGATATCCAGGAGCAATTGTTCAGGCACTTCAAGCCCAAATTCTACTTGAACCTGAATTCTGTTTGAATTCAGGTGCTACTTGAGACGCAAGGTTGGGGCCTGGAGCTGCCCTCCCTGGGGAGGGGCAGAGTGTGGCTAGCCCTGCGGGAATTGTTTTTCCGAGACTGGAGTGTGACTGGCTGACGGGTGTGGACAGTCATTTGGGAATTTACCTCCAACCCTCCACTTTGCCTTGGGTTTGTAGACAGGGTGAGCCGTCAAGAATGTAACTTGGCATAGACCCTGAAGCTGGGGCAGAGGACAATGGATGCTTCCAGCATCATGGCTGCCCTCCCGTCCATGGCACAGAACACATTTCTCCTCAGAGGTCGCTCCTGGTCTCATCCTCGGGTGGTAGCACTCACAGCATTATAACCACGTCTCTCCAGCCATCCAGGGAAAACGCCAAAGATGTTACACGATATGGCAGTTTTCCAGGTGGGAAAATCAACCAACCGCCTTAGAAAACAATCGTACCTCTGAGCCTCGGGGTCTGAATTCCCATCATGGAAAGTCGAGCAAGACTCGATTCATGAAGTTTTGGCCTCCCAAGTGCCCAGTCCCTCGAGATGCTTAAAGTGCTGTCACCATGTCCTCAGCTTCCTGAGACATTATCTGCTGGCACCACTGGGCAGGATATGCAATTGACAGAAGAGCGTGGGCAGCAACTCCAAGGATGGACTCTCATGTGTCTCTGCTTGAAATACAAGCAAAAAAAGGGATAAATGTCTACAAAATCCATTTCAGAAAACTCAGGGAGAGCATCGCCAAGTTTTATGAGAGAAAGTGGCTCATCTCAGGCTCATATTTCACCAAGAATAGAACTTAAACCTAATCAAAATAGGAATTCAGATTCAATTTATGGCCAGGCACAGGGACTCACCCCTGTAATCCCAGTGCTTTGGGAGGTTGAGGTGGGAGAATTGCTTGAGCTCCAGAGTTCCAGACTGCCCTGGCCAACAAAGTCAGACTCCACCTCTGCCAAAAATTTTTAAAAATTAGCCAGGTGTGGTGGTGTATGCCTGTAATCCCAGCTACTTGGGAGGCTGAGGTGGGAGGATCACTTGAGCCAGGAGTTCAAGGCAGCAGTGAGCTATAATCACACCACTGCACTCCAGCCACCATGACAGAGGGAGACCATGTCTGTGAAAAAAAAAAAAAAATTAATTTATTTCTAGGGCTTAAGTAACGAGACGTCTTGAGACCAGGAAGAAAATGCTTCTCTAGATTCTTATATTAGGGAAACAAGAGCATTCAGGATTTGGCATACGGGAATGCTCAGAAAAAAAATAAAAATAAAACAAAAAGCAGGCTGTTCAGAAAGACCAATAAAATAGACAAAACTCTTGGCAAGTATAATCAATTTCTCTTACAATGGAATATTATTCAGCCCTAAAAAGAAAGGAGCCCCGGATGGTGGATGAACCTTGAGGACATTGTGCTCTTTAAAATAAGCCAAAAGGGCAAAAGGCCTGTAATCCTAGTGCTTTGAGAGGATGAGGCAGGAGAATCCTTGAGCCCCGGAGTTCCAGACCACCCTGGCCAAGATAGTAAGACTCCATCTCTGCCAAACCAACCCAAATGCCCATCAATGATAGACTGGATAAAGAAAATGTGACACACATACACCATGGAATACTATGCAGCCATAAAAAATAATTAGTTCATGTCCTTTGCAGGGCATGGATGAAGCTGGAAACCATCATCCTCAGCAAACTATCACAAGAACAGAAAACCAAACACCACGTGTTCTCACTCATAATTGGGAGTTGAACGATGAGAACACATGGACACAGGGAGGGAAACATCACACACTGGGGCCTGTCGGGGAGTCAGGGGGCAAGAGGAAGGAGGGCATTAGGACAAATAGCTAATGCATGCGGGGCTTAAAACCTAGAATGACGGGTTGATAGGTGCAGCAAACCACCATGGCACATGTATACCTATGTAACAAACCTGCACGTTCAGCACATGCATCCCAGAACTTAAAGTAAAATTTAAAAATATTAATAAAATCTTAGCCGGGTGTGTTGGTGCACACCTGTAGTCCCAGCTATATGTAAGTTCCACTTATATGAAGAACCTAGAGTCATTAAAATCACAGAAACAAAAAGAAGCACGGTGGGTGCCCAGGGTCAGTGGGAGGGACGATGGAAAATGGGGAGTTAATGTCGGGGACAGCCTTACTGTCTGGGAGATGAGAAGGCTATGGAGATGGGTGGTGTTGATGGCTGCACAGCGTTACTGTCTGGGAGGTGAGAAGGCTACGGAGATGGGTGGTGTTGATGGTTGCACAGCAATGTGAATGTGCTTCATGTCTTTGAACTAAACTCTTAAAAACAGTTACAACAGTCAATTGTATGTTATGCATATTTTACCACAATGTTTTTTAAAAGACTGTTTTGGGCAGAGGAACCTCCAGGACCTCTCTTCAAGTGCACCAGAAACCAACCAGGGCCAGGAACCAGCAGGCAGTGAGCCCAGACATGCAGCACAGTGGGCAGAGGCTGCTTCTGGAACCAGACACCTGGGCCCACAGCTCACCTCTGCCACCAACCAGCTGGGTGACCTCGGGCAGGTTCCTCGGTCTCTCTGAGTCTCAGATCACCCCATGTATAAAACCAAAACCACAGTGAGCTATCACCCCACCCCAGTTAGAAAGGCTACTATCAAAAAGACAAAACATCACAGATGCTGGCGAGGATGTGGGGAAAGGGGGAGGCTAGTACACTGGGGGTGGGAATGCAAATTAGTACAGCCATGACAGAGCACAGCGTGGAGGCTCCTCAAAGCCCCCACACAGAGCTGCCATAGGACCCAGCAATTCCACTGCTGGACATATGCCCAATGTAAGTGAAACTGGCATATGGAAGAGATACCTGCACTCCCATGTTTATTGCAGCACCATTCACAACAGCCAAGATCTGGAATCAACCCAAGTGTCCATCAACAAATGAATGGATAAAGAAAATCTGGCTATACACACAACGGAATACTATTCAGCCACAAAAGAGAATGCAATCCAGGCCAGGCATGGTGGCTCATGCCCATAATCCTAGCACTTTGGGAGGCTGAGGCAGGCAGATGACTTGAGCCCAGGAGTTCAAGAGACCAGCCTGGCCAGCATGGTGAAACCCCATCTGTACAAAAAATACAAAAATTAGCTGGACGTGGTGGCGCAGGCCTATGATTCAGGTACTGGGGAGGCTGAGGCAGGAGAATTTCTTGAACCCGGGAGGCAGAGGTTGCAGTGAGCCAAGATCTGGCCACTGCACTCCAGCCTGGGCGATAGAGTGAGAGCCTGTCTAAAAAACAAAAACAAAAACAAAAAAACGGATCCTGTCATTTGTGGCAACATGGATGAACCTGGAGGACACAGGCACAGAAAGATACACTCGAGGTGACGCATGACATCACTCATATGCAGAATCCAAAAAGCAGATGTTACAGAAGCGTAAAATAGTGGTTACCAGAGGCTGGGGAGGGGAGTGGGCGGGGGCCTGGGGATGGAGAAAGTGTAGTTAATGGGTACCGGGTCAATTAGACATGAGGAATCAGTTCTGGTGTGCTAATGGGAAGAAGGGTGATTATAGGTAACAATACTGTTTAGTATATTTCAAAATAGTTAGAAGACAGAATTTTAAGCATTCTTACCACAAAGAAACTATGAATGTTTGAGATGATGGCAGTGCTAAATACTGTGATTGGATCATTATACAATGTATCTATTTATCAAAACATCTCATTGTTCCCCATAAATATGTACAATTATTATGTGTCAACATAAAAACACAGGAAAAGCTATAGTAACCAAAACAGCATGGCCCTGGCACAAAAACAGACACATAGACCAATGGAACTGACTAGGGAACCCAGAAACAAATCCACACACCTACAGTGAACTCATTTTTGACAAAGGTGCCAAGAACATACACTGGGGAAGGGACAGTCTCTTCAATAAATAGTTCTAGAAAACTGGCTATGCATATGCAGAAGAGTGAAACTAGACCCCTAGCTTTCGCCACATACAAACATCAAATCAAAATGGATTAAACACTTAAATTGAAGACCTCAAACTATGAAACTACTATAAGAAAACATTGGGGGAAATCTCCAGGCCATTGGTCTGGGCAAAAATGTATTGAGCAATACCCCACAAGCACAAGCAACCAAAGCAAAAATGGACAAATGGGATCACCTCAAGTTAAAAAGCTTCTGCACAGCAAAGGAAACAATCAACAAAGTGATGAGACAACCCACAGAATGGGAGGAAATATTTTCAAACTACTCCTCTGACAAGGGATTAATAACCAGAATGTATAAGGAGCTCAATCAACTCTACAGGAAAAAAACCTAATCATCCGATCAAAAAATGGGCAAAAGATATGAGTACACATTTCTCAAAAGAAGATATACAAATGGCAAACAGGCATCTGAAAAGGAGCTCAACATCCCTGATCATCAGAGAAGTGCCAATCAAAACGACAATGAGATGTCATCTCACCCCCATTAAAGCGGCTTTTATCCAAAAGACGGGTAATAATGAATGCTGGTGAGGATGTGGAGAAAAGGGAACCCTGGTACACTGTTAAGGGGAATGTAAGTTAGAACAACCACTATGGAAAACACTTTGGAGGTTCCTCAAAACACTAAAACTCGAGCTACCATATGACCCAGCCATCCCTTTGCTGGCTAGATACCCAATATATTGAAGAGATATCCACACCCCCATGTTTATTGCAGCACTGTTCATAACACCCAAGATTTGGAAGCAACCTAAGTGTCCACCAACAGGTTAATGGATAAATAAAATGTGGTGTGTACACACAACGGAGTATTATTCAGCCATAAAAAAGAACAAGAGCTGGCCGGGTGTGGTGGCTCCCGCCTGTAATCCCAGCATTTTGGGAGGCCGAGGTGGGAGAATCACCAGGTCAGGAGTTCAAGACCAGCTTGGCCAACATGGTGAAACCCGGTCTCCACTAAAAATACAAAAAAAAAAAAATTAGCCGGGCGTAGTGGCAGACACCTGTAATCCCAGCTACTTGGGAGGCTGAGGCAGGAGAATCACTTGAAACCGGAAGGTGGAGGTTGCAGTGAGCCCAGATCACACCACTGCACTCCAGCCTGGGCGACAAGAGCGAAACCCTGTCTCAAAAAAAAAAAAAAGAAAAAGAAAAGAACAAGATTCTGTCATTTACAACAACATGGATGGAACTAGAGGTCATCATGTTAAGTGAAATAAGCCAGGCACAGAAAGACAAACATCGCATGTTCTCATTTATTTTTGGTACCTAAAAATCAAAACAATTGAACTCATGGACATACAGAGTAGAAGGATGGCTACCAGAGGCTGGGAGGGGAGTGGGAGGCAGCTGGGTCAGCAGGGCAATGGTCTCGTGGGAGTACAAAAAAATAGTTAGACTGATTAAGACCTACTATTTGATAGTATATCAGGGTGACTATAGTCAATAATAACCTAATTGTACATTTTAAAATAACTGAGAGGCCAGGCATGGTGGCTCACACTTGTAATCCCAGTACTTTGGGAGGCTGAGGCAGGCGGAACACTTGAGGCCAGGAGTTTGAGACCAGCCTAGCCAAAATGGTGATACCTTGACTCTACTAAAAACACAAAAATTAGCTGCGCATAGTGGTGCGTGCTTGTAATCCCAGCTACTCAGGAGGCTGAGGCAGGGGAATCACTTGGACCTGGGAGGCAGAGGTTACATTGAGCCGAGATCGCACCATTGCACTCCAGCCTGGGCAACAGAGAGACTCCATCTCAAAAAATAATAATAAAAGAAAAGAAAAGAACTAAGAGTGTAATTGAATTGTTTGTAACACAAAGGATAAAAGTTTGAGAGGACGGACACCCCATTCTCCATGATGTGATTACAATGCACTGCATGCCTGTACCAAAACATCTCACATACCCCACAAGTACATATACCTACTATGTACCCACAAAAAATACAACAATAAAAATAAAAAATAAAAAGAACAAAAGAGGATAAAACTACCCACTTCATAGGATAAATTGTTCCCTCCAGATTGATAAGTTGGCTGTCACACGGAGAAGGAGAAGGAGAAGGAGACAGGAGCCTTTTTTTTTTTTTTTAGATGAGGGTCTTGCTGTTTTGCCCAGGCTGGGCTTGAACTCGGAGATCCTCCCCACTCAGCCTCCCAGGCAGCTGGGACTACAGGTGCACACACTGCACACACACACCCCACCTCTGCCCCTGTCCCTCTTATTAATGGACTCCTCCTGCCCCTGTCCCTCTTCTTAATGGACTCCTCTCCTTTCTTGACCTCAGGCTCACCATGGCTACATTTCTGTGTTTGCTCCCGTTCCTCGCAGCCTGTTGATGTGAGCTCAGAGCTTCTCTTTTGCTGAAGCAGCTGAAAGAGCCACGTTTCCTTTGACTCTCAAGATTGGCAAACAAAGCCAGTCTGGCCTCGGGAGCCGCTCAGAGCCGGTCATGAGCAGGAAGGACTCTTCCAGAAGCATGCATTCTGCCGCCACCCTGGCTGCTGAGCACAGCAAATCCCTTGGCGACACAGGGTCACTCTCATTCCCGCTCACCACAGACTCTAGGAACACACAGATCCGTGTGGCGGCAGAGGCCCTTCTGGGGTGTTGTCTGCCAGTCCCACGCAAACCCCACGGCCCCAGGGGCACTGGGCGGAGCTGCCCAGCCAGACGCCCTCTCTGGGATTGCTCGTCATGCCTGCAGGGAGCTCTTCCCTCTTTCCGGCTTGTCCTGGACCTTCTGCTGCTCAGGTGCTGGAATGCAGAAGGAACAGAGCTTGACCCGTGGCCCAGATCACACCGCAAAGTCCCTAGGGATATGTCCAGCAGAGCCGCGACGTCGGGCCCAGGAGATGGGGTTCTGGGAGGAAGAGAGAGCTATGACACTGTCTTTCTTGCCTCTGAACCCACTCACTTACCTCCCCGTCTCTGAGGGAATGACAGCTCTCATTACACTGAGGCTACCCTGGCGTCTGGCCCCGGAGGCCCCATGCTTCTCCCCTCTCTGGGCTGAGCCTAAATTGCAGGTTGGGTAAGTAACTGTCATGGGGGCCTGCCCCAAAGCTGGCCAGTCTCAGCAGCATCGCGTTGCCCTCAGCTAAATCCACTGCCCCAGAGGGAGGGAGTGTGGAGAAGAGTCTTAGGAGAAAGAGCTGACTCAAATCGCCAACAGGCCCACGTGGCCATCAGCTGACAGACAGGTACATCTGCCTGGGGCAATATTATTCATCAATAAAGAGAAATACAGTTCTGACGCACACCACAACACGGCCGAGCCTCGAAACCCTGGTGCTGAGTGAAAGAAGCCAGACACAAAAGGCCACCTATTGTCTGAGCCCATTTCTAGGAAACGTCCAGAACAGGCAAACCACAGAGACAGGAGTGGATTCGCGGTTGCCAGGGGCCGGGGGAGAGGGAAAGGGAAATAGAGGGGGTGAAGACAGGGTTTCTTTTTGAGGTGATGAAAATGTTCCAAAATTGACTGTGGTGACAGTTACACAACTGCGTGAATATAAAAAACCACTGAGTTGTACACTTTAAATGGGTAAATTATATAGTGTGTGAATTATTTCCCAATAAAGCTGGAAAGGAAAGAAGGGAAGGAAGGGAGGAAAGAAAAGAGAGAGAGAGAAAGGAACGAAGAAAGGAACAAAGGAAAGAGCTGAGACAAAACCCAACATCACCATTTCCTAGCTGTGTGACCTAGAAGCAGGTGACTAGCCTCTCTGTGCCCTAATTTTTTCACCTTAAAAGAATGGTCATGGCCGGGGGCGGTGGCTCATGCCTGTAATCTCAGCACCTTGGGAGGCCAAGGCAGGCGGATCACCTGAGGTCAGGAGTTTGAGGCCACCCTGGCCAACGTGGCGAAACCCCATCTCTACTAAAAATACAAAAATTCGCTGGGTGTGGTGGTGGGCACCTGTAATCCCAGCTACTCGGGAGGCTGAGGCAGGAGAATCCCTGGAACCTGGGAGGTGGAGGTTGCAGTGAGCCGAGATCATTCCACTGCACTCCAGCCCTGGCAACAGAGTGAGACTCGGTCTAAAAATGATACCAACTGTTTGTCTTTCTAAGGATCAATTAGGCCACGCACGTGAACACTTAACACAGTGCCTAGGGGTCGATACACAATCCCCCTTTCTTCACACCACAAGCAGAGAGCAGCGAGAGAGATGAGTGCAGGGACAGGGAGATGGAGAAGGACGGATCACGTTTATTACTGATAAGGCTAATTGGGGGACATACCTCTAGGTCAGCTGGTTGATGAGTAGCTAACACTTCTCCCCAAATTACACAGACCTCCCCACAGTCCAGCAGAGCAGCAAAACCACAGCCTCCTCTGTCTGTCCCTGTACGACCTGTGGTACGGAGGATTGGGAAAGCGCGCCTCCCTCAACACCAGCTCCATGGATGGGGCCAACTGCAGGGAAGAGCTCTCCAAGGCAGAGAGAATAGGAATGCTGCCCCATTGCAGAGACTTCCACCTCGGAACACAAGGAGTGGGAACCTATTCTCACTCCAACAACAGCTGATCGTCAGGTTTATGATTATTATAAATGATGAATAATGCAGTCAGTGCCTGGCAGGCGTAGGCGTGCGGAAGCTTTTTATGAATGTGTTAACACAGTCACACATTTATACATGTGTGTGCATTCGGGGAAAAAAGTGAAAGTGTAGCCACCTGAACATAAGAGCAGTGCAGAAGAATTGGGAATGGTGAAATTCCAGAAGGTCGTGCAGAAGAATTGGGAATGGTGAAATTCCGGAAGGTCGTGCAGAAGAATTGGGAATGGTGAAATTCCAGAAGGTCGTGCAGAAGAATTGGGAATGGTGAAATTCCGGAAGGTCGTGCAGAAGAATTGAGAATGGTGAAATTCCGGAAGGTCGTGCAGAAGAATTGGGAATGGTGAAATTCCGGAAGGTCGTGCAGAAGAATTGGGAATGGTGAAATTCCGGAAGGTCGTGCAGAAGAATTGGGAATGGTGAAATTCCGGAAGGTCGTGCAGAAGAATTGGGAATGGTGAAATTCCGGAAGGTCGTGCAGAAGAATTGGGAATGGTGAAATTCCGGAAGGTCGTGCAGAAGAATTGGGAATGGTGAAATTCCGGAAGGTCGTGCAGAAGAAGTGGGAATGGTGAAATTCCGGAAGGTCGTGCAGAAGAAGTGGGAATGGTGAAATTCCGGAAGGTCGTGCAGAAGAAGTGGGAATGGTGAAATTCCGGAAGGTCGTGCAGAAGAATTGGGAATGGTGAAATTCCGGAAGGTCGTGCAGAAGAATTGGGAATGGTGAAATTCCGGAAGGTCGTGCAGAAGAATTGGGAATGGTGAAATTCTGGAACGTCTGCCTTTTCCTTTTTTCGCTTCTCTGTGTTTTTCAGTTTTGCCTAATGAGCATATTTTTTTGTTGTTGTTATTTTTAAGAAACGTTTCCTTGTAGGTTTCGAAGATGTGAAAATACTCTTTACCCTCAAAATGATTTTTAAAAAAATCTATTTAGGAGCAAGATACTTTGCAGGGCAAACCATTAGAAAACAGACTCGCACGTGGTTTAGACAAAGTGCACTACGGAAGCGCAGAGAAGGTGAGTCCTGGGGCAGGGTCACTTCTCAGAGCAGGCCTGTTGGGCCTGGCCACCCAAGCACCACACCTCAAGGGCTCTGTCTTGGTCAGACAACCTTCATGCCCACACTTTCCAAGGCCTGTAATGAATCTCAAAGCCAGGCTTCCAACATCTTTGACTGTGATGGCATATTCTGACTTTCAATAGCACTTTTCCATTGGATATCCAAGTGTCCAAAGTAGATGTTTCCAGCTCTTTCGAGACTTTTCTTGGTCTTCTTGTGTAGTTATATGATTTCTTCTACAATATCAGTGGTCAAGCTTATTGCTTAATACTGGATGTCATGGCAACTACTGCAGGGGCTGGAAGCCTGGAAACTACATTTCCCAGAATCCCTTGCCATTCAGATGGTTCTAGATTAGACTTCGCCATTGAGAGCCTCCCATACAAGATTTGGGAAGTGGGAGAAAGGCTGAAGCCTGGCTGGGCATGGTGGCTCACACCTATACTCCCAGCACTTTGGGAGGCCAAGGAAGAAGGATAGCTTGAGCCCAGGATCAGAGGCCAGCCTGAGGCAACATAGTGAGACCTCCTCTGTCTCTAAAAAAAAAAGAAAAGAAAAGAAAAGAAAGGCTGAAGCCATTGCTCCCTGGCACTGCACTAGCAGATGAACTTGTGAGCTTTGGCAGCCTGGGGGTCCCGCCAGCCACCCACCTCAGTGCTGCAGGCAGCTGGTACCATCCGCAGCAGTTCCTGTGGTCCTGCAGTACCCTGGTTTGTCAAACTTTCATGTTACCCTTGAGCACGAGTGACAGCTTTCCCTGGTCCTTACTCCTCTAGCTCGTCAACAGTCTTGAAAGCCCCTGGGTGGGGTGCGATGGCTCACACCAGTAATCCCAGCACTTTGGGAGGTTGAGGCAGGCAGAACACGAGGTCAGGAGTTTGAGACCATCCTGACTAAACATGGTGAAACCCCGTCTCTACTAAA
The DNA here is from genome assembly GCF_000001405.40 of Homo sapiens. NCBI lineage: Eukaryota > Metazoa > Chordata > Mammalia > Primates > Hominidae > Homo > Homo sapiens. The sequence continues at coordinate 87,164,442 of NC_000016.10, forward strand.
AATACAAAAATTAGCCAGGCGTGGTGGCGTGCGCTTGTAATCTCAGCTACTCAGGAGTCTGAGGCAGGAGAATCGCTTGAACCCGGGAGGCGGAGGTTGCAATGAGCCGAGATCACACCACTGCACTCCAGCCTGGGCAACAGAGTGAGACTCTGTCTCAAAAAAAAAAAAAAGAAAGAAAGAAAAAGAAAAAAACCCTGATGCCCTGTATTAAATCCCCTCTTCTTCTGCATGATGCAAGAACTTTTCTGTTAGATTCATAGATAACAGAAGCTCCCACTGACCAGCACCTCCACCTTCCAGAACAGTGCTAAACATTTCACTGGCATTTTGTCACAGTATGAGATAGCTATGACCATTATCATTTCTAATTTTGCTGTGTCCGAGTTCAGGGGGAAAATAAGAGGCACATCTGGGATTTAAATTCAGATCTATCTTCCTCCCAGGCCAGCACTCTTCTTAACACTTCATTGAAGCGCTCCCACTTTCTCCTGGTGAGACCTCTGCCAGTGTTGTCTGTGCACCCCAGCTTTTTAATGTGCAAACCCAGAAAACGTGGATGCCCCTAGAAGATTCCCTGGAGACACATCATTAGATGCAAGGTAGGGTTCCAGAAGACCTGGAGAAAGATTACTCATCTTTCATTTGTTTTGTTTTGAGACAGAGTCTCACTCTGTCACCCAGGCTGGAGTGCAGTGATACAATCATGGCTCACTGCAGCCTCAACCTCCCCAGGCTGAGGTGACACCCCATTTCCACCTCCTGAGTAGCTGGGACCATAGACATGTCCCACCACCACGTCTGGTTAATTTTTGCTTTTTTTTTTTTTTTCCTTTTTGGTAGAGATGAGGTTTTGCCGTGTTGCCCAAGCAGGTCTTGAATTCCTGGGCTCAAGTGATTCACCCACCACAGCCTCCCAGAGTGCTGGGATTACAGGTGTGAGCCACTGTGCCTGGTCTCTTCACTTGTTTAATCGCCATCTCCTTCCTTTTCTCCTGATCTAAAGAAAGGCCAGTTGACTAAGTGCAGTGTCCAGTCTCGCTGGTTTTTAAGATAAACCCAGAGGGTAGACATTGTCTACTGACATAGACACTTATTTCCAAGGAAGCTTGAGAATACTAGAATAGGGAATTCCTGGCTGATTTTTAAGACTTTAATCCCAAGTGGGCAATTCTCGGGGTCCCTTGGGACTCTAATGCCATCTCTACAAGGAGAAAACACTGACAGGCTTGTCGATTTCAAGAGGATGTTGGTGACATTGGCAGCCTGAAGTGCAGCACAAGCTGCATTTGGAATCCAGTTCAGGGGAGAGGCCAAAGGCCCCTGAACCCACTAGGGCGTCCGCTTGTCCTTTTCTCCTCTGATTCTTCGACCTCTTCCACTTCGGGAAGGAAGCAACCGATTCAAGAAATGAGACTAAAGTCATTTGGGGTTTAGGATTATTTTTTTTGAATTTGGTGGAAAATGTGTATATATTTACTTTGGGTCCATTCGAGCTTTGAAACCTTAATGTCTAAATTGCCAGGATTACACAAATTCCCTTTCAAAATCATTGTCACTTAAAATAAAAAGTCTGTCCCGTGGCTTGGAACTGTCTCCCCACTCTGTAAACTGATATCAACACTTCGCCCTTGAGGCTTTTCTTTCCTAATCTAAGCAGATGTGCCCGTTATGTTCCTCTGACTTTGGAGACGCCCAGGAGAGACCTGCTTCCCTTTCACCATGAGAGCTTCTGCCCACGGTGTGCCACAGCCTGACCAGCTCTGGATCCCGTCTTCATGGAAATGGTTCAGGGAACGCTGGAACTGCATGATTTATGATGCTAAACATTTCCCCTCCGTAAAAAAAAATAAATAGATAAGTAAATTGTGGTACAGTAAGGTTTGCAGCGCCAAGCAGGTGGTTTTGAGCAGGGAGGATTCACATCCCAGGGCCAGCCGGGGAGGGTGCCAAGTGGCCCTGGTTTCAAATGTCTTCAGAGTTTTCCAAAGTGAGAACAGAGCAAAGTTTTGAAAGTTCCCTGAAGAGTCCAAAATACTGGCTGATCACATCCTAACTGGAGGCTCTCTAAGCCAACAACAGCCTGCACATGGGGTGCCCAGAGCCATAAACAGTCCGCGTTGGGCCACGCCAGCAAGGGGTGGGGTCAGTATGCAGGCTTTGGGCTCCCCAGCTGCACCCCACATCAGCCGGAGCAGCTCCGCAGCGGTCTGTTTAGTTCTTCACTGGGTTTAGTCGGAGAAAGTTATCTGGACAAAGAAAAAGTTTAAAACCTTATATCTTCTGCAACATTCTCTCTTTTTTTTTTTTTTTTTTGAGATGGAGTCTTGCTCTGTAACCCAGGCTGGAGTGCAGTGGCGCCATCTCGGCCCACTGCAACCCCCTACCTCCCGGATCCCGGTTCAAGCAATTCTCCTGCCTCAGCCTCCTGAGTAGCTGGGATTACAGGCGCCCATGATCACTCCCGGCTAGTGATTGTACTTTAAGTAGAGATGGAGTTTCACCATGTTGGCCAGGCTGGTCCTGAACTCCTGATCTTGTTATCTGCCCACCTCTGCCTCCCAAAGTGCTGGGATTACAGGTGTAAGCCACCACGCCCAGCCACATTCTCAGTTTTGAGATGAATAAAATAAGATTTAGAGAGAAGAAATGACTCACCTTAGGTGAAAGCATTAAACTCACAGGTCCTCAGGCCTGGAATGAAAATATTACTTGTTCTATGTTATGATGCCTACAGCAGACCCAGCAGGTCAGTCACCAGGTTTTTTCCTCTTCTCCTCAACACACAATGAGACAACTTTCCAGCTGTGGTTAGGTGTGGTCACATGATCAGATTCTATCCCATAAGGATACCCTCTGTTAGCTCTTCCCTTGTCTGTGGGACAGATCAGTGGATGCAGTGAAAGATGAGGAGGCTACAGGAAGAAGCTGAGTCCCTGAATGACTGTGTGGAGCAGACACCCAGGAGAGCCACCCAACTGAGAAGCAAGAACACTGGAGGGCAGCAAGAGTGAGAAATAAACTTACGAATTAAGCCATTGCAATGTTGGTTGTTTACTATAGTAGTTGGCCTACCATGGCTAATTCAATACTGTTTAAGAAAAACAGCCACTATTTTATGTGTTTCATTTTGGCTTTCTGCTCACCCAGAATCCATCTCTCTTTTGTTGACCACTCTTCTATTTTCCTCCTCCCTCATTAGTGAATCCTACTGTCAGTCAAGGTGCTCCACCCTCCATAAGCCTGGGGGTGGGCAAAAGATCCAAACTAAGCCTATCAGGCTGTGTCCTGGGACTTTGGATCCTGAGTAGCGTGAATGAAGAAGAGAAATGGTCGCAGCTGATTCATCTCATTAATGGATCCTGTTCCCTGGTTCCCAAGTCATAACAGCATTCCAGTTCCAGTCTTTCCCAGGACCTGATTGTTAAGCTTTTCTTCTGTGTTCCCACCTTATTCCTCCAAGTAACTTCCCTTTGTTCACTCCCCACTTTTTTTCCTCATGTTGGCCAAGCCCATTTCTATTTCTTACACACACACACACACACACACACACACACACACACACACACACTATAAAGATGAAATAATATCAAGACTGCCGACCATGGGGTGACGTCATATCATACTTAACAGTGTCAGCAAATAGCACCTTATTTAAACCTTACACTGACCCTACCAAGTAAATAACATCTTAAAGTGGTTAAGACTGTCACGTGCCCAAGACCACAGAGCTCCTAGGTGGGCAGCTGGGATCAGATTTAGAAGGTCTGTGTTCAATACCAGTATTCTTTCTTCTATAATGGTTGCCTTTACAGGATGGAAATTATTTTATTACCAAAAAATAATGCATGCATATTATTTTTTTTAAAGACCCTGTTTCCCTTATCACCAAAACCACTTGTAATACTTACCTGAGGCCAGGTGCAGTGGCTCACACCTGTAATCCCAGCACTTTGGGAGGCCAAGGCGGACAGATCACTTGAGGTTAGGAGTTTGAGTCCAGCCTGGCCAACATGGTGAAACCCTGTCTCTATTAAAACAAAAAACACAAAAATTATCCAGCCATGATGGCGCACACCTGTAATGCCAGCTACTCGGGAGGCTGAGGCGGGAGAATCGCTTGAACCCAGGAGGCAGAGGTTGCAGTGAGCTGAGAGCACACCTTTTCACTCCAGCCTGGGCAACAGATTGAGACTTCATCTCAAGAAAGAAAAAAACAAACTTACCTGAGTATTACTGCAGAATTTGTCTATATGTATACCAGCATCAAGATTCTTTTTTAAAAAAATCTAGATAAATGGGCCTAAATGCAGTCTTTATTCTGCCTCATTCTTTCAAACCTTGTACCTTAGAGATCATGCTGCCTGTGCACACAGAGACCGCCCTTGATTTCTAATGGCTACCTATTCTTGCATTACAGGTATGTGCCCTGATTTATTTATAATCATCTACTAACAGACATTTCCTTTGTTCCCAGTAGTTTCAGCAACTCTTTTCTTTTCTTTTCTTTTTTGAGACGGAGTCTCGCTCCATCGCCCAGGCTGGAGTGCAGTGGCGTGATCTCTGCTCACTGCAAGCTCTGCCTCCCAGGTTCACACCATTCTCCTGCCTCTGCCTCCCAAGTAGCTGGGACTACAGGCGCCCACCACCACGCCTGGCTAAGATTTTTTTTTTTTTTCGGATTTTTAGTAGAGACGGGGTTTCACCATGTTAGCTAGGATGGTCTCAATCTCTCAATCTCCTGACCTTGTGATCCACCTGCCTTGGCCTCCCAAAGTGCTGGGATTACAGGCGTGAGCCATCACGCCCGGCCAGCATCTCAGTGTTCAATTCACTTCATATATTCATTCATTAAATTTTACATGAAATATATTCATTTGAATATTTCAAATTAAATGACCGTTGCAATATGCCTGTGCCTTTGGTACATTTGTAAGTTAATTAGCACCATGGATTCCTAGAGGTAAAACTGCCAGATGAAGAGGTGCATGAATTTTAAATTTTGAAACATGATCGACTTGTTCCCCTCAGAGCCTACCCAGTTCACACTTTACTCAAACACATCTGGAGGAAGTTTACGCTGCATCAACATGAGAGATGGCATCATGGGCAATTGTTGATTCGGGATTGCTGGCTTCTACAGCCCGGGCACGGGATCCCTGCCATTTGCCCACGAAATGCCAAGATTGCAGCATTTGACCTTTTAGACAATAGCCAAAAGGCATTTTCTCTCAATCAATAAAACACATGAACCCAAGTAAACAAGGTCCCCCCTCCCATCGGGAAAGGGAGGGTTTGGTGCATCCCCCACCAGCTCCTCATGGCGGAGAGTTCTCAGCTGAACACACAGGAGCTTCAGAGCGCTTTGCTGGTTTGGATTACTAGAAAAATGACGTGAGACTGTAAATAGGCCGTGCGGCTACAAGAGCTGGCCACGTGATGCTTTTACTGGCTTCACAAGCAATGAATGTCGACATCAATTTAATTATTTGCTGCTTCCCTGCCTGCCATCTTCCCGCAGAGGAAGGGCTATCACAGAGTGTCCTCACCTGGGCTGCAGCCCTCCGAGGGCCCTAAGTGTTGCAAGAGATGCTATCCTCAGACAGAGGGTCTGAATGCTGAACTTCCAGCCGGAGAAAGAGGTAGTAGGGGTAACTCGCTGTTCCCTTGGTTACCAACCCCCCCACCCACCACTATGAACCTGCCTCAGAATTCAAAGCAGGTTACACTAAAGTGACTGGGTGGACCCAGCACATATAGCTGCTTTCTCGTTTTCATCTTATAATGATTCTGGGCAATGGCCATCTTTGACCTCCCTGAGCCCCATATTTCCCATCTGTCAAAGGACCTGGCACCCAGGGGTCAGTAGGGGAGCCAGGAGCTAGAATGGGGTGCCCTGAGTGCAAGGGCAGCTGTCACATGACTCTCAGCAGCCTCAGACTCAAAGTCTTGAAAACAGGCTGCAAGTTCCTCAGCAAGATGCCCTTTGATGGTGCTCTGATCTCATCTCCTGCTACAGCTGTGCCCCCGAGACACTCTCAGCCATACTGGCCTCCTTGCAGCCCATGGGATTTTCCAGGTCTGTTCCTACCCCAGGGCCTTTGCACTGTCTGCTCACCCAGTGGAACTCTTACCCCACGTTTCCACATGGCTCCCTGTCTAACTTCTTTAAATATTTTTCTCAAATGCCACCTTCTCCGAGAAGCCTTTGGGCCAACCATCCTATTTAAAGTTGTAAGGCCACCCTCACCTCCCGCCCTCCACCGCAAACTCTCTCTCTCACTTCCATGCATTCTTTTTGGCTCCATGTCACCAGCAGACAAACATCACATTTACTTTTTAAAGATTATTACCTATCTACCTATCCCCTAGAATGTAACCTCCATGGAGGGAGGATTTGTTTCTATAGTCCTGTTTTAGTTTGGTTTTCATCTTCTCTACTGTATCCCCAGAGCCTAGAGCAGGGCCTGGCTCTGAGTCGGTGCCAGGGAACTGTTGGAAGGTGAGTGAACCAAGACAACATGATGTGGCTGAGACACTGTGATGCATTCATCGACCCTGGTCCCCTTCCTGGACACACAGGAAAATGGCATTTCTCAGGCTCTTTTGTAGCTAAGTGGGTGCCGTGAGACTGATTTCTGACCAATGGGGTGCTAGTGGAAGTGTTCGAGGCCCCTCCCAGGCCCAGTGTAGGAAACATCCTGCAGGACCCCCTAGTCTCTCTTTCACTTTGTCAGTCACTATGGAGGCTGCATGGTGGGGGATGGGGGGCCATGGATGAAAACAGTCTGGATCCCTGAGTCTCAACATGGAGGCAGCAACCTGGAGAGCCACTCACCTGAACTGGGCTTTGTACAAGACAGAAGTGAACCTTTACGGCATGAAGCTGTTGAGATTTCAGGACGTATTTGTTACTGCAGCAAAAATTAACATAGATGGAAAAATACTGGACTACAACTCAGGAAGCCCCAGTGATAAATACAGTCACTACAAAATAGCGTATTTGTTCCTTAAAATCACTGCACTATGTGCAAGACTGCACATCAAAGTCACAGGGCTTATGGAGAAAGTGGGATTAGGAGAACAGCAATCAGAAACTGTAACAGCGACACGTCACATTACAAACGATAGGAATCTAATTAAATTGGTACCAATAGTTACACAATACATAAAGACCACAACAGATACAATGTTTCACCTTGAAAAAGGCAAAGTTTGCTGGGGAAGGGGGGTCAGGAAGGGCTGCAGTTTTTGAGTTATTATGAGTGGCAGAAGGAGAGTTGTATGAAATAGAAAGCTGTAACTCCGATGAGGATAGGTGTGGCCGTAACACTTGAGGTGCACTGGATGGCCAGTAGGTGTGTGTATGCATGTGTATGTGTGTGTTCATGCATGTGTGTGTGTGCATGTGTGTATGTGTGCATGTTCATTCATATGTGTACGTGTGTGTTCATGTATGAGCATGTGTGTGCATGCATTGTGTGCATGTGTGCGTAAGTGTGCGTGTTTGTGCACGTGTGTGCACTGTGTGCGTGAGCATATATGTGCATGTTTGTGCATGTGTGTCTGTCCATCTGTGTGCATGTGCATACGTTTACATGTCTGTGTGGATGCGTATGTGCGTGTGTGTGTTCATGCATGTGTGCATGTGTGTGTGTCTGCATGTCCTGCGTGTTCCTATGTGGCCTGGCTCAGCTGAGTGCAGTCATCTGTGTCCACCCAGTGTTTCTCGCCAACAAAATCATGTATAAGCCAGCTGAAATCCACATGATGTTCAAATTGTTCCCTAAAATATCAATCATATTGGAACAAATTCATGTTTTTAGATAAGCATCCTAGCAGAACTGACTGTGATAGGGAGATTGTGGAATTCCTAAACTCTCAAACTCAGGGAGGGCCCAGATTCACATTTGTAGCCAGCACCAGGAACTGCACAGCTGATGGTCTGTAAAGCCTCCCCAGGGAAGATGGCACTGGAGAACATGGGGACCACGTCTGTCCCCATCACCACCTTAGCTCTGCACCTGGCCAGTGAGAACACCCAACAAATAGCCATGGAATGGAGGAAAAGAAGGATGTGTTTACTTTGATTCAGACCATGTTTGTTGAATGAATGGAATGAGTGGATCCAATAACACGGCATTGTCTACCATCTTACACGAGGACACTGAGGCTTAGGAATTTAGAATAGGTCTCAATCCTAGGCCTGTCTGGTTCCAAGAGCTGGGTTTTGAACACCTACACGGCAGGGCCACTCTGAATTCTGAGCAAATTCTACATCAACCTGCAGGGTCTTTGAACCAGGGACTTCATCCTTCTACCCTCAGATTCCTCACAGAAAGTCATGCCAGCGCTAGACCTGTGGTCAACACTGCACCCTCTGGCCAAATCTGGCCACTGCCTGTTGCGGTGAATTTCACTGGAACTCAGTCACAGCCATTCCTTTACATATCCACCATTCCTGCTTTCATGTTCCCAAGGCAGTCAAGTAGTTATGCAGACACCAGGACAGACACCAGCAAAGACTGCAACATTCACTCCCTGGCCCTTTACAGAAAGACGGTCCCAGGCCGGGCACAGTGGCTCACGCCTGTAATCCCAGCACTTTGGGATGCCAAGGCAGGCAGATCACCCGAGGTCAGGAGTTCAAGACCAGCCTGGCCAACATGGTGAAACCCCATCTCTACAAACACAAAAGTTAGCCGGGCATGATGGCGCGTGCCTGTAATCCCAGCTACTCGGGAGGCTGAGATGGGAGAATTGCTTGAACCCAGGAGTCGGAGGTTGCAGTGAGCTGAGGTCACGCCAGTGTACTCCAGCCTGAGCTATACAGCAAGACTCCATCTCAAAAAAAAAAAAAAAAAAAAAAAAGACTTTGCCAACCCCTGCACTACACAGCCTCTGGGATCTGCTGGGAGTTGCCATTTTCCACACCTTCACCTGTGGAGAAGAAACCCCTAGTTCTGACCTTCTCCTACGTGAGCAGGGTGGGAGGTGTGGGCACACACCCACATGCACACACACACACACACTCACACACACTGAGGTCAGACATTATCTGAGTGAATCACTGAGCATGCATTCAGCTCTCCCTGCCACCCCAGGCACTGTGCCCATATCTGGGGGCAGCCATCCTCCCAGCCCACCCTCCAGGGCCCCCTTGTCGGCCCACGCCCTCCATGGGCTGAGAAGTGCAGAGGCGAAACCCTCCCTTTCCCCTTCCTCTTGGGACGCCTCGATAGCCTGTCTGTCTGGGCCGCCGTGGGCTGGAGGGAAGGCCACGGGTGTGACCTACTGAGTCAAGTGCAGGCTGCCCAGACTAAACATCCTTAATTAAGCTCCACAAAGGTTAAATGGCAATTACACTGCCTGAGGAGGCCTGCGTTCAACAGAGTGGCCCTTTTACCCTCAGGATCATAGGGAATGCCCCTCAAGAAAGGAGCCCCTCTTCCCCAAGGGGGGTTGCTGAGAACTGCCCACCCCTCCCCCCGCAGGTGGAAACTCGGGTTTGCTGTGGTGGGTCCCATCCATGGCTTCCTGGTAAAGGGTCGAGTCCCCGGTACATGGAGTGTCGCCAGCACTAATCCTCAGGGTGGCATTCACTAACCTTTCAGGCCACATGCCTTGAGGGTCTAAGGATTGAGTGTGACACCATGAACTCAGCCTTCTCTTCCTGGCACCCCCTTGGGATCCTTTCAGCTCTTCCTTCAGAATAGATGCTGAAGCCGGGCACTTCACATGGCCCCCAACACTGTCTCTCCCCTCCCAGGGCAGCAGCCTGGTCCCCAACACACCAGGGCATCCCTTGTGCTATAGGGCAGCCCCCGCCCTCCATGCTCAGCACCCTGAAGCAACCCATATCTGGGGGCCACAGCACAGTCGCAAGGTCCTTCACCCGGCCCCATCCCCTGCCTCCACCTGGAAGTGACTGTCCCCATGGCCTCCTTACTGGCCCAGCCCCGCCCACCTCCTGGCCTTTGCAGTCCTGCTTCCTCTGCCTGGGCTGCTCTTCCCTGAGACAACAGCGCAGCTCCATCTCTCACTTGCTCCAGGTCACAAACCATCATCCCAGAGCTTTCCTAAACCCACTCCCTAAACCGTGGCACCCACCCTACCGCCCTCTTCAGCCTGGCCCTTCTTGAATGTCCTATTTTCTACTTAAGCTAAGGAAAAAAATGCAATTCAAAGGTGGGGAAGTGTTTGTTTTTTTTTTGTTTTTTTTTTTTTTTTTTTTTTTTTTGAGATGGAGTCTCCCTCTGTTGCCCAGGCTGGAGTACAGTGGCGCAATCTGTGCTGACTGCAACCTCTGCCTCCCAGATTCAACCGATTCTCCTGCCTCAGCCTCCTGAGTAGCTGGGATTACAGGTGCGTGCCACCATGCCCAGCCAATTGTTTTTGTATTTTTAGTAGAGACAGGGTTTCACCACGTTGGTCAGGCTGGTCTCGAACTCCTGACCTCGTGATCCGCCGCCTCAGCCTCCCAAAGTGCTGGGATGACAGGTGTGAGCCACCTCGCCCGGCCGGGGAAGATTTTTAAACATTGAAAGGGCATAAAATTCCAAATAAAGGCAAGTCCATTAAAAATAATAATAATACGCTCTTGATCCTACTTTTGTGAGTACGATTTTTTGGAATCAGGCGTATGCCAGAATGGGTGGACACCAGTGGGATTCTCCTGGTCTGTGTTCCTCCCAGGCAGAGGTGAGATGAGGCCTTGGGAGGAAGTGGCTGGGGAGGCTGGTGGCCCCAGCAAGCACGAGGGAGGAGCAAGGAGACTGAGGCAGAGAAAAGAGGCCAGCCTGTGGGGTGCATTAAAGGCAAGCCCAGGGGCACACCAGACATCAGACCTACTGGGGGCCTCTGAGGGGCATGTGGAACATGCTCCCGAATCACCCACTGCCTTCCCCGGAAACCTACAGAGCTGCAGGGACCTGGGCAACCCAGGGATGCAGGACAGGCATGGGCAGCGTCCAGCCCCGGTCAGGACACTTTTGTGGTGAATTCTTCCACTTCTTGATAATCATTCTCAAAGACACATTTTGTTTGCAGAAGCAGGTGATTTTATTTTATTTATTTTTTATTTATTTATGTTTTTATTTTTTTGAGGCCGAGTGTCGCCTGCTGCCCAGGCTGGAGTGTAGTGGCAGGATCTTGGCTCACTGCAACTTCCACCTCCTGGGTTCAAGTGATTCTCCTGCCTCAGCCTCCTGAGTAGCTGGGATTACAGGCACCCACCACCATGCCCAACTAATTTTTGTATTTTTAGTAGAGACAGGGTTTCACCATGTTGTCCAGGCTGGTCTCAAACTCCTGGGCTCAAGTGATCTGCCACCTCGGCCTCCCAAAGTGCTGGGATTACAGGTGTGAGCCACCCCACCAGGCCAGAAAAAGGTGATTTTAAAGACTCTTAACCAACTTTGACAACTATTTTACTTTATTTATTTATATTTATTTTGAGATCGGGTCTCACTCTGTCGCCCAGGCTGGAGTGCAGTGGCGCAATCATGGTGCACTGCAGCCTTGACCTCCCAGGCTCAAGCCATCCTCCCATCTCAGCCTCCAGAGTAACTACATGTATGCACCACCACGCCTGGTTACTTTTATGTTTTTTGTAGAGATGAGGTTTCAGCATGTTGCCCAGGCTTGTCTCGAACTCCTCGGCTTAAGCAATCTACCTGCCATGGCTTCCCAAAGCGCCTGTAGTCCCAGCTACTCGGGAGGCTGAGGCAGGAGAATCGCTTGAACCCGTGAGGGAGAGGTTTCAGTGAGCCGAGATCGCGCCACTTCACTCCAGCCTGGGTGACAGAGTGAGACACGGTCTCAAAAATAAATGAATAAATAAATAATCACCTGCCTCTGCTGGGATTACAGGCCTGAGCCACCATGCCCAGCCAACTTGTTTTAAATGTATAAAAACTGAGAGTTTTAAAGACACTCTCTGTGCTTCATCTTTCATCACAGACAAAAGTGATGTTAAAGGGACTGGGGCTGATATGAATAGACTTCGAATTCAGTTGAATATTTCTGGATCAGATATTTCAAAAGAAAGACAGGGTCTTTTCTAGAAATGTCATGTAGGTAGAAGCATCGCATATGTGCCCTTTCACACCTGGCTTCTTCCACTTAGCATGCTTCTGAGGCTTGGTTGTGCTGTTACATGTATCGGTAATTCATTCTTTTTCATTATTGAGTTGAATTCCATTGAACACCGAAAAAAGTGACTTTTAGGGTGTGTACATCACACCTCAATAAAGCTGGTTAGAAATCAATGAGGATAAAGCTCTTCTTTGCGGGCACATGAGCATCCCTGATCCAGGCAGCCTGCCGTGAGCTGAGCGCCCCCAAAGACCACCATGACCTCATCAGAACAGGAGAACCCAAAGCCAGTGAAGACAGACATTCAGAGGACTCCCACCAGCCAGCTTGGGTGCACTGTCAGACACCAGGCTGCTGGCAGCCGAGGCAGGCCTGGGCTTCAGGTTTCCCCACCGCCTCCCCCAATGGAGGGGGTGACACCTGGCACTTTCATGGCAAGACCGGGCACCACAGCACGAGGCACAGCCACCCCAGCCTAGAGAAGACCAGGCTCCTGGGGGCCTGCAAGTCCTGTAGGGTCTGCTCTGCCACCCACCCCAGCCTTCACCTTCCATGTTTCCCTGCTCACTCTGGTCCTGCTCCAGGATCACGCCAAGCTCTGCTCACCACGGGGCCCTTGTCCCTGTCATCTCTCTGCCTGCTGCCCCCCACTGACTTCTTTGGCCAATCCTACCACCGTGACCACCTGCTCAGGAAAGTCCTGCCTCACCTGCAGGCCGGGTCAGCCACGCTCACAGATCTGAGCTGGGTCAGGGAAGGTCCCTGCGGGACGGTGTCCAATGTCTGCCCACTGGACAGAAAGCCCTCGAGGGTAAAGAACAGGCCTGCCCTGCTCACGGCAGTGCCGTCAGCTTAGGGGGCTAAGCAGCCTGGCCCAGATCTGACCATTAAGAGCCACACTCTGAGCTACAAAACTACGTTGCCAAGTGAGGAAATCGGGGATGAAACAACCCATCTCCATCGGACCTTACTCTCCACGGTCCTCAGTGGTCCCCTCTGGGCAGAGAGAGGACGAGGCTCCACTTCACACTGGGCCCGCCTGCGTTTTCCCACAAGGAGCAGAGATGGCGTGTGCAGAGTGAAGACGGATTATGAATGAAGGAAGGAACTGCGCACAGATCCTCCCCCCATGACTGCGGCGGCCCTCGAGGCCCCTTAGGGGTTCAAGGCCCCCATGTGGGGAACACCCAGTTAGATGCCCTCAAAGACCCCCGCCCCTCCAACAGCTGGCGACCTTTCACCCGGCTGACCAGAGGGAAGACCACCAGGGAAGTGGAGGATTGCCAGCGAGGGTCAGGCCCCAGGGGGGCAATGGCATTTCCAGGAGGGGGATTCTGGGGGGTCTCGGGCAGGAAGGGAGGGAGAGGCGGGCAGGAAGGGCTGGGAGGCTGGACAGAGGAGAGCGAGGGGACGAGGGGCACAGGGGCGCAGCTATTGGGGGTTGCAGGGAGGAGGCTGGGTCGGAAGGGGCCGTCCATGCAGCTCTAAAGTCCCCGAAGCTTTCTTCTGTCTCCCCTGTCCTTTATTTGAAGCAAGAAACAAGGGGAGGGAGAAGGCAAGAAAAGAAAAGAAAGAAACGAAGATGACAGAGATAGGGAAGGGAACAGAAAGATGCAGGCACAGGACAGGGACAGAGACAGAGAGGCAGAGGCAGAAGCAGAGGCGAAAGCACACAGAGGCTGAGAGGATCCTGTCAGAGCTAGGAGGAGCCATAGGGCCATCTGCCCATAGAGCCGCCGAGGCCGTCACAGAAACCTTCAGACGGGCCCTAAACGCAGAGACCCTGGAAACGTTCAGAGTAAGCACCGGTCGGTCAGTCGGGGTCAGAGTTATCAGGAACAGCACAACCAAACCAGGCACAGAGAGCCCCTCCACTCTCCCTCTCTCCCCATCCCTCTCCCACTTTCCCTCTGTAGCTCTCTCCCTCTCCCTCCTCTCTTCCTCTCTCTCCCCGCTCCCTCTCTCTCCCTCTCTCCCTTTCTCCCTCCTCTCTCTGCCTCCCTCTCTCCCTTTCTCCCTCCTCTCTCTGCCTCCCTCTCTCCCTTTCTCCCTCCTTCTCTCTCTGCCTCCCTCTCTCTCCCCGTCTCTCTGTCCCTCTCTCTCTCCCTCCATCTCTCTCTCCCCCCTTCCCTCTCTCCCTCCTTCCCTGTCTCTCTCCCTCCTTCCCTCTCTCTCTCCCTCCTTCCCTCTCTCTCTCCCTCTCCCTCTCACTCTCCGTCTCTCTCCTTCCATGTCTCTCCCTCTCCCTCTCTCTCTCCCTCTTCCTCTTTCTTCTCTTATGAATCTCTCTTTTTCTACCTCTCTCCGCTCTCCCTTTCTCTCCCCTCCTCTCTTTCTCCCTCTTTATCTCTCCCTTTGTCTCCCCTTCTCTCTCTCCCCATCTCTCCCCCCTCTCCCTCTCTCTCTCCCTCTGTCTCTGTGTGTCTCTCCCTTTCCGTCCCTCTCCCTCTTCCTCCCCACCCCCACCCCCCTTCCCCCCATTGGTCTCCTGGGTGAGGAGGGGGGCTGATGGAATGCTGTTTCAGGCCAGAGGGTTCCGAGGGCGGAAGGAGGGCACCCACAGCAGGTTCGATGGCAGAGGCCTCTACTCGTTAGGCCTCCCTGGGCCTCACAGCACAGCCCCAATTACGGTTTCGTGTGTCATGCTATTTTGATTCATGTTTCCTGTCTGGAAAACAGACTGGAGTGTTGGGCCCTGGGCCAGGACAGGGGCCGGGAGGGCAGGGGCAGGAACCTGCCCGGTCACTGACCAGAGCCCACTGCAGGAAACGGGAACTTTCCAGGGAGGCAGAACTACAGTCCCTGCCCCACCCCCACAAACAGCCTGAATGCACACAGGGAGGGGGACACTGCTGACCTCTGGCTTGGAGCTGAGTTCAAATCCTGCCTTGCTCAGCCACCCCTTCCAGCCGTGCAGCCTCAGCCCCTCATCCTCCCTGCTGGCCTTGCTGGTCTCATCTGTAAATGGGAAGGCACAGCATTGCCGTGGGTGCACGTGCAAAGTCCCTAAGGAAGCCTGGCACATGCGTGGTTTGTTTTGTTGTCACCCGTATTCCAGTTGTCACTTTAGGGCAGGCGTGAGGCTGGAAAGCGGGAGGAGGAGGCACGGCAGGTGCACAGAGTGTCGGCTCAGTGACCACTGTTCTCGTCTGTAAATGGCTTTGCACCAACACCTACGTCATGGAGTCCTCGGGCAGTCAATGGGTCCATCCATGTGCAGGGCTCAGAAGAGCGCCTGGCACAGAACAGGTGCCACCAATGTGAGCTCCTGCCATCATCGCCACAGCCCTCACTTCCATCACCATCGGAGGCCTGTGAAGCTCTGTGTGGGCCCCCACGGAGTTTCCAGAGCCTCCAGGGCGGACATCACATGCCTGCCATGGGCACCTGCAGCAAGGGGCCACGGAGGTCTCCCCAGCAACACGAGTCCTTTCTCAGAGAGTCCCCAAGATGGTGGCACAACAGCGGGAAGACAGCCCCACCCCTCCCTTCCCAAAGAAGCCAAGATCATCCAAGCCAGGATAAGCCCTCGGAGAACATGGGTGGGGGCCACAGCCATCTTCCTCTGATCAGTAACAGACAAGCCCCGAGCTCCTTCACATGCCAGACAGATTCAGGGGGCAAAGACAGGCAGCCCCTGCCCCCAAGGGCTCACCATCTACCTGAGGGTGCTGTGCCAACAGCACAAGGTCATACCGGGTGTATTACTCATGGCCAAGGAATGGGACAAAGGCTGCACCCCCGCAACACAGAGACCAGGAGGAAGGCAAATGCACTGGGGGTTGTGCCCACAGCTGGGAAGCAGGACAGTAAATCAGCGCTGGCAATAATTTGAAGAAGAATCACATGTGTGTTGTTAAGTGAAGCAACCAAGGTGCAAGATTGTAGATATAGACACACATATATGGACATGCACACGTGTGTACATGCGCATACATAAACATGCATGTACGTGCACATATAGTACACACTTGTGTACATATTCATATACATGCACCCATATATACAAACATGCATGTAAACGTGCTTGTGTGTGCATGCACACATACCTGAGCACACATACATGCGCACATATGCATATATACATACAGTACACCCATATATGCATACAGACAGACATATACATATGCACACATACATGCACACACAGATGCAGACACCTACATACACAGACACATATATGTGTACTCATATATGTAATCACAGATACACAGATACATAGGGTGTAAGAAAGGGAAGAAAAGAATCTGCTTGTATGAAACAGCCAAGTGTCTATCAACAGATGAATGGATAAACAAAATACGGCAGATTCAGACCACACAATATTATTTACCATAACTAGGAAGGAAGGAGGCCGGGTGTGGTGGCTCACACCTGTAATCCCAGCACTTTGGGAGACCGAGGTGGGCGCATCACCCGAGGCCGGGAGTTTGAGACCAGCCTGGCCAACATGGTGAAACCTCTTCTCTACTAAAAACACAAAATTACCCGGGTGTGGTGGCTACTTGGGAGGCTGAGGCAGGAGAATTGCTTAAACCACGGAGGTGGAGGTTGCAGTGAGCTGAGATGGCACCACTGCACTCCAGCTTGGGCGACAAGAGAGAAACTCCATCTCAGAATAAAAAAAAAAAAAAGGAAGGAAGGGCTGACACACATTACAACCTGGAGGAGCCCTGAAAACACGACGCAGAGTGGAAGAGCCAGTCACAAAGGCCATGCAGTGCAGCTTCCGTTCCTATGGAATATCCATCAAAGGCAAATCGGTAGAGAGAGGAGGCAGCTTGGTGTTTGCAGGGGGCCGGGGATTCACTGTCAATGGGCAGGGGGATGTTACTTGGTCAGGGGTAAGGATGCTCTCAAGCTGACTTGGGGGGCGGCTGCACCACTTGGTAAAATTAGTAAAAATCTTTGAGTTGCACACCTCAAATGAGTGAACTTTTTTTTTTTTTGAGACGGAGTCTCGCTCTGTCGCCCAGGCTGGAGTGCAGTGGCGCGATCTCGGCTCACTGCGACCTCCGCCTCCCGGGTTCAAGCGATTCTCCTGCCTCAGCTTCCCGAGTAGCTGGGATTACAGGCACCCGCCACCACGCCCGGCTAATTTTTGTATTTTTATTAGAGACGGGGTTTCACCATGCTGGCCAGGCTGGTCTCGAACTCCCGACCTCAGGCGATCCGCCTGCCTTGGCCTCCCAAAGTGCTGGGATTACAGGCGTGAGCCACCGCGCCCGGCCTGAAATGAGTGAACTTTATGATGAGTAAAATATCCCACAATCAAGTTGTTCTTAAAGAGACTCTGCTTCCTCCCCACCTGTGCTGTGTGGGCTCAGGAAGGGCCCCAGAGAAGCAGATCCCACTGAGGCTGCTGCCCTGTGAAGGGGGCCGGGGCCGGGTGGATCTATGGGAACTGAAGCAGAGCGTCTCAGGAGCCCATCCCGGCTTGACTTTCAACCTATGGGAATATTTGCCCATTCAGATTCACCAATTGTAGATAAGAACGAAATAATGTCCATCTGAGGGGGGATCGCATCCTCCACCTGGCCATCCCAGAACCCAGGACAGAGCGACGCTCCCCCAGTGCTAACCCAGGAGTGGACCCCAGTTCTCCTGAGCCCTTCCAGTGCATATCATGGTGAGACCGGGTGGTGAAGCAAGGGGAACTCGTTGGTGCTTTATCTTCCCTTGCTCTAGGAGGGTAAGGACCACTGCCTTCAGTGACTGCCCTCCGATTTGCTGAGAGCCTCTAGGCACAGCAGTTGCAGCCACGAGCCTGGGTGGGAGGGCGTGAAACATCTTCACTCACTGAGCCCTCCTCATCACCATCCCCATGTTAAAGAAGAAAAAGCTGAAGTGGTGGAGCAGAGATCCAAACCAAACACCAACAACCTGCCCGAGGATTTACAGTTCCAGGTGCCTCTGAAGGGAGCCCAGGGCTTTCTGGGCCTGTAGAGTTCGAAGGCACCAGGTAACTCCTGACTTAGGCCTCCTGCCCCACACTCTGCTCCCAGCACAGAAGTGGCCGCAGGCCCTTTACTCGTCTGCCCCTCTGGAGGAGCCAGAGAGAAACTGGGAGGCCCAGTGGGAAGCCCTTCTGCCCCAGTTCACCAGTGCCTCCCAGTCTAAACAAAACCACAGCCCAGAAGTCCCCAGCCCCTTTAATTAGACTCCCACTGTTCTGCCCAGGAGGACCTCAGACTTAACTGTACAATGTGTTAACCTCCTTGGCTATTCTTGAGCCAACAGTTTGGGAATATTTCACTAGAAAAAAACAATAGCCTTACAGTCCAAGGGTGGGAGTCAGACACAAAGAAGAAACGGATTCTTTTTTTTATTATTGGGATAAAATTCAGATACTATAAAAGTCACCCTTTTAAAGTATGCAATTCAGTGGTTTCTAGTATATTTACAAAATTGTGCAACCATCAGCACTATCAGATTCCAGGACATTTCCATCCCCTCAAAAGAAACCCCATGCCCATTAGCAGTCACTCCCTATTCCCTCTCCTCCCGGCCCCTGCTTTCTGCTGTCTTTGTGGATTTGCCTCTTTTGGAAAACTCACATACGTGGACTCATGCAGTATATGGCTGACATTGTTTGGACATTTGTCCCCACCCATATCTCATGTTGAATTGTAATCCCCAGTATTGGAGATGGGGCCTGGTGGAAGGTAACCGGATCATGGGGGTGGATTTCTCATGAATGGTTTAGCACCATCGCCTCAGTGCAGGTCTCAAGACAGTGAGTGAGTTCTCGTGAGATCTGGCCATTTAAAACTGTGGCACCTGGCTCTCTCTCTTGCTCCTGCTCCAGACATGTGACAGGTGCCTGCTCCTCCTTCACCTGCCACCGTGATTGTAAGTTTCCTGAGGCCTCCCCAGAAGCCAAGCAGATGCCAGCACCACACTTACGGTACAGCCTGCAGAACTGTGAGCCAATTCAACCTCTTTTCTTTATAAATTACCCAGTCTCAGGTATTTCTTTACAGCAATCCAAGGATAGTCTAATACAGTGGTCTTTCGTGACTGGCTTCTTCCACTTAGCCTGATGTTTTCAAAGTTCATCGATGTTGTAGCACTTCATTCCTTTCCATGTCTGAGTATTAGTCCACTGTGTGGATAGGCCACATTCTCTTGACTCATCAGTTGCTGGAGTGGTGGGCTTCAGCTGAGCCTTGGGGTGGGGGTGGGAAGGTTCTAGGAAGGAGGCAGCAGGCAAAACTCCAAGGTGGGTACAGGCGTGGCCCCCAGACCACGGGAGACTGTATGAGGGAGGGCTCTCAGGCCGCCAACACTGAGCGCCCTCTGCCAGCTGCACCACCTGGTGTCCATCCATGATGACAGCTGCTTGGCCATAACACCCGCCCAACAGAGCACTGAGACACAGGGCAGGTCCAGGTAAACTCGCCTCAGTGTGTCCACTTGTCGCCGAGGTGTCCACTTAAAGGGACACCCAGAGCTCTCATGAGCTTTTTCTCTCGAATATCTACAAGAATATTCTGCGTAGTAAAAATCCAACCCAAAGATCAGCCCAATGCAGAAAAGTAACCCCTGGAAACGACCTTTCATGCACTCATTCCCTCCAATCTTTATCGTCATGTGCTACATGCTGAAGATGCAGCAGCGGGCAAGAGACTGCAGCCCCTGCTGTTACAGGGTTCACAGTCTGATGGGGGAGCCAGATGTTAGACAAATAAAAACTCATGCTGCAAACCACAATGGGAGCTGCTAAAGTGACAGGAGGTAAAGACAGAAAGCACTGAGGAAGGGGAGGACCTGCCTTGGATTGGATGGTCAGGAAAGGGGGATTTAGGCCAAAAAATGGGGGATGAAAATGAGTCGACCACGGAAAGGGCCAGGGGTGTTCCAGGCAGAAGGAATATGTGTGTGTGGAGGTGTTGGGAGGGGGTCTCAGATGGGAAAGAGTTGCACTGAGACACTGATGGGCAAGGCAGGGGAGGCGCAAATGAAGTGAAAGCCAGAGGCGCCATCGTGGGGCATTTTCCCATGGAGATCTGAAGCGGGAGGGGCCGTGGGTGCAGGAAAGGTGGGGAGTGGGGTCCAGGGTCCCTGGAGTTGGATAATTCCCTTTCTAACATGTTAATCTCTTTATTTGGATTACTATTCATAAAATGAAACGACATACCTGTCAAAAATATAAATTGAGCCCGGGAGGGTGTAGTGGATCCCACCTGCAATCCCAGCATTTTAGGGGGCTGGGGTGGGTAGCCTGATTGAGCCCAGGAGTTTGAGCCTGGGAAATATGGTAAAACCCTGTCTCTACAAAAAGAAAATACAAATATTAGCTAAGTGTGGTGGTGTGTGCCTGTAGTCCCAGCTATTCGGGAGGCTGAGGCGGGAGGATTGTTTGAGCCTGGGAGGCTGAGGCTGCAGTGAGCCATAATTGCACCCCTGCACTCCAGTGTGAGGGACAGAGTGGGACCCTGTCTCAAATATATATATGTGTGTGTGTGTGTGTGTGTGTGTGTGTAAAACATTTGAGCCAATGCTGGGAATAAAACCTTATATGATAAAAGCTGGAGAGCAATGCAACTTGGATAATAATGTTAATATTAAACAGTGATGTAAAGCATTATATTTGTTAGTAACATACAAAATGAACTGCCCAAGCGCAAAAGGACTTCCGGGGTGCACTATTTATCCCCATGGCTCCCTGCATGGGGCTAGCTTGGAAATGCCATTCGTGCACTGTTGACTACATTCGTCCATCCATCGCTTCGTTCATTCAACAAGCCCATGAAGCCACAGGGACAAATTCACGGGTAAATATAGCAATGATACAACTAAGTGCTGGACCGGCCTGAACAAGCCGTTGGATTTAAGGAATCTGCAGAGCACAATGACTGGATGAGTTTTGGAATCGGGCAGACCTGGATTCAAACTTCATCAAATGCTCCCTGTGCAATGAACCAGCTGCCTGCTCTCCCCGGGCTCCCGTTAATGGGTCCATAAAAACCTACCCCACAAGGGGGCTCCCATTGTTAAAGCAGCCAGTTCCAGAAAGCAGCTGGCACAATCCCTGGCACGCTGTAAGAACAGGCCGGGGCCACTATTGTTGCTGTAAAATAAAGATATTTTTGCTTAAAATAGAACAAGAGCAAATAGACCAAAATGTTAACAAAATTTACCCCTAAGTGTTAGAATCACATGATTTTTACCGTCTTAAAGATAATGTTCTGAATTGCCCACATTTTCTACCATCAACATGTAATTTTTACGGAACGCGAAGGAGCGAGTTGAGAGTTTTTTAGATGGAATCCATTGCATTTGACAGTCCTGACTCCGCTGCTTGGCCGGAAAGCGCGCAGCAAAGGACCGCAGGAGTCAGCCTCGGCTCCTCCCAGGCCCCAGGGAAAGCAGCTCACAATGCTGCCGACACCCAAAGTGAGGACTCTTTCTTTCCATGACTCCTCAAATCCCGCCCTAGTGAGCCGCGGGGGGTCTGCTGGGGCAGCTTGAAGGTCAAGACCAAAATCCCACCTAGAGAGAAAGTCCGGCTGTGGTTGGCACCTGGCGGCCCACCTAGGAGGGACGGTGGACCTGGAGGCCACAGAGCCGAGGCCCACCGTCCTGACCAGCCAGGAGGCATGGGCACCCGCCTCTCACCACGGGGCTCCCTCCGTGTTGAAGATGTCCCCAGCACACAGGGACGCCCAGGACGACCTCCCAGGAGGGCCAGGGTCGAGGACGCTGTGCGATGACCCAAGGGCAGAGCGCTGTTTCCGTGTGTTTTATGAGCCTCGCAATCCCTCCTCCCCTCTAAGCCGGTGCAAAGATCCTTATTTAAACTATAAATTGAATTAAAACTCATATTTAATATGCAGTTATGGTGCGGTTAATGGTTTTATGGGCCAGGCTGTTGCCTTCCTATTGCTTACAATGTTGTCCTTTACGTTTGCCAAAACCAGGCTGCTCGAATGACCGAGCGGACGCCAAGTTATTAACAATTATTACCTTTTACAGTCATTTTTGGCCCTGGCATGCTTTTTTGGTGGTCTCATAATTTCAAAACAGAGACCTTTGAAATCTTACCCCGAGACCAAACGGGCCTGCGGACGGCAATTCCTCTCTCCCCGCCGAGTCCGGCCCATTTCCCATTGTGAGCTGTTCTTCCGCCCACACACCCCCAGCAGGAGTTCCAGCCTATGCCACAGGCTGGCTTCCCGGAGGATGGAGCCCTCCCGGACACAGGGGCCCCTTCTCAGGGGCACACAGGACAGCCTGAGCCACACCGTTAGTAGGGGTGGACGACCTCAGGGGACTGGCCTTCCCAAGGTCACCCAGGCCGAGAGCCGAGGGCACACCATGGCCCTGTCACAAAACCACAGCCCTGTTGCCCTACACCAGCCACGACCCTCACAGAGCTTTCCTCAACCTTGCACATCTGGTCATGACTGTTAGCCACATTATTATACCTCATGCATGTGTGATCTGGACACAGGGTAGACTTCACACGTGTGTGCATGTATGTGTGTGTGCATGTGTGTGGGTGTGTGTACATGTGTGCATGTGTGTGGAGTGTATGTACATGTGTGCGTGTGGGTGTGTACATGTGTGCATGTGGGGAGTGTATGTGTGTGTACATTGTGTGGGTGTATTGTATGTGTGTACATGTGTGCATGTGTGTGGAGGGGTGTATGTGTATGTACACGTGTGCGTGTGTGTGGGTGTGTACATGTGTGCGTGTGGGGGGTGTATGTGTGTGTACATGTATGTGTGTGGGTGTATTGTATGTGTGTGGGTGTGTGTACATGTGTGCATGTGTGTGGGTGTGGGTGTATTGTGTGTACATGTGTGTGGGTGTATGCATGTGTACGTGTGGATGTGGTGTGTGTACATGTGTGCATGTGGTGTGTGTACATGTGTGCGTGTGTGTGGTGTATGCACGTGTACGTGTGCATGTGGGTGTAGGTGTAATGTGTGTGGGTGTACGTGTGTGTACATGTGTGAGTATGGATGTATGTGTGTACATGTGTGTGGGTGTATACGTGTGCGTGTGTACGTATGCATGTGTGGGTGTATTGTGTACATGTGTGCGTGTGTGGGTGTATGTGTACATGTGTGGATGTGTGGGTATGGGTGTGTGTGTACATGTGTGCGTGTGTGGGTGTACGTGTACATGTGTGGATGTGTGGGTATGGGTGTGTGTGTACATGTGTGCACGTGTGGGTGGGTGTATGTGTACATGTGTGCGTGTGGGTGTATGTGTGTGCATGTGTGCATGTGTGGGCATGGGTGTATGTGTACATGTGTGGGTGTGTACATGTGTGCATGTGTGCGTGTACGTGTGTGGGGGGCTGTATGTGGGTACGTGTGGGTGTGGGTGTATGTGTACGTGTGTGGGTGTATTGTGTGTACATGTGTGGGTGTGTACATGTGTGGGTGTGCATGTGTACGTGTGTGGGTGTATTGTGTACATATGTGCGTGTGTTGGTGTACATGTGTGCGTGTAGGGGGTGTGCGTGTGTACATGTGTGCATGTGTGTATTGTGTGTGGGTGTATGTGTACATGTGTGTGTGTGGGTATACATGGGGTGTGGGGGTGTGTATACATGTGTGCGTGGGGGGTGTGGGTGTATGTGTGTGTACATGTGTGCGTGGGGGGGTGTGGGTGTATGTGTACATGTGTGTAGGTGTGTGTACATGTGTGCATATGTGTGCACGTGTGAGTAGGGGGTTTGGATGTGTGTACATGTGTGCGTGTGTGGGTGTGTCTGTACATGTGTGCCTGTGGGTGTGTGTACATGTGTGCCTGTGGGTGGGTGTGTGTGTCCATGTGTGCGTGTGGGGGAGTGTATGTGTGTACATGTGTGCATGTGGGGTTCTATGTGTGTGTGCGTGTGCATGTGTGTGGGGTGTGTGTACATGTGTGCGTGTGTGGGTGTATGTGTACGTGTGCATGTGTGTGGGTGTATGTGTGCATGTGTGCATGTGTAGACATGACAGAGCTCATCATATGACCTCCAAGTTCTCAAAGCAACTTTTATTAAATACGTCTTCCTTAATGGATTCTGCGTGCTTTAAATATGTACAAATATGTATATTTATTATACATATTTATATGTATATAACTTTTAGATATATAATATATACATATTTGTAAGGTATTACATAAATAAATATTATACAAAAACTACAATGGGGAAAAAAAAATAAAGTCCACATCATTCTTCCTTTTGGGTCCCACATCCTCCAAAATTGAATGGCTAGTTCTGAATTTTGAACCGAGGAGTGTGGGCAGGAGGCACCAGCTTCCCTAAGCAGAAAGCAGGCAGTAAATCACGAGGACGGGGTCTGAATGTTGTTGTTTATACCCCCTCAATATCTCAGTGGGAAAACTATAGGTGTTTAGAAGCCCAAGGGCATGTCCCAACCCGGTGGGACCGGACATTGCTTCTCATTCCTGGCCTCACAGCTCTGCCCACATGTGAGGTCCACAGTGAGCCGCTCACCAGCCCCCACATTAGTGGCAGGCACCCATCAAAACACCTCAGTCTGTCAAGGGATGAGCCAAATGTCCACAGCAGCATGATTCCTAATAGCCTCACAGTGGAACAAGCCCCATGTCCAGCTGATGAACAGATAAATAAAATGAGGTCTCTCCACACAGTGGAATATGATTCAGACACGAAAGGAAATGAAGTTCTGGCACAGGCCGCATCGTGGATGAACCTTGAAGCCATGATGCTGAGTGAAAGAAGCCAGTCACCAAAAGCCGCATCGTGTGCAAGTCCATTTCTCTAAACATCCAGGACAGGTTAATCCACAAGCACAGAAAGCAGAGAGGTGGCTGCCCAGTCTGGGGAGAGCGGGAAGTGGGAAGCGACTGCTCACCAGCTGCAGAGATTCTCTTTGTGATGATGAAAATGCCTGGGAATTACACAGTGGTGCTGATGGTACAAATCTGTGAATATGCTAAAAACTGCTGAATTACACACTTCAGATGGGTCCACTGTATGCTAGGTGAATTTTATTTCAATCAGGCTTTTTAAAAAAATAGCTGGCTGCCACACCGCAAGTATCTCGAGCCCCTGCTGAAGGCCCCGCAATTCCAGTGCCTGGGTGGCCCCGAGGTTGGCCGAGGTTTCCTGGGTGGCCATTACCCTACCACAGGCACATCGGATTCCTGGAGAGACAACCCAAAGTACAAGGGGTTTCTGCAGAATGACACCAGCTGGGTATTAATTTCTTAGGGTTCCTCAGGAGAATCGCCTCTGCTTGGATTCTGCTCCGCAGTGCAGTTGCTCCTCTGCAATGCAACTTGTTTTCTTTGGTTCCAGACTGGCCACCCCATGAGCTGAAGCTGTAGGCCTTTGGGAAAAAGCTGGAAGCTGCTGTTGAGCTGTAACACAGCAGTGAGAATGCAGGCTTTGGAGCTGTGTTTGGAAAGTAGGTGTGTGTATGGCTTTAACTCTGTGTTTTTAAGCGTTAGTGAGACCCTTTCATCTGCATTAGCCCAGTACCTGAATGGCTGTACTGAGAAAAGCCAGCTTCATTCTACAGAAGATAGCCTAAAAGAAGGAGCTGTGGACAATTAAAATGGACACAAAGTCTTTGCTCTTCCTCCTTTGAGAGGCAGAGTCTAATTCTTCTCCTCTTGAATCTAGGCCATCCTAGATTGGCCTAGTTGGTTGGCCAATGAACTGTGGCAGTGATGAGTTGGGATATCCAAGGACTGATCCTAGGCAGGCTTCCACCTTCAGTATTTTCTGTGAACACACTGAAGGAACCTTGAGCTGATACGTAAGAAGTTCACCCACTCTGAGACCACCCTGCAGAGGCCATCTGTAGGTGACAGCAGCTGAGCCAGTCTTCCAGCTCTCTTTGCCAAGGTGCCAGAAATGAGACTAAAGCAGCCTTGGGACCCTCAGAATAATAACCCATCTGTCAGCTGAATATCACCAAGTGACTTCCATCCATGCGACAGAGAGCAGAAGAATCACCCAGCTGAGCCCTGTCCAATTCCTGACCCAAAAAATCAAGATACAGAATTAAATGTTTTACTCCTAATTCCCGCTACCCAAATTCCTGTCACCGTGTTACCTTGCATTGGAAATTCTCAGTGTGGGTGATACTGCTGCCTAGAGGGTGTTTTGGAAACTACGGGCATTATTGGTTGAAATATTGCTGGAGTATTACTGGCATTTACAGAAGGAGGTGCAGCAAGGGCCACTTGGCATCCTGCAATGGGCAAGACAGCCTCATTCAACCAACAATTTGACCCACACCCTGTGCAACTTGTGACATTCACAGAGATGAACGCGTTCATTGAGTAATTATCTGAGCCTGGGACATAGCTCTTTTTACATACAGATGCAAAGCATTTTTTAATAATTTTAACATACTCTGAATATTTCAAATATGTAACTACCACATAAATCAAAGGAAGACTACAACTTGCTTGGTTCATAACCTCATTAAAAATTGTTCAGAAAATTACAATGAAAGTTGGCAAGCCCTTGTGGTATCTGAGTCACCCACATGCACTCAGAGGAGCTGCTTCTGAAGCTACCACTCTCTTGGCAAGTCTGCGAGTCCATATGCAAATATACTTATTTAATCCCTATCTTAAAATCTTAAATATCAATAGACAGGCCTGACAATATGCCATCGAGTAGTATCTTCTTTAAAGTCCAAATTCACTCATGATAGGTAGAAGCAGCTGACTACTTGGTTAAGACTTCTAGCATAGGTGTTCGTGAGCCCTTACATATTAAAATACATATTTTAAATAGATAAGATCCTTTTATTTCTTTTTCATATGAGTTAAACCATTGTTTTTGAAATTCCATCTGTAGGTACATGATGTTATATGAATTCCATTTCAGAATTAAAAGGAACTGTTATAAAATAGTTGCATTCGAAGGGATCCTTGGGCTGGGCACAGTGGCTCACAACTGTAATCCCCGCACTTTGGGAGGCCGAGGCAGGTGAATCACGAGGTCAGGAGATCGAGAGCATCCTGGCTAATATGGTGAAACCCTATCTCTACTAAAAATACAAAAAAATTAGCCAGGCATGGTGGCGGTCGCCTGTAGTCCCAGCTACTCGCGAGGCTGAGGCAGCAGAATGGCGTGAACCCAGGAGGCGGAGCTTGCAGTGAGCCGAGATAGTGCCACTGCACTCTGGCCTGGGTGACAGAATGAGACTCCATCTCAAGAAAAAAGAAGGGATCCTTGGGTTTGACAAGGTTGAAAACCATGGTGCTACAATGGGCTTGGGTCCCTGGTGCCATCCAGGGAAGGGTGGAAGTTTCTTGAAAAAATCATAAGGCCCTGTAGACACTGTAATCCTGTATGCACAGGGTAAAATCAGTTGACAAAATATGTCTTTGACTTGCCCGGAGCACACTTTGGCTGTCATCCTTACTGCCTAACTGCTGTGTGACCCAGAGCAAATCAGGCCCCTCTCTGAGCTCTGGCTTACTTGTCTGTACTAAGAACACCTTCCAGGGGACTCAAAATCCCTAACAAAAAGCAATCATGCTCTTTCCTTGGGGAACCCCCGGAAGATGGTATTTTGGCCCCTGTTGATGACAGGTCCTTCCATACAAAAGCCAGGGTGAGAAAAGGTCTGGGCACTGGGAAGGAAAAGAGAAAGCTTCCATCTTCATCCTTAGAATCAAAAAGCACCATTTCCCATTCACCCATGTTAAAGACGGAAAACAAGAAAAAAAAAAATTCCACAGCACATGAATGCCTCAGAAGACACAATGCAAGGCCGCTTCTGGAGAGAAAAAGTGGGGGGATAAATCGGGCTTTTCAGCCCGCGAATAAAAAGTGTCCTTTAGCAGGCGATAATTATATACAGGAAGGCAATTAAAGTTTTAATAATTTAATTACCTTCCTGCAAACCCATCAAGGGAAAATGTGGAGTGAAAACATTGTTGAGGGCCAGCAGCCGCGATGAGGGGATCAAAGGCTGTGAGACAGCTCAGCTCTGAAGCAGTTGACACATTAATTTTTACGGGCTGACCACCGTTATTAATAGAAGAAACTAGATGGAAGTATTTTTCCACGGTGGGGGGGACCACATCGTCATTTGATTTCTGATGTTACAGCAAACACAGTTTTGGCTTCTCCCTGGAAATGAATCTTGTTTTCTTTGACCTTCACTTGGCTTGAGGCAGGGCCAACTTCCAAGACTGAGCCTCACAGAGTGGGCTCCCCGCTCAGGGCTGCCGTTTCAGAACATCAACAAGAAACCCGGACAGGAGATCAAAGGGAGCCTGGCTGGAAACCTCGGGACAGGGCGGGCACAGCCAGGCACTGGAAGGCAAGAGCACCTTGTAGCTGCCCGCCCATTGATGGGGCCGGCCCAGGCCCCCCAGCCTCAGCCACCCTCTCACCCCATCGGGTCTACGCCTAACCAAGGGCCACCTGTACTGGCATTTACGTCACATCCATCCATTACTTTGTCATTGTTGTTTTATTGTAAAATGCACATAACATAAAATTTACCATTTTAACCCCAGTAAAGTCCACAATTCATTGGTATTAAGCACAGTCACAGTGTTGTGCAGCCATCACCTCTATCTGGTTCCAGAGCTTTTCATCACACCAAAAGGAAACTTCATCTCCATGAGCAGTCACTCCCCACGCCCCTTCCCTAACCCCTGGCAACCACTCATCCACTTTTTGTCTCTAGGACCTCCCTCTTCTGGGCATTTCATATCAGTGGGATTCTATCATATGTGACCCTTTGTGACTGATTTATTTCAGTCATTACTTTTCAAACTGATATAAGTGCATATATATATATATATATATATATATATATATATACACACACATACACACACACACACACACATACACACACACACACACACACACACACACACATATATAGAGAGAGAGAGAGACGGAGTCTCAATCTGTCACCCAGGCTGGAGTGCAGTGGCACAGTCACGGCTCACTGCAGCCCAACCTCCCAGGCTCAACCAATCCTCCCACTTCAGCCTCCCAAGTGGCTGGGACCACAGGCGGGTGCCAGCAAGCCCAGCTAAATTTTTTTATTTTTTGTAGTGAAGGGGTCTCACTAGTATATGTTGCCCAGGCTAGTCTCAAACTCCTGGACTCAAGTGATCCTCCTGCCTTGGCCTTCCAACCTAAATGCCACCAGGCCCAGCCTAAATGCATCTTAAAAGGAAACTTCATGTTACCATCAACAATAGAAGCCATCTATCACTTACCATAAATAGAAATCAACTATAAAAAATTAATACACTGAAAACAAGTTCTCATCACCCGTTGCTCAGTTCAGGGAACATTTGTTGAGCTCTTCCCATGCCCCAGTCACTGAGTTCATCATTGCCACAGGAAGCTGGGACTCAGCCCTGCTGGGAGCTTCCGAGGAACTTTTCGAGCTGTACCTGAGTTGTCCTCTAAAGCAGCCATCCCCGGTCTTTTTGGCACCAGGGATCAGTTTCATGGAAGACAGTTTTTCCATGGATGGTTGGGGGAGATGGTTTCAGGATGAAACTGTTCCACCTTACACCACCAGGCATTAGATTCTTGAAGGAACACACACCCTAGATCCGTGCATGTGCAGTTCACAGTAGGGTTTGCACTCCTATGAGAAGCTAATGCCGCTGCTTATCTGACAGGAGGCCGAGCTCAGGCCGTAATTTTAGCTTGCCTGCTGCTCACCTCCTGCTGTGCGGCCTGGTTCCTAACAGGTCATGGACCAGTATTGTCCTCGGCCTGGGGGGACTGGGGACCCCTGCTCTAAAGAACAGGAGGCAGGGATGGACTCCCATCCCCTAATGGGTCTAGGGATACCTCCTGGGGAATTCACCTTCCCCACCCTTCTGGCTGCAGCTTGGAGATTACTGAGGCCTGCAGGGTCCTGGGAAGGGATGCAGTTGGCATACACGGGAACTGTCCACAGAAATAAGAAGTGGGCTGGCAGGATGTAGCAGAAAGCACTCACACGGTCTGCAACATGGAAATCATTTTGTGTCACTTCGTAAATTTCTGATTCATTCCATTTTACAGCCACCTGATATATCATTGTGTGACTAAACCAACAACGACTTAATATATTTTTTATTGATAGATCATTGGGGTGCTTCTATCTTTTTGCTATCACCAACAATGCTGAAATTGAAATAGTTATAATCATTCCATCTGTGTATGAGTATAATCTTAATATAAATATCTAGAACTGAAATTGGGGGTCAAAGGATAAGTGACTGTACATCACAATAGGTATTTCCAAAGTGTTTTCTTTAGAGATGCTGTCAGCTTATCCTCTCACCAACAATTTATGAAAATGCCCATTTCTGCATCACCAATATGGTGAGTTATTCAATTTTGGCCAGTCTGATAGGTGAGAAATGCATATACTTCACTGTGGCTTTAATTTGCATTTGAGATTTGTGTTTAATTGGCATATTCCAATCTCCATTTTGCAGATGAGAAAACAGACTCAGAGAGGTTAAGGAACTTGTCCACGGTCACAGCCAGCAAGCGCAAAGCCAGGCTCTGTGTCCTGGGCTTGTCCCTCTCCATTCCTGCTGGATCTCACAGCACATGATGTATCCTGTCACTTGTGGATGTGGCTCACGCCACAAATGGAGTGGAACCTCCTGGCTGGGAGGCTCTATCGCACTTGGTGCCTGGCTCAAGGTGTAGAAAATGAACACCCCCAACACATTTCTGGCGACATTGCTGGATTGGATTTTCATACCCGCAAAGCCACAGTGCAGCCTGAGATCAAGGATGCCACAAAAGGAAAGAGAAACCCCACAGGACAAAACGGCCAGAGTCATTGTCACAGAGAGACCTTCATGACCTCATGGCTTCTGTTGACTTCCCTGAACCCCCCTTTTCAGCAGGGTGGTCATGGCTAGGCTGAGAGATGATTCATGCCAGTGCCTCAGGGGCATCTCCAGAACAGGGAATAGCTGGAGATGAGGAGAGTCAGGACCCAGATAGAAAGACCTGGGAAAAACCACACACTCTGGGCGGGTGGGTTTCATATCCCACAGGTTCCGGCAAAAGCAAGACTGAATTTTTTTCAGGGTATTGTGTATTTAATAATGTTTTGCGAGTGCTTATAAAGCCCCCAACTAACAAAGGATTCAGAAGACATTCTGAGCAGACTTTCCACAGCCCTAGGATGATGGAAAGGGCAGAGGCAACCAGGTATGCACAGTGCATGTGAGGGACTCAGAGCACAACCTTCCCCACCATGTGCTTTGAAGCACATTGCAAAGATCAGCCTTGTGGTTCCACTTTATCCATGAGAAAATGGGGTTTCAGAATGGCAACGTGGCCTGCTTAAGGTCCTATGGTCGGAATGGCAGATCCTGGGGTGGCTCTAAATAAATTTAGTGTTCAACAAGTACTTCTCAAAGGCCCCCTTTCTGCCGGTCATGCTGCTAGGACCAATGCTGCAGCTGTAAGAGACAAGTGGATGGGGAACACGAGTGGGTGGGGCTGGCTGTCCCCCTTGTCCCCCTCAGTGCTCTCTCAGGGGCCTCCCCGGCCACTTCCCAGCACCCCTCTCCAGGGCTGAAGGGTCCACAAGGGCTTGCTACTCCGAGCACTGGCCAGGTCCTGAACCCCATTCCTACTAGAGCCTCGTTTTGCCCCCTCTCCTGCTGCAGAGAGCATCTCACATGTCCTGGAATGCAGCTCCACACTCCATGCTGGGTACAGGGGGCTCAGAGGCTGCCAAGACCTCCTCGGCAGTCCTGCTCCCTCGCAGACCTGGCCTCACAGAGCGAGGTCGCACCTGCAGCCATGAGGCCGGGCGCTGGGCCTGACAGCCGTCCGGGCTCAGCAGGTGCAGGGTGTGGGCCTGCAGCCTGAATTCCAAGAGTTTGGACACAGTGAATCCTGAGCTTGGACACAGTGAGTCAGCCTCTGCCCTGACCCCAAGCCTGCTGGGCAGGTCTACGCCAAGTCCAACCAGGCGTGGAAGGAGAGACCCCACAGCACTATGTCTGGGCCTCTACATGATCTCGTGGCTCCTGCATGATCACAAAAATAACCTAGAATGTGTGAGCTTGGCTTCAGCCATCCTCTTTATAGCCTGTAAGAGAGGCTGCCATTCATATCTGCCTCTGTGAGGCATAGGCAGGGGAGAGTAGCCAGGAAGAGCCCCATTCTTCCTCAGAGCCCTGCCAACAAGACAGAGGAGCCAAGAGAGCCACCAGCATGAGGTGGACCATTAGCTGAGCAAAATCCACTGAGTCCGGGGGCTCCTTATCAGCCAAGCCCCTCTCTTCCCCTTCCTCCAACCCACAACCCTTCCTTTGTGGAACGGCCCCTCCTCCCTTGTGGTGGGGGGTTGCCAATCATAGGAGTTCACCCTCTGGCCATTATGATTGGCCAAAGAATAGCATGTGACTCAAGCTAGACCAATCATGTTATTCCCTGGGATTTTTCTATGTGGATCTAGGGGAAAAAAAACTCCTGTGGGATAGCTGTCCTGAGAGAAGGGAACCAATACACAAAAACAGAAAGGGAAGACAGAGACAGGGTCCTGATAGGGCTGCAGTCTCCAGCTCTGGGCGCCTCTAAGCCACCTCCCCACCTGCCCTTCCCATGAGCTGAGGCAGTGCCCTGCTTCCCTTATGCTGTCTTGAAGAAATTCTGACCATGTGCATTTCTTGAGCACTTACAAGATGTCAAGCACTGTCCTGGGTGGTGCACATGGATTAATGCAATTGACCCCGCAAAAGCCCTCCTGTGAGGAAACACTATTTATGTCCCCATTTTATAGCTGATGAAACAAAGCATGCAGAGTTTGCATTCATCAGGGTTCTCCAGAGAAACAGAAGCAGTATATACGTATTATAAGGATTGGCTCATGCCACGATGGAGGCTGGGGAGTCCCGCAATCTGCTGTCTGCAGGCTGGAGGTCCAGGAAAGCCTGGTGGTGGTGCTGTAGTTGGAAGTCGGTCCAGTTGTAGTTGGTCCAGGTGGTGTGGTGGGAAGGCTGAGAGCTGGACAGCCAAGGGCATAGATTCCAGTCCAGATCTGAAGATCTGAGAACCAGGAGTGCTGAGGCAGGAGATGGATGTCCTGGTTCAAGCAGCCAGGCAGACAGCAAACCCCACTCTCCCCTGCCTTTTTGTTCTATTCAGGCCCTCAACGGATTGAATGGCACCCACCTACACTGGGGAGGGCCACCTGCTTTCCTCAGTCCACCAATTCAAATGTTGGCCTCTTCCAGTAATCCCCTCACAGACACATCTGGAAATCATGTTTAAGCAGCTACCTGGGCATACTTTCACCCAGTCAAGTTGACATTAAATTAATCAGCACAAAGGTGAACAGCTCACACCAGGGCACAAAGCTCACAAGAACAAGTAGGCAGGCCAGGCGCAGTGGCTCACACCTATAATCCCAGCACTTTGGAAAGCCAAGGCAGACAGATCACTTGAGCCCAGGAGTTTGAGACCAGCCTGACCAACATGGTGAAACCCTATCTCTACTAGAAATATAAAAAGTAGCCAGGAGTGGTGGCACATGCCTGTAATCCCAATTGCTTCAGAGGCTGAGGCATGAGAATCACCTGAACCTGGGAGACAAAGGTTGCAGTTACCCAAGATTGTGCCACTGCACTCCAGCTTGGGAGACAAAGTGAGACTGTCTCAAAAAAAAAAAAAAAGAAAAGAAAGAAAAGAAAAAGAAGAAAAAGAACCAGTAAGCAGAGCCAGGGTTTGAAGCCAGGCCTCTCTGCTGCCTTGTGTTCTGCACTTCAGGAGAGCCTCGAAGGTGGGAGCCACTACTGCCAACCCACAGCCAGAGCCACCTCTTCCTGAGCCTGGATGTAAAGTGTGGCCACATGACCTGCTCTGGCCAAGCAAATGGGAATGGAAGTGACATGTGCCCCCTGGGCAGAAGCATCCTGTGGCTGGAACCTCTGCTCTTTAGCTCTCCCTTGCCCAGCCCAGAGGAAGTGCGTGCTGACATGGAGGTGCCTCTAGATCAAAGCCACCTGGACGCTGAGCACATTTATAGGCGGTAGCTGTCCTGGTGAGCATTTGTTGACTATATCTCTGTGATATAGTCACAGATATATATATATCTGCCCACAGTTGACTATATCTCTGTGAGAAATCAGCATTGGCTGCACTGTGACCCTGATACGTGGGACTGTTTCTCACTGCCACAGAGCCCAGCCCATTCTGAACAACGAAGCTGTTTGTGTGACTTGCAAATGAAGAGTCTTGCCTGAGCCCCACGGGCCAGCATGAACTCTCACCGCTTTTCAATCAACTGAATGCCTCATCCTGTTTGCTTTTGCCGATTACATTGGTATAGTAAGACAGGCTTCCTCCTGGCCAGTCAGGGTGCTTGGCGGCGTCTGTACTGCAGGACCCATACGAGAGCATCCCCAGGGTTTTACCTCTCCCAGCCCATTGGCAACAGATGCAGTGACAGTGATGCCTGGAGACAAAGCCTGGATCACAGGCTCAATCTCTGACAGATCGCAGCCCCTCGGGAAGCCCATGGACTGTTCAGCGGGTGCTATTTCTGCTTGAAAATTACTTCTCAAAACCTTGCAATAAAAATGACCAAAGATGACCACGGGGCAGTGCAGGGGGCACCTTGAAACTGACGAGATAAAATACAGGGGTATTTGACCATGTGGGACCCGCAAACACCACAGAGTATCTAATAATTTCAACAAGCGATAGTCTCTAAAAACAACAACAGCACCACCCAGGCTGGGTGTGGGGGCTCACACCTGTAGTCCCATTGGGCGGCTGAGGCAGGAGAATCACTTGAGCCCAGGACGTCAAGGCTGCAGTGAGCAGTGATTGCACCACTGCATGCCAGCCTAAGCAAGAGAGCAAGACCTGCTTCAAAACCAAATGACAACAACAACAACAAAACACCCACAACAACAAAAAAACCCACAACAACAAAAAAAAACCCACAACAAAAAAACACCCACAATAACAACAAAACACCCACAACCACCAAAAAACACCCACAACAAAAACACCCACAAAAAAAAACACCCACAAGAACAAAAGAACACCCACAACAATAAAAAACCAACAACAAAAAACACCCACGAGAACAACAAAAGAACACCCACAACAACAAAAAAACCCACAACAACAAAAAAACCCACAACAACAACAAAAACACCCAGAACAACAACAACAACAAAACACCCACACCATTTTGGTTGCATCGTGAGGGAGTCTCAGGCACTAGGTCTCGCCCTCAGACTCCCACTATTGAATGTTCTTTCTTGGGCTCATTTTCAGTAATAAACAGTCTCAGAGCTCCAGAGCAGCCCGCCCAGCCTTCCCAGCATGAACACGCATCTTCCTAAACAACGCTGCGGGTCAGTAGTAAGATACTTACTAAGTGCACACTACGTATTGGGCACTGTGCTCAGCCTCAGGGACCCGTCAGCGAATGGAGACCCAGCCCTCAACTCCCAGTCTCATGAGGGAACAGACACAAAAGGCACATCTGCAAATGGCCAGGACAGGCCTTGGGTAGCCCTGCTCAGGACTGGAACTGTGGCCCTCGGGCGCACTGCCCAGGCGGGGGTCCTTGAGCCAGAATGATCAGCCAAAGAGAAGTCTGAGCTGCAACTTAAATGAGAAAGGCAGTGTTGAGGATGCACTTACCACAGCCAGAGCTGAGACAGAGAGGAAGACTCGGAGGGGACACTAGAGCCATCTGTGATTGAGGGGCAGTCCCATCCACTCTACATCCCCTCCATCCCCCAGTGCTGGGTCTGGGCTAGGACAGACATGGAAGAAGGCCATCAGGTGTGGCCACTAAGAGTTCACGTGCTGGGTCAGACACACACAAGTGCTACTCTGACCTGTCACCTCTCCACGCAGTGTTCTCAGCCAAGAAACCTCCCCTAACCACAGACTCCTCACCTGTAAAGTGGAGAGAATGATCACATTTGCCCCCAGATCTTTGCTCTCCTGAGCATTTACCCCAGAGAAGTTCAAACTGAGGTTCACGCAAAATCTGTAAACAAATGTTCATACCAACTCTGCTTGTAATAGCCGAGAGGTAGAACAAGCCCACTTGCTCTTCAACAGGTGAAGGTATGAACTGTGGTTCATCTGCACTGTGGGGTGCTACTGGGCAAGAAAAAGGAACAAAAGAAAAAAGAAGGAGCTAATGACACACAGGACAACTTGGGAGGACCTCCAGGAAACTATGATAAATGAAAAAAGACAATCTCAAAAGGTTACTCTATGATTCCATCTATGTAACATTTTTGAAATGTTACATAAAACATTTAATAACATTTAAAGTGTTACGTAACATTTTAGAAATAGAACACAGATACGTGGTTGCCAGGGGTCAGGGAGAGGGGTGGGAGATGGGATGGGAGGAAGGTGGGTTGTTCCCCTCTTTGTGTCCATGTGCATTCAATGTTTAGCCCCTACTCATAAGTGAGAATATGCAGTATTTGGTTTTCTGTTCCCGCATTGATTTGCTTAGGATAGTGGCCTCCAGCTCCACCCATATTGCTGCAAATGACATGATCTCATTCTTTTTTTTATGGCTGTGTCCTATTCCATGGTGTGTATGTACCACATTTCCTTTATCCAGTCTACCATTCACGGGCATTTAGGTTGATTCGGTCTCTTTGCTATGGACTACACCCATTTTAAGGAGGTGCAGACTGAAGCCACACAGCTCATAAGCAGCAGTGTCCAGCTGGACCTGAGCTCTCCGATTCCAAAGCCTGTACATTTTTCAGGAGCCTCATGAGGCTGAGCCACGTCACACTGGCAGCCCACACTCTGGAATGAGTCAGTCCCCAGGGAGCAGAACAGCATCCGTCTTAACTGTTTGTGGAGGTGAGGCCAGATGAATTTCTCATGCTACTTTTTTTTTTCTTTTTCTTTTTTCACTCTCTTTTTTTTTTTTTTTGAGACAAAGTCTTGCTCTGTTGCCATCTCGGCTCACTGCAACCTCTGCCTCCTGGGTTGCAATGATTCTTCTGTCTCAGCCTCCCAAGTAGCTGGGATTACAGGCTCATGTCACCACATCCAACTAATTTTTGTTTTTTTGGTATAGATGCGGTTTCACCATGTTGGCCAGGCTGGTCTCAAACTCCTGACCTCATGATCCACCCGTCTCGGCCTCCCAAAGTGCTGGGATTATAGGCGTGAGCCACCGGTCCCGGCTCTCATGCTACTTTTAAAAGCTCCTGGCCCCTCAAAACCCATCAGAACCACCCTACCACCCACCTCTGACCTCCAAGCTCCTGCCCCTGCCTGTGTTCTGTTCCCTCACACCCTGTTGCTGGCACTGCCATACCCCTAGTGACTTTTATTCTCCAAGCACACTCAGTTTCATGTAAAACCATGGATTGTAACAGGCACTCCACTCTGTGTTTTATCCTCGCTTCCTTCTTTGGGGAAACTGCCCCTCCCAGCTCCAGCCTTGGGGCACCCACACACCTCAGCACATGATTGGCCCAAAGGGTAGGCATGTGATCTAGGCCAGTCCAATGAGAGTCAGCCCTGGGATTTTCCATCATAGAACAGGACAGACATTCTCTGTCCCTTCCTTGTTTTTACGCAGTAAGTTGGTTAAGATTTTCCTGGATTTTTTTGTATGCTGAGTAATTTTGATTTGTATCCTGGAATTTGGGAGAAATATGAGGAAAATGCTGCAAGGATGAGAGCTCAGAGTGTTCCCTGGCCATAGGCACCCCACCTTATGAAGAAAGCCTCAATGCAACGGAGGGAACAGAATGACAATTCAGAGAGAGGTGGACACCTGTGATGGAGGGGGGAGATGAGGACATGACAGCATTTGCGTTTCCAGATTTAGACTTCCCTGGAACCAGCCATTCCTACGTTTTCCCCGGTTCAGTTAAGTGAGTAAATTAACATTGTTTTACTTAAGCTTTGAATTTAGCAGGCTTCCACCTGCAGCCATAACTGTCCCAACTAAAACAGTGAAGAAGCCATCAGAAGGGCCTGGGATGGAGGATGAGGTGGAGTCAACACTCTCCACCCTCTTCTCCACCGAATGCAGCTGGGATGTCCGACAAGAATGCATGGAGCAGCTGTGTGAGGACTCTGAACTGTAGACCCAGCAGGCAGACTAGAAAAAAAAATTCAGTTTCACTGAACTAGAGCTGAGTCTCCCATTATTTCCCCCAGTATCCCCAGCCTAGACTCAAAGTGACCTCAAAATGAACACAGGTGCCAGGGTCAGAGAAAGAGCGCTTCAGGAGAGGGAAGGGGGACAATGAGGCAAATCTCAGTTTTCTTTTTATTTTCTTCTGTTCTGTTGCACCCCAGTTCTCCAACAATTCCGTGGCTTTACTAATGACAGTGACTACTGCATGGCCCATGGGCTCCTGAAACTCAGAGTGGGCAGAACCTTCCTCTCTGATAAGAAAAATCTGTGTTTCCACGAGATCAGAGTGGACCCCAGGTGTGTGTTCTCTCTCTCTCTCTCTCTCTCTCCCCCTCCCCCTCCCCCTCCCCCTCCCCCCCCCCCTCTCTCTCTCTCTCTCTCTCTCTCTCTCTCTCTCTCTGCTCCCACCTCCTAGTCCCGGACTTGGCCACAGTTATGAGAAGTATGTGGCAAAACAGAATAACTGACAGCTCAGCTTTCTGACTGCACAACCCCAAAAGGAAGCCCCAGGGAGCCTGAAAAATGCCAGGGAGATTGCAGAGAGGGCAGAGATCAGGAAAGAGACAGTTTAAAGTTGTTCATGAATCCTGGGCTCACCCTTAAACTGCACAGGCACGCATTTGACCCTACACAGCAGACCCAAGACATTGAGAACGGAACTCGAGGATAAACCGTCGCCAGGCCCAGGCCTGGCCACTGGGTGGCGCACGCACAGGACAGCTCTGAAGAGCACTGCCCTGCTTTGACGACTGAGTGGCCACTGGGAGCACAGCTCGCAGAGGCTGCTCGGAACCTGTTGCCTGAATCCAACCACCTTGATTGACCACTGAAACCAAACTATCAGCATCCTCCATGGCATTTAAACAAGACCTAGAGCCTCCTAATATAGGATGCAAAATTCCAGGATACAGACCAAAATTACTCAGCATATGAAAATACAGGAAAATCTTAACTTGTACAAGTAAAGATAAGGAACAAATCCCAACAGCAAGATGACACCAGTGTTACAATGATCAGAAAAAGCCAGGCATGGTGGCTCCCGCCTGTAATCCCAGCACTTTGGGAGGCCGAGGTGGGCAGATCACTTGAGGTCAGGAGTATGAGACCAGCCTGGCCAATATGGTGAAACTCTGTCTCTACTAGAAATACAAAAATTAGACAGACATGGTGGCAGGCACCTGTAATCCCAGCTACTCGGGAGGCTGAGGCAGAAGAATAGTTTGAACCCAGGAAGCGGAGGTTGCAGTGAGCCGAGATCACACCACTGCACTCCAGCCTGGGCAACAGAGTGAGACTACGTCTCGAAAAAACAAAAATAAAAATAAAATAATAAAATAATAATAATAATAATAATAATAATAAGGAAGTATCAGAAAAGTCTTCGAAGCAGTTATTATAGAAATACTCCAAGAAGCAAGAGCAAACACTGGTAAAGCAAATGGAAAGATAGAAAGTGTAAGTAAAGAAAGAGAAGATATACAGAAAAACCAAACTGAACTGTTAGAACTAAACAATATGATAATCAAAATTTTAAAAGTCACCAGATGGGCTCAATAACAAAATCAAGATAACAGAGCAATGAGTCATTAAATGTGAGGATAAATTAATAGAAATCGTCCAACCTGAATAACAAAGGGAAAAAGAAGCAAAATTTTAAAACCAGAAAAAAAACAAATGAACAGAGACTGAAGCACCTGTACCAGACGCCTGACGTCCACATCACAGGAATTCTAGATGGAGAAAAAAGAGAATGCAGGGTAGAAAAACATCAGAGGAAAGAAATGTCTCGAATTTGTCAAAAAGCAAAACCTCCAAATTCAAAAAGTTCAGTGAATCCCATAAAAGGGTATACTCAAAGAAACCCATGCCTAGACACATCAGAGTCAAAATGCTGAAAGCAAAGACCAAGAAACAATCCTGAAAGCAGCCAAAGAAAAACAATGTAACAGGAAAATAATGAAGCAAAAATTGATAGGACCAAAAGAAGAAACAGACAAATGATCAATTATAGTTGGAGACTTCAATCTTATTCTCTAGGTAATTCAGAGAACAAATAGGAAGTCAGCAAAGATAAAAATGAACAGAATGGCCCCATCAAGCAACTGGATGTCATTTACATTTACACCACACCAACAACAGCAAAAAAGGAAGAAAAAGAAAAACCTTCTCTTTGAGTACACATAGAACATTCACAAAGGCTGGGCATGGTAGCCCACACCTGTAATTCCAATACTTTTTTTCTTTTGAGACAAAGGCGATAAGGTCTTGTTCTGTCACTCAGGCTGGAGTGCAGTGGCGCAATCTCGGCTCACTGCAGCCTCGACCTCTGGGCTGAAGCAATCATCCTGCCTCAGCCTCCCAAGTAGCTGGGACTACAAGCACACACCAACACATTTGGCTAGTTTTTAAATGTTTTGTAGAGATAGGGGCCTCAGGATTACAGGTGTGAATTACCACACCCAGCCTAATCTCAGTACTTTAGGAGGCCAAGGCAGGAGGATCACTTGAGGCCAGGAGTTTGAGACCAGCCTGGGCAATATAGTGAGATCCTGTCTCTACAAAAAATTTAAAAGTTAGCCAGGTGTGGTAGTGCTTGCTTGTGGTCCCAGCTACTCAGGGGGCTGAAGCAGGAGGGTAGCTTAAGCCCAGGAGATTGAGGCTGCAGTGAGCTATGATCGCACCACTGCACTCCAGCCTGGGCAACAGAGCAAGACCTTATCTCTAAAAAACAAACAAACAAACAAACAAAATTACAAAGCTGTTTTTCTAGTTCATAACACAAAACCTCAACTAATTAAAAAAAATTAAAGTAATTTAAGAGAATTACAGTTGTAATAATACAAAGTATGGTCTCTGATAATAATGAAATTAAAACAGAAGTCAGTTACAGAAAAATAACAAAAAAATTTCCAAAACCTTGGAAACTAAACAAAACACTTCTAAATTATTCATGGGTCAAACAGAAACTCTGGAGGGAAGTTAGAAAATATTTTTAATTGAATGAGGGTGAAACTACAAGATATAAAATTTGTGGAATTCAGCTAAAGCAAGTGCTGGCAGACAAATTTATATCATCAAATGCTTACATTAGAAAAGAAGAAAGGACTTAGCCTGATCATCTGAGCTTCCACCTTCAGAAATTATAAATAGCAGAAATTATAAATAGCAGAGCAAAATCAGCCAGTCGAGCCAAAGGAAATCAATAAGAAAAGCAGAAACCGATGAGATTGAAAAGAGAAAAATAATAGAGAAAAATCAATGAAACAAAAAGCTGACTCAAAATAATTAATAAAATTCTAGCAAGAGTGGCAAGGAAAAATAGAAGCATATATTATCAGTATTAGAAATTCAAGAAAGTATTCAATGAGACCCTCAGACACTAAAGGGGTAATAAGGGAATACTACTGTGCTAGTCCATTCTTGCATTGCTATGAAAGAAATATGTGAGACTGGGTAATTTATAAAGAAAAGAAGTTTAGGCCAGGTGCAGTGGCTCACACCTGTAATCCCAACACTTTGGGAGGCTGAGACGGGAGGACTGCCTGAGCTCAAGAGTTCAAGACCAGCCTGGCCAACACGGTGAAACCCCGTCTCTATTAAAAATACAAAAATTAGCCAGGCATGGTGGCGGGCACCTGTAGTCCCAGCTACTCAGGAGGCTGAGGCAGGAGAATCACTTGAGCCCGGGAAGCGGAGGTTGCAGTGAGCCGAGCTTGCACCGCTGCACTCTAGCCTGGGTGACAGAGCAAGACTCTGACTCAAAAAAAAAAAAAAAAAAAAAAAAAGTTGCCCAGGAAGGAGGTGGGGGGGAGAGTGAGAGAGAAGACAAAAGGGCACCAGGACACTTT
Organism: Homo sapiens; assembly: GCF_000001405.40. Classification (NCBI taxonomy): domain Eukaryota; kingdom Metazoa; phylum Chordata; class Mammalia; order Primates; family Hominidae; genus Homo; species Homo sapiens. The sequence continues at coordinate 87,206,513 of NC_000016.10, forward strand.
GGAGGTGATGGCATGTTCACTGTCTGAACGGCTGTGATGGCTTCATAGGTGACTACATATGTCAAAGCACCAAACTGTATGATCTAAATATGTGCAGTTCATTATATGTCCATTATATGCAAAGACGTTTTTAAAAACTCAACAGGAAGAAAAATAACCCAATTCAAAATGGACAAGAGACTTTAACAGCTGCTTCATCAAGGAAGATACATGGATGATGAGTAAGAACATAAGAAGTCTCCCTCATTAGACGTCAGGGAATTGCAAATTAAGACCATGATGACACCCCATCGCACACTCACTAAAACAGTTAAAACGAAAAATGCAACAATGCCAAGTGCCAGTGAAGAAAGGAAGAAACAGGAACAGTCATATGCTGCTCACAGTGTAAAATGGTGCAGCCACATTAGAAAAGTTTGGCAGTTTTTTTTAAAGTTAAATATATACCTACCATAGGACCCGGCAATCTCGCTCCGAGGTATTTACCCAAGAGAAATAAAGACAAATGTTCACACACAAACCTGCACACAAATGTTTGTAGCAGCTTTATTCGAAATCACCCCACACTGGAAGGAACCCAAATGTCCTTCAACTGGTGAATGGATAAACAGAATGTCGTACGTCCAAACAATGAAATATTACTCAGAAAGAGAAGAAGGATGAATCAGTGTGAATTACACACAATGACCTGGCTGGATCAGAGGCCTTACGCTGAGTGGAAGAAGTGAGGCTCAAAAGGTTCCATACCCTTAGGGTTCCATTCATAAGGCATTCTGGAAGAGACAAAATTCTTGTGATGAAGAACTGATTAGTGGGCGCCAAGAGTGAGTGATGAGGGGAGGGTGGAACTTCACAGGGATGGCCCGAGGGAGTTTTTGGAGTGATGAAACCGCTTTGCGTCCTGACTGTGATGAGGGCTGCACAAATCTACACATGTGTTAACATGTACAACAAAAAGAAAGTCAATGTTCCTGTCATTTTTAAAACAAACAAAACAAAGTAAGCAGAAGAGAGTGATTAGCATCACAGCTCCCCGGCCCCCCGGCCCTCACCTTAAACCCAGTGCTGATGAACAGAAATGTCCCCCAAACCATGGGAGTCAGGCCCAGCAGATTGTAAAATGACTCTGCTGCACTGGCTGATGTCTGGGGAAAGGGGAGAGCTCCTCCCCTTGCAAACTGGAGAAAATTCGCATATTGGCTGGAAGTTGCATAACTATAATTCTCTTGCTCAGACAATTGGATCCTGAACCTCCAAATGAGGTAATAATTATACAGCCTGAGGAATCTGAACAGCATGGAGGAGAAACGCCAGCAAAAGCCAGCAGAGGAGAAGTTCTAACGGGACTGGGAAACGTGAGCCTGACCAGAGGTCTTGCGGCTGCTTTGTTTCTGAAGACTGCAAGTTCTCGGCCAGGGCACTGTTGAACCCTGCGGTGGTGGGGGTAGGGGTGGATGTCTGCTGCAAAGGGCAGACATTATAGATAAAATTCCACATTGTTTCTACCAGGCACCTCTGCCATCACCAGATGGTTCTTGACCCTGCAGAGCTGCCACACTCGTGGCAGGACAGTTTGCCCTCCTGGGCTCAGGGCCTAGATGCAGCAGCTCCTCCAGTCACTATGACAACCAAAACCATCCTGTGCATTTCCAAACAGCCCTTGGGTGGTACCACCCCCAATTAGTGACTGCTCAAGAGGTCAGGAAAAGAGAGTGACGCTTAAGTCAGAAGCAACTGCTTCCTCCACCCTGATGTGGAAGGGCGTCACCAAAGTCCTGGGGGACACTGTGAATGTACTAAATCCACCAAATTGAGTGCTTTAAAATGGCTAATTTTGTACACTTATATGAATGTCGCCTCAATTTTTAAAATACCTCCTCAGCAATTACATTTAGGAAACACCAACAAGGACAGAGAAAGACACAAACCAGGGGTCCCATCCTGCATGCTAGAAGGATGCATAAGCCCTGCAGGAACTTACATCCCCCAGCAAAAAGAGAAGGAGAAAGGGTGCAGAAAAAAAACTGACCCCCACCCAAAAAAGACACAGAATTTTCAACCAGATATGACTGAAGTCCTTGGAACAGAAAGATTTGGTCTCACAGCTCTGAGTGAAAATGGAACCTCAAGAGTTCAGTTTAATTATTTACCATTAAGGAAAAACACATTTGTGCACACCTGACTTAGAAACTGTGAGTCAAGGTGAAAGGCTCAGAGCAGATTGAATTTTGTTATAGGGATATAAAGAAATGTGACATTTTTTGTCAGTTAGAATGGTGATCATTAAAAAGTCAGGAAACAACAGATGCTGGAGAGGATGTGGAGAAATAGGAACGCTTTTACACTGTTGGTGGGAGTGTAAATTAGTTCAACCATTGTGGAAGACAGTGTGGTGATTCCTCAAGGATCTAGAACTAGAAATACCATTTGACCCAGCAATCCCATTACTGGGTATATACCCAAAGGATTATAAATCCATAAAGACATATGCACACGTATGTTTATTGCAGCACTGTTCACAATAGCAAAGACTTGGAACCAACCCAAATGCCCATCAGTGATAGACTGGATAAAGAAAATGTGGCACTTATATACCATGGACTACTATGCAGCCATAAAAAAGGATGAGTTCATGTCCTTTGCAGGGACATGGATGAAGCTGGAAATCATCATTCTCAGCAAACTAACACAAGAACAGAAAAGGAAGCACTGCATGTTCTCACTCATAAGTGGGAGCTGAACAATGAGAACACATGGACATCGCGGGGCAGGACTCATCACACACCGGGGCCTGTCGGGGGGTTGGGGCTTGGGGGAGGGATAGCATTAGGAGAAATACCTAATGTAGGTGATGGGTTTATGGGTGCAGCAAACCACCGTGGCACATGTCTGCCTATGTAACAAACCTGCACATTCTGCACATGTACCCCAGAACTGAAAGTATAATAAAATAAAATAAGATAAAATAAAATAAAATAAAATAAAGAAATTGTGAGTCAATATCTGTACTGCAAGCCTGGTTTCATTTCCATTGTATGAACAAGTCTTGGGAAAGCTAAACCACTTGTCCAGGAGTTACAGTTAATACCTCATACATGAACCTGGGCAACCTAATCCCAGAGCCCCAGCTCATACTCACTCCTTCTACCACCTCCCAGGTGAAGAGAGTTCACCTGAGCAAAGGAGCAGAGAATTAAAATACATGTATGTTTGCAGAAATATGCAAAACTTGCATCATGGAGATGATGATAGTGATTATGGTGATGGTGGTGACAGTGATGATGGTGATGATGATGACGGTATGATCATGGTGATGGTGATGATGGTGGTGATGGTGATGACAATGGTGATGATGGTGATGGTGATGACGGTGGTGTCACTGATGGTGATGATGGTGGTGATGATAGTGATGGTGATGATGATGGTGGTGATGGTGATGGTGCTGATGGTGGTGATGATAGTGATGGTGATGATGGTGGTAATGGTGATGGCAATGGTGATGGTGGTGATGGTGATGGTAATGATGGTGGCATCAGTAATGGTGGTGATGATAGTGATGGTGATGATAATGGTGATGATGGTGATGATGATGGTGATAATAGTGATGATGGTAATGGTGATGATGGTGATGATGGTGGCCATGTTAATGATGGTGATGATGGTAATGGTGGTGATGGTGGTCATGTTAATGATGGTGATGATGGTAATGGTGGTGATTGTGATAATGGTGATGCTGATGGTGGTGATGATGCTGGTGATGATGGTGATGGTGATAATGGTGATGGTGATAATGGTGATGGTGATGGTGATGATGATGATGGTGATGATGGTGATGGTGATAATGGTGGTGATGGTGATTATGATGGTGATGGTGATGGTGGTGATGGTGATGATAATGGTGATGATGGTGATGATGGTGGTGATGTTAGTGATGGTGATGTGGATGATGGTGATGGTGGTGGTGGTGGTGATGGTGATAATGGTGGTGATGGTGATGATGATGGTGCTGATGGTGATGGTGGTGATGGCAATGATGGTGACTATTTCGGTCTTCTCAGGCTGTCACAACAAAATACCATAGACAGGGTGGCTTAAAAAACAGAAATTTATTTCTCACAGTTCTTGAGGCTGGGAAGTTCAAGATCACAGTGCCAACATGGTTAGGTTCTGGTGAAGGCTATCTTCCTGACTTGTAGATGGCTACATCTCCCTGTGTCTTCACATGGCGAGGAGAAAGAAAAAGAGAGAGGGAGAGAGAAGGAGAGGCGGGGGGGAGGGAGGTGCAGAGAGAGAGAGAGAGAGAGACAGCACACGTACACTCTAGTGTTTCTTCCTATACTGACATTAAACCCATCATAGAGGCTCCACCCTCATGACCTCATCTAAACTTAATTACCTGTCAAAGGCCCCATCTCCAAATGCCATCACGTTGGACGTTAGGGCTTCAACATGCAAATTTGGGGTGGGGGCACATTCAGTCCATAATAGTGATGATGATGATGATGATGATGATGATTATAGAGACGGTGACAATATGCATGGGACAGGGTGGCCTTAATGATTTATTCAGGAAAAGTATTAAAAATGCTTTGTACAATTCTTGGCACTAAGCCCTCAGTGAATGCCAGCTATGATGACTGTTGTTTTCGCAATAAGATTCTGGTTTTAAATCTGACTAAGCAATTTCATGTATATTTATAAGCATCTCTCAATATGTGACCTGTATTAACTGAGACCCTTTAGTTTGTAAATAGCTGATTTATGCCAATTGGGGAAATTAACTGCTTCTCTTAACTAGAAGGTCTAGCTTCCATTAACATAGACTAAGAGGCTCAAACAATGTCTCCAAATCTTGGTCTCTCTCTGTCCCTTGATGGTTTTCTCTGAGCCAGTGTTGTTTTAAGTAGGCTCTCCCTGGGGGTGGTAAGGAGCTTCTGGCATCCTCAAGTTCAAATCCTCACAGTTCAGCAATCCCAGGACAAAGAGAATTTCTCTTTCTTGGGGCTACAGCAAAAGATTCCTCAAGGGCTCTCAGTCGAGTCATTTGGGATAAATAACATCTCTGGACCAATCGCAATGGTCAGAAAGGGTGGAGTATTCTGGAACTCCTGGCCTCAAGGGATCTTCCAGCCTTAGCTTCCTAAAATGCTAGGATTACAGGTGTGAGCCACCGCACCCAGCCTAGGATGGAGTGATCTCATGGCTGATACTGGGTCACATGCCCACCCCAAACCAGGTTGACTGGAAGTGGAGGGAACATGATTCTTTGAAGGGAAACTCAGGTGCTAGTAACAGGAGAGATGAGTGCTGAGAGAGCACAATCAACAGCTGAGCACTGCATGTTCATGGCTTGGACAAGCCTGCTCAATAGGGAAAACATCTATTTACCTGTCGACTGTTTGCCATACACCAAGCAAGGGTGTTGTGCTCTTCAGCCTATCCCCTGCAGAAGACCCAAGTAGAACTGAAGAAACTGGGCTTCTTACCCAGCCGCTAAGAGAGAGGCTTGGGCCACCACGGCCTTGGATGAGAGAAGACATCCCCTTCCTTGGTTCTTCCATTACAGCAATGAAGTCACAATGAAGGGGAGGAACTGCCCAGTTGGGCAGCGCGATGGGAAGGAGCCCACCCACGACTGTGGATGTTTAACCAAAGCCTTCCTGTAGGAAAGCAGGAAAGACTGGGTGGCCTGAGGGCAAGGTATGCTGGGTGGGTCTCCTTACTCAGAAAGGCCAGCGCCAGCAAACCACCGGGTCAAAGTTTGTCCCCTGAGAGCCCTTGGTTTGAGTTCATTCTTCTGAAGTGATATCATGAGGCATCTTTCTTCTGGAGGAGGAAAGAAAGTATTTCCCCCAGGAATGCACAATCAAAAGGTTGTTTCTGAGATTAGGCAGATCATAGGAGCTGCAGAATTGAAAGGGGAGTGTGAATGAATGTGTGTGAGTGTGTTGTAGAAGAAGAAAGAATTAAGTGTGGACTTTTAGCATGAAATACTGTTCTTGACATCAGTTTCATTAATTTACATAGTGGATAAATTGTATGCTTACTCAGTAATCCATAGACTCAGCACATTGGATTATTAATCTACCTTACTTTGAGTGTATTTGTGAGAATGTGTATGTATGTGAGTGTGAGAGAGTGTGTGTGTATGTATGTGTGTGTGATATTATATGAGTAGGGAGAGGGAGAGTGTAGGGAGACTTCAGGTCATCCTAGAAACGAATCCTCTAAAACTAATTATGGTAACAGCTAGTATTCATTGAGCATGTCCTATGCGCTAGGCACTGAGTGAGTGCTCTCCAGATCTTGTCTCCTTTGATCTCAGGGCAGCCAAATGAAGTGAGGGATGGACTATTGTTGTTATTTATTTCAGACGACAGTACTGCTGCTCAGAAAAGGTGACCAAAGTGGCCAACATTGCAACCTGGACCTGGGACTCAAACCCAAATCTGTCTGATTCCTAAACTGCAATCTTCCCACCAGATTCTGCGGCCTCCCACTACCTGAAAAATGGTTTTTCTCTGTCTCCTCACCTAGGAATGGAAATATCACTGAAACTAAAGAAAACGACCCTCCAGTCCAGTGGGTGCAAACTGGGGACTTCAGCTGGATTCACCCCTCAGGTGGCTTCTGTTTGGCCACCACCTTGTTTGGTAAGAATTTGGATTTAATTATCCTCGGGCAGCTTGTCATAGTCTCAGCATTCCACATTTCCATGTACCCCCAAATTCCAATCAGGTATGTTATCTGCCTGGCTACGAAAGGTGTTAGAGTTCATGACCAAATGCTAGTCCTAATTGTCAGGTGGCTCTTTGTAAAAGTGAACTGCCTTCCTTGATATAGCTCTACTTTCTGTACATAGATGTTGTCTTTCCCATTATGATGAGGATCATGGTGGTGGTGGTGATAGTGTGACAATGGCAAAACGATGATGATTTTGGTGATGGTGGTGAAAATGATCATGATTATGATGATAGTAGGGTTGGTGATGATGATGGTGACATTAATGATGGTGAGGAGAAGAAGGATGGGGGAATGGTGATGGTAAGGAGGATGATGGTGATAATGGTGACAGTGATGATGGTAAATGATGATAAGGATGGGCTCCAGTGGTGCAGTTGGTTCTGCACGCAGTACTTATTTGATGATAAGGATGGTAGCAATAACAGTAAGGATTATGGTAAAGATGGTGATAATGATGGCGAGGATGTCAGTGATGGTGATGGTGATGATGATGGTGAAGGTGATGATGGCGATAGTGAAAATGATGACGGTGCTGATGGTGATGTGGTGATGATAGTGATGGTGAGGTGATGATGATGGTGATGGTGCTAATAAGGATTATTGTGGTGATGGTGATGTTGTGTCGGGGCTTAATCACGGAAGTGGAAGCACTGAGAAATATAGAACAAGGGACTTGTTATAGGTACTCAATGTCACTCATTCATGGGAGCTGGTTAAACTCCCAAGACTTCCATGGAAGGCTGTGGGCTGTGGCTGGTGCTGGGCCTGAAGTCAGCAGGGCAGACAGTCGAGAGGATGGATGTGAAATGAGGGAGAGCAGAGACAAGTTGGCCCCACATCTGCTTCTCACAGCCTCCCATTTTGCTGATCCAGGTCTCCCACATGAAAAGCTGGTGCCTTTCATCACGAAGCTGCTCTCACCCCATTCCTAGATTCTGAAACCTGAAGTGGGAAATCCAGGTTGCTGGAGAAGCCACAAACCACACCAGCCAGGTGTGCCACCCCACACCAGCCAGGTGAGAGAGAAGATCGGTGACAATGTGTGTAAGCTGCAACAACACTTTCCCTGTAGCCACCTTTGGGGCATAAAGAAGGGTCTCCTGTAGCCCCCACTGACCTGGATCCACAGACACAAAAATCTGGGAAATGTAGTTCCAGCTGGAGTAACAGTGATGGCAACAGAAATAACAATAACGAAAGACATGCATTTAGGATCTATACCAAGCGCCTCCCATGTATCATTTCATTTAACTCCAGTTTCATCCACATAGCTCTGATGGGCTTGTGCGGTTTTCAACTCCATTTTACAAAGCAGTGGTTAAGTGACTTGCCCCGGTTCCCTCAGCTGGAGAATGTCTGAGCTGGGATTCCGCCCTGCACACATCTCCACTGTGTAACCTGAAGCTACCAGCATATGCTCATCACGTCTAGCCCAAAGCAAAGACAACTCTTGGTTATGGCTTTATGTCAGTATAAAGACGGGTTTTGGAATTTTAAAACAATTCATGGGCCCTTCTTTATCACCTTCACAGAGCTCTCAAGGTCCTAGGGTACAGTATGGGATGTGTTGATCTGAATAAAATTGTTCAGCCATGAAGGTGTACCACCGAGGTCCTCAGCTGCAGGGAATGTGGTCAGTTAGCCGTCTGCCCCTTTTGGGGGCCTGTGCCAGCTTCAGAGAGCCACTTAGCCCAAGCCACACCCTTCCTGGGGCAGTCACATCTCATGTCTAAAAGGCAGGAGTGTAAGCGCCTTGGCATTTCGTCCAAGGCAGATGCTCTGATGGACAGATAGTCCTTGCTCCAGGCATCCCACCAGACTGGCCAGCGTTCTATCAGATTACGTCAAAGTCTGACTTCTCCCTCTGCCCAATCCTGTTTGTTCTGCCTTCCTTTCACGGGTATTGATCCAAAGAAAAACTTGTACCCCAAACTGTCTTAGAATCGATTCCCAGAGAGCCCAACCTGTGACAGATACGGTGAAGAATTTTGTCCTTTTTCCCCTCAGTTATACAGTCTCAAGGTGGGTGGATCATGGGTACATTTGTTAGACATCCTCCCATACCCACCTCTGATACCCTCAGTTCTCTGAGTCAGGGCTGTGGGTTGACGATGGAGACGGAAAGGAAGAAGGAAGAAAGGAGGGAAGGAAAGAGGGAAAAAAAAGAGGAGGGAAGAGGAAGGGAGAGAGGGAAAAAAAAGGGAAGAAGCCAGCACCTTCCCAGACCCCACAGTTCCCTCCTGACTGAACACACTACAGGCAATCAGTGTATCACTCCTTTTCCCAACTGAAAAGAAAAATGTCTTAAAGACCAGAAGAAGATCAGGAACACGGAGGTCTTTAATGCTGAGCCTGGCACCCAGGCCCTGTGTGGCAGCAGCAGCTGCTCTTGCCCCATCGTGATTGATTTTCTAGGCTTATTTCCATTGTTTGATGAAAGCACGTCAGGCCATAACTCTTACGTGTACACAACCTCACTCTTCAACCCATACCTTTCTGCAGGTGTTAGGAGAGAGCTCAACCTCCGTCTTAGGGCCTGACTTCTGGTTTGCGGCTGGGTCAACAAATCCCACTTTGCTTGGTAACAAGGAGACCTGCATCCCTCCCACCGGGTTCATCTTTCCATTGACAGTTCAGCAGAAAAGGCCTTTGGGTTTGACAGCCACCCTCTGAGCTCTCCGCAGCAGGAGGAAAACGTCAGAGAGCCCTTGAGGCCCTGTTTCCTCACCAGAAGGAAGGTGGCTGACACAGCCATGATCACCCCCAATCTGGAGGCTCAGACTAGAGTGGCCCCAAATCCTTGGGGACAAGGCCAGAAAGTGGATGTGGCCACACAGACAGGTAAGGGTCACCTGGGAGGTGAGGTGCGGTCTCGAAGGTGCTGCGCCACACACCCAAATTCCAAGGACAGAGACATCCACATGGATGTCCCACAGATAATCAGGAGGCCTCATGCCCTCTCCCCGGGCAGGGGTGACAGCTCCTCCGACTTGCCTCTCAGCTCACAGAAGTTGAAATCTACCAAGGACATGCATGGCACACGGGCGTGTACACACACTCGTCTGACTCACACCTCATCCTCCCTTTCGCTTCAGCTGGGGAAGGAGGTGGAAAGGTGACGTTCAAGACTGGAGGGTAATTTGCCCAAGAATGCAGCGAGCAAACATCTTAAAACACCACGGAGAGCCTCTGAAAACTGATTAGAACCATTTGTGTGGCCAACAAGAATGAGGGCCGCCGAGAACTGGAAGCCGGGGACAATATCTGCTCTGTTCTGGCGCATAGCAGATGCCAGCGCGGCTTCTGACTTTATAGCTTTTTCTTGGCCTGTGCGGATGAAGGAGGCTGATTGAAACCGGGCCGGCGCTGGATGGGGAACAGCCTCCCCGAATGTGGCACAGGACCTTGCAGCCAGGCTGTCCTCCTCGCCGACTCTGGCTCCGCTGGCCACGCACGACAGGCGGGCGGATCTCTCACTCTCTCGGGCTCGACGACGGGACCCCAGGCCAGGCTGAGAAGCAGAGCCTCGCGGCATCTGTCAGCCCCCAGGGAGCTCACACGGGCCCCAGAAACGGGAGAAAGACACGTGGGTCTCCCACAGCCCCTCCCGCAGCGGGGCTTTGGGAGGGGCCGTCCAGGCCGGGGCTGAGCTGCGCACACTCGCTGTGTGGTCTGCCCTGAGCCCCAGACTTTTCGCCCGTCCACTTCACCGGCGGTGACTCAGGCTTGGGTAAGAAAACACCCGGTTTCCCAGCAGACTGGGACCGAGAGTCCCGGAACCCAGGCGCGGTGTCCCTGGTGCCCACTGAGGGGCTGGCATTTAAGGCGCCTGCCGGCCCCTCGTCCTTTCCTGGGGCCTTTCGGAGAATCCGCGCAGCGCCCGCTTCCCTGCCAGGGGGTGAGGCCCACGGGAGGAAGCTGGAATGCGGACTGGAAAATGAAAATGCCCTGTTAATGAGCAGCCAGCAAAGACGGGAAACGCCAGAGTTTCCAGGAAGGGGCTTTGGAGAGCGGGCGCTCGGGCCCTGGGCCTCAGTGGCCGTGTGCAGAAAATGAGGGCCGATCCCGGTGGCTGGGGCCGGCCCAGGCCACCCAAGGTGTGAGTGGCACAGCTGAGCTCGGACCCCTGACCCCAATTCAGGGCTCCTTCCGCTAGGGCGAGCCCACCACCCGCGCAGAGCCCCTGACAGCTTCCCCAAGCCAGGCGGCCGCCCTAGGGAGGTTGCTCTGCTCCCCTAAGGGGAGGGCTCCAGGCAGGCACCATCTCACCTGCGTTTCACTCAACCACCTGAGGCGGAGCTGACCCTCCAGCATGGATCCCACCGCAGACCAGAGCACAGATCTGATCCCAACACGGACCTGACCCCCAGCACGGACCTGACCCCTAGCACGGACCTGACCCCCAGCACGGACCTGACCCCCAACACGGACCTGATACCCAACACGGACCTGACCCCCAACACGGACCTGACCCCCAGCACGGACCTGACCCCCAACACGGACCTGATCCCCAACACGGACCTGACCCCCAACACGGACCTGACCCCCAGCACGGACCTGACCCCCAGGTGTGGACCTAACCCCCAGCACGGACCTGACCCCCAGCACGGACCTGACCCCAGGGCGCGGACCTGACCCCCAGCGCAGACCTGACCCCCAGCACGGACCTGACCCCCAGCACGGACCTGACCCCCAGGTGTGGACCTAACCCCCAGGTGTGGACCTGACCCCCAGGTGTGGACCTAACCCCCAGCATGGACCTGACCCCAGGGCGCGGACCTGACCCCCAGCACGGACCTGACCCCCAGCACGGACCTGACCCCAGGGCGCGGACCTGACCCCCAGCACGTACCTGATCCCCGAGCTCGGACCTGACCCCCAGCACGGACCTGACCGCCAGCACGGACCTGACCCCAGGGCACGGACCTGACCCCCAGCACGGACCTGACCCCCAGCACGGACCTGACCCCAGGGCGCGGACCTGACCCCCAGCATGGACCTCACCCCCAGCACAGACCTGACCCTCAGCACGGACCTGACCCCCAGCATGGACCTGACCCCAGGGCGCGGACCTGACCCCCAGCACGGACCTGATCCCCGAGCTCGGACCTGACCCCCAGCACGGACCTGACCCCAGGGCGTGGACCTGACCCCCAGCACGGACCTGACCCCCAGCACGGACCTGATCCCCGAGCTTGGACCTGACCCCCAGCACGGACCTGACCCCCAGCACGGACCTGACCCCAGGGCGCAGACCTGACCCCCAGGACAGACCTGACCCCCAGCACGGACCTGACCCCCAGGTGTGGACCTAACCCCCAGCACGCACCTGACGCCAGGGCGCGGACCTGACCCCCAGCACGGATCTGACCCCCAGCACAGACCTGACCCCCAGCACGGACCTGACCCCCAGCACAGACCTGACCCCAGGGCGCGGACCTGACCCCCAGCACGGATCTGACACCCAGCACAGACCTGACCCCCAGCACGGACCTGACCCCCAGCACGGACCTGACCCCAGGGTGCAGACCTGACCCCCCAGCAAGAGTCTGACCCCAGGTCACAGACCTGCCCCACCCCCGGGCGCAGACCTGACCCCCAAGCGGATCTGACCCCCAGCACAGACCTGACCCCCGAGCTCGGACCTGACCCCAAGCTTAGATGTGACCTGAGCTCGGATCTGACCCCGTCAGAGTGCAGATCTGACACCCAGTAGGGATCTGACTCCTGAGCACGTCCAATTAAGGCTCTGAAAGATGTGTGGCCCCTTCCTTCCTCCCACAGTGCGTCACGTGTTGTGTTTCATGCTCAAGGAAGGGTGTGTATGTGTGTCCGTGTGAGAGAGACAGAGGTAAAGTATGTGTGAGAGCGTGCATGAATGTGTGTATGAGAGTGTGAGAGTGAGGGTGTGAAATTGAGAATCAATGTGTGTGTGAAAGTGTGACAGGGAGTGTGCAAGCGTATGAGCGTGACTCTGGACGAATGCATGCATGCAGACATGTTTAGAGGCTGAATGTGTTTTGAGTGTGTGTGAGTGCATATGTATGTGAGAATATGTGAGTGCATATGAGTGCATATGTGTGTTTGTGTGACTGCATGTGTGTGTGTGAATGTGAGATTGTGCTGTGTGAATGTGAGTTTGTGCATGTGTGTGTGAATTCGTGTGAGTGCATGTGTGTGTATGTGTGAAGACTGCATAAGTGTGAGTGCATGTGTGTGAATTTGTGTGCACGTGTGTGAGTGTATGAGTGCATGTGTGTATGTGTAAATGTGAGTATATGTGTACGTGAAGAATGCATAAATGTGTGTGAGTGCAGGTGTGTGTGTATGTGTGAAGACTGCGTAAGTGTGAGTCAGTGCATGTGTGTGTGAGAGGGTGAGTGTGTGAGAGCGTGTGTGTGTGATATTTACTGAGCCCCACACCCACTCCTGTCCCAGACGGCCACACGCCCCTGTGCTGGGCACTAACAATACAGAGGCCACCAGGTTGTAACTCCCACCCCAAAGAAGCGACGATCCAGCCGAGGACGCTGAACGCACCTCTAGAATGCAGTGCAATAGGGCACAGACCCATAGTTCCTCGAGGACCGGGACAGAATGTCCTCTCCCTCCCGAAGCTCAGTGCTGAGCACATGACTGATGCTAACATGCATGGTTGGTGGTTGGTGGCTTGTTGTTGGTGGCTGGTTGTTGATGAGCTGATTGGTTGGTTGGGTAGTTGGTTGGGTGGGTGGATCATTGTTCATTAGTTGGTTGGTTACTGATGTTAGTTGGCTGGCAGAGAACAAAAACCAGATAAGCCAGCATGGTACCCTAAACAGAACATGGACTTTGGGGTCACAGAACATGAATCCCACTCCTAACTCTGCCTTTTCCAAGCTCTGTGGTCATGAGAAAGCCCCTTCACACTGACATTTCCATGCCATAGGTTCCTCATCTGTAAAATAGGGATAATGGTAGCTACTTTGCAGTTAACACACATACAGTGACTAGGACATTAAGGGCACTCAGTGAATGGCAGACACTGTCACTATTATTCAACATGGAAATGAAGGATTAGATTCTGGAGTGTGTAAGACATCTTTCCTGCAACCCCCAACGTGACATCACTCGAGATTCTGCACACCGTCTCCACGTAGGCCCATGAGAAAAAAATACGAGTCACAACCATTGCATAATATGAGCCAGCCTATAACTTACAAAGTGCACAGAACTCTTGAAGGAATTTCAAAGCCCATGGAGCTCAAAGCCCCCTTCCTCTGGCCATTTGGGATTAATGACTAGCCCGAAACACACATATCTCATAGAGAGAAGGTTCGCCAAAAGTCACCAGCACATGACTTAGAAGCCTCCAAAACACTTTGCAGTTTGCAAAGCACTTTCACATATATTATGTCATGTGGCCCTCAGTGTACTCCTGAAAGGTAGACAGGACTCAATTAGTCTCCCCATTTACAGATGAGGAAACTGAGGCTCAGAGAAGCAAAGTTACTCAAATAAGTCACACAGCGGAGTACAAGATACAAGCTGTCTTTCCAATACTGAGATACATGGTCAATGTCTTAAAGCACAAATGGGCTGGGCATGGTGGCTCATGGGTGGGCATGGTGGCCCAGCATTTTGGGAGGCCGAGGTGGGAGGATCTCTTGAGCCCAGGAGTTCAAGACCAGCCCTGGTAACACAGCAAGACCCCATCGCTACAAAGAGAAAAAAAAAATTAGTCAGGCATAGTGATGAGTACCTGTTATCCCAGCTACTTGGGAAGCTGAGATGGGAGGATCACCTAAGCCTGGGAGGTCGAGGCTGCAGTGAGCCATGACTGCACCATTGCACTCCTGCCTAGGTGACACAGTGAGACTCTGTCTCAAAAAAACAAACAAATAAAACAAAAAAACCCCTAACAATCTGGAAATTGTTCAGATCAACAAAAAAGCACTAAAGGATACTTGGAGGTGTGGCAAAGTAGGAATTCCATTATAAAGTAATAAAAACTAAATTCCTAGTTCAACTCATAGAAAAACAGTAAACTCCAGATACATTAAATAACTAAATATGAAAGGCAAAAAAATTAAAAATGTGGAGGAAAACACAGGAAATAGCTTTATAAATTTTGAGAAAGATTTCTTAAACAAGAGGTAAAGACAATATCATAAAGGAAAAAATAATACATTTGGAGATTGAGGGTTATGAGGCTGAGTCCCAATAAAGGACTCAATAGTGGCATTTCAGCAGTAAGCAGAGAAAACATCCAGGAGTGGCTGAATTCCTTCACATCTTCCTAGAATGCAATAATATATTCTGTCAAAGTCTTCAGCCTATCAAGAAACACTTATTATCACCAACATCATAACCATCATCATAACCATTACCATAATATATCTTCACCATCATCATCACCATTGTCACCATCATCATCACCATCACTACCACCACCATCATTATCCACCGTCATCCATCATCATCACCACCATCACCATCACCACCACCACCACCATCGCCATCACCACCACCATCATCATCCATTATCACCCTCACCATCATCATCACCACCATCACCACCACCACAACCATCATCATCCATTATCATCACCCTCGCCATCATTATCACCATCCATTATCATCATCATCATCACCACCATCATCATCCATCATCATCATCATAATCACCACCATCACCATCACCACCATCACCATCACTACCACCACCATTATCCACCATCATCCATCATCATCACCACCATCACCATCACCACCACCACCTCATCACCATCACTACCACCACCATTACCATCACCACCACCACCATCACCATCACCACAACCACCATCACCACCACCACCATCACCATTACCACCACCATCACCACCACCACCACCATCATCACCACCACCACCATCACCATCACCACCACCATCACCATCACCATCACCACCACCACCACCACCACCATCACCACCACCACCACCATCACCATCACCACCACGACCATCATTATCACCACCACCACTACCACCACCATTACCACCACCATGACCATCATCATCACCACCACTACCACCACCATCATCACCATCACCACCACCATCACCACCACCACCATCATCACCATCACCACCACCATCACCACCACCACCATCATCATCACCACCACCATCATCACCATCACCACCACCACCATCACCACCACCACCACCATCATCACCACCACCATCACCATCACCACCACCACCATCGTGATCCATTATCATCACCCTCACCATCATCACTGCCATCATCACCACCTCCACCACCACAACCATCATCACCACCATTATCATCATCACCATCATCATCACCATTATCATCACCCTCACCATCATTATCACTATCAGCATCATATTTCTAGAAATAGTAGCAACTAACATGTACTGAGCACTTACCATGCACATTTAATCTTATGCACTTTGTCTACATTCACTTATTTATTTCTTACAAAAACCCTCATAGGCATAGGTAGAATCACTGTTCCCATTTGGTAGATGAGAAGCTGAGGCCCACAGAGGTTATAAGATCTACCTCTGGTACCACCGCTGGAAAATCGCGGGTTTGACACCAGGACTGGTGCACACCCACACCCTCTGTCCTCTTTAGGTGCTGGCTTATGCCTGTCATGCTGAGTTATCTGCCAAATGACTTCAGATCTGCCACCTTAAAGTCCACCCTCTTCACATGTGGGCCCAAATACATTCATCTATACATTTCACAAAAGTTCGTTAAGACCTACTAGATCCTAGGGGTTGTTCAAGACCCCAGAGACCTGGAGTTTGATTTCACATGGCTCATTTAATTGCGTTCTGATGGCAAATACCAGGGGAAACTTCTTTTAAGTTTAGAAATGCAAATATGTATTCAATATTTTCTAAGAGGTCCATCATATAAGCATCAATGTGAGGACATTGAGCCTAATGGAAAGTGAAAGATCCATGCTGGAGAAGGTGGGAGTACATAAACCCCATCCCCACCCCAGGTTTGCTGGAGAAAACTGTTTTTGCAGGTGGAAAATGACTGCATTTCAATCAGGATCAAATTCCAAGGGCTTTGCCAGTGCCCACAAGTGCCCACATGGTGTAGAGCTCTGGCTTGGCCAACTTCCTACTCAATAACCTATT
Organism: Homo sapiens; assembly: GCF_000001405.40. Classification (NCBI taxonomy): domain Eukaryota; kingdom Metazoa; phylum Chordata; class Mammalia; order Primates; family Hominidae; genus Homo; species Homo sapiens. The sequence goes on from NC_000016.10 coordinate 87,223,405, forward strand.
TCTACAGGTCTTTGGATATTAAAAAATATATAATACAAGATAAACTCAGCAGAAACCCAAATGAATGGATTCGTTCCCATTTTAATGTCGTTTGAGGGTGTTTTATAGCCTGCACTGTGTATCTTTCACACATCTATTTTTAAATACTGCAAACTTAATGACCACGATAAAATATATAAAACCCTTTATGAAATTCCATCTACAAAATTACAGCAAAAGCTAGGAGGTAAAAATGTGCAGTCGTTGCCGTTAGACACTGATGGAGGGAGCCTGAAATGTACTAAGTCAGTCCTGTTTTGAACAAGCTGCATGAGTTAATATCTCGGTCTTCTTCCTTATGGTTGCCCCAGTTGTAAACCCATCTTCTTCATGAAATGCAGGAACTTACAAATGATCAGATACCATTGAGTGAAAGTCAATCCACAAAAATTCCAAGGACCGGCTCATGCTCTTAAAACCACACTTCTGTAAGAAAGCCCTTAGGCTACCTTTAAAAAAACCAGCTAACACCTAATGCAAGCCAGGTACTGTTCTAACTGATTTATATACAGTAACTCATTTAAGACTCAGCACAGATCTGTTAGGCGGGTGCTGTCATTGTCATTCAATGTCAGATGTGGCCACTGAGGCCCAGAGAGGTTAAGCAAGTTGCCCAAAGACACACAGCAATAGGTGGCAGAGCCAGACTTTGAACCCCAGCCAACTATCTCTGCACTCTGCTGTTAACCATTATGCTCTCCTGCCTCTTGGGAATGCCTCTGTTATAATAGCAAGGCTGTACTGGACTGTAGGGACTTTGTTACCAGACACAGAGACAACATTATGGCCCCAGTTTCCCCATTAGAATACAATTCCCTCCCTCCCGATGAAGCAGGCAGTGATTCCATCCAATAATTGTGCTACAACCAGCCCATAGAGAACTTTGGTGTGAATTCAAGAAAGATTTTCCTTCTTCAATCTGTCAGAAAAATGGCCACAACATACTTTTTGTTGGAACAGGTCATTTGACTACCATCTGCCAGAAAAGTGTCATAATAAGCATTTCTATCTATATCTGTGATGAGAATGGAGCCCTTGAGGTTGTGCAGTGCGCAACCTGAATAATTATACATAATGGCCCTACCTTCCATCCTCAGCCAAGTCAAAACACATGCAGTTTGGACAGTGTCTGTGCAAAACTAGATGACAAAATGACAGTTGAGCAAGGGGCTAAGAGTGTGGTCCCTGGAGTCACACCTCCTATAGTCACTGTCAGGATTCAGCAGGGTAACACAATTCAGTGTTTCTAGAAAGTGCTCGGCAAATGTCAGTTATTGCTCTCATCAGTCCATTCAAACACCCTCTTCCTCTTTCTCCCCCTCAGTGCCACCAGGCAGCATTAGAGAGGATGGACATATTAGAGAGGCTGGACATTTCTTTCCCAGGGGAGGGGGAGGATGTCTCAACCCAGCTCATCAGTTCCTAAAAGACCCTGCTCTCCGCAGAGGTTCCCATTCAAGTTTTCTTACTCATTTTATTAAAACTTCATTCAAATGTCACATCCCCTCTGCCCATTCAGGGGAATGCTGGGTTACTGGTGCATAAGATGACTTGACATCTGCACTTTGTAACTTTTACACATGTATTTTTAAATACTGCAAACATAATGACCATGATAGAATATATAAAACCCTTTATGAAACCCTTTGACATTTTCCTCCCTATATACAGTTGGGCATATACATGATCCCACTGATCTTCCAGGCAACCCGCTGTCCTAGGTGCTCTTGTGCCCACTGCACAGATAAGAAATCTGAGGCTCAGACTGGTAAGAAGCCTTGCCCAAAGTCACACATCCTTTAAGAAGCAGAGCTGATAATTCCAACTCTGATGTGTCTGAACTTCACAGCAATCGTTCCTAACCAAAGTGGGTAATTTAGCCAAAATAAAACCATTTTGTAAACTTCATAGGTAAAGCTGACAGCAGCCAAGTCATAGTCCCTGAAACATGCAGCAGATGAAGACAGCGGCCCTCGTTGGACAAAAACCACATCTGCTTCCCTTTAAAAGAAATGACAAACAGAATAGCTGCTCACCATTCACAGCAACAGAGTCTAGAACTTAAGATGCTCCAAGCATCTTAACACCTTCTCAACTCAACGCACCAACGGAAGGGTCACCATGTATAAAGAAAAATGTGTTCTTCCATTTAATGTTTTCCCTTTCAGTAGGACCCCATCACCCTTTTTTAAGTAACAGCTTTATTAAGATATAATCTACACCATGCTAGGCATGTTTGTGGCTATTATCTCATTTAATCCATATCATCATTCCATTGCACTAATTTGAAAACCAAAGCTCAGAGAAGTAAACGTTCTCAGAGCCACACAGTTGCTCCATGGTAGAGGCAGGATTTGAACCTGGATCGCCCCAAGTCCAATCCCAAAGATACTTCCACTACTCCATGTTTCTCGTGCAGTAGATGGCAGCTGCCCTTTATCATTTTATTATGGTATGTTTTAGAGACAGCAAGGGCCTGTACTTTTGTTTGGCTTACAGAAACTCAAATGCATGCAATGTATCACTTCACCCATGCATATCCCTGGGTTGAAAATATGCCCACATCTATGGAACACCTAAGAACAAGCATTACACAAATAAACCGTTTCCCTAAATTTCCCTGTGATTCTTGGAGCTACTGAGACAACACTCCAATATTTCTGTAATTTTTAAGCCCACAAAGGAAAGTTAGTGTATAACAAAGGCCTTGGTGGCTTTCAGCTGCATCCTAAGCCTCCTCTCGTTAAATTTCTTAATAGACTGGCCTCATATCAGAGCCCAGGAGGAGATGGTCCACCTAGGAATAAGGGTTCTAATAGTTAACTCTGAAACTGGAAGCAAGCCAGTGACAAGGAGTTGAAACTAAAGAACACAGGAGACCTCCGTAAACGTCCTTCCAGCATAGACCTGAGGTTCTGAGCAACTGTGGGTAACGCACAAACCATTATTAAAACCAATAAAATACCATTATTTTACAAAAAATTAAATTCAATGCCTTGAAGCCAATTATTTATTCTATAATAAATTAAAGCTAATAACATACTATTAAAACCAAAAAAATCCTTACCTTTGGTGTAATGACAAGGACAGGTAGAATACGGTCTAGAGAGACCATCCCAAGGGACAAGGTCATGGAAGGAACCTTGAACACAGCAAAAGTGGAATCCAGAGACGACAAAAAAGGTCTCCACTTAAGTTTGATGGATTAAAAGTGGAGAACTGTGTTAAGAAGGACTCTGAGGCTAGGCCGGGCGCGGTGGCTCATGCCTGTAATCCCAGCACTTTGGGAGGCCGAGGCGGGCGGATCACGAGGTCAGGAGATCGAGACCATGCTGGCTAACACGGTGAAATACTAAAAATACAAAAAAAAATTAGTCGGGCATGGCGGCAGGTGCTTGTAGTCCCAGCTACTCGGGAGGCTGAGGCAGGAGAATGGCGTGAAACCAGGAGACGGAGCTGACAGTGAGCCGAGATTGCACCACTGCACTCCAGCCTGGGCAACACAGCAAGACACTGTCTAAATAAATAAATAAATAAATAAATAAATAAATAAATAAAAGAAGGACTCTGAGGCTAAATCTAAGGTCAGTGGGACAAAGTTCTGAGATCAATCAGCCATGCCTGCTGTGGTTAAAGGTTGGGGAACTTGGATTATACAGATGAGGTCAACTCTCCCACAAGAACAGCATATGATCATCCCCCCCCAGAACTGTGAGGTTATTTTCCTTATAAAAATCTCCAAAAAATGAGACCTTCAGTAACATATTCCAGGCATTAGCCATTCCCAACAGGAAATGTTCTCTAAACAGGTTTAGTTCTTGTGGACTTTCCAAGAAAAGTCCAAATTCCATCCTTCCCAACTCCAGACCTGGGACCCTAATGGAACAGGCGGTTTCCATTCTCTCAGGCCTCCGACAATTTCCAAACAGGACACAAAGATGAGCAGTCTTTAAAGAATGTTTCACGTTCATACAAAAAGGCAGACTTTCCCATCTGCCTGGAGGTTGCTTTTGGGCCACAGCCATGGGAATCGCAGAGTGCATTTGGACATTCCGATGAGCTGCCCTGACAGACCGGCTTCGCCCCAGTGAGGGAGGAGTGCCAGAGTCGCTTTGCAGAGGCCGCAGCCCCCCCAGTAGCTCTGCTCCCCTCTCGGCCACCCCCAGGGCCTCCTGCTCTGCCTGGAGGTGGTGCGGCCTGAAAGGCCCACATCTGCTGCCCTGGCCCCGGAGATGTGTGTTCCCCACTGCCAAGGCCTGTGGTGCCAGCCCCACGTTGCAAGCCGGATTGTGGTGGTCTGCCTGTGTTTGTTGAAATTGGGCTGGGAGAAAGGGCCTCGCCGTCAAGATTCCCTGGAATGTGCACCCGAGTGCTAAGGAGACGGCTCAGTCAGCAAGCTCAGGAAATGGGGCCGAAGGCTGGGCCGGGGCCCAGATCTGGGCCATCGCGCAGGCTGCCTGGAACAGGCCGTCAGGGAGGGAGAGCCAAGGGACCGCCAGGACAGAGGTTGTTTTTGTGTTGATATCGTCCTACTCTCAGTTTGCAGCTTGGGGCTTTCATTACCTTGACCAAGTAGAAAATCAAGTCAAAAGAGTTGATTTTCCTATTTGACACCTAGGGCTTTTTCCAAAAGGAAAACTGAATGGTGCAGAATTTCTGGAGGCTGGTAGCATATTCTCTTTTGTTCCCAAAGTGCAATGTCTAAACCCCTGTCTTAAAATAACAATAGCAACATGAGTAGGAATGAAAGACGTTCCCATTACTTGAGCAGCTACTATACAGAGAGACTGCCCTGCAGGTGATATTCAAAATACTCAATAACCACACGCAGTAGCAGATCAGAACTTACTGGAACTGGTCTCAGCAGCCCTCTCCCCGGCTATGCCAGGCGTTACCCCCTTAATTGCTGGATTATGAGGACATCTGGAGGGGAGACACTGGGGAATGGCTGCTGCAAAAGGAAGGCCCAGGACCTCAGGGCAGAGGTTATTTTCAAACAAGTGTGGTAAAATCCAATCTTTTCGCCACAGTCATGGTAAGATGCCTTGCATCTGAGTGTCTGCCCCAGGGTAAAGCACCTGGGCAAGATGATCGCCAAACACCCCAAATGACTCCACCCACCCTGTACACAGGAGCCCCTGGCCACCCATCGAAAGTTGAGATTGCACCCCTGCCCTTGACTCTGGGCTGGGCCTGCTTGGCCAATGGAACGCAGAGGAAGCGACCTTTGGGTCTTCCACGGCAGGTATTAAAAGGACCTGGCAGTGTCGCTTCCTCTCTCGGAGAGTCAGGCAAGAAATCCAGGTCATGCCATTGGAGGGAACAGCCACATGGATTATCCCTAGAGAGAGAGGCCACTCCTGCCACAGCCACAGCCACCACCTCACGGCAATCTCATGAGAGACCCCAAGACAGACAGTGGGAGAACCACCAGCCAAGCCCCACTGGCTCACAGAATCACGAGACACAATTCAAGGTTGTCGTTATAAGCCTTTGTGTTTTGGGATGGCTTGTCGCCCAGCACAGAGGGCCAGACAGCACCTGACATACGTCCCCTTCTTTACCATCACATCTGTGAGGTGGACATCATGATACCCATTTTACAGACTCCAAATAATGATGTTGTCCAAAACCACACTAAATACTCGAGACCAGCCTAACCAGTACCGTGGACCCCTAAAACATCCTAATTTACAGACAAACCCACAAGTTCCCTCGGACCCTCACTGTCAGACCCTCCACTCTTTATCAGATCTTCAGAAAGCACCAGCTGTGTCTCAGGATTTCTGCGTGTGGTCTTGTCAACCTTCTTCTGCCCATTAGGGCTTCTTGGACCCATGTGAGCTGGCCCCGAATTGTCAGAAGAACTGAGGAACCCACTGCTGTCGCCCACTGTAGCCTCCGCTATCAATGCCTCCAGCCCTTGGGGAGCGTCACTCTACTCACCCCCTGGGCCTCCTCCCAGCAAAGCTCTTCCTGCCCCCACCGTGCGCCAATTCTGGGCACATTCAGCTCCTGGGAGGCTTCTCAAGATGACATTGCCATTCCCGGACCTCCACCCAGCCCAAGTGGAAGAGCAGCCATGCAGTCAGCCGAGCCCATTCTTCACGCCTTACAGATGCACTCCACACTCTGCAGGCTTCCTCTGAGAAACCAAGGCATTGTATAATACAGGAGCTTTATTCCTGTCGGTGCTAATGGAATTGGGGTGGGGGAAATGCTCATTTTTTTCTGCTGCGAAGTACTTTTCCATATTTCTCTGTCTTTGTTATGAAATCTCCCCAGTGATATTAGCTAATTATTCAAAATAAAATTTCCCACTCCAGCTGAATTCCTCCCACCAGAGGGTCAAGTGTTTTTATTCCTGCTGTGCAGTGGTTAGTCACTGGCCCAGCTCTCCCCTCGGCCCTCATCAGGGTGATGGATGCCCAGCGTGAACAATGACAGGCAGGAGAGAAGGAGGGGAGCGTGCACGCCCCCATCCATCCTGTTTCTGCTGGCTCCATTCCCCTGCCTCCCTGTCCTTGCCCTTCAAGACTCTGCTCAGCTTCCCCTTCTTCCAGGAAGCCCTCAGGGAGCTCTCTCCCATCTCCATCCAATGAAGATACCTTAAGATACCGCTCATATAGCCCTAACCTCCTGTCTCTAATCTAATCTTTCTAAGTTTTGTTTTCTCAGCTATTTCCTAAGCTCCAAAATCCCATACCTCATGTTTTTCTTGTAGACAGTATCAGCGTCATCACAATTCAGCGGCTGCCCTGTGTTCAGACACTCGGCCCTGTGCTTCATGTGGGTTGCCTCATTTCATAATAGATACAACGATGTCCCCAGTCTGCAGAAGATGAGGCTCCAAAAAGGTGAGCCACAAGGTGTAGCTGGGTTGTGAGCTCAGGTAGCCCAAGTTCAGAGCCTGTGTCACTAACTATATTAGTAATTAACCTATGGCCTTTATTGAGCATCACAAATCAGAAGGAGAAAAAGTGAAAGAGCACATTTTATTGCAAATGGGCAATAAAGAAAAAGATAATGGTTTGGTGGTAATACTGAACACTGGACAAGATATACAAAGACAGGCCCTCTACTGCATTGCTTGTGGTGGTCACCACTTATACAAACATCCTAGTATTTGCTTGGATGGCATAGTACAGGTATCCTAAAATTAGCCCAAAGGTTTTACTCAATAATTCCTGCTGCGGAATAGCCCCTAAGGAAACGAGCACAATGTGGATAAAGATTTATACACAAGGCTGTTCTTGCAGCATGACTTCCAATAGCAAATACTTGGAAACAATCTCAATGAACAGCAATACGTATGACATGTGGAAATCTGGCTGGTGTTTACTTTCTTCTTTCCTTTTCTGTACTTTCCAAATTCCTTCAAAATGCATGTACTTCTTACATGATCGGAGGAAAACTCAACCACATTTTTAAGGCTGGGCAGGGACATAGCCCACTTCATTAGCATCAGAGAGGACAATTTTATGGAGGACATTCTGGCAGCACATGTTCCAACAGAACAATTCTCCTTCTAAGACCACATTTGACACAAATCCTCACAAAAATGCACCAAGGTATATGTGCAAGGACATTCACTGAAGCACGACTTGTAATAGCAAAAGGCTCAAATCAATCTAAAAGTTTACCCAAAGGGAATGGTGAAATAAATCATGGTACATCCATACAAAGGCATACGGTGAAGTTAAAAAGAAAGAAATGCAGCTAGAACATGAAGGATTGGCCATGACATTGCTCAGAGAAAAAGCCACATTGCAGATCCATGTGTGTAGTATAATCCTATTTGTGTAAAAAAAGTATAAAGGTATGTGATTGTTTATACAGACATTAGAAAGTCTAGAAGGATTTACATCAAACTCTTAGACAGTGGTTACCTGAAAGGGAAACTAACTGGAAGAATTAGACACTTTAATGTTTTACTTTGCTTTTATATTGTTTGAATCATTTCCAAGAGCGGTACTGCTTTAGGCAAGTAAACAAGTCCTTTATTTACTTTTTCTTATGGAAAAATTCAAATACATGCAACCATACAAACAGCAATGTAACAAACCCCAGTGTGCCTCTCCCCAGCTTCCAGCCTTGCCAGTGATCAACTCCTGTCCAATCCTGTTTCACCCCTACGCTATCCACCCAGATTACGGTGCCACTGTCACACTCAAACATAACAGTAGTTTCTTAATGCTATCAAGTTTCTAGGCAGTGTTCTAATTTCCAGTCCCTCGTAACATTATGAATTATTTTTAACAGTTCAAATCAGAATCCAAATAAAGGCCCCAAGTTATAATAGCTTGATATGACTTTTAAGTCTTTTTCTTACATGGATTATTCATTCTCTCTCTCTCTGTGAGTTTGTGTGTGTGTGTGTGCATGTATCTGTGTGTGTGTATATATATATGTGTGTATATATATACGTGTATATATGTGTGTGTATATATATGTGTGTGTATATATATGTATATATATGTGTGTATATATGTGTGTGTATATATATATATATATATATATATATTTGGAGAGAGAGAGAAGTGTTAAAGAAACCAGGACATTTGTCCAACAGGGTCTCCCCATAGTCTAAGTGCAGCTGGCTGCATCATCATAGTGTCATTTAACTTGTGCTTCTGTCCTTCATGTTTCCTGAAAATTGGTGGTTGGATCAGGAGGCCCAGTTAGGTTCAGGGCTGAGGTTTTGGGCAAGGTTGCTTCATGAGCCATGGTGTGCTTTGCCATCAAGAGTCTCTGGTCTCTTGTGTCGTGATGCTAGCAGTGTTGATGCTCCATGCTAAGCCACTGGTTTATTCTGGAGATGTGTTAAACATCACTCCCATGCACTGTTCAGCATGAAACCAGGGTCTCTTCACTGAGCAAAGGCTGACACAGCAGGTGCATGTGGTGCTGTAATCACCTTGGTGGCCACTCTTATCAACTTGAGGTCTTTGCTCTTAAGTCCCTTCAGCTTGATCAGACAGCCCCCAAGAGTGTGGGGTGGCACATACACAACATCGTCAGTGTGCCTCTTGCTAATCACTCGACCTGTCTGAGCCTCCATAACACAGAACAACACCCTCTCCTTGCACTTACCCTATGAAAGTGCTTTGGAAACTGAAGGCTGAAGCACAGTGGGGAAGTGTGGAAGGAAGGTCTTATTTACACAGGTGTTTCACTCCTCACACTGAGGCAACCCAGTTGAATGGATAAGCTTGCAGACCCTCAAGCAAAATGGGAGACCACCTGGGCTCTAATGGGGACTTCCTCGCTTTTTGGTTGTATAACCCAGGGCAAGTTATTCACCCTCTCTGTGCCTCAGTTTCCCTGCTGTTAAATGGCAATAACAAGATCAGCGACGTCACAGAGGGGTAGCAAGAATTGGATTAGGTAATGTGCATAAATTGCTTAGGACAAGACCAGCACATCACGCGCTGGCTTCCATTACATGACCTTTGACGGTTTCACCTACAAATGAATCCCAGTGAGCACAAGAAGGACTAGCAACCATGCAACTTCTTGCATGGTGATTTAAGAAGTGCTTTGTTCTGGAATCAGCCATCATGGTGGTCCTGCTTCCTAGCTTTGCTGCCTTAGACAAGTTACTTCACCTCTCCCAGCCTCAGCTTTTGCATGGGTAAAGTGACTAAGCCTCAGGGAGATACTGCAAAAACTGAACAACCTAAAGTATGTTATGCTAACAGCTAACATTTACGGGAGGAGGAGCACTTTGCTCCACTCTGTTCTGTGCTTCCTCTGTTACCCCACCTAAGGTTGCCAGCACTATGCCAAGGAGGCAGGACTCTACCCACTCCACAAACCTTTATCTGCAAACTCTGGGGCCAGACGTGTTTCAGAGTTTAGAGTGTGGGGACTTTAGAAGTCAATAAGGTACACCTTAACACCTCACCAGAGCCTGGAGAAGCACCTGTAATCAAGCGCATTAATAGTTCTTCAGGAAGACATATGAACATCCCTCACTAATTGGGATAAACAAAGATCTAAATAGATTCATATCAGCTCAGGTCAAGTTTTGCCACCGAATTAGTTTGAGACAAACCTACAACAACTGTTTTCCTGTACTGATCTTTTGAGATTTGGGCCCTGCAGATGAAAGCATGTGGACCAGCAGTGTAAGCATCAGAGAGACCACACATGGGGTGCAGGGGGCAACAGGGTGACTCACCCCATCAGGACCTGTTGACATCTGGGCTTTCTCACAAATGAGAATCCTGGGACCCCAGGCTGGGATAATCCTTTGGACTGTGGGCACGGCTGGGCAGTAATGGAGTTCAGGAAGGCTGAGGCAAGGATGGGGACACGTTTACCACCCTTGGCCCCTTCATCCATGCCCTCATTGTCAGCTGGAGGTGCTGTGGGCTCCAGGAACCCTGAAGCTCCCTGGGGTCCAGGGAGGAGCAAGACTATGTTAGGGACATGCAGTGGCCTCTCCTGTCTTGTCACCCAGCATCTAGGCATGACCCCACCTCTTGATATAAACCACTTCTCTCTCCCTTCTCCAAGTCCGTTTTCTTGTAGGGGCCGCCATATTCGCCTGTGACTCTGCCTCCATGGATCACAGTTGATTGGTCCAGTGGACACATGACCCACATGATCCACTCAGAGTCTTCCTCTGAGATTTTTCACAGGGTTGGGAGCAGGAGCCGTCCCTCCCATGCAAGGCCAGCAGAAGCCGGCAGATGCGTGGTTCCGGTGCAGTCACTTCTGCCCCCATGTGGAAGAAGCTGTTTTGGAGACAGAACTGAGTTGGCGAGCAGAGAGAAATGGGTGTGAGAGAGACAGAGGTTTTTCATGCTCTCTAGTTGAACTGTCACAGAGACCCAGGTCCACTCCTGCCCTCTCCGCGGTCTGGAGTTCTATCAAGCTGGAGTGGAAATAGGGTGTGAGGGAAGAAAAGGTCCTAGCAGCTGGCTGCAAGCCGCTCTCTCACTTGTAAATGAGAGCGGTGCTGGAAAGCAAGCTCCTGCTTCTGTATTTGTTCAGGCCATGGAGGGAGCACCTCCTACCCCAAACCCACCCAACACCTGTTGAGAAACACTGACCCCATTGCACAGTTTGGATTTACACGGACTCTGTATAACACCTTGTAAAGAAAGCCACTGGTGCAGAAGATTAAAGAATGCCATTAAGTAAGTTGTTTTATTTCTTCTGAGACCGAAGGAAGGCTGAAAAAGTGCAAGGACATGTCGCTGAGTTATTTACTCTGTTACCAGGGACTGTGCATTGCCTCCCAAAAGCACGCCAGCTGGGTCACCATGGTCGTTTATAAGGTGTGAATGTGGAGGGGGGGCCAGCGCCATCCTGGGGGGAAGCTTGGAGCAGTCACGTGGATCTAAATGGAAAGTTAGTGCCAGTAAAAGCTCCTGGGGCCGGCCTGGCGTCCTGGCCCTGGCAGGACACTGAAGGAGGTCTGCACAGCTCCATGAGTGCCCACAAGTCCCTGGGTGGAATGCCTGTCAAGACCCTGCCCATTTGGGCTGCTGTGTCCCTTTATGAAGTTCTGCAAATCCTTTTCTGGAGCTCAGGGTGAATGGAGCCCCTTTCGCTCCCAGCTGCCTAGGAGCATGGGAGCGGGGAGGGTTTCACACCGGGGCTGAAGACAGCTCGTGCTACACGTGAGGCTGTCTGGGTTTCTGGCCTCCTTCTGGCCTGCTCCCTGAGCAGCTGGCTTGAGGGAGCACAGGGGTCTTGGAAAAGTACCCTAGGGTTGCAGGGGACAGATGCGGACTTGTAGAGGACAGATTTGGACTTGAATTGGCTTGGGCCAAGGAGAAGGCTTTGCTGTAAGGGGACCCAGAAAGCTCACGAGACCCTCAGGCAGACAGAGGCCTTCAGGAAGTGAGGCAGGCACGGTCTGTCTGTCTGTCTGTCTGCCACCCTCTGCTTGACCACTCACCTCTGTGTCCCGTGTTCTTGGGTGTGTATCTCCTGCCTCTCTCCCACTCCAGACCCTCTTTCTGGGGTCGTGAGTACACATAGTGGAATATGAACGCTGCATGGCCCCCAAATGATGTGCCACCATTCAGGTCACCCCCAGAGAGCAGCGTCTCTGAATCCCAAATTTCTAAGTGAGAGAATTTGTTGGCCAACCTGGAGTCAAATGTCTATCCCCAGCCTGACTAATAATGGCCAAGGGGGTCACACAAAATGTCACTGTCTGCTCCTTTTCTCCTCCTAGAGCCACTGCTCATCCTGTCAGTCGACGAATACACTGAGCACCTACAACATGCCAGGCAGGGTGCTAGAGGGGGACCTGAGGCCTGGAAGGAGGAAGGAAGGAGGCCTGGCCTTTGCCCTTGGGATGTTGCTATCCCAGTGAGAGGGGCAGATACAGAGGCAGTAGTCACAGATGAAATCCCAGCCTCTGGAAGCCCCATGAGAGAAAGGTGCCCGACGCCAAGAACTTGTGGTGCAGATGGGGGTGGGATGACCCGGGAGTTAAAATCAAAACACTGCATAGACATTAACCAGGCAGGTGAAGGAGAAAGAGCCTCCAGGCAGAGGACAGAGCACAGACCAAGGCCCTGCCCTTGACCCTAGGCTGGGCCTGCTTGGCCAACAGCATGCAGTATACAGGGTGGGGAAGGCCGGTGGGCAGCAGCCCCTGGATGGGCAAGGCAGGTATGGGGGCAGCCGGGGAGACTGGGTTGGGGCGGAGGGCTGGCAGTGCTGTGAAGACCACGGGAAGGAAGTTAGCCCTTACCGCAGCGACCACAGGCAGCCACTGGGAGGCTGCAAAAGAGAAGCAACTCAGGCATGCAGGGGCCTCCAGGAGCTGCCGGTTTTCAGGTCCCCTGGAAGGCGAGCCCAACTGGGTCCATCGAGTTCAGCTTCACTCCCCATGCCTCCACGCTCAGTGCTCTCCACCCAGGAACTCCATTCCAGAGGATCTGAGACCTGCCTTGCCCTGTGGTCCTGCCTCTGGCTCTCCCATTTTTGGTCTGGGCAGCTGGCGCCATAGAGAAATGTCTCATGCTTAGCCACCTCCCCTACTGGATGCTAACATCCCCTGCACTCTACAGGGAAACACGGGGCCTGACTTGGCACAGGGACCATACGCAGAGGCCGGCGAGCTCCAGGTAAACCTGTGCCGCCCCTCCCTCTGCCTGGGGAGAGATCTGCATCCTTAAGTCTTCAGAGGAAGACCACGTGAAGACAATGGCAATGACGGTACACTTGGCGGGTACTGCCACACTGCGCATTGGCAAGGACTGGCCCGGCCTCACCCCGGGCATCAGAGCTGTCATTTTACCCATCTCAGTGACAAAGAAGCAAAGGTACAGAGGGGAGGAGCCTCAGCACAGCCACGTGGCCAGGGGCAGTGCAGCTAGTTCTGAACTCACAACCAGCCTCCTGAGCCCCCATTTTAACCACATCAGCCTATGACCCCCCCACACACATCCCGAAAACACAGCCCAGTTAGGTCAGGCTGTGGGTCTGTGCATGGTGCTCTGGCTCAACATCCAGTCAAGTCCAAACTTGTGGCTGTGCTCCAGAGGAGCCTGAATGACCCAGCTGTGCTCACCCTGCCCTGGCCATGGGGCCTCTCCCCCAGGTCCCCTGGGGGCACCCTGTACCCCTGCCACCCTCCCGCTTAACACTTACAGAACACTCACATTTTCTACAAGTATTGGGGGAACCCTAATTCCCCAGGTGGCACAATGGAGCTCACTCTGCCTCTGCTCAGGGAAGGACCCCAACCTCAGAGCCGGGCAGCCACAGACCTGAGCCTCAGCCCCTCCCACACCTCCAGCTGCACCCGGGCAGGGGAGGGACCCCCAGGGGCTGGCCAGGCAGGTGCTGGGACTCTGGATCTAGCACTCTGAAGGAAGTGGGCGGGTGGGGGGGCTTCCAAAGGCTGTTTGAGAAGCCTGTCTCTTGGCAGGAGAGGTGGAGGCACTGGTGTCCAGTTATTCCTCCCTTGAGGGAAGCCCCTCTTCTTGGAAGGGAGGCACCTAACTTGAAAGACACTGACAGAAATGAGCATGAGTTTTGTGTGGGTAGCGATGCAAACGAACCTGGTTGGGAGAAAAAACAACCCCAGAGGTTATTGTTTTTTGTTTTTGTTTTTGTTTTTGTTTTGAGATGGAGTCTTGTTCTTGTTACCCAGGCTGGAATGCAGTGGTGCGATCTCTGCTCATTGCAACCTCCGCCTCCCTGGTTCAAGTGATTCTCCTGCCTCGGCCTCCTGTGTAGCTGGGATTACAGGCACCCGCCACCACGCCCGGCTAATTTTTGTATTTTTAGTAGAGACAGGGTTTCACCATGTTGGCCAGGCTGGTCTTGAACTCCTGACCTCAGGTGATCTGCCTGCCTCAGCCTCCCAAAGTGCTGGGATTACAAGCGTGAGCCACCGTGCCCGGCCAGAGGTTATTGTTTATTGCCCCATATAACATTAACTAGCTTTGTAGCTAATCTTATCACACAGTAATCCAAAAGCCTTTCCCGATGGAATCTATAAACCCCTGTTCCTGAATGCACCTTGCCATCTTACTGTTTCCAGTCCTGCCATCACATCATCTCCCTGACCAATGAGTTAGTCCATCAGTCTCTGGCATGTTTTTATTTTCTAATTGTGTGGAGTCATGGTTTTAATTGTAACACTATACTTTAACAAATATCATCACGGATGGCTTCCTAAGGAAAATCTACATTCAGCTGGGCTGGGACAGACGACTTAGACACCTGAGTAGGGCGGGTATGCCAGGCAGAGGCAGGACTCCAGTCTCCACCAGCAGAGCCACACCCATGCCAGTCATTCCGTTCCACTTGGCTGGTGCTGGTCGTAGTCAGCTTGAATTGCCACAACAAAATACCATGGCTTGGGTGACTTCAACAGGAATTATTTCTCATAGTTCTGGAGACTGTAGAGTCCAAGATCAAGGTGCCAGCAGATTTGGCTCCTGATGAGGGCTTTCTGCCTGACCTGCAGAAAGCTACCTTCTCCCTGTGACCTCCCCAGACAGACAAAGATTAAGTGTTGGTCTTGTCCTTGTGATATAAGGAAACTAATCCCATGATTAGCGTATCTTATAAGGCCCCGCCCTCATAATCTCATCTAAGCCTAATCGCCTCCCAAAGGCCCCAGCTCCTAATACCATCGCACTGGGGTCAGGGCTTCAACGCAGGAACTTGGGGCTCGTAACAGAGCCTGCATCTTGAATGTTACTATTAGGCAGAATAATATTGGATGGAAAGATAGATTCACAGGAATGGATAAGGTGGGTTTTTTTTTTTTTGGTTTTGGTTTTGGTTTTTGTGAGACAAAGTCTCGCTCTGTCACCCAGGCTAGAGTGCAGTGGTGTGATCTCTGCTAACTGCAACCTCCACCTCCCAGGTTCAAGCAATTCTCCTGCCTCAGCCTCCCAAGTACCTGGGATTACAGGCACACACCACCATGCCTGGCTAATTATTTTGTGTTTTTAGTAGAGATGAAGTTTCACCATGTTGGCCAGCCTGGTCTCAAACTACTGACCTCAAGTGATCCGCCTGCCTTGGCTTCCCAAAGTGCTGGGATTGCAGGCAAGAGCACAGTGCCGGGCCTGGATGAGGTGTTTTTAAGGAAAGCCGATGAATTTATCTGGCTTCAATGGGAGAAACCGTATAGTTGGAGATTAGGCTGGAAGAATTTGTGAGGAATAAATAAATTAAAGAACCTCTAAACAGTGGAATATTCTGTATTCCAGAATGAGTAGCTTTGTCTGTGCTGATACAGAGAAAGCTCTAAGATATATTAAATATATTTTATAACTAACAATACTCAGGATCCGTTGTTAACATTTTTTAAAAGTATTGAAAAAAATGGTACAAGTAGAATGATATTATTTATGTATTAAACTATGTAAGTACAGATGTAAACATAAATATGATTTTATACATCAGAAATTTTCTAGAGAGAACAATGGAAAATTGCCCCAAACCTGGCCTGGGAAAGAACTGATGTCATTCACAACTTCCTTCTGGGAAGAAATGGGTGTTTGTATGAAATGCATTAAGTTGATTTTCAGATAAACTTCAAGTCAACCCTCAGTCAAGAATAAATGATTATTAACCAGTTATTCTTTTTTCTTGTGTCCAGGCTGAGATTTCAGAAGTGAGGGAGCCTTTTACTCTTCATTTCATGTGGTTTCATAATCTTTAAGTTTTGCCATTGCCAGTATTATTTTAACAAATGTATTTGAGGATCAAACACATATCACGTCCAGGTTGTGGAGAAGCTTAAATGCCATGCGAAGAATCTGAAATTATCATGCAAGGAGGAGGGGACAATGGAAGGTTTTGAGCCAGCAAATTCCTGAGCAAAAGTGTCATTTTTTACCTGGAACGAGTGACTTCCCTCCCACCCCCCTTGCCTGCCTGTGTTCTCCTAAGCTTCTCCTAAAATGAGGTTTGGAAACTGCGGTTCTTTCAACTGAATACTCAGAATAGATTTAAACAGAAAATGACTGTGAAGAAAAATTATAAAACAGTTTGAAGTGGGCAAAAAAAAGGTTATTGGATATCAATTGGAATGATTTCTCAATTAATATCAATTAATTTTATTAATTTTGTTGATTCGGATAATATTCGATCAAGTATCAAAGGATTCTTCAATCAATTAATTTTATTTATTCCAATGATATCGAATCAAGTATCGGTGGATATTTCAATCAGTTAATTTTATTGATTCCAGTGATATGAATTGGAATGCTGAGAATTGTCTAGCAAGCCCTGCGGGGTCATCTGGTTCTGCAGAGCTGTGCGCTGCTGGAGCAGGCTGGTCAGCCACTCTGGACATTATAGAACACAGAGAGTAACACGCATGAGTCTCACCCCTAGGAATCCAAATTACGTCTGCCCTATGGAGATACAATTAATTCACCCTGTAGAAAACTTGGTTCCAAGCATTACATCTTCAGCCCTAGAGGCATAAACTAGGTGTGTGCCTATTCAGGAATTCATTTTGGTTCTTCCTGATTTCCTCATGCCTGTGCTTCACATCCTTTGAGTCAGCTTTCATGTGTCAATCACTTATAAATGATGTATGTAAAATCTCTTAAATGTGTCCATTTGATACTTGCATAAGAGCCTTGATTTTACCTTTTGAAAGCTGTATAGTTTAGCATGGCCAAACCAGACCAGAAGAAATGAGGCAATAGCTCTGTTCCACAGTTATCGTCTATCGAGAGAGGAATTCAAGATGACCAGAATTTAGGGTCTGACTCATTTATGATCCAGCGTGTCAGGAAGCCGGTACCGGGAAAGACAGATGTGATCTGGAAACAGTTGAGGAGTCAGTTGGGCATGGAGTGGCAGGGGACTGCTCCAGATGTGGCAGAATGGGCTGGGGTGGGGTGAGGATGGAGGAAGAGCTGGGAACGAGAGAAAATCTGATTATCAGATGCACAAATCGCTGACAGACATGTTTCTGTAATTATAGGATTCTAAGCAGGACAGACAAAAATGAAGAGGTGAGGAGCTGGCTGTGGGGAAACTTGTTATTCTTGAATCTGAACAATGACGTGTTTTCTTGAAAGATAATCAGATAAGGAAGCAAAAGAGAGATTTGCTCTGAACTGCGCCCAAGCCCGTGATCGTGCAATATTTACATTAAATTCAAAAGTGAATGAAATGACAGGTCAGCCAACAGGAGAGTAGTTTTTGCCTGTAAAGGCACTCTTCTTACCCGGACAAATGGGCAGGCTGTGTTTTGAAAAATAATAATCCAGGACAGAATGGGGAAGGGGTGAGCTTTTGTGGAAAGATCCAGTATCCGTGGATCATTTCAGTGTTTGTGACCTCGAGAAGGAAAAGGAGGGAAGCAGTCTGGGGCGTTTTCCTGGACTTTGGACATGGGCTCTGGATATGGCGTCGGGGGCCAGTGCGCGCAGGGCTGGCCGGGGGACAGACATCCACCAGAGCTGGTGTGCTCTTGGCTCTGTTCCCGCTGGACCTCCGTGAGATTGAAAGATTTTCCTAGAGGGACAAGGGACTGAATCTTCTCCAGCTCTGCACCTCCTTTGAAGACATCAGAATAATGCTTCAGACTCAAACTCCCTGATTTTTCTTGTAAACAATGCAACCCAATTCGTTTAAAACTCTTATACGAGGAACAGAAGTTGTGTAGCATTGTGGTTAAACAAGGAGAGCTTGAAATCAGGGATCACATTCTTGCAACCTCTGCCTGTTGACATTGGGTTGGCTCAACTTTCCAAACCTTTGGTCTCTCATCTGGAAAGGGAGTGAACATCTCCCAGCATCGGGGCCAGTGAGTGGGCTGCGTGCTACCAGGCTTACCTGGAGCTCTCACTCGATGGCACTTACTCCAACACTATGGTGATCTTGATTGGTAGTAACGGTATTAAGGCAAAATGCAAAAGTTCAATCTGATTGTTGCACCAGGATAGTAGGAGATTATTGATAATTATTTCTTCAAATCTGTCTTGAATTTTATTGCTTTGCTGTCTTTTCAGTTGTAAAATAAAATAAAACTTGGATTCAACAGGAAGGGTAGGAATAATGATTTCTAGAACATTAAAATAATAGCACATAATACTTACTACATGCCGGCCATGGCTCCATTCACCTCTCACAATAAATCTACGTGGCAGGGGCTCTCATGATCCCCATTTCACAGAAGGGGAAGCCACAACCCAGAAGGACAAATGAACCTGCCAGGAGGAGACGGTGAGCAATTGGAACAAATGCCCAAGGGTCTGGCGCCGGGAATGGAAGGTCCCTTTGGTAAAGTACACATCAGTAAATAGAGACAGGGTAGATGGAACACTACACAGATGGAGACCTCTGGGTCACGAACAGGCCCTTCTGCACACCAGGTCTGAATGACTGCCTCTGAGCTGATTTAGACCCCCCACACTCCACAAAGATACCCAAGAGGCCTCTGGTTCCTGCACCTCCCAACTTGCCTTAAGACCAAATCTGTTCTGGTGGCCAGAAACCAACTCCCTCTCCCGTGGCACAGAAGAACTTCCAGCTTCCTTTATTAAGAAAGATTAAATGTCTTGTGAATATAGCAGTGCCCTGGCTGAGCTAGCGATGTGTCCACTGTGGACGCAGTGAAAGACAGATTTCACCCTGGACAGACAGCTTGTCTCCTGCCCAGGGACAGTCCGAGCCAGCCACCAGGCAGGGGACCAATTAATTCATGAAGTCAGCTTGCGAGGCCCTCGCTAGCGAAGGCAGAAACTGTGCACATGGTTTTCCATTTATTCAGGAGGCAGCGGCAATGCCCAACAAGACAAACCAGCCGATTTGGTTGAGGTTGCCATCAATAGTGAGTGCCCCAGGTGCTGTCCAGGCAATGCTCACAGCCTCACAGGCTCCTGCCCCACTGGGGGCTTGGGAAGAGTTCAGCAGCGTCTGGAGGTCTGTGCATGAAGACATCCCCACAAGGCTGTGTTTGGGCACAAAAACTACACTTCTGTTTTGAGCTTCGGAACGCCTGGGCTCGGCTCAGCCAAGCTAACAGAAAGACCTTTCATTAGGCTCTCAGGAGATATTTCCAAAAAAAAAAAAAAAAAAAAAAGGAAAGGAAAGTAGAGCCTTTCAAAGAAGAAAGTTCAGTGCTCAGCAAAAAAACAGTTTTTTTAGAATAAAAATTTAATCAATTTTTGTGGTTTCAATAAAAGCAAAGGATTTTGTGGTTTTCCCTCAAATTTTTCACCATTTTCCATAAAAACAAAAGCCAATATTTGAAACCATTTTTCCCCCAATGAAAGTGGCAACGTTTCTGCCCAGGGACAGTTTCTTGGAGAAGTATCTTTGCAAGCTTCCAGGCTTGGGATCGCTGTGTTGGGGCCTGAGAATACATGGGGTTATTTCACCTGCAGCCAAGTGTGTGCACCTCGGATCACAGAAATGTGATTCAGTTGGGAAATTCCACATGATGAGAAAAGATCACTTTTCTTTCAAGAGGTATAAAAAGTAGGCCATTTTACTTTCTAGGGAGCAGGACACAAAGGTCTGAAGGCGGTCGCTGCTATATGGGGGTTGTGTCCTCAGCAAGTCTGTTTGCAGAGAACAACAACAACAAAAAGCTCCCTTCTGATGCTCATTATAGACCCATGCATAGAATCGTCCTATTTGAGATCTCAAAGGAGCGTGGTTGAACTTTCTTATTTTGCATATGAAGAAGCTGAGGCTCACAGCGGCTGCAGGGCTGACCCTACGACACAAAGATGATCCGCAGAGCTGCCACTCAAATCAAGGCCTCTTTGCCCACAGAGTTTTTTTGCTTCCCCGTCTCCTGAGCCCTCTCTTAGTAAAGCTTGTTTTTATCAACTCTTAATTCCTGGAACAAACATCATCTACACTTTTGGCAGCAAATTTTAACGTTTCTTGACTACCTAGGTCAAGAAATGACTACCTAGGTCAAGAAATGACTACCTAGGTCAACAACTTTCAGCCTCTTGCATTTGAACTTTAGCAAAAGATTCTGAACTGCCACAAAAATATTCCTTTCACACTGGGAGCGAGAAGGTTCCAGGAACTATTGAGGGCTCTCAATTGGTGAAGCAACCCAAGACTATCACCCTCTTCTGGATTTTTGCTTCCCTGCATTTAATGTCAAGAGCAACATTTTCCTACTTTTACTCTTTGCTTTGGCTGCTAGGAAGCGCAAAGCTAAATTTTGTCTTTAATTGCTATAGCTTTCCTCAGTTTGTTTTGTTTTGTTTTGTTTTGTTGTTGTTTTTTTTTTTGTTTTTGTGACAGAGTCTTGCTCTTGTCACCCAGGCTGGAGTGCAATGGCGCGATCTCAGCTCACTGCAACCTCCACCTCCCAGGTTCAAGCAATTCTCCTGCCTCAGCCTCCGAAGTAGCTGGGATTACAGATGCACGCCACCACGCTGGGCTAATTTTTGTATTTTTAGTAGAGACAGGGTTTCACCATGTTAGCCAGGCTGGTCTCAAACTCCTGACCTCATGATCCACCCGCCTCAGCCTCCCAAAGTGCTGGGATTACAGGCATGAGCCACCGCACCCAGCCTCCTCAGTCTAGATGTTTTAATGTAGTTTCTGTCTTTGCCACTTTACTCTCTTCTCACTTGCCTTTTATTCTGGGTTAATGCTTTTTATGCCTTGTATTTTTAAGTAAAACATTTTCATTTTTTTCTGAAAATGGATAAAGAATAAATATGAAAAATAAATACTTGTTATCTCAGATCTCAAACCAAAATAAGTGACAAAATCCCTCAATTCTAGATAGCCAAATGCAAGGAAAACTCAAAAGTAATTACAAAAAGAACTCCCCCATGCACACACACATAAAAAAGCTGGCAAAAGAAATCCAATATGTTCGTTAATGGCCAGTCCTTTAGAAAATCACAAAGTTGTCATCGTAAACCTCCTGTCTTACTCTGGTGGTTAACCACCACACAAAGGCAGCAAAGCACATCTCTAATTCTTAACCTTGAGCCTGTGTACACTTTATCCCTCTGCGCTCAGGATGTCAGCACTGGAAAACCCCTGAGCACCAACTCCAGCTCCACCATTTCTCAGATGAGGAGCCTAAGCCCCAGAGAGGGCAAGCAACTTCTCAACGGCCACACAGCTTGGAAGCTGCGAAGCTGAGGGTTCTTTCTCGAGTATCATGCCCTCCTTCTTCAACGTGCCTGATTCCACCAAACCATGTGAGAGACTCAGGAATTTAAATCACTGACATGAGTAGTTTTGTTTTTGTTTTTTCAGGCCAACCTAAAAGGTAAAAGGAAAAAGACTGCTTCTACTGGCTGGTCCATGACAATACCCAAACTTGTGCTTTCTCTCTCTCTCTCTCTCCGTATGTGCGTGTGTGTGTGTGTGTGTGTGTGTAAAATCTTTATAACTAAACTATAGGAAATTGTTGCTAAAACAAGCTGTGACACCTTCAGTTAACATTTTTTATTGGATAAATGCTCAACAAGAGTCTACCCAGCACCACGGAGGTGGAGAGCAGTAAACAAAACAGAGAATTGTGGGACCCCCAGGGAGCTCACAGGTCAACCCCAGGAAGCTTACGTCTGAGGAAAAAAAAACACCGTGCCCAACCGAATGTCTCCACATAAACTCTAAACTCTGCTTGATGTGGACTGGAGAGAGAAACCCCCAGCCCCTCAATGAAACCAATTTCTTTTTTAACACAGAGAAAGGAAAGCTTGGCTTTCCATTAGCGGTTGTTTCTGTAAGGTGAATTAAAACAATGTGATCATTTAAACTTTCCCCCACGAAATATGCGGTATCAGAGGAATGTCCGTTCACAGCTGGGAAAGCTTGGACGGGCTGCATTCGCACGCTCCACACCCCTGGGTCTCTGCTGAATCCTGCCTTAGTGTCTGCTGAAAACTTAGCGTCAAATAAAATGGCTTCCCGGAAACCTGCGACCCACAAAGACAGGCTTGGGATCCAGAACATTAGTTTTCTGTGTGTTCGTGGAAAATGATTGATTTAAATATGCCGAGAACGTCTTAGTGGTAAAAGTGAGTGGATTTTTTTTTTTTAAGGAAAATTTTATTGGGAATATTTTTTCCCCTTAGGTGTGAAATTTGGCAGGTAACTGCATTCTCTGATGGACTGTTGAAGACTCGGTTAATTAGAAATAAGATTCAGGTCCAAGGTAAACATCTTGAGCCTGCTAAGTCTTCTTAGGATGTTTGTCTGAAATGCTTCTGAAAATAGTATAGCTTTCTATAAAGAAATCTTAACCGATGTTCATCAGTGGAGTTGACTATGTTCTAACCCAGCCCTTACCAAATTGGTATTAGATGAGGGATTAGTCTCTGATTTTATGTGAAAATCCCAAGAGGAAAAGCAGCTCCAACCACGGCTTTCATATCCATTTTTCAGAAATAAGGCCTAAAGGCTCAGCAACTGCACCTCTTTAATCAAAGCAGTGGGAGACTGTTCAACCAGCTCCCCGGTGGCTCGGTTCCGAAAATCAGGGCAGCTAATTGCCCACTGTTTGTTGACACAATCGATCGTGCAGACAGGAGACAAACAGCAAGACATCCACAGAATTTCCGTAGGTTGAGATACTCAATGCTTATCTGTGCATCACGCAGCCGGGGCCCCCTCTGCTTTGGAATGGTCTCATCGGCTCTGTCCAGTTTCCCACAGTCCTTCTCTCTATCTTCCAAGTCTGTGAGGAACACACAGTGAGGGTGGCACCCCTGGATTTGGGGGAACCATGCCTCAAGCAGCCCTAGATCCTTCTGCCCTGGACACAAAGGAAGCCGCTTAGTCTTTTCTGAGCACCCTCCCAGGGCTGGGTACCAGGAAGTACGTTCCCTCCATTTTCAGAAGGATGAGGCAAGGTGCAGGAAAGCTGAGCAAATTGCTCTCCCATCCATGACCAGGTGAAACGGGGATTGAACCCAGCAGTTTTGACTTCAGAGCCCTGCTCGCTCCACCCTCCAACAGTGGGCCCATTGTCCTCATAGGAACAGACTCACTGAAGCATTTATTGAACAACCAAGAGTCCTAGCCGTCATGGAGGATATGAGGAAACAAAGCCCTCAGCCCTAACCTGCTGAAAACAAGCCCAGGAAAGGTGGGATGGATATACAAGTCAACATGCAAGTAGACATTTTAGGAAAATAAAATGAAAGGAGCCATGGAGAAGAGGTTTCTAAAGAAAGTCCCTAGAAGAAAAGCACGACAGTTATTAAAGTAAGGAAGCAACAACAATTGGCAGACAACTAAAAAGAGATCACCCCCATTTCTGACTGGCAGAGGTCATGTATCAGATGTCTTTCTCTGATAATAAACATTTTCTAATCACGTAACGTTTTTTAACATTCAAAATTCTCCCCCCCTTAGAACCCTCATACACTGTTGGTGGGAATGTAAATTAGTATAGCCACTACGGAAAACAGTGTGGACATTCCTCAAACAATTAAAAATAGAACCATCATATGATCCAGGAATCCTACCACAGGGAATACATCCAAAAGAAATGAAATTGGCATGTTGAAGAGACATCCGCAATCTCATGTCTATTGCAACACTATTCATAATAGCCAAGATACAGGATCAACCTAAGTGCTCATCATGGATGGATAGACAAAGAAAAAGTAGGGTTGTATATACACAATAGAATACTATTCAGGCTATCATTTGCAACAACATCAATAAACCTGGAGGTCATTACGTTAAGTAAAATATAAACATAATATTGCATAGAAAGACAAGTTCTGCATGATCTCGCTTATCTGTGGAATCTGAAAAAGTTGAACTCATAGAAGTACAGAGTGGAATGGTGGTTACCAGGGGCTGGGGTTGGGGGAAAGAGATTGGGAAAATCTTGGTCAAAGATACAAAATTTCAGTTACATAGAAAGAATAAGTTCAAGGTCGGGCGCGGTGGCTCACGCCTGTAATCCCAGCACTTTGGGAGGCCGAGGCAGGCAGATCACAAAGTCAGGAGATCGAGACCACGGTGAAACCCCATCTCTACTAAAAATACAAAAAATTAGCCCGGCATGGTGGCAGGCGCCTGTAGTCCCAGCTACTCGGGAGGCTGAGGCAGAAGAATGGCGTGAACCTGGGAGGTGGAGCTTGCAGTGAGCCGAGATCGCGCCACTGCACTCCAGCCTGGGCGACAGAGTGAGACTCTGTCTCAAAAAGAAAAAAAAAAAAGAGAGAAAGAATAAGTTCAAGAGAGCTATTGTAAGTAACATGGTAACTATAGTTAACAACAATGTATCATATACATGAAAATTGCTACAAGAGTAGATTGTGTTCTCACCAAAAAAAAAAAAAAATGAGTATGTGAGGTAATATATGTTACTTAGCTTGATTTAGCCATTTCGCCATGTACACAAATTTCAAAACATGTTTTCCACCATAAATATATGTAAATTGTATTTGTCGGTTTTTTTGTTTTTTGGGGTTTTTTTGTTTGTTTGTTTTTTGAGACAGAGTCTCGCACTGTCGCCCGGGCTGGAGTGCAATGGCGTGATCTTGGCTCACTGCCACCTCCGCCTCCCAGGTTCAAGCCATTCTCCTGCCTCAGCCTCCCGCGTAGCTGGGATTAAAGGTGCCCACCACCACGTCCGGCTAATTTTTTGTATTTTTAATAGAGACAGGGTTTCACTATGTTGGCCAGGCTGGTCTCAAACACCTGACCTTGTGATCCGCCTGCCTCAGCCTCCCAAAGTGCTGGGATTACAGGCGTGAGCCACCGTGCCCAGCCTATTTGTCAGTTTTTTTAATCTCCCCTGTGTAGCCCCAGCAAGCTCCTTTCTGGTGATTAAATTATCCTGTATCCTGATGGTGGTAGTGGTTACACAGATCTATACAAGAGACCAAGAGCACAGCAACACACACACACACACACACACACACACATATGCGTGTAAAAACCAGTGGAATCTGAACAAGGTCTGGAGTCTAGTATTGTCCCAATGTCAATTTCCTGGGGCTGCTATTTTGCAGCAGTTACATAAGACACCCCCACTGGGGAGAGCTGCAGGGAGGGCTCGGGAGATCCTTCGTACTATTTTTGTAATTTCCTATGAAGCTATAGTCATTTCAAAAGTAAAAGTGAAAAACAAAATCCCTCCCACAATTTCATCTATTCCAATACATTTCTTGCCACTTAATTTGGGTTGCACTATTTGTAACTGGTAACACACCTAAAATTATTTTGGTAATGAGGAGGCTGAAATGTTTGGGCTTCCAGTGTGTTTTCAGAGGTTTTGTTTGGGAGAGAGGCGAGGAAATAACCCCATGCCCTTTCTGCAAATGGAGCAACTGAGGCTTTGCTGAGATTCATCCACGAGATTGGGCACTCGGAGTAAGGAGCCACGTTGACTGCACTCACCCCTGCATTGCCTGCCCCACCACTGAACCGAGCACCCGGCAGACACAATCAAATTTCAGTAAATGAATACATCATTTACGACAGTCACCCACCATCCCACTGGTAACTCCACAGATGAGCAATGGCAAGCCAAAACTCAAGAGAGACACCAGGAAGGTTTAGACAACATGCCAGAAACTGTCCCTGAGAAAAGGGGAGCCGAGGCTTTGTGAGCAACACAAGCCGAGTCACTACAGACAAATTAGTGACCTTCTAGTTCAGCTGGCCAGGGTGGACCAGCAACTCTGTTAAACAGGAACCTGTCGGCCGGGCATGGTGGCTCACGCCTGTAATCCCAGCACTCTGGGAGGCCGAGGTGGGTGGATCTCTTGAGGTTGGGAGAAAAGGGAATGCTCACACACTGCTGGTGGGGCCGTATAGTTCCGCCACTGTGGAAAGAAGTGCAGCAATTTCTCAAAGAACTTAAGGCAGAACTACCATCCAACCCAGCAATCCCATAATGGGGTATATACCCAAAGGAATATAAATCATTCTACAGGAAGGACGTATGCACACGTGTGTTCATCACAGCATTATTCACAATAGCAAAGTCACAGAATCAATCTAAGTGTCCATCAGCAGTAGACTGGATAAAGAAAATGTGGTATATACACACCATGGAATACTGTGCAGCCATAATAAAGAACAAGATCATGTCCTTTGCAGCAACATGGATGGAGCTGGAGGCCATTATCCTAAGCAAACTAACACAGGAACAGAAAATCAAATACCACATGTTCTCACTTATAAGTAGGAGATAAATATTGAGTATGTATGGACAAAAAGAAGGGATCAATAGATACTGGGGCCTATGTGAGGGTAGAGGGTGAGAGGAGGGAGAGGATCGAAAAACTACCTCTCAGATATTATGCTTATTACCTGGGTGGTGAAATAATCTTTACAGCAAACGCGCATGACATGCAACTTGCCTATATAATGAAGCTACACATGTACCCTAAACCTAAAAGTTTTTAAAAAGTTTTTTTTAAATATTTATGACATTTGCAAAACAATTGTAAATATTTAAAAAAAAAGATGTTGCCATGGCCATATAACTCCATTTGGAGAGATCTATCCTAACAACATAGCCCAAAAGAAAGAAAAAGCAATTGTTGGCAGAAAATGATGTGGAAGAAATGGTTTTTACCATCAATGCCAACACAAAAAGGCTCACTTTCTTCAACACCTATAAAATTAGAAAATAATGGGACTGAGCTTGGCACTAACACAGGTAGGGTCTCAGCATGGGGATTTGCATATAGTGAGCACCCCATGGATGGAATATACTCATCAGTCTGTGAGCAACTTGACCGCAAGACCCAGCTGTAGTTCATCTCTGTATTCCCACCCCTGCCAGCATGCTATCAGCACATTTCACTAAATACTCACTTAAAGGATACTTAACATATCCAGTTAGATTATATTTAATGCAATGGATAAGTCCAGATTTTACCAGTGGGATATTCAACCAAAATTAATTTTAAGTGTATACTTATGCCAAAAATATTATGAGATTGAGCCCTTAATAATCTGGCCAATTTTAAATCCTTGAGGTTCTTGGATGTGTTTATCTTCCTTCAGCCAAACACAATTAGTTCACGTGAAAGGATGAAGAACACTAGGAGTGTGTGAACACACAGAAGTGCCAAGGCCAGCAGTGAACTTGGGCAAGAGGCTGGAGGGATCATTGCAGCTGCATGGACTTCCGCAGAAAAGATTCAATCGACTGAGATAACGGGGCTGAAAGGGCTCAGCCAAGTGCAGAGTGAAATAGATGGAGGTCCCCTACACACCGCTGACTCCAGGAGCTGAGAGGGGCAGGAACCCGCCAACAGGAAGACCCTGAGGGAAGCCCCTCAAGGTACACAGCAGTCTTTGGGAATCACACCCAACACTGAACCTAAAAGAGGTGAAAAAAAAAAATCTGATCCACCCGAAGGCCATGTGGGATGCCTGCACCTTCCCTCTAACTTCCAAGAGGCTGCATCTTCAGAATAGGGGAGCAAATGCTAAGAACAATTTTAAGGTCTTCAGAAGAATTAGAAAATGCAACCACCATTATGAGAAACTGACCAATGAGAAGCTAGAATGTCATCTGAGAAAGTCCCAGCTGCCCTTTCATAAGCTTTGAGAACCTGTGAAAGGTACAGCTAAGCACGTGGGCTGCAGAGTCCAACCACCTGGCTCAACCATCCTCAGCATGGTGCCTAGAATACGTGCTCATATCCAGGTATGGATACAGCACATTCCAGGCAGGTGCTCAATCAACAGCAGTTACATGTTATTGCCAAGACACCCTTTCTCATCTCTTTGTGGGAGGCAGCAATGTCTCCAGCTGGGTCGTTAGAGAGAATGGTTCTGGGTGTGAAGGGGAATCCAGAGCTTCCACATCCTGATGGCTTCTTCATCAAATTGAAAATCAAGTGACAGAACTCTCAAAGCTGGACCATGAAATAACCAGGTGAGGAGCAGGGCCCCCCAATATTCTTTCTTTCTTTTTTTTTTTTTTTTTTGAGACAGGGTCTCACTCTGTCACCCAGGCTGGAGTGCAGTGGTGCAATCTCAGCTCACTACAGCCTCCACCTCCCAGGTTCAAGCAGTTCTCCCACCTCAGCCTCCCAAGTAGCTGGGACTACAAGTGTGCACCACCACAGCCAGCTAATTTGTGTATTTTTGGTAGAGACAGGGTTTCACCATGTTAGCCAGGCTGGTCTCAAACTCCTGACCCCAAGTCATCTGCCCACCTCAGCCTCCCAAAGTGCTGGGATTATAGGCGTGAGCCATCACGCCTGGCTAATTTTTGTATTTTTAGTAGAGACAGGGTTTCATCATGTTGGACAGACTGGTCTCAAACTCCTGACCTCAAGTGATTTGCCCACCTCAGCCTCCCAAAGTGCTGGGATTACAGGCATGAGCCACTGCACCCAGCCACAGCCAAACATAAGCTGAGGACAAGGGGAGGGGTATGGGGGCAAACATCTGGGGTTCCCCAGAACCTCCTTGATCAAGACAGGCATTGAAGTCCCACTCACATACCTCATAACACTCAAAGATTAACCAAGACAATAGACATAAAGAATGAAAAACTATTTTTAAGCCAAAGCCCGCCCTTAGTCTGCCTCATAGTTCAAGAGATGCCAAATTATGTATCATTCATAGATGCACAGATAAGAGTGCCTGCATGGTGGCAGCCAGCCCCTCGCCACATCCTCACTGCAAAATGATGTCGTCGAAACCTGCTCTCACCCAACAGAAATGTGGGCATGTGCTCACCAAAAAACACGTATTAGATGAGTCATGTGGAATTGCCATGTTGGTGGGTCGAAAGTAGTTGTATGCCTGCACTCCCCCGTAGTCAGGTCTAACGCGATTTATAATAGCTCTGAACTAGACACTATTCAAATGCCCATCAGCAATAGAATGGATAAAAAGTCAAGGGAGAGGCTTGCCATGGAGTAGTAGACAGCAGTGAAAAGGAGCCACCTACGACCATGCCCAATGGCACCAATGAATCTCACAGATACAACGCTGAGTGAAAGAAGCCAGACACAGAAAGATGAACAAACAGGAAAAACCGTGGTGACCACCAGAGTGGACACCTCTAGTGAGAAGAAATGGGGGTGATGGGAGTGCACATGAGGCCTTCCCAGGGCTGGCCACTGATTGCCACTGAGTCTGGGACTGATTACATGGGTGGATTCACGCTGTGAAAATTTGGTGCACTGACAAGTATCATTGGTGCACATATCTGCATGTAGGTTTTACTTCCATAAAATGTTTTCTCAAGAGACATGGAAGAAACTTAAATGCATAAAAATGCATAAGAAAGAAGCCAGCCTGGCCAGGTGCAGTGGCTCATGCCTGTAATCCCAATACTTTGGGAGGCCGAGGGGGGCAGATCACTTGAAGTCAGGAATTCAAGACCAGCCTAGCCAACATAGTGAAAGCCCATCTCTACTAAAAATACAAAAATTAGCCAGGCATGGTGGTGGGCACCTGTAATCCCAGCTACTCAGGAGCCTGAAGCAGGAGAATTGCTTGAACCTGGGAAGGCGGAGGTTGCAGTGAGCCAAGATTGTACCACTGCACTCCAGCCTGGGCAACAGAGTGAGACTCCGTCTCAAAAAACAAACAAACAAACAAAACGAAAGAAAGAAAGAAGCCAGCCTGAAAAGGCCGCACGCTATATGATTCCCAGCTCTAGGACATTCTGGAAAAGGCAAAACTATGGAGACAGTAAAAAGATCAGGGTTGGCAGGGTGAAAGGGAACAGGGGGAGGGATGAATAGGCAGAGCACAGAGGATGTTTAGAGCCGTGAAACTCCTCTGTGGATACTACAATGCTGGAGACTTGTCAGGATGCATGCGTCCAAACCCACAGCATGTTCAACACAAAGGGAAGCCTCGTGTAAACTGTGCACTTCATTCAATAACAATGTGTCAATGCTGGCTCATCACCTGTCAGACGTGTACCACACTAAGGCAAGATGGTAACAGTACGGGAGGCTGAGGGGGAGGCGGTGCATGGGAACTCTACTAAGGGCTTCACTTTTCGAAAAATTGCAGTAAACAGTCTATTGACACAAGAAAAAAAAAGAAAAAATCTGTGAGCTAGTTCATGATCTCAAACAAAAGGAGCATTAACAAGTGAAAAAATTATCTGAAACATTTGTAACAAATAGGCACAGGGGAAACTGGACAAATGTGTCCCTCTCTCCACCCTCCGGAAATACATCCTGGGGTGCCCTGTTTCACCGCTCCACAGCAAGGACAAGGAACCCCAATGGGCATCCAAAGCAGCCACAGTGAACCTCCCTCCTTCAGTGTCCGTCCTCTTTCCTCCTTCCTCAGTCTCGTAGATTCACTGTCTTTGTGCAGCCAGACTGGCTTTATTTCTACCTTTCTTGCTGCATGCACGGAATGCTTTACACCAAAGGAAAATTATACGGTGCAAACATTTATTCAGAAACATGGTTTGCAGTGCTACCTCCCTGGAGTACTTGGCCAGGAATGAAAGCCGGGTACACACTGCCGCTGGCGGAGGACAGGAGATGGAATCCTTTGCTCAATATAGTTCCAGCTTTTATGAGGCAGCTTTAGTGGGAATGTGTCAACTTCTCACCTGAAGCCCAGGCTGAAAAGAGCCCTGCCCTGCAAAGCCAGGCAAGTGTCGGGCCGCAAAGAAGGGGCAAGAAAGTGGGAGGCGGAGAGGGGGTCTTGGTGACCAAATGACACCCTCGGGGGCTTTCATCTCAGCTTCAAAGGGAAAGAATAAAATGAAAAGGGGGTGGGGATGGGCAGCAGTACTCACTGGGTCACAAGCAGGTGGGTCACTCTTGTCCTGGACCGTAAGGCCACGGGCATGGGGATGTTGGTGCCTCAGACACACCGTGCCAATGCTTGGAGCAGCCCTGATTCCAAAATCACGCTCCCCCTTCAACCCTGGCACTGCCTCTCCCTGCTTTATTTTCTCCATTGGTGGGCTTAATCATGTCCCCAAAGACATACCCAAGCCCTAAACCGCTGGTACCTGTGACGTGACCTTATTTGGAAGAGGGTCTTTGCAGATGTGATGAAATGAAGACAAGATCATACTGGAGGGGGGTGGGCCCTCATCCAACGACTGCTGTCTTTGTAAGAAGAGAGGACACAGACACGGGGGGAGAGGCCACATGGAGACAGAGCCAGGACTGGAGTGACGAAGCCACCATCCGAGGAACGCCAAGGACTGCCGGCCATACAAGAAGCCGAGAAAAGGGCACAGATCAGATTTTCCCCACAGGTTTCAGAGGGCATGTGGCACCTTGAAATGTGACTTCTGGCTTTCTGAACTGTGAAAGAATTGATTCGTGTTATTGTAAGCCCCGTTTCTGCAACCACGGGACATGAATCCATGCCATGGGGGTTGTTGGCTGAGGATCGGAGGTCCACAGGCACAAGGCTGGGGGCTGCTGTGGTCACTGCTGGGGCCCATGGGCCTGGCACCAGGTGGGCCTCCATAATTATGTGCTGAGTGGGTGGATTCTCAGAGGAGGTCAGTTCAACATTTTACAGGGCAACACAGGGGGTCCTCCTGGAGCTGGATTTGGGGGCTCTTGAAACAGTGGTGAGAGTTTACCTGCTCTTCCTGGCACATCCTTCCTCACTGAGCCCCACACCGGGTTGGTGTTCTCACACCCCCTCCCCGCACCGCAAAACCACAGAGCGGCACCTTCTCTCTCGGGCAGGTAGGCAGGGAGGGCCAGCTTCTCCTTCTTTGCTTTTACACGTTCCTCTCTCTGACCCTTGCTTGTCTGGTTGATGCATTCGTGCCTGAAAAGCTCCAGACAGAGGAAGGGATGGAGGAGGCAGCAGAGAGGAAGGAGAGGACAGGGGTATCTCTGTGCATGCGGGGCCAGATCACAGCTGCAGCCGCTGCGTCTCACCAAAGCCACCACTCCCAAGCTGGGCAGGGAACAACCTAAGAGGTGCCCACATTGTTAAAGGGGCCGTAACAACCAGGAACCGGCCCCACTGACAGCTCCGCTCTGGACTTCAGGTCCCCAGAACTGTGAGACAATAAATTCCTCTTGTTCTAAGCCTCCAGATGTATGGCACTTTGCTATGGCTGCTGTGAGACACAGAGCCACCCTAACCTCGGCTCGGAAGAAGGACCCCTGAGATGCGCAGACACCCCAATCTCGGCTCGGAAGAAGGACCCCGCCTGAGGGGCCCAGCCCAGCTGAGCAGGTGCCTCGTTTTGTTACTGCAGTGCCTCCTGGGAAGGACCCTACTCCAGGCTGAAGCAACACAGCTCCTCATTGCAACCCTCGATTGTTCCATAAAATGCAAAGCTGGGCCCGGCGCGGTGGCTCATGCCTGTAATCTCAACAATTTGGAAGGCCAAGGCAGGAGTATCGCTTGAGGCCAGAAGTTCGAGACCAGCCTGGGCAACATAGTGAGACCCCCATCTCTAAAAAAAAAAAAAAAAAAAAAATTTAATTAGGCAGGCATGGTGGCACATACCTGCAGCTCCAGCTAATCATGAGGTTATGGCAGGAGGATGGCTTGAGCCTGGAAGGCAGAGGTTGCAGTGAGCTGGGATCATGCCACTGCTCTCCAGCCTGAGTAACAGAACGAGACCCTGTCTCAGAAAAAAAAAAAAAAATTAATTAAAAAATAAAATGCAAAGCTGGTGATGTGTAGACACGGCCAAGTTGTAAACAAGCGGGAGGCCCAGTGGCAGTGGTGAAGCATGTGGATTCAGGTCTGGCTCAGCCACCCCAGATGCAGGGTCTCACTGAGCTCAGGGAGCACAGGACCTTCCTCAGAGGGGTTTTGTGAAAGGTCAGCGAGCTCATGCTGATAAAAAGATGGAGTGCAGGGCCCGTCCATTGACAGTGATGCCAATAAACATCAATTCCTGTCATGATTTTTATTCTTGTTATTTTTGGAGCCTCCAAAATATTCATACTCTGCTAGGCGTGGTAGCTCACACCTGTAATCCCAGTACTTTGGGAGACTGAGGC
Source organism: Homo sapiens (assembly GCF_000001405.40). Classification (NCBI taxonomy): domain Eukaryota; kingdom Metazoa; phylum Chordata; class Mammalia; order Primates; family Hominidae; genus Homo; species Homo sapiens. The sequence goes on from NC_000016.10 coordinate 87,256,806, forward strand.
AGGAGGATCACTTGAGGCCAGGAGGTCAAGTGAGCTGTGATTTCCACTGCACTCCAGCCTGGGACACAGAGCAAAACCATGTCTCAAAAAAAAAAAAAAAAAAAATCTAAAAATAAAAATAAAAAAATGTAGGAAAATGTTCACATTCTTTGATCCAGAAATCCCACTTTGGGGAATCTATCCCTAAGAAAATAATACTAAATGAGGGGAGAAAATATGTTATACTATGCTATTTATGGCTTTATGTTATTGGTAATATTGAAAAGTTAGAAGCAGCTCAAGGTTCAATAATAGGAATGTGATTAATTAACCTAAGTATCTAATTGATGAACTATCAGGCAGCCACCAAAAATAATTTAAAGATTGTGTAATACCTGGGGAAATGCTTATAATTTCAAGCAAAAAAAGCAAAATATAAAACTGTAAGTATGCATACTGAGGCACCAAAAAACAGATACTCACAAGAAAGAAAGACACCACATTTAACAGGGTTGCCTATTGAAAAGACGGAAATGCGTTTCTTTAATAAGTATGTATACTTTAGGTAGTAGGTAGAAAAAAGTTTTAAGAGGGGCCAGGCGAGGTGGCTCATACTGTAATCCAGCACTTTGGGAGGCCAAGGCAGGCAAATCACCTGAGGTCAGGAGTTTGAGACCAGCCCGGCCAATATGGCAAAACCTTGTCTCTACTAAAAATACAAAAATTAGCCAGGCACGGTGGCATGTGTCTGTAATCCCAGCTACGTGGGACGCTGAGGCAGGAGAATCGCTTGAACCTGGGAGGCGGAGGTTCCAATGAGCCAAGATCGTGCCACTGCACTCCAGTCTGGGCGACAGAGCGAGATCTCAAAAAAAAAAAAAAAAAAACTGTATCAAGATAATTTGAATGTATATACTCATCCATACGGAGTACATATATGCACATTCATAAATATATACTAGATAGATAGATAGATAGATGATAGATAATGTGAGTCTGTGTGTGTCAGTCAGGATTTTATTCCCTCAAGGAAAAGTTAAAATCTTAATTTGTTTGAGGAAAAAAAAACATCCCTGAAGGTGGGCTCCAAATGATCTATGGAAACAGGTGACCAGTCTGAATACATGAATTCATGAAAATGAATTTATGAATACGTGATGTAGAGAGGAATGATTTTACACATAGCATGTTCCTGGCAAAGTGTCAGCCATACATTTCAAAATTATTTTTTAATTAATTTCAGTGATAAAAAAGAAAGAAAAAGTCATTGAGTAATTAAATTCCCTGCCTCTAAGCGTTTTCACTTAAATAGATCCATTTGCTTATTAACGGACTCCACAGAAATTCATAGGCCAAAAACATGAGGCCTGAACTGGTAACCTTGGCCTCACACCACAAACCCCATGGCTCCCAGTGCTGCTCTGGGTTCAGATTTAACTCCCACTGTGGTCCTTGGCAGGTGACTCAGGCCTGGATTTCCACTTCTTTGCAGAGAGAATTAAAAATCATTGTGGATTCTGCTGGCAGGGCTGGGACGGGTCACATAGCGCCCACCTGCTGTCCACTTTGGGCACAGAGGGCAAGGTCGGGACTCCACACACAGCGCCCACCTGCCACTCACCCACTAAAGACCACAAGCTAGAGAATGTTCCTTTCTAAGCCTCACTTTCCTCTGCAGAAAAGTGGGAGTAACAAAGCACCCCTCTTACCTCTTATCGAAATGAACGAGACAAAATTGGGATTGGTGCGTGAGTCGGGAAGGCCAGGAAAAAGTTTAAAATTTTTTTAAAAGATGAAACAGGGGGCCAGGCATGGTGGCTCACGCCTGTAATCCCAGGACCTTGGGAGGCTGAGGCCCTAGGGGCTCGAGAGTAGCCTGGGCAACATGGCGAAACCCCGTCTCTACAAAAAATACAAAAATTAGCTGGGCATGGTGGCATGTTCCTGTAGTCCCAACTACTCAGGAGGCTGAGGTTAGAGAATCCCTTGAGCCCAGGAGGTCAAGGCTACAGTGAGCTATGATTGTACCACTGCACTCTAGCCTGGGTGACAAAGTGAGACTCTGTCTCAAAAAAAAAAAAAAAAGGAAAAAACTGATAAAACTGGGACTCACAGGTCAAGGGTTCACCCCACACTGGACTCCACGCAATGGTTTTTACTTCCTCTTCCCAGTTTTTTGTTTTTTGGTCTTTTTTTTTTTTCCTTTAAGAGGTGGGTTGTTGTTCCATCACCCAGGCTGGAGTGCAGTGGTGCAGTCTCCAACTCCTAGTCTCAAGCTATCCTCCCACCTCAGCTTCCTAAAGTGCTGGGATTACACATGGGAACCACCATGCCCAGCCTCCAGTTATTTTTTAATATCAGGTTGGTGCAAAAGTAAACCGTGATTACTTTTACTTTTGTACTGACCTAACAAATGACTCAACACACGGTTGAGTTTAAGCTTGTATTTTTCTTTTTGCCAAAGACTGGGTTTGAGTGAACGATCATGGCTGGTTTTATTGGCCACTTACTATATACCAAGTGTTTATCCTATCATCAGCCACCTAACCCTTTCAGGAGCCCGGTGAGTTCCCGATGTTATTTCCCTATTCAACAGATAGGGAGACTGAGGCTCAGTAAGCAGTAGAACTAGGATTTCAATTCCGGCGGTTAGACCCTAAAGCCCCTGAGCTTAACTCCTACTCCATGCTAACGGATCTTCTGTGAAAGGTCAGGAGCCAAGATTGCACCACTGCACTCCAGCCTGAGCAACAGAGCAAGCCCTTGTCTCAAAAAAAAAAAAAAAAAAAATCCCAGCTACCATTCACAAGCTGTGTGATCTCAGGTGGGTTACTAGGCCTCTCTGTTCCTCCATCTCCTCAGCTCTCAGATAACAATAGTGCCTGCCTCACAGGCTGTTGTGACTATCATCTGAAATAACGTACGTAGAGTGTGCACAGATCCAGATGGAGATTCAGGGAAGCTACTGAACTCATTCAATGTTTCACACTCCAGGTCTGCGCACCAGCCACCAGGGACACCAGAAAATCCGAGTACAGGATCATCATGGTTGACTCAGATCAGGGGCAGCAAACGTTTTCATAAAGGACCAGATGGTAGAAATTTGTGGGCCTCCAAAATAATTGGAGGTTGGTCGTGGTAGCTAAGCCCTGTGGTCCCAGCACTTTGGGAGAGCAAGGCATGAGGATCACTTGAGCCCAGGAATTCCAGGCTGCCATGAGCCGTGATCATGCCAATGCACTCCAGCCTGGGTGACAGAGCGAGACCTCATCTCAATAAATAAATAAATAAATAAATAAATAAATAAATAACAATAATACTTCGGAAGAGGAAGTAAAAGTTTCCATCAAAACTACTCAACCCTGGACCCCAGAGCAAACTTGAAAACTGAGTTCTCAGCCATGATGGCGTGGAGGGTCAGACACACTCGTTATACCCCTCCCTCACTAGCCATGATCACGCTTTCTCCCCTAAGGGCTAAACAGAAAGCAGTCCTTACAAAAGCCTCCACCGCTGACATCAACCTACAGCCTGATGCTGCCCCTCCTTTTTGCCTGATAAGAGACCACCGACCACGGAGTGGTTCTTGCCAGTGTATGGAGGATGCGCAGTGAGGGTTTTCCTGTCCTCCACTTCACCCTTGACGTCACAGCGCTGCAAACTCCACCCTCAGATTACGCCAAGGCCGCCATTTTTTCTACATGGAGCCCACGAAGGAGCATGAAGCTCAATCGTGCACGTGTGTTTCTCCTTTCATAAATATTCATGACTCCTCCTATAGCTTATTGAATATGTATATTTGGCCTCCCTGCTCTACATAAATTCCTGTTCCCTTTTCCCCTCCCTTGAAGTATCTGTTTCTGCTTCCCAGCCTGTCAGACTGGCCACCCTGCAGGCTGCAACCCTTTATGAGAAATAAAGCTCTCCTTCCCAAATTAAGCAAACAAACAAACAAAAACTACTCAACCCTGTTGTTGTAATGCAAAAGCAGACACAGACAGCCCCTCAGTGAATGAGGGTGGCTGCGTTCCAATAATACTTCACTTATGAATGGGGGCTGCAGGGTCAGACAGGTCATGGTCTGTATTAGCTCATTCTCACATTACTATAAGGAACTATCTGAGACTGGGTAATTTATAAAGAAAAGAGGTTGAATTGACTCACAGTTCCACAGGCTGTACAGGGAGCATAACTGGGGAGGCCTCAGGAAACTTACAGTCATGGTGGAAGGCGAAAGGAAAGCAGGCACATCTTCACATGGCAGCAGGAGAGAGAGAGGCAAGAGGGAGGTGCTACACACTTTCAAACAACGAGATCTCATGAGAACTCACTATCACGAGAACAGCAAGGGGGAAGTCCGCCCCCATGATCCAATCACCTTCCATCAGGCCTCTCCTCCAACACTAAGGATTACAATTCGACATGGGATTCGGGTGGGGACCAAACCATACCACGGACCAGCAGTGGGGCTGGGTGCTCTGACTAAGGCACAGTTTTGGCAAAAAGGAAAAGGAGGGATGGATAGTGGGTAAAGTACTAACAGAATGTGACACAACCACCAAGCTAAATCTGTGTGCCAGGAGCTGCACAGCACAGCAGACAACCAGAGCCAGGCATTGCCCAGTGGAGGAAGAGCCCTGCCAGGGGTTCATGGTGCTCACAGGAGAGGAGGAGAGGCTGTCACGGGAAGACACCCTTTCTCCATGCTGCTCCCAGGATTCTCCACACACCCAGTTCCAGGTCTGCCTTCTGGGATGGAAACCCGGCATCTAACAACACAGGCAACCATGGCACGAAGCCTGCCCACTGGGCAGTTGGGTGCGGACGGGGCACTGAAGGATATGGCTCCTTCCACAGCTTAGGCCTCCCACGAGGGGCTTTCTCCATCACTTTATACCTGGGGCAGACTTGAGTCAAACTCACCAAGCGCCTTCCATCCTCAGGGTCTTCGCAAATGCTAACCCTCCTACTGGCACACGCTGTTCCCCCAACCTACAACATCCTTCCCTCTGCTCTTCACCAGCCATCTCCTTCCTTCCTCAGGTTTCAGCATAAGCATGACTTTCCAGGGACAACGCCCCAGGGCGCAGACACCAATCTCGCCCTCTACTAGCTTAGGGCTCCCTTTCACAAACTCACGTGCACCTGCACCTTCCCCTTACAATTCTAACCACGTTGTGGTTCTACAGCATTCGTCCATCTCCCCTCCTGGGCTCAGGCCTATGTGAGCTGGGACCACATTGGTCTTATTCTCTGGGGTTTCCCCAGTTCCTAGCACAAAGTCTGACTCAGATATTTGTTGAATAAATGACTAGAAAGAAAACAAAATGTGCAAGCAGAATTCTCTGATTCCAAAGATGATGTTGAAGCTCAGTAGCATTACATCAATAGGAAAAGTAATGTTTTCACCTTTTTTTCTCTTATATCTTCCCGTTTTCTTGCTTTCCAAATTAGAAACCTAGGTAAAGTGAGTTCACATAAAGGACTAATCTCTTTATTTAAAAAAAAAAGTTTTTCAGTGACTGGTGTATTTAATTAGCATCAAAAAAAATAGTTACATTATATATTTTATAAAACTACTAATCCACATGTGTGCAAATTTGCCCCTAAGGACAACTTAATATTTTTATGATATGCTTTCAATATTTCCCCATTGTTCTAAAGTCATATTTTTTGCTATTAAAATATATAATAAAGTTCTCGAGAAATAAAAAAAAACAGGGTCACTCTAGGCAAATAAAAGTGAAAGACTAAGAACATACATGACCACTTTTCTTTTTTTTCTTTGTCTTTGACAAGGAAAGGGTCTGAAATTAATTTTACCTTGTTGATTAAAAAAATACCTTGAAATGGTCACAGGCAGGTTTTACACTGAACTTGAACTTCTCATGCTGCTTCAGCTTTCCTTCCACAAAATCAAGAGGCTCAGCTGATACTACTCTGGGAAGACGCAGTGGTGTGCAGGCCAGTGTTCAACAGCCGGCTTTTAAGTCAGGGAACCCTGATTCGCAGCATTTGCCAATTGCTGTGGTGTGAATGCCACCAGCCCAGCTGATTTCACACAGACATGACATGATGTACACACTCCAGAGAGGTATCCTGCGCCAGCTCCCAGACTGCAGGCGGAACACATCAAAGGGATACCGTGTGAGGGGGATCTATAATCTCCTGCCCGGTTCATTGTGCATAGTAATTGTTCCATAAATGTTAGATTCTATCACTGGATGCTGACCCATTCTTTTCTTTCTTTTTTTTTTTTTGAGACAGGACTTGCTCTCTTGCCCAGGCTGGAGTGCAGTGGCATGACCGTGGCCCACTGCAGCCTAGACCTCCTGGGGTCATGCAGTCCTCCCCACCTCAGCCTCCCAAATAGCTGGAACTACAGGTGTGCATCACCATCCCCAGCTTATTTTTGTATTTTTTTTCTAGAGATGGGTCTTGCTGTGTTGCTCAGGCTGGTCTCAAACTCCTGGGCTCAAGGGATCCTCCTGCCTCAGCCTCCCAACGTACTGGGATTACAGGTGTGTGAGCCACCGTGCCCGGTTGGTGACCTATTCTTTAGTAACTGTTCCCTTGAGGAAGAATCTGACACCCTGGTGCATTCTCACGCACTATCCCCACCAGCCTGCCAGGGCATTCCCTGAGCACTGGGCACAGGGGAAGCTGGACAACCAGTCCCGGGGCTTGGCAAAAGGGGGCCCTCAGTGGAAGGCTGAGTCCTGCTGCTTGCCCTGAGCCGGGGAAACCCAGAATGTCTCAGAAGTGGATACAAAGGGCATCGGGCATCCAGGAACCCATAAAGCTTCTAGGACCTGACACTGCAAACCACGTCATCAGGAGGGCAGGGCTTGGCGTCAGGTGACCTGGATGGAAGGGATTTTTTTTCTGTCCCCACCTTGCCACGTACTGTGTGACCTTGGGTGAGTCAGCAGCTCTTCCCCTCTGAGCCTCAGTTACCTCGTTTGTAAAAGAGAAAGGCCCACTGCAGAACTGTGAAGGGTGTAAGAGAAAAAGTAGGGGAAGCACGTGGCTGAGATTCAAAGAATCCCAAACCACCCAGAGGCGGTGCAGGATTCAGATGGCGCTGTCCAGCCCTAGAGTCAGCACCAGCCCCGGAGTCAGCACCAGCCCCACTAAGCCACACAGACACAGGCTCCCACAGGAACTAAGGATGAGGAACACAGAAGGCGTCGTAAACACCGTGGTGCAGAAAATGGTTCGTACTGTGGCTTCAGAGCACCTGAAACACAGCTGGAACTGAGACATGCCCTCAGAATAAGTCACACACTGGATTTCAAAGGCTTCATATGAAAAAGAGAATGTAAATATCTCATTAATATTCCACTGTTGCTTACATGTGGACAGGGTAATACTTTGGATACGATGAGTTAAATAAAATATATTATTAAAATTAATTTCAGCCGGGTGCAGTGGTTCACATCTGTAATCCCAGCACTTTGGGAGGCCGAGGCTGGCAGATCACTTGAAGCCAGGAGTTTGAGACCAACCTGAGCAACATGGGGAGACCCCATCTCTACTAAAAATACAAAAATTAGCCAGGCATGGTGGTACGTGCCTGTAATCCCAGCTACTGAGGAGACTGAGGCAGAAGAAACACTTGAACCCAGGAGGCGGAGGTTGCAGTGAGCCAAGATTGTACCACTGCACTCCAGCCTGGGCGACAGAGTGAGGCTCCATCTCAAAATAAATAAATAAATAAATAAATAAATAAATAAATGTAATTTCACTTTCACTTTTTAGAATGTGGCTGCTGAAAAATTTCAAATCACACGTGTGGATCATATTATGTTTCTGTAGGACGGTGCTGGGGTAGACAGACCATGGATTCACACCACTTGCATCATGGACTGTGTGACCCTGCACAACTGGCCCCCCAGCTTCCTGATCTATACATGACAGCTGTTCCACACGTTCCACCACCTGGAAAAGAGCACTTCCAAATGGGCCCTTTCCCCAGGTGTGTCTGATGGAATCCTCTCCTCTGGGAAAAGCTCTTCCCTTCCCTCTCATCTTGGCAAGCCCTGGGGACTCACAAAGCCTTTGTTTGCTGAAGAACTGACTGGCAGGGAGACACTAGGCAAGAAAAACAAACAGGGCCCCGTCCACATGGTTATTTAAGAGAAACAGTGAAAACAAACAAGAGAAGAAAGAAGTAGTCAAGAGATATCCAAGTTGTTAATGAGGCACCCTTAGAAATCACTCCAAGCTCCAAGTGGGAGGCAGGGGAGCAAAGGAGAAACCAGGTGGAAGAAAGGGGCTATAAAGACGGGGAAGGAAATCGAGCAGGGAGAAATCAAAAGGGAGGCCAAATCTGGAGGAAGGAGCGCCCAGCTCAGGTGGGAGGAGGAAAGTGGTCTCCAGGTTTGGAAGTAATTATTTAAACATTTTGCACCTTTCAAAACAACAGACAGCAACTTCCAGTTCCAAATATCTTTGTGCTCCCCTGTTGCAGAGCCTATTGGCCTCTAAACCCAGCAGGCTGAGAGCAGCTTTCAGCATTAGCTCTGCCAAGCTGAAGGAAAACATCTCAGCCTCAGCTTGAAGCAAGGGGCATTCCACCGGGGTCGCTCCATGTGCCACCCCAGGCTGAGACCATGGCAAGAGAATGCAGGGATGGTTTGTCTGCTGCCACTGGGATGGAACCAGCTGGAACCCACTCACATCCTACACCAGCAAGCAGATGCACTGTGATGGATGAGGGTCAAGAACCTGCCCCCAGCCTGTGTCCTGGAGTGGGAGGGGCTTTACTGGAGCCCCAGAGTCTTCTAGGGGGAGGGAAATAAAGCCAGCTGAGCCTCACAGCAAAAGCTGATGAGCTGTCTAGAGAAGCCTTTGTCGGGGCAGTCTACGCATACTTTGACAAGCAGAAATAGAGTCCTACATCACGCGGTGTCACGAGGGACCCCTCTGCACCATATAATACCTGGAAATGCTGTCTCCAAAGACATTGACCTATAAGGTCAGGTGAAATCCTTCATTTGACCTGCCTTTTCAAGAGAGTCTGATTAAGACCCTGCCCATGCCAAGCTAATAAAACATAGGTTCCTCTCTGCCGTGGCTCTACTCCCTCTTGTAGGCCCCATGCTGATCACCAGCTTCCAAGGGAGGGGGCAATACCAGCTGGGCCCAGGGAGTTTCCCAGAGTGCACTGCCCTGAATGCACCCCATCACCTCATCCTGGAAGGTGCCATCTCTCCCTCCTCCTGACCCTGCAGGAAAGCCTTCCCTGGCTCTCCTGCTTCCTCTGGGCTAAAAGTTCCCCTTGCTCCGCTGGCTCCAGCACAGCTATGGGTGCCCTCTGCCTTCTGCAGCATAATTAGTTATGGATTTGTTCATTTCCACAGCTGGCTGTCAGCTTCTGGGAAGACCATGAGTGCCTCGATCTATACCATCTTGGCATTTGCATACTGCAGGTGCTGAATACAAACAGCGAGTGAATGAATCAATGAGTGAAAGAAAATTGACTAGTGGACAGTTCAGAGCCATTTTGAGCTCTTCCTGTTTAACAAGCAGCACAGGGATGAAGAGCACAGACTCCCATGCAGTGGCCTGGCTTTGAACCCACTCCCCACCACTGTGTGAACTTGGGCAAGGTACTTAACATCTCTGTGCATAATTATAGTACCCACTTCTTGAGGTAGGAGTAACCTAGTTTCTCTATTTGAAGCACTTAGAGCAGTGCCAGACACACGGTAGGTCCAGGGAAATCGAGGAGCGTCGGCTCTGATTATTCTGTTTGAACAAAGAACACAAAACCAAGTGCTGCTTAAAAAATTCTGACGTCAGCCGGGCGCGGTGGCTCACGCCTGTAATCCCAGCACTTTGGGAGGCTGAGGCAGGCAGATCACGAGGTCAGGAGATGAAGACCATCCTGGCTAACATGGTGAAACCCCGTCTCTACTAAAAATACAAAAAATTAGCCGGGCGTGGTGGTGGGCGCCTGTAGTCCCAGCTACTCGGGAGGCTGAGGCAGGAGAATGGCGTGAACCCAGGAGGTGGGGCTTGCAGTGAGCTGAGATCGCACCACTGCACTCCAGCCTGGGCGACAAAGCAAGACTCCATCTCAAAAAAAAAAAAATATTCTGATGTCAATCCCAACAGCCCATTTTGAGCTCACTGCCTTAACACAGAAGGCAAGGAGTTAAACCCTTCAGCCTCAGGAAAAAGGGATTAGCAGTGGTGTGTCTGTTTAGTTACTCAGCTCCCTGCCTGTCCAGAGAAAAATATCTTGAAAGATTAGATTATGTAGCTCGGACTGCAGGGCCACAGTGGAGAGAGGGGGCTGCTGTCACCTCCCAGCTAAGCCAAGTGCTGGAGGCTAATTTCCCGTAGGTGGTCTGGCCAGATTTCCTGGAGGCCAAGGGCTGGAGCAAACAGCCTTTCCTGTCCCCCCAGGGATTACAGCGTGAAAGCACTTTTTAAACCTTAAATTAAAAAACCGAAAGGCCGTGTCCATTCTGCAAACTCTGCGTATTTAATTTTTAAAACAGCAACACATCAAGTGCGCTTGAAAGTGATGGACCCCTGCCTTGGACGATTGAAAAGCATTCACCTTCATGAAAAATAATTCAAGTGGAGTGACATGTGCCTGACAAAATGATTCAAAGGCTTTCTTTCCTCCTCTGGAACCTTCTTCACTTCTCCAGGTATTAGGGCTGTGCTGGGCGTTGACAAGGGACATTTGGAAATCGTTCGTACTGTGGTATTATAACCTTTCAAGGTTGCCATGGCTCAGCAGCCCTAGAATAGGAAAGTGTCCTTGCTACAGGTATAAAATCAACCACGGGCATGAAGCAGAGAGATGGCGCTTTCTGTTGAAGACTGTGGTTGTCCTACGTGACCATGCGCATGTTCTTCAGACCCATGGCAACAGCCAGAGATACCCACGTGGAGCAAAGATCAAACACGGAGCAGAGAAGCTACAACCCATGATGGCTGAAATTGAAAGCTCATAGATGAAGCACCACAAAACCCCAATTCAAGACTTCGCTCTCCACTTCTGAGCTGTGTAACCCTGGGCCAGTTTCTTGACTTCTCTGAGCCTCTATTTCCTTATCTGTTCGATGACAGAAATATCCTTACCCACTTCACAGGTTTGCAGTGAAGATTCAGTGAGAGCTTGTACTTGAAGATGTTTTATAAACTGTTAAGACAACATTCAAATGGGAGCTGTTACTGTTCTTACCCAGAAAATGGATTTGTTTGTTCTCTTTTCATTCATGCCCAGGAATGAACCAGATATACCACTTGTCATTCACTGACTATGAGTGTAGAGAGTAAAGCTTCGTAGGAAAGAAGGTCAGTCTCAGAAATCTATGGAGTAGCCCCCCACCTTCCTTTCTCTGCCATCATGATGTGTGCTTGACTCCACTTCTTGCTATGTCTTCTCAGAAGACTTTCAGAATTAAGTGATTCCTGGCCAAGAAACAAAAGCAAAATCGTCCCATTCCTCAGTGGATTTGGATGAAAACTGGTAATAAAATCAGGTACAACTCCAAAAGGAGACATTGGAGAAGAACTAAACTGGGTCTACTAGGAATTGCACATTGGATGGCACACACATTTATGCTGTCTGAAGGTCACAATCATGTTACCATATCAAGCTGAAAATGTCACCACTATCAGGAGAGTTGGACATGTTTTATTGGGAATATGTATTTTTTTCTCTGAATCTGTTATGAACACGTTGTTTGGCTGGGTTTAGTAATAAATATGTGAGACCTTTGATTTAAAAAAAAAATGAAATCTATGCAGTGATTCCCCCAGTTGAGACTCATTTAAAGTCTACCATGCATTGGTCAGGTGTAATACAGTGTTCCTTCAGAATCCTGTCCTGGCCAGGCACAGTGGCTCACGCCTGTAATCCCAGCACTTTGGGAGGCCAGGGCGGGCAAATCAGTTGAGGTCAGGAGTTTGAGACCAGCCTGGAAAACATGGCGAAACCCCGTCTCTACTAAAAATGTAAAAATTAGCTGGGGGTAGTGGTGCACACCTGTAATCCCAGCTACTCAGGAGACTAAGGCACAAGAATCACTTGAATCTGGGAGGTGGAGGTTGCAGTGAGCCAAGACCATGCCACTGCAATCCAGTTTGGGCAACAGAGTAAGACTCTGTCTCAAAAATAAATAAATAAATAAATAATTTTTTAAAAATAAAATAAAATAAAAATTCTGTCCTGAACCAGTTTGAGATGCTGTCAAGTCCCCTCTTGAACAAGCCCACGCTCCATCCACTGTCCTATCAGAGCTCATGCCCTGAGCCCCTACACACCTTACCTGTCTCCCCAGGGCCAGGTACCTGACAGCTAGGGATAGCCCTATGCTTTGGAGCCCACAAAATTTTTCAAATTGGTCCACAGGAGCCCACAAAACCTGGTTAAGTACACTCCGCTGACCACATATAAGCTGCTGGCTACAGCCGCTCACTGTTACCCATCCTTGGGTGCAGCCCCCTGCATGGCCCTGCCTGGCAGCCAGCTCCCATTTGCAGCTGTAAGTAATAGTGTCCTGTCCTATCAGGGTACTGTGTGTCCTGCCATCAAAAAAATCTTTAAATCTTATCAAACACTCAGGTTCTCAAAGAGATGTAAACCAAGACTTCTGCTGCTTTGCTTTTTAATAATGGCAAATCAATCAGAAGTCAATTTGAGGTCCATCAAAATTCAATGTTGCCTCTGGACATTAAAGAGTACAGGGCAGACAGACATGGGGAGAAATCCTAGATATATTGTGAAATGGGAAGGAAAAACTAAGTTCCAGCATCATATGCCTGGAGCCTGTGAGCTGTGGAAGGAGGGGACCATTTTTTCTTTTTTTCTTTTTTTTTGAGACGGAGTCTCGCTGTCACCCAGGCTGGAGTGCAGTGGTGCGATCTCAGCTCACTGCAGGCTCCTCCCCCCAGGTTCATGCCATTCTCCTGCCTCAGCCTCCCGAGTAGCTGGGACTATAGGTGCCCGCCACCTCGCCCAGCTAATTTTTTGTATTTTTAGTAGAGACGGGGTTTCACCATGTTAGCCAGGATGGTCTCCATCTCCTGACCTCATGATCCGCCTGCCTCGGCCTCCCATTTTTGTTCGTTATTCAATCTGCAGCTCCCAGCTTTACACCTGACACACAACAGGTGCTGGGAAATGCCATTGAACCTATTAATAGGTATGGGACTTTTCCACTGATGCGGCAACCTGTGAGAAAAGGCTTACTCTCCGTTCACGTGCAGAAGTGCCCAGGAAGGAGCCATCTAAACCATTCAGGTTTCAACTATCCGGGGAGGAAAGGGGATATCACCTTTTTCTCTGAACTTCAGAATTATCTGAATGTTTAACCTTGAAGATAAATTACTGCCTGGCTTGTATAATCTATAAAGCAATCTATAAAGAAATAAAGACTCCACCCCCGCCAAAAAAAGGAGAAAGAAACACATTTGTAATTAATACCCTCTGTTGAATCACAAGAATTCAGGAGTTATTAGAAAAAGAGTCATTAAGGATCCATAATTTAAAAGTAAAATTTAAAATTCCAAGAAGAAATTTGTGCAGCACCCTTCCCTTCTCCAACCTTCCAGGAGTGAGGAACTGATAAGGCAAATAAAATAAAGAATTATTATGTATTAATCAATAATGAATAATGAATCAATGAATAAGGAGCTGAAGCTAGAAATCAGAGCACTCCCAGCTTTGCCTTTGTATTGTTATCAATCAAGATCACTTTGGTTAATAATAAAAGGCTCAAAATATACAGATGGGGCGAGTCCTGGCACAGAGCCTTACAGGAATGAGAATGCAGTGGCCCACTTCTCTCTCATTCCTTCAAAGCCTGTGCACAAGAAGAATGGAGAGGTAAGAAGGAAAGTAATTTCCCTCCTCTCTACCCAAGCAAGGGGTATCCCCAAGGTACAGAGAGGAAACTCTGGCGAGCAACAAGGCTTTATTAGACCATGATAGGCTGGGTGTAGTGGCTCATGCCTGTAATCCCAGTACTTTAGGAGGCCAAGGCAGAAGGATCACTTGAGCCCAGGAGTTCGAGACCAGCCTGGACAACATGGCGAAATGCCATCTCTACCAAAAAATGCAAAAAGTAGCCAGGCATAGTGGCGCACACCTGTGGGACCAGCTGTTCGGGAGGCTGAGGTCGGAGGATCACTGGAAGTCAAGGCCGCAGCAAGCCGTGACTGGGTCACTGCACTCCAGCCTAGGTGACGGAGCAAGACCTGCCTCAAAATAACTAAATAAATAAGAATATTTTATTCTCAGTATTTCTTTTCATATACACACACACACACGATACACACGCCCACATACACACACACACACACACACACACACACACACACACACACACACACACACACCAGTCAAAGAACTTTTGAAGCAGATTAACTCCAAAACCAAGGTTAGGAAGGAAATCCCCCAGGACACTACTCATGTTTGATGTTGGTTTTCTGTTTGTTTCTCTTAGAGCTCTTACAATCTCTTTCCTGAGCAATGGGTGAAACTATTTTGGGGGATCCGGCAAGGAGATCTTCCACTGGCTTTTAGTCAAAAGCTGAGCCGACAGACATTCCAGCAGCAACAGACCCAACCACCAAGACCCATTGTTGGACAAGCACCTAAGGATTTGCAAACCGGCACAGCCACGCCCCAAACCCACGCTGTGCACTCCGGGGACCACGCTGCGGGTGAGCAGAGCTGCAAGTCTGCAAGGCCCCAATTTATCCGTTAACTGCCCAGTTCTCCCTGGAGACTCGCAGCTTCTGGGTGTGGGGACTGTTTCTGTTCTTGTGGGGACCTATTCCATTGTCTTGCCTTGGCACAAACACTCCATGAGCTGGAAAACCCCCAGCTGCGTCTCAGACTGAAGCTTAGAAGCATCTTCTCCTTCTCCCATCCCGACTCTCCCACGGACGACCCCTTCCCCACATGAACCTCCTCATCCCTCTCCCTCTCCAAGTACATCCCCGTGTTGGGGCCTTTGTATCTTTGGTGAATTCTGCCATCTGGCCCAAGCCTTTGTAGGCATCCAGGAGGCTTTGGAGGGGAGGATATTTGATAAATGATAGTTGCTCTAAATGAGCTGGAACAAGACACAGACAGAGACTTCCCATGGAAAGCTGAGAAATGTTTATTCCCAGAAGACAGTGGTGACACGATGTCCAGCCACCTGTCAGCCAGTGATGCAGGGTTGGTGGCTCTGAAATGTTAGGTCTCCCAGCCCGGACACATATGGCTGTCTTCTGGTGACTGTTTCTCTCAAACTAACCACGTGGGTCCATTAGAAGCTGCCATGCTCTCAGAGGAGCCCCCGCCACATTCTGCCAGCCTCAGCTCCAGAGGTGTTGCTGACCTGGGGGGATGCTGGTCATGGAGGAAAACCAGGCAGGAGTGGAGATGTCACAGAGTCTGGCAGTTTTGAGACCCTTCCTGCAATCTGGTTGCTCAGCCTCAGCTTCCATTCTAGGAACTACTCACTGCCTTGCCTGAATCTTGTTTCTGTCACTTAAACCCAAAGAGTTATGTTGATTCCAGGGTTTTTATTGTGGTACAATACACATAACGTAAAATTTAGGCTGGGCATGGTGGTTCACACCTGTAATCTCAGCACTTTGGGAGGCCAAAGTGGGTAGACTGCTTAAGCCCAGGAGTTCAAGACTAGCCTGGCTCACGCCTGTAATCCCAACACTTTGAGAAGCTGAGGCGGGCAGAAGCAAGCAGATCACTTGAGGTCAGGAGTTCAAGACCAGCCTGGCCAACAAGATGAAACCCCGTCTCTACAAAAAAAAAAAAAAAAAAAAAAAATACAAGAAATTAGCTGGATGTGGTGATGCATGGCTATAATCCCAGCTACTTGGGAGGCTGAGGCAGGAGAATTGCTTGAACCCGGGAGGACAAGGTTACAGTGAGCCGAGATCACGCTATTGCACTCCAGCCTGGGCTATAACAGCGAAACTCCATCTCAAAAAAAACAAAAAAAAAACAACCTGGGCAACACACAGAAGCCCCATCTCTACCAAAAAAAAAAAAAATAGTTGGGATGTAGTGGCGCACACTTGTTGTCCCAGCTACTTGGGAGGCTGAGGCAGGAGAATCACCTACGCCCAGAGAGGTTGAGTCTGCAGTGAGCCACACTCAGTCCAGACTGCCAGACACAGTAAGACCCTGTCTCAAAAGAAAATGTATCATTTTAACTATTTTCAAAATGTAGAATTCTGTAGCATTTAGCCCATTTATAAAGCTATGCCACCATTGCCACCCTCTAGTTATAGAACATTTTCATCACCCCAAAAGGAAGCCCATTCCCTGAGCAGCCACTTCCTGGCCCCACTCTCCCAGCCCCTGGCAACCACTCACCTGCTTCCTGCCTCTGTGGCTTTGCCTGTTCTGGATGTTTCATTCCAATGGAGTCATACGGCATGTGGTCTTTTGTTCAAATCCAGTTTTAGGGCAGTCCTAGAGCAGCACTCACCACTCAGTCCGAGGTGGCTTCCCTCTCTGATAAGGTCCCCTCAGGAGTCCTGGCTGCCTAGTCCCTCAGCCTCACCAAGGGCACTTTGCTAAGGCACGTGGGTGGAGTGGACGGCCAGGTTCCTATGAAGCCATATCAGAGTTTGAGTCCTCCCTTTTCCCTTTCATTCACTGAATACTTGTAAGCATCTATTTGACACCCACTACATGCCAGGTGCCGTATGTGATTACATGAGATGAATAAGGTGCGGTCACCACCTTGCGAGATCTCAGTAACCAGGGAGGTCGGGGGGCAGGGGGCTTGGGTCTGTTTTCCCATCTCTTTGAGCCTCTGTCCTAATCTGTGCAAGGGTCCGATCCCCTGGCCTTGCAAAACTGTTATGGCATTTCCATGGGGTAACGTGCAGGGCCAGGACTAGGGTGAAGCAAGAGAGGTACCCGCCGGTGCAAAATTTAAGGAGGTGCTCACTCTCAGAGCCATGCAATGCAGGGTTGGCACCTGAGACCAGGTGTCACCTCCAGTTTTACACCTCGGTGCCTCACTGTCCTGGCCCGGGCCCTAACAATGTGTGCACACACAGCAGTGCCCAGCACAGCAGGCTGCCAATGACAGCTTCCTCCAGGCCTGGCATCTCACCACAGACTGTCCTCCTTCTCTTTGAACATAATCATCTCAGCAAGTTTATGAGACATCTCAGTCTCTTAGCTTTCCTCCTACAGATGAGCCTCAGAGAGGTTTAGGAGCTTCCCTAAAGCCACAGAGCATGTGGGGGCCAGCCTGGAGCATGAGCCCAACTCCACCTGACCTCCAAGCAGGAGCTTGTCCTCCTAAGAATGAAAGCACTCGTCCTATGTGGTGCCCCAAAGTGGGGGACCTTTCTGAGGGCTTCACCTGCATTAACGCATTCCCACCCCACCCCCGTTCCCCACCATCCAATGAGACAACTGCTAATTTCATCCCCCTTTTATACCTGCAGCCCGGGGGGTAGGGGGTCAGCCAGCTGGCTCCGGTACAAGTTCACGACGGGAGGAGCTGGGTGGGGACCTGACGATGTGGCTGCATGGTTCCCCAACATCTTCTGCATTTGGCCCACATACAGTGCCATCCTAGTAGATATTTGGGGCTTGCCACCATTGATTTAGCCTTGGTCCATAAGAGGTCATCATGGCCCACTCAAAAGTTCACTGCCTCAGATGCCCTCTCCCAGGACCCTGCCCAAGGCAGTGACTGTGGGCGTTATAGCCTGTGTCTACTGAAGGGGGTGTGTCCACCAGGGAACTCACCTGCAGTGGCGTGTGTCCTGAATGAACATGCACACGCCACTGCCCACACACATGCACACACATGAACACGTGTGTACTGGAAAGCAACCCAAAATCCCTAGAAGAGCTAGAGAGGCATGGAGAAGCACATTTCTGATTTTTGCAGACACCCAGTGGCCAGAGACCACTGTTATGCAGCTCTAGCCTGAAACCCTTGCTCCTCTCAGCCAGTGTCAGCCACAGCTCTCCGGAGAAACAGAACTAGCAGGAGGTTTAATATGTGTGTGCCTGTGTGTGTAAAGAGAGAGAGACAGATTTTTAGGAATTCCTCATATAACTGTGGAGGCTGGTAAGTCTGAAATGTGCAGGGCAAGCCGGCAGGCTGGAAACCCAGGCAGGAGCTGATGCTATGGTCTTGAGGCAGAATTCCTCCCTCCCAGAAATACCTCGGAGTTTGCTCATAAGGTCCTCCCCTGATTGGATAAGGCCCACCCACACTGTCAAGGGTAATCTGCTTCCCTTGAGGTCAGCTGATGGGAGAGGCTGACCACATCCACCAGCACCTTCTCAGCAGCACCCAGATGGGTGTCTGACTGGACCATTGGGCACGGGAGCCTGGCCACAGGACATGTGAACCCCACCGTCAGCCCATCAGGGTCTGAGCCAGGTATCAGAACCCGCCCAGGTATAAGAATCCACTCGCGTGTCAGAACCCAGGACCCAGTGATACCAGAGGATCGGAACCCGCTCGGGTTGACACACCAAGGAGTCACACCTGCTTCTCACTCCAAAGTGCTTCTCGTAGACACGCTTTTACAGGCTTTCTTTGACATGAAATGTTACTTGGGAGACTCTCCAGCACACTGCAAAATGTAAACTGTGATGGTATGCATATGCGCCTGTATATCAGAGGACCAACATGAGATGTGTTGTTGAAAATCTTTTTGTTGGGTTGCCTCAGAAGGGCTGTCTTGCTAAACAATGGATTCTACAAAGTGACCAAGCAATAAAAAGAAACTTCGAGTTTTAAATTTCAGCTAATTCTCTCATCTACAACAAACCCTTCTTTAATAAAAATGACTGCAATGAAAAAATCCCTAAATAACAAAAAAGCCGCCTGACTCAAATCAATGAGCAATATCACTCCAGCCACATCCAATGGAATGAAACGGCACAAGATTACTGCTATGAGATCCGACCCGTAGAATTCAAATGTGCATGACCTTGTCCTTATGAAATGAATGGTGGGAGCGGAGAAGCCAGCAAAGGAGAGTTACATTCAACTCAAAACCAGGAAGTCAACTTCTCCTAAGAAAGGCCCCTTAAAATGTTCAGGAGAGTTTGTATAATCACAAATACATAGGGGAAAAAAATCGTAAATATACTTTTCATTACGGTTGAAGAAATGGAAGAGAAGTCTACTTTGCAAATGTGGGGGGAAGCCCTCTGACTCATGAAATGGGGGGGTAGGGTAAGGGAAGGAAACATTTGGGATTAAATATTGTCATTTGAGTGGCGCAGCTGATGAAAGCCAGGAAATTCTAAATGTGTGCACCGACAATCTGCCACTCCAATTTTACACTCCGGACTCCTGAACAAAAGCTACACTGTGAGGTGCCTGGGGACGGCGCTGGCGTGACTGCGGAGGGAACGGGGCACAGGTTTCCTTTCAATTTAATGACTTTTCAGTGGTGAGTGTGAAAACCAAAATGTTGTTCTGCGAGGCAAGGCGGACGCTTGGCCCTGCCCCCTCCCCCAAGCACTCCAGTGAGATGATTTCGTGACTGGGGACAGTCATCTTGCCCTGTGTCACCTCGAAGCATTTAAATCCTGCTCCCACCAGCAAGATCCCTCCTGCCCTCCATATGGACGCATGGGGGCAGCCACACCATCCCTGGGTCCTGAGCCCAGACAACCCTGGCACTGTCCCCACCATAGTGAATTAACCCTGGCCATGGCTGATGCTGGCTCTCTACAGAAAGCCAAATGCCAGCGTGCAGGGAATCAGCCCAGGAGGAGACTCTGTGTGTGTTCAGAGTCAAAGAGCCCCTTAGAATGGCAGGCACTGTTCGCTGATGTGCATTCTGGGGTAAATGACAAGGAGACCGTAAGTCACAGTGCCCCCAGGGCTCCCTGTGTTTATTTACTGAGTTCAGCCAACAGCCTCCGAAGTGATTTAGACGGCCCTCCAGATAAAACTCTGGGAGATTCAAAAGGAGCTTTTACAAACTTAACCTTGCCTGGGTGGTGGGCGCAGGCGGGCGGGAGAAAGCACAGAGGAGGCATCGGAAGGGGCCTGGGGCCTAAGACCACCTCCCGTGACCGCCTCTGAAGTCTAGGGGTGGTTCTTTGAGCATAAGACTGAGGTGTCCGAGGGACAGAGGTACCCTAGGCCCCAGGCCCAGGAACCCAGAGCAAAAACAGCTCCGCAAGTCGCCTGCCCAAGCATGAAGCTGCAGAGAGCATCGGAGGAAAAGAAAAAACACCCAGGCCTTGAGACCAGAGGGAGAAACCATGAAGCAATGGCCGGGTGCGGCAGCTCACACCCATAATCCCAGCACTTCGGGAAGCTGAGGCCAGAGAATTGTTTGAGGCCAGCAGGTTGAGGTTGCAGCGAGCTGTGACTTCACCACTGCATTCCAGCCTGGGTAACAGAGCAAGACTCCATCGCCAAAAAAAAATAAAAATGAAAAGAAAGGAGCAGAAGGCCGGGCATGGTGGCTCACGCCTATAATCCCAGCACTTTGGGAGGCTGAGGCAGGCAGATCGTTTGAGGTCAGGAGTTTGAGACCAGCCTGGCCAACATGGCGAAACCCTTTCTCTACTAAAAATACAAAAATTAGCTGGGCATCGTGGCAGGCACCTGTAATCCCAGCTACTCGGGAGGCTGAGGCAGGAGAATTGCTTGAACCTGGGAGGCAGAGGTTGCAGTGAGCCAAGATCGCGCCATTGCATTCCAGCCTAGGCAACAGAGAAAGACCCCATCTCAAAAAAAAAAAAAAAAAAAAAAAAAAAAAAAAAAAAAGGAGCAGGAAGAGAAGAGACATAAATAGTAGATTTGCTGAATCTGAGGATTCTTTCCCTTTCTGCACTTTCAGGCTGAGATCTCTGAGCTCTGAGAAAAGCCACTTGGAACCTCGCCAGTGGCCTCCACCCTTTTTCAGAGGAGAGCAAACACTGGCGCAGCCTGCACTTGTCCCTCCTTGTCAGGGATTTCTTTGCCCTGGCTTAAAGAACACCCCAGCCTGCACTAATGGGCCTAGGGCGATGCCCACACTTGCAGGGACCCACCACACACCGCCTGTCCTCCTCCTCCAGGCTGCCCCGCAGCCCTTCAGCCATGCAGGATGCTTTCCTGCCTCCACACCTCCACCTAGGCTGTTCCCTCTGTCAAATGCCCTTCCCACACGACTTCCCCCTAAGAAATCCTAATTGTCCCTTAACACTCAGCTCAAAAGTCATTTCCTCCAACGCACCTGGGACAGAAGAGACCACACTCTGCCCACGTTCCCCAGAAACTCCAGAGGGAGCAGGACACGCTTACCCCTGTGAGTCTGAGAGGCGGGGTTGGGTGTTCATCTGTGTGCACTTGGTCCCTGAACACGGCAGGTGCTCCATAAATGTCAGGCCCACTCCCCTAGACATCAAGAGGGCTGCATCCTCCAACAAAGCCCCTCTCAGTGACAAGCGTATCTCAGAGCCCCCACAGTCTCTGACCATAGCAACAGGACCAACATCCCAGTCGAAGCAGGGGTGTCCCAGGCAGCAGGCCAGGACCACGCCGCATGTTCACAGGCTCAGTTATAGCCGTCGACCACGCCACGGCGCCCAACCACGCCACGGAGCCCGACCACGCCTCGACCATGCCACGGCGCCTGAACTTTTATCTCCATTTCTCAGGTGAGGACCTGAGGCTCGGGTGGCCCCGTCACTTTCCTAGGGGCATTGGGCAAGAGGCAGGGACTGTGCACAGCCCAGAGCTGCCGTCTCCGTCTCTCAGAAAAGCAGCCCTGAGTCTCAGCCCTGCCATCCTTTCCCACAGGATTTCCAGGCAGGGCTCAAAGAAGTCCCTTCCTCACTCTAAGACGGGTCCTCAAAGCTCGGATGCAGGACCTGAATAGAGGCCTGCGCTCATTGATTTGATTTGATTTTTCCTTCTAGATAACTGGCTCAAATACCTATTGTTTTCCCTTGATCTTAAGGCAGCATTTTCAGGACAAGCAGGAGAGTCTCTACTTGCCTTCACCTCGGGCCATAAACCAGGGGACAGCACCACCTCCTGGCCGGCAGAGATGTGGCGCCCGCTTGGTGTCCGGCTTGCAGAACCCAGCAGCCGCCTCGGACGTCCTGAGCTGCCAGCCTCTCCAGTCCCAGTTAGCAGAGGAAGTCAATAGGGCACGAGTACCTCGTGCTCGTAAGGAAAGCAGGGTGGGCTGGCCTCACTGGGCTCGGGCAGCAGTGCGAGAGTGCAGGTGCTGCACCGTCAAAGGACAGGCACCACCAGCCTGGCCCATGAGCCAGAGGATGCGGGCTTCCTGCAGCTGGGAGCAAGGAGCACCTTGGAGAGGAGCCCAGGGGAGCTCCAGGAGGAGGATGACCGAGCCAAGGGAGCCCCGTCCATAAGCAAGATTGGGGGGCCACAGGGGAAGAAATTAGAGGTGCAGGGCAGACAAAATCAGAAGCCACAGTCGCTCAGTGCCCTGGGTATGACCTGGCACCGGGACACACCTAGCCAATACGTCCTAAAGAGAAACAGGAGGAGTTGTCAGCAAGGAGGCGTGTGTGCCGGCCGCGCGTGACAGTGTGTGTGTGCTGGGGAAAGACACGGATGAGGTAGGCAGGGGCTGCTGCCCGGAGCTTCCACGGGGTGGGAGAGAGAGCAGGAAGGACACGCAGAAGCACACAGATGATGGGGATGCATCATTTGTTCAATTAAATTTCCAAGCAAATCTCTCCCTGGCACTTCCGATAAATACTGCTGAAGGGCAAGCTAGCGTCCCCCGGAGGTAGAGGTCACTTGAACCTTTCATTCATTCACTAACCTGCTCACTCATTCATTCAGTAAATGTGAACTGCACTTCTGTGCCAGGCCAGGTGTTGCAGTAAGCACTTTATCCGCATCATTGTGTCATTAGATTTGTTTTTTTTTTAGGAGTCTTGCTCTGTCACCCAGGCTGCAGTGCAATGGTGCAATCTCAGCTCACTGCAACCTCCACCTCCTGCGTTCAAGCAATTTTCCTGTCTCAGCCTCCCGAGCAGCTGGGATTACAGGTGCACACCACCACACCTGGCTAATTTTTGTATTTTTAGTAGAGATGGGGTTTCACCATATTGGTCAGGCTGCTCTCGAACTCCTGACCTCAGATGATCCATCCGCCTCAGCCTCCCAAAGTACTGGGATTACAGGCGTGAGCCACCATGCCCAGCCTGTGTTATTAGATCTTCAGCATAACCGCCATGCAATAGGAATGAGATATGAAAAATTGTGTCCCAGATAAGTTAGTTAACTTATCCAAAGTTACACAGCTTCTGAGTAGCAGAGCTGGAATTTGAGCCAAGGTTCAGCCCCAAAGCCAAGATATTAATTGTGCTAAGTTCCATGGTGGCCCTTCACGCAGAAGGTATTTACTGAGCTCCTGTCATGGGGCAGGCAGTTGAGCCAGGCTCAGGGGCTACACCAGGGACCAGAACAGAGCTGCACCTGCTCACACCAAGCAGATGGGCAGAGGTAAGTCGTGGATGCACAAACCAGCAAGAGAAGAGGCACCAAGCAGAGCTGCCTCCACCCCGGCTCGCATCTCACGGCTCTGAGCCTCAGTTTTCTCATCTGGAAAACAGGGATAAAAATAAGCTGGTGTGAAAATTTAAAAAAATCTGATACCCAAGACATAACACCCCTGGTGCCCCTAAATACTTCAATGTGTATTTCCTGAAAGCAAAGACATTCTCTTTCTCAAGACAGCACAATCCTCAAAACCAGCAGAATTGCTTGGATACAGTGTTACTATCAAATCTGCTGACCTGACTTCCATTTTACCAAGTGTCCCAATAAAGGCTTGTGTACCAAAGAAAATACTGAACTATGCGTTGCAGTCAGTTGTCACATCTTTTTTATCTCTTTAGTCTTCTTCATCTGGGACATTCCTCAGTCTTTCTGGTCTTTCTC
Organism: Homo sapiens; assembly: GCF_000001405.40. NCBI lineage: Eukaryota > Metazoa > Chordata > Mammalia > Primates > Hominidae > Homo > Homo sapiens. The sequence continues at coordinate 87,280,691 of NC_000016.10, forward strand.
TCAGGCCAGGTATTTGATAGAAAGTTCTTCAGTTGGAGTTTGTCTGATATTTCCCGATGGTTAGACTCAGGGTTTGCATTCCGGGCAGGAAATCCGCAGAAGTTCCATTGCATCCTTCTCGGTGCCGCGTGTCGGGAGGCCATGAAGTCTATCTGTGCATGCATGGATGATGCTGATATTGATTAAGGTGTTGTCTGCCAGCTTTCTTCACTTTAAAGTTAAGACTTCACCCTTTGTAATTAGTATCCTGTGAAGAGGTTCTTTGAGACTATGTAAAAATCCTGTTACCTATGAAATTTTCACACACTAGTTTTAGCATCTACTGATGACTCTTTCCAACATCAATCATTACCATGATGGCGGCCGAGTTGTGGTTTTCTAATCACATTCTATCTTCATCAGCTGGCTCTGGAGCACACCTTCTTCAAGGCAGATTTTCACCGAGGAGTGGGAAATCCGTCTCCCGGCATCCTTCTTGTCCCTACAATTCGTTCTCCCCACAATACTCAGAGAGGACTTCTAAACAAGGAAGCCAAAACATGTTCACCTACAAGAGAGTGAAGGGGGAACCTCCATCCCACTCCATACACAAGAAATTAACTCAAAGTGGATCAAGCCCTTAAATGTAAGAGCCCAAACTTTAAGCTCTTAAAACATGGGGATAAATATTCATGACACTGGGGATTTCCAAAGGATTCTGAGCTATGGCACCAAAACCACAAGCAACAAAAGGAAAAATGTATATATAAACCTCATCAAACCTAAAAAGCGTCAGAGGACACTGTCAAAGAGGAAACAGATAATCCATGGATGGAAATAAATATTTACAGTACCTTGTACTAGACATCTTGTCATATATCTAGTATGAGATTTGTGCCTAGAATATATCAATAATTTTTACAACTCAATAAAAAAAAGATAAATAACCCAGGTGCCTGATAAATACTTGTCCAATAAATGAACTAATGAAAACCATACACACACACACACACACACACACACACACACACACACAATTTACTATGGTGCTTACATTCAAGACAATAGTCATTTTTAGAGAGAAAACTACTATTGTACTAGCATTGATTTCCCCCCAACAACCATCTTCTAGATTAGTGTTTTCATAGCACAGAGTTTGGGAAATTCCACACCAGGAGTTTGCTGTTCACCAAGACTCTCAATAGTTGCCAAAATTAGACCCAAGACTCAATATGGTATGAGCAAAACGAGCGTTTTCATGCACGCCTGGGTGGGGAGTGAACATTGGAACCATCTTTCCAGAGGGTGATTTGTCAACCATAAGCCTTAAACCCAGGTACACCCCTTTACCCAGGAAAGTTCTAGAAAATTACACCAAAGGAATAGTCACAGTTTGATATAAAGACTGGACAACGAAGACGTTTCTTGTAGCCGTGTTCATAATATCAGAAGATGAGATGTTACCTAAATGACTAACGTTAGGTAGTGATTAAATGCATCAGGGTGCACCAAGCCATGCCATGGAGTGCTATGCTTCTGAAGATGAAATCATAAAGGAAATCTGACATGGAAATTGTCATAGCGTATTGTGTAGTGGGGAAAAAAAGTGGGTTGTAAAATATTATGTAGATATAACAAATAAAGGACTTGTATCCAAGATACAGAAAGAATGTTACAATGTAAAAATAAAATGATAGCTAATTTAAAATGGGGCAAAGGGCCAGGGGCAGTGGCTCACGCCTGTAATCCCAGCACTTTGGGAGGCCGAGGTGGGCTGATCACCTGAAGTCAGGAGTTCGAGACCAGCCTAGCCAACATGGTAAAACCCCATCTCTACTAAAAATACAAAAATTATCTGGGTGGCGGCACGTGCCTGTCCCCAGCTACTTGGGAGGCTGAGGCAGGAGAATCGCTTGAACCCAGGAGGCAGAGGTTGCAGTGAGTCAAGGTGGCGCCATTGCACGCCAGCCTGGGAGACAGAGGGAGACTCTGTCTCTAAATAAATAAATAAATAAACAAACAAACAAACAAACAAATAAAATGGGGCAAAGCATTGAGGAGACATTTCTCCAAAGAAGATTCAGAAATGGATAGATACCAATAAGCACACGAGAGGATGTATCAGGAAAAAAGCAAGTCGCAATCACAACGAGATACCACACGCCATGTCTGCTAGGGTGGCCAGAATCAAAAAGACAGACAATAGTTGGTAAGGATGAGGAGAAATTAGAATCCACACGCAATGCTGGTAGGAAGGCAGTAGTGGAGCTGCTGTTGAAAGCAGCTTGGCAGTGCCTCAAAATGTTAGCTATAGATTTACCATATGATTCATCAATTCCACTCCTAGGTATATACCCAAGAGAAATGCAAACCTCTGTCCATAAAAAACATGTACATGGGCTGGGCATGGTGGCTCACACTTGTTATCTCAATGCTTTTGGAGGCCAAGGCGAGAGGATCACTTGAGGCCAGGAGTTTGAGACCAGCCTGGGCAACATAGCAAGAACCTGTCTCTAAAAAATTTTTTTTCTTTAAATTAGTCAGGCTTGGTGGTGCATGCCTGTAGTACCAGCTACTCAGGAGGTTGAGGCGGGAGGATAGTTTGAGCCAGGGAGGTCGAGGCTGCAGTCAGCTATAATTGCACCACTGCACTCCAGCTTGGGCAACAGAGCCATCTCTTAAAAAGAAATAATGTGGCCAGGTGCTGTGGCTCACACGTGTAATCCCAGCACTTTGGGAGGCCAAGGCAGACGAATCACTTGAGTCTAGTAGTTCAAGACCAGCCTGGGCGACATAGTGAAATTCTGTCTCTACAAAAAAATACAAAAATTAGGCAGGCATGGTGGTATGTGCCTGTAGTGTCAGCTACTAGGGAAGCTGAGGTGGGAGGATGGCTTGAGCCTGAGAGGCAGAGGTTGCAGTAAGCTGAGATTACACCACTGCACTCCAGCCTGGGTGACAAAGTGAAACCGTCTCAAAAAAAAAAGAAAAAGAAAAAAAGAAAAGAAGTAGAGACAAGCGAATCTCCAAAGAACAGCTGCCCAGGGTCTCTCTGTTCAGTAGACTGGGGAAAGGGTTGAACTGGGTTTCCTCTCCCTGCAGCAGGAGAGGCTGCTCCTTACCCCCAACCACCACCAGGGCACAAGACCCCCTCCAGGTCTCCAGATGTCAAAAGGCTGGCATTTCCAGCATCCCCTGAACACCCAGGCAGTCTCTTTGTCCCTGTCTACAGGGTGACACTTTCCCTGCCCCCATAACTAGGGGAGCAATGGGAGGCAGGGTTTCAACTGGGTCACAGCCTGTTGGGCACAGAGCTGTCCCCACTCGAGCTACCTCTCCACAGGCTCCTGTGGACCTGCTGTGCAGCCTGCCTGACAGCCCCAGACTGTACCAAATGCCACCCACTCCATGCCTGCAGCTCTGGCTCGTCCCAAACTCCCCTCATTGGCCATACAAAGCAGCACATCTGAAACCTTACGGCACAGACATGTCACCTGGGTCCGGTTAAGGTGCAGATTCTGCATCTGGAGTCGGGAATGAGGCTGCATTTCTGTCTTTCTAAGCTCCAAGGGATGCCAAAGCCTGATCCATGGAACACACATTGAGTTACAAGATCATGAAAACCCTCCTACTGAGTCAAGTAATGGGATATGAGGTTCTCTTCCTGGACCACCTGCTTCCCCATGCTGTCCAGAGGCCCTGGGGAGGCTGCTCTGCTCTGCGGCAGTGTCTGTGGATCAGATTTGTCTCCTTGCTGACAATTAGGCTGTCAGGATTTGGAGATATGGAAGGGGAGGGGCCTGGGGAGCACTGGCAGAGTAATTTCCCACCCCCAGAGCTTGTTCTCTAAAGAAAGACAACCATCTTACTTTAGGGGTAGAATTTTGCAATTCTTGTGCATTCTAAGGTTGATATTCTGCTTTCTTTTCAGGAGGGTAGAGACAAATACAGGAAGTGAACTAAAAGTTAGTTTAGCTGAGTGTGAAAGGAGATCAAAAGTAACAGCTAGGCTGGGCGCGATGGCTCATGCCTATAGTCCCAGCACTTTGGGAGGCTGAGATGGGCAGATCACAAGGTCAGGAGTTCGACACCAGCCTAGCCAACATGCTGAAACCCTGTCTCTACTAAAAATACAAAAATTAGCCGGGCGTGGTGGTAAACACCTGTAATCCCAGCTACTTGGGAAGCTGAGGCAGGAGGATCACTTGAACATGGAAGATGGAGGTTGCAGTGAGCTGAGATCACGCCACTGCACTCCAGCCTGGATGACAGAGTGAGACTCTGTCTCAAAAAAAAAGAAACAAAACAAAACAAAACAAAACAAAAGGCCCAGCATAGTGGCTCACGCCCATAATCCCAGCACTTTGGGAGGCCAAGGCGGGCGGATTGCCTGAGCTCAGGAGTTCACTACCAGCCTGGGCAACACGGTGAAACTCGGTCTCTACTAAAATACAAAAAATTAGCCAGGCGTAGCGGCATGCGCCTGTAGTCCCAGCTACTTGGGAGACTGAGGCAGGAGAATTGCTTGAACCCGGGAGGCAGAGTTGCAGTGAGCCGAGATCACGCCACTGTACTCCAGCCTTGACAACAGAGCGAGACTTCATCTCAAAAAAAAAAAAAAAAAAAAGGTAACAGCTAATGCCAGGTGATGACCAGAAAACACAGTGCACACCTCTCTTTCCTTACCTCTCCCACCCGTCCTCACTGGGGATCTTTGGTTGGCTCGAGCCCCTGCCTACATCTAATGGAATCACAGGAGAAATGGGGGTTGGGGGTTGGAGGATGAGAAAGAAAAGTATTTGAGGACTTCCTCTGATCTGGTTCTGACACCTCAGGCCCCTTATCCCTCTTTATAATTATTATCCCCCTCTTCTACAGACTAAGACACTGAGGCTCAAAAAAGGCTAAAAGATTTGTCCAAGGTCACATGGCAAGCAAGCTGGCAAAAAATGTTTGTTGTCATGACTCCTAAGTCAGGCTCTTTCTATAATATCAGAGTCTCCTAAATCGAATGTCTCTATTAGCAGGTAAAGCAAAGTACAAATGGCACATCACAGGATAGGAGCTGCATAAATGGACATATTCCAATTAATTTGAAAAAGCATGTTGGAGAAAGCAAGCATGAGGGGAGGCAGTAAAACTGGTGGCAAGGTAAGTGGAATCTTCCAGATATAGGATCTTAAGGAACAGAATGAATGATTTGGAACTACATATTTATCTTAAGAAACCAGTAGAACTTTAAAAAGCTCCCATTCATTCAAAAGTATTTAATAAGCATCTGTTGAAGAGGCCAGGTGCAGTGGCTCATGCCTGTAATCCTAGCACTCTGGGAGGCTGAAGCGGGTGGATCACCTGAGGTCAGGAGTTCAAGACCAGCCTGGCCAACATGGTAAAACCCTGTCTCTACGAAAAATACAAAAATCAGCTGTGCATGATGGTGCATACCCATAATCTCAGCCCCTCAGGAGGCTGAGGCAGGAGAATCCCTTGAACCCGGGAGGCAGAGGTTGCAGTGAGCTAAGATTGTGCCACTGCACTCTAGCCTAGGTGACAGAGCGAGACTCCATCTCAAAAAAAAAATCTATTGAACACCAGTCCTGTGGTAAAGGAGAGAGAGGGTGATAGGGATCACTCCAGTTAATTCTCACAACAATCATTTGTCATTCTTTTCCATGCATGAGGAAAACAAGCCTCAGACAGGCTAAGTGTCCTGCCCAGCTGGGATGTGAACCTGGTCTGTCTGATCCCAGAGTCAGCAGTCCTAACACTGCACACCCATCACTCCCTTTTCACCTCAGAAACATCAAGCTGCAGTCTCTATGAGCACATAAAGAATGTATCTGAGATTGTTCTCAATGCTGGCCCAGACTCAGAAAAATCCTGCTCATTCTGATCCAAGCAGGTAGGAGACCAATGATATGCTACCTACAAGAAATAAACATTAAAGGCAAAGACAAGTTTGAAATAAAGGCATGTTTCTGGCAATGCTAGAATAATAAATACAAGACTCATCCTGCCATACTATAGAGCTAAGAAAATGAAACTGATGAAACGGTCATCAATTTAAGAGATCATGCCTGAGGGAGGAGAAACAAATGAGGTGAGGCCTATGAAATAAAATAGGTGGTGACAGATATAAAGAATGTCCTTCTCATGAACATCAGTAGACTCCGCACAGTGGAGGAAAGGAACGAACTTAAGACAGCATAATAGAAATTATCCAAACTAAACACAAGGAGGAAGGGGCAGGGGAGGGGTGGGAGGAGGGGAAGGAGAAGGGGAGGAAGAGGAAGAGGAGGGAAGGGAGAGGAGCGGGAGAAGGGGAGGAAGATCGGGGGAGGAGTGGGGAAAGAGCAGGAGGGAAGGAGGAAGAGGTGGGAAAGAGGAGAGGAGAGGGGGAAGGGAAGGAGATGGAGGGGAGGAGGAGGGAGAGGGGTAGGAGGGCAACGATGATGACGATGATGTTTTAAAAACCCTTGGGACAATATAAATAATCTAACACACATGTGACTGGAATCTAAGAAGGAAAAAGAGGGAACAATAACGGTGGAAGATATATTCGTAGTCAATGGCTGAGAATTTTACAAAATTAATCAAAGACATCAAGTCATAAATCCAAGAAGATTAGAGAATCCCAAGCAGGATTTTAAAGACACATAATATTTAAACTACTAAAAAATAAAGAGAAAGAGAACATATTTAAGGGCAGCCCAAGAAACTAAAGAGCAAAGTTAAGAATGACAGCAGATTTCTCATCAGAAACTATATAATCCAGAAGATAATGAAGTGTCATCTTTAAAGTGCTGAGAGATAAATAACTGTCAGCACAGATTTCTACCCCAGGGAAAAATATCTTTCATAAGTGAAAGTAACTTTTTAATTTCAGAAAAATAAAATCTGAGATGACTAAGTATCAGTAGACTTGTGCTACAATAAATTAAAGGAACTTTTTCAGGTAGAAGGAACATGAAACCAGACAGAAACTCGGTTCATACACAGAAACAAAGAGCTCTGGAAATTGTCCCGATGAAGGTTTGGATGAAAGAACTTTTAAATCACTCTAAAATATTTAAAGTCTAAAGCAAGCTTGTCCAACCCATGGCCCACAGGCCACACACAGCCCAGGGCAGCTTTGAATGTGGCCCAACACAAATTTGTAGACTTTTTAAAAACATGATCAGATATTTTTTTTTCTTTTTCTTTTTTTTTTTTTTGTTTTAGCTCATCAGCTATAGTTAGTGTTAGTTAGTGTATTTTATGTGTGGCCCAAGACAATTCTTCTTCCAATGTGGCCCAGAGAAGCCAAAAGATTGGACGCCCCTGGTCTAAGGCAAAAATAGAAGCAAAGGATTCTGGATTCTTAAATGCATGTATGACAATATACAAAAGATGGGAGGGACAAACTGGAACTATGAAATTCTTCCATTACACATGCATGATATCTTATTTGTAGGTAGATGGTGAAAAATTAAAGATGGATGTATACTGTAAACCCTAGGATAGCCAAAGAGATATTGTTAACTGTTTAATACAAATACAATTATTTGGAAAAACAGGAATAAAAATAACAATACTGGCCAGGTGCAGTGGCTCACACCTGTATTCCCAGCACTTTGGGAGGCTGAGGTGGGCAGATCACTTGGGGTCAGGAGTTTGCGACCAGACTGACCAATATGGTGAAAATCCACCTCTACTAAAAATACAAAAATTAGCCAGGCATGGTAGGCACCTGTAATCCCAGCTACTCGGGAGGCTGAGGCAGAAGAATCGCTTGAACCCAGGAGGCGGAGGTTGCAGTGAGTCGAGATCACACCATTGCACTCCAGCCTGGGTGACAGAGCGAGACTCCATTTCAAATAATACTACTAATAATAAAACATTAAATAATAAAAATACAAATACAATAACAATGTACTGTGGCATTTGTAATACATGTAGAAGTGAAATGTATGAAAAAATAGCAGAAAGGAAGGGGTAGAAGAAATTTTTACTCTTCTCTCTTTGACCAACCAACCACACCTGTAAAATGAGAACAAAGTCTATGACATAGGATTATGAAAAGAACTAAATGACTTCACACACGTACAGTACCAAGCCCAGCGCCTGATGTGTGATGAGTGCTTGGCAAATATTTGTTAAATGGACAAGTGAAGTGTTTAGTGTCATACATTTATTCATTATAAGAAAGTCAGGATCTCTCCCTAAGAAGCTGAATGTGGATTTCCTATATGGGGCTCACCAGGAAGTTGGTTAACTGCCAACAAGCGTTGTGTCTTCAAGCCCTGGTCTGGAAAACAGTCCATCATCAATTTTACCTCCCAAGACTCGGTTCCCTCCCAGGAGCTTGTAAGTGAGGCAGACAGAGTTTAGTTAGTAATGGCAGTCAGGAAAAATAAACTTGCCTAGAGAAAGGGACAAAGAGAACCACAAACAGCTTATGTCGGGAAAAGGAATGTTTTCATCTCCTCAACATCTGTAATGCACATTTATCCTGTGATGAGCAATTGCACTTCTGTGTCTGACCTTGGGAAGACCCTGGAAAGTCTGGCCGGTTTGAAGACAAATGTATAAACCACACGCAAATTTCACAGCAAACCAACCAATAAATATTCTCCAAACTGCCCTTGACATGTAAATGTTACCATGAATCTTAATGGCTTTATGCCCGAATCCTAGGCCTAGGAGCAGCCAGTAAAGTCCACGGAAAGATGTTCAAATGGGGTGTTGGTCAATGGAATGGCCCATTTTCCACTTTGCATAGGACAAACGTGATCCTGCTTGGATAGAAAGGGAGTTGTGTGAGCAAAGGAGGTGTGTGGGAAAGCCCAGGGCATGGCGGGGAGGAGCAGGTCAGTCTCTGAGGCTGGCATGTTGGACACTCCATGACCTTGACGCCATTTTGCTCCAGAAATTTCTGCACCAACCAGCTGTGCACAGGTGTAGCCAGCACACTGCCTAGCTGCACCATGTACATCTTGCTTTCAGCCCAGCCTCTCTGCCACCGCCTCATGGGACCTGCAGAAGCCATCCAGCCACAGAAATGCCAAGGACACGTCACCCTGTGGGACAGCCCACACCAGCGCAGGGAGAGAGCAGTAACCCCCGTGGAGCCTGCACACGTCCTCAGAAAGTCCCTGATGGAACCGGGTCCCAACTGCCTGCCAGGACGAGCGACAGTCCTGGCTTCAGTTGATTCTCCTCGTGCCACTTCCCCAAAGGGAGCATTTTACTGGATGAAACCAACTTGAGGAACTTATGAAATTTAGTAATTTACCAAAAATGTGCTTATTTTAGCTCGTTATAATGTATACAGTAATTTATATTGGATGGGATGGTTTTGATAGATTTTGAAGATTTCTGCAAAGCTCTAAGTAACTGGGTTTTTTGGGGGGTGGGGCTTATTTTTGAGACAGGGTCTCACTTTGTCACCCAAGCCTGAGTGCAGTGGCGCAATCACGGCTCACTGCAGCCTTGACCTCCTGGGTTCAAGAGATCTTCCTCGGCCTCCTGAGTAGCTGGGACTACAGGCGTGTGCCATCATGCCTGGCTAATTTTTTAATTTTTATAGAACGGGGTCTCACTATGTTGCCCAGGTTGGTCTCAAACTTCCAGGCTCAAGTTATCTGCCCTCCTTGGCCTCCCAAAGTGCTGGGATTGCAGGCATGAGCCACTGCACCTGGCCCCTAAGTGACTGATTCTCATTTTGTCTTCACAATAGCATTTCCTCAGCAAAAGGCGAAAGACATACAGGAGACTTGGCACACACAGTGGCCTGGGCTGCTGACGCTTGGAGGGGCAGTGGGAGACAAAGTGAGGTGGTATGAGGAGGAGGGTGTGCTGCGCCCACCCCCCCTCCCCCCGCAATCCTCTTGCCCTAACAACCCTGCCAGGTTGAACACCCCGCTCTGGGCGCTGCCGGCTTTAGGCATCACCTCCAATTCCTGATGGCTCTGGGGCTTCTATAGCCTTCTCTATAAAGAGGGACTGCACCATCTGCCCTCAGGGGTAATAACGAGGGCAAAGTAAGACACCATATGTTTAGCTCTTACTGCAGCAGGAGTTTGGTCCGCATGGGATGCTTTTATTGTTACTGTTGCCACAGATCTTGTCTGAGGAGCTCCTGCAATCCTGAGGAAACAGGTGGAAGGTGTAAGATTCCCCTCGGCTGGAGACCTGCTCATTTTTCAAGATCTTTCCTGAGCACCATCTCTGCCCCAGCACTGGGCTGAGCACTGGGCACATGCGGAGCCCCAACACTGCCCCCAAAGGCTTCCGGCCTGGACCCTGAAGGAAGACAGGCTGGGAGCACGGGACAGCACCAGGGAGCAGCCTCTCCAGGAAGAGGAGCCCAAACGGGCAGAAATGGGGCGGGAAGGGCTCTCTTGGCAGAGAGGGTCAGATGACTGAGAACTTTACACACCAAGAGGGAAAATCTATTCTTGCATTCAGTGAAAGCACTCCTTTTGTGAACTGGAAAGTTGTTTTTTTCTTTTTTTTTGAGATGGGGTCTCACACTGTCCCCCAGGCTGCAATGCAGTGACATGATCTTGGCTCACTACAACCTCCGCCTCCCAGGTTCAAGCAATTCTACTGCCTCAGCCTCCCAAGTAGCTGGGATTACAGGCACCCGCCACCACGGCCAGCTAATTTTTGTATTTTTAGTAGAAACGAGGTTTCGTCATGTTGGCCAGGCTGGTCTCGAACTCCTGACCTCAAATGATCCACCTTCCTTGGCCTCCCAAAGTGTTGGGATTACAGACATGAGCTACCACACTCAGCCAACTTTTTCTTTAAAACCCCAAATTTTAATTAGCACCCCTGACACAGATCATTACCCCTTTAAGTAGCTAGTTTCTGAACTCCTGCCTCCTGCAGAGATTCTCTCAGGCATGCAGGTGCCCTGCCCTCCCCATGGTCTACCTCCATGAAGTTGCACTCAGTCCTACTCTGGCCCCAAACCCCTTTGAACAAAACCCATGGAATGGTGTGGCTGTCTGAGCCTCGGTCTCCTCACCTGTCAAATGTAAGAGTGAATCAATGTCATGCATGTAGGATGTCTGTGGAACACCTGGCAGGGAGAAAACAGTGAATAGTAACTATCGTTACTGCTGGTGCTCAAAAAATATCAGTCATTTGCTTGAGTCCAGGAGTTTGAGGCTGCCGTGAGCTATGACTGAATCACTGCAGTTAAGCCTAAGCGACAGAGGGAAATCCCATCTCTTCAAAAGAAAAAAAAAAGCCCTATTTTCTTCACGTTTTCCATCACAGAAAAGCAAAACATTCAGATCTAGTAATTAATACTTCAGCAAAGAAGGCTCATGAGCCCATTTCTTTTAAGCATCTTCTTAACATTTCTGAGCCTGTCAGTAATCACTTTCCCATGTACTGGGTGGTACTGAGTAATTATCTCCAGCTCTCCCCAGGTCCAAGGTATTCTGCTGCAGAAACGTGACGTGTATGAGTTAGCTAGTGCTGTGTAACAAATTATACTGAGACTCAGCAGTTTCAAACAACCACCGTTGAACATCTCTCACAGTTTTTGAGAGTTGGGAATCCAGGAGCAGCTCATCTGGGTGGTTCTGGCTCAGTCTTGCTAGTTAAGTGGATGTCCAGGGCTGCAATCCAGGATTGCATGACGGGGCCTAAAGGATCCGCTGCCGAGCTCACTCATGTGGCTGCTGAGATTTCAGCTCCTTACCATGTGGCATGGTCACAAGGCTGATGGTGATGTAGCAGCTGGTTTCCCCAGAGCAAAGGGTCCAAGAGAAAGGAGAGAGGAGAGAGAGAGGGAAAGAAACCAAGAGGGAAGCAACAGGACCTTTTATGACCTAATCTTGGAAGTACTGTGGCATCACTTCTGCAGATTCTATTGGTCACACAGACCTATGTGATATAATGTAGGAGGGGCTACACAAGCACGTGAATTCCAGGGTGTGGGACTGCTGGGGGCTATCCTGGAGGCTGGCTACCACGACATGTCTGAGATCAGTTCCCAAGGACACCATCCCATCTGGGAACACAGATGGGAGCAGCTACGTCTTCCTCTGGTGCGTCTTCAAGTGTGGCTGCCATCCATTAGAATCAAGAGCTGAGATGGCAGCTCCTGAAAAGGATGGGAAGGCTGTGACCTCACAGTCCATGGGGGAGGTTGGTGCGTATTTTTCTCACCAGCTGCAAGACAACTGGTGGGAAAATGCTCAAGGCATTAACACTTCCCTAAGGTGAGCACAGTCATTTCAGCACATTAGCAGGCTGGACTCATAAGCATTTCAGAAACTCAAGTGAGAACCAGAGCCGGGAGGTCAAGCTGGCAAGTCGTTTCAGATGGTCTTAAATTTTATTTAAAAAGGAAGAATGCAGGATTGCACAAACAGGGGCTTTCTGTGCCAGACCTGGCCATAATCAGCTTCTCTCTCACCTGGGAGGACAAAAGTAAAAGAGATGTTTGGAAACCCCAAGAAAACGTATTTAGAGCAGTTGAAGGTGGGGTGGGTGGGAAGGAAAGTAACTATTTCCATAGAAAAGAAATGATGACATGATAATATTTTCGTTTTACATCTTTTCACTGTTTCCAGAGGTAGACAATTACAGCCTCTTGGTTTCCTTCCAATCGAGCCCTTGAACCAGGACCCTAAGGGACCCCAGGGATCTGAAAGGAAGTCACAGTGACTTGGGTAGCAAAGGGCAGTTCCAGGGCTCTGGCTCTCCCAGGCCCCTGCACATTTCACATCTACACCGTGAGAGGCAGCAGAGCCAAAATCCAAGCTTTGCACCCCCATTTCCTCATCTAGAAAATGGGGATGCCAATGGTACCTGCTTCAGAGTATGACATTACTATGGAGGATGCATTCAATACCTGCAGCTCAATCTGTGCCTGGCACTGGCTGAGCACGTCACCAGCACTACCTCACTTAGCAGGTAAAAAAATGAACATCCAGAAATTTGAAGTCGCTGGCCTTGCCCAGAGGGCTATGTTCACCAATTGCCACCAGGGCTGTTGGACCCCAGACTGCGTCTCAGCCTGGGCAGCTCAGTGTTACTCTTCATCCAACCAGCGAGCCAGTGTCACCCCTCAGTGTCTCAGAGGCCCCTCCAACTGAGCTCCTCCTCTCCTCCACTCCTCTGCCCCTGCCCCTCCCCGACACAGCCCCACCTGCCCCTCTTCCATCCTGTCCTCACCTGTGTCCCATTCAGGATGAGCAAATCAGCTGCAGTACCCAGTCTCTGGGAGCTGACACTCCAGTGCAAGGGGACACATGGGACGCAAGATGCACAAAACAAAGAAAACAGACGGGCAGCCCTGGCTTACGATGGCTGGGCCTAACCATGTTTTGACTTTACATAGATGCGTGGATGAGTCAATCAGTAGGTGTATAGATAGACAGATAATACATGAATGAGTGGCTGGGTGAATGGGTGAGTATGTGGATAGGTGGGTGGCTGGGTGGGTGAGTGGGTGGATGGATGGATGGATGAATGGATGAATGGATGAACAGATGAGTGGGTGGGTGAATGAGAGTGTGTGTGAGTGAATGGATAAATGGATGAGTGGGTAGATGGGTGGGTGAGTAGGTGGGTAAATGGAGGGGTAAATGAAAGGACAGTGGATGAATTGTTGAGTGGATGGGCGAGTTGATGGACGAGTGATAGGTAGATGAATGGATGGTGGCTGGCTGGCTGGCTGGGTGAATGGGTCAGTGGATGGATGAATGAGTGACTGAAGGATGAATGAGTGCCTGAAGGATGAATGGATGGATAGGTAGACGAATGATGAACAGATGGATAGGTGGGTGGATGGATGGATGGATGAGTGGATGAGGGTACTGATGAACAGATTAGCAAATGGAGGAACAGAATCATTGTTCTGGTTGTAAGAAGCCCAACTCCTTCCTTTAGGAGAAGTACTAGAAATGTCCATGTTTGTTTTCTGCAGTCTTTGACAAATGTTCTACAGTCGAACAAGGTCTGGCTGTAAAATGCCTCTTCCTTTTCTGAGGAAAAACAGCACCTCTTTTTTCTTTCTTGCAAGTGACGCAAAACATTTCACATGGCCTCAAACAGATCTAGCACCTAAGGGTCAGGAGCTGGAAACTTCACCAAACACATACATCATTACAGTTCTCCTGAAAGTAATGGTGCCACTATTTATGACCATGAATACGGCATTAAACAAATACTGAGATGGGGAGAGCTCGTTACTCAAGGCCATTAAACAGCTCAGGAAGAGTGCAGTTATGTTAGAAGCCAATTAAGAGGACTCACACCGGTTGTCAGCAGCCCACGAGGTGCTGGGACGTCCCCTAGCACATAGTAGGCACCTCGTAAAATGCGTAAACCAAAACAAGAGAGTCAGATTAGCAGTCCAACAACAGGGCTATCTGGAACACTGCCCTTCATCATCCCCTGGGCCGCGTGCAACATGGACCACAATGCTCAAGAGTCCAGGACCATTCATGAACACACAGAGCAAACAATGCACCTCAATGGTAAATACCAATGATTTAGTCATTTATTTATCAAACACTTCCTGAGCACTTGCCTGCCAGGCACTGTTAAAAGTGCTTTATAATTATTAATTCATTAAATCATCATAGCAACCTTATGAGGTAGAAGCCATTATTATCCCCATTTTAAATATGAGGAAACTGAGGCGCAGAGATCCAACACACAGTAAGCTACGGAATCAGGATGTGAACCAGACTATTCAGCTCACAGTTCATGTCTGAAACAGACAGCAAAGAGGAGGAGCCTGATGAAGGTTCATTATACCACAGGTGCTTACACACACTCCCTTATCTAGGGGGAGGAGCCTATTGAAGGTTCATTACACCACAGGAATTTACAGACACTCCCTTATCTAAGGGGAGGAGCCTGCTGAATGTTCATTACACCACAGGAGTTTACACACCTTTTTGTGGAGAACAGGGTCTCGGTATATTGCCCAGGCAGTTCTCAAACTCCTGGGCTCAAGCGATCCTCCCATCTCTGCCTCCCTAAGAGCTGAGATAACAGGTATGAGCCACTGTGCCCGGCTCTAAAAGCTTTTGAGTCCTATTTTGTAGGCCCCAGTGAAACAGTGTATCCAGTTCATGATCACCAAGGGATGCTAAAGCCATGGGCAAGGTCTGCTGGGCTCGGGCTGACTTGCCAGGGCCTCCTGGTCAGTCTTTGCATTTCAAGAGTGAGGCCTACAGCGTCGTGAGCCTGCTGACACATGCATGGCGGGCACGGAGCCCGGCCCAGGAAGCCGCCTTACAGAAAATATGACAGGCCAGTCTATCAAACCTTTAGGTCAACTACAAGTTTACAGGAAACACGGAGCAGAGAAGAGGGAAAATGCAAGGTGGTTAGATTTTTTTTTAAACTTTGCCCCTTTTAAAAATTTCAGATTCATATACCTGTTTTTATAGGCAGAACGGTTTCTGGGAGGAAGGAGAGAAGGTAGGATAAAGGGCAGTGGGTGGAGGACCTTGCTCAGACAGAGAGCAGAGGTCAGCTGGGGGTGCAGGGTGGAGGCTGAGGCTCCTGAAGCTCACGTGGGCAAGGAGCTGTGCTTCACAATCACCTCCTAGGGGACTCTGCCTGGCGCTGCAAGCACCCCAGAACCCAGGATCTCCCACTGCCCAGAGCCCATGCTGTCGGCGATGTGAGGGGCGAACCTCAGCAGCCAGGGCAGAGTGGCCGAAGACACACGCGGACACCTGCTCTCCACCACCTCCTGCTCCCCACCTGGGACCAGGGAGCTGGTGTCCTGTGATTTCTGGAATCTCACACCCTGCCAGTGTGCTGGGAAGGACACAATTGCCTGGCTGGTGCTGAGACGACATCCCCACATCTGGAATGCCAAGGTGGCCTCCTCCGGAATGCCGCCCCTTCCACTGCTCATGGGTTGGCCTGAAGGTTTGTTGTTTTAACATAAAAACGGGGCCTCGGCAGGGCACGGTGGCTCACGCCTGTAATCCCAGCACTATGGGAGGCCGAGGCAGGCAGATCACGAGGTCAGGAGATCGAGACCATCCTGGCTAACACGGTGAAACCCCATCTCTACTAAAAATACAAAAAGTTAGCCAGGCATGGTGGCAGGTGCCTGTAGTCCCAGCTACTCAGGAGGCTGAGGCAGGAGAATGGTGTGAAACCAGGAGGCGGAGCTTGCAGTGAGCTGAGATTGCACCACTGCACTCCAGCCTGGGCGACAGAGCGAGACTCCGTCTCAAAAAAAAAAAAAAAAAAAGCGGTGGGGGGGCCTCAAACAGCACTATCTCTCTTGGAAATGACAAAAGTGAAAACAGGAAGCTTCCAAGTGCCCCAGTGGACTCCCAGGGCTCCCAGATCCCCCAGTGCAATGCCCACCAGAGAAAACAGCAGGTATCCAAAATCAACAAGTACTTATGCGGCACCTGTTGTGTGTCAAGCATGGCAAGAGTCCCTGGGACAGCTACAAAAGCTCCATGACACTCAACACCACTGAGCCTCAGCCCAGCCTGGACCAAACATCACTAAGTGATCACAGAGGTTCTTCCTCAAGGGCCTGGTGACCTCAGGGGTCTTTGCTACAGTGCCCAGGCAGCACAACCCATTTGCAATTCCTCTAACGGGGAGGCTTGGAAAGGGTCTCCCCAGAGTGGACAAGTGGAGAGGCAGCACCTGGAACTGGGAGGCCGCCGAAGGAAAGGTGGCCTGGATGGGCTGCAGGAGAGCCAAGGCCAAGTCTCGCATCTGCCACCAGCTTTTGTGGGGCTTGGGACAGGGCATGGCCCTCTCTGGGCCTCACTGTCCCCATCTGCGAATGAGGTGATTGGACCAGTGTCCCCACGGCCCCTCCCAGGCCTCAAGTCTTGGCACATGGGTCACCAGAGAGCTCTCAGAAGGTGGGGCCAGGCACTGCCAGGAGCAGCCCGAGAAGCCACCAAGGCCTGGACTGGGCCAGGCTGGGCAGACTGCAGTGCCTCCACCTGCCATGGCGGCCTGGCTGGGCCAGTGGGACTCCAGCCACATGTGGTTCATGGCTCCTGAACCAGACGGTACAGATCAACTTTTCCACCATCACAGAAAGTTCCACTGGGCAGGGCTGGGCTGTGTGGTCATTACCCAGTTAATGGCCTGGGGCAGAGTGAGGGGAAGAGAGGCAGAGGGGAGGAAAAAGGAAGGGAGCAGGGGAGGAGGAAGGGAGGGCTGTGTGGCTGGGTGGAAGGGAGATGGGGAGGAAGGGACAGAGTGTTTCTCTGGGCTCCTGACTTGAGTCCAGGGTGCAGACAACAGGAGCATCTTCTCCAAAACCCTTTAAACGGTTACCCCACATTTCACCTCCCCTGGCCCCACCAGGTCCAGGAAGTCACAGCTCCCTCTCCCACAAACCATGGGCTGACCTGGGCAACTGAAGCCCCCTCCAGCCCTGGCCTTCTGGGGCTTCTATGCTAAAGTCTCTCAACAGTGCCCTCTTGTGGCTCCTAACGCCAAGTTTCACGACAACGCCTGCAGGCGGAGAGCTGCCTGGGGTCCGTCTATGGAAGCCGTGGTCCCGTGTGGGCTGCAGCAACATTGTCACTGGGTTATTCAGGACATGTGGTGCAGCCTCAGGTACCACTCCCCAAGAGCACACCTGCACAGATGTAGACAACAGAGCCAAATAACCCCACCCACCTGGAACACAGCCACTGCCACCACCACCGAGGTCCAGACACCATCGTCCCCCACCAGGTTTCCTGCTGCAGCCTCCAAGCTGGTTTCCCGTGTCCACTCTTGCCACTCTATTCCATCCAACACTCTTCAGCTGGAGTGGTTTCTCCAAAATGCAGCCTGTGGTCACGGGCTGCTGTGGCCGCTGCCTTGACCTGTCCTCCCTTGCCACTGACACGGCCAGGGGACCCAAGCCTTCATGGCCTTCTCGAATATGCCCTGAACCTGGCTGTGGTGCAGGATTTAGCCACACAAATGTGAAGCCCTGACAGCCTCCCAAAGCCTCCCATGCTCTCTGCCATCCGCTTCATCCTCCAGTGCTCTTGGCTGCCCATGCCACGACCCAGCCACCCTAACTGGATTAAGTGGCCGGAATGCCCCCACCTGTCACCTCCAGACTGTCCACCCCTGCTGTGCCTGTGCCCTGGCACTCTGGTCTCACCTTTCATTGCCAGGTTTCCTGGAATTGTCTTCAGGTCTCTGCTCCGATGGCGCTTCCTCCCTGACTGGTGAGATGGGATCTGCTCACCTTGTCTTATCTTGAGTTCACCCCAAAAGCAGAGCCTGAGGCAAGGATTGAGCGCAAGTGTTTTCTGGGGGAGGTGATGCAGGAAGCCCTGTGAGGGAGTGGGAAGGTGAGGGGAGGAAGGAGAGCTGGGATGAAGGAAATTAGCAAGAAGGTGGCCCCAGTGGGCGGTACGGGCTCAGTCCTGCTGGGAACACGGCCCAGAGTCATCCCCATCGAAGGATGCGGGGGCAGAAGTGCTGACCCACACCTCCCACCCATCATCGGCCAAGGGCTGCTCCTGGGGCATCACGTCCTGTACATCCAGCCTGTCCCTGCAGTGGCTCCCACAGCAAGAACACCCCAGAAAGAGGTTGCTGGTCCTTGTGGCAACGTGGGAATGGTTAGCAGGTCACTGACGGAGCTCCTGGGCCCTCCTTGTGTTCATGTGTGCCTCAGGCAGGATGGCAACGACCCCCACCTGAATTACAATACCCTCGCTGCGCAGTGGCACCCTGGAGGCAGCACATGTCTTCTTATGCTGTCTCCCTGGTGCCAGGCATCCAATAAATATGTGCTGATTGAATAAATGATGTTTAAAGTTGCCCTAGGGCCACTGAAGATGTGCCCCTGGAGAACACGGCTTCCACTCCCTCCACGGTGGCCACTGCAGATACGGATGTGCCCAAGATACACCGAGGCCCTGGCCCGTCACTGTAGCCCTCTTTGTTCTGTATATCTGAGACTCCCACGTCTTTCTTCCTTGTCTCTAAGGTGAACCCCCCAGTTCAAGCATCCCAGAGTCTGGTTCCTGTTTGACACTTTTTTTTAGAGAGACAGGGTCTTACTGTGTTGCCCAGGCAGGAGTTGCAGGGGTGTGATCACAGTTCATTGTAGCCTTAAACTCCTGGGCTCAAGAGATCTTCCCACCTCAGACTCCCAAGTAGTTGGGACTAGAGGCATGCACCACTATGCCTGGCTAATTTTTATATTTTTTGTAGAGACAGGGTCTCGCTATGTTACTCAGTCTGGTCTCGAACTCCTGGCCTCAAGTAATCTTCCCCAGCCTCTTGAGTAGCTGGGATTACAGGTGCGAACTACTGTCTGAGCCTGTTTGTCACCTTTAGGTCCTCCGTTTGGTCACCCCCGGAGGAATGTGTCCTTTCCTTCCTGCCCAGGCAGTAATAACAGAGATCTGCTCAGGGGAGGAACTGAGTGGTTTCTATTTTCTTCTTTGTAGTTTTCTGTATCCTTAAAGTCTTTCACAGTGAATTGTGTTGCTTCTACAATTAAACTTATCATTTTGAGATAATTACAGAGTCATGTACACATATAATAAATAATACAGAGAGGCCAGGAACAGTGGCTCACACCTGTAATCCCAGCACTTTGGGAGGCCAAGGCAGGCAGATCACTTGAGGTCAGGAGTTTGAGACCAGCCAGGCCAACATGGTGAAACCCCATCTCTACTAAAAATACAAAACTTAGCCAGGCGTGGTGGTGTGAGCCTGTAATCCCAGCTACTCAGGAGGCTAAGGTGGGAGGATCACCTGAGCCCCAGGGACGGAGGTTGCAGTGAGGCAAGATCGCACCACTGCACTCCAGCCTGGGCGACAGAGTGAGACCCGGTCTCAAAAAAAAAAAAAAAAAAAAAGAGAGATAATACAGAGAAGCCCCATGTTATCCTTTATTCGGTTTGCCCCAATTGGTAACACATGGCAAAACCATAGTACAATACTGCAACCAGAACACTGCCACTGATGTGTTTCCAGCCACAAGAATGCCTCGCGCTGCCCCTCTATAAACACAGGCCCTTCCTTCCCACCAGACCCAGACCCTTCCTGAGCTCCCAGAAACCACTAATCTGCCTCCATTTCTATAATTTTATCATTTCATGGTGTTATGCAGGACAACTGGATATCCACAAGCAAAAGAATGAAGCTGGACCCCTACCTCATACCATATACAGAAATTAAACTCGAAATAGATTTTAGAAACCTAAATGTAAGAGCTAAAACAATAACACTCTTAGAAGAAAACACAAGGCTGGGTGCAGTGGCTCACCCCTGTAATCCCAGCACTTTCAGAGGCCGAGATGGGCAGATCACTTGAGGTCAGGAGTTCAAGACCAGCCTGGCCAACATGGAGAAACCCTGTCTCTACTAAAAATACAAAAATTAGCCGGGCCTGGTGGCAGGCACCTGTAATCCCAGCTACTTGGGAGGCTGAGGCAGGAGAATCGCCTGAACCTAAGAGATGGAGCTTGCAGTGAGCCAAGATCGCACCACTGCACTCCAGCCTGGGCAACAGAGCGAGACTCTGTCTCAAAAAAAAAAAAAAGAAGAAAACACAAGTGCAAGTCCTTGTGATCTCGAATCCAGCAACGGTTTCTTAGATATGAGCATACGACCTAAAGTCCATGCAACCTAGAAAAATATAAACCGTATTTCACAACAATTTAAAACCCACATCTACTTCGAAGGACATCATCAAGAAAATGGGTCTAGTATCCAGAAAATACACAGAATACTTACAAGTCAATAATAAAAAGATGGATAGACAACCCAATTAAAATATAGACAAACGGCCAGGCATGGTGGCTTATGCCTGTAATCCTAGCACTGTGGGAGGCAGAGGCAGGAAGATCATTTGAGCCCAGGAGTTCAAGACCAGTCTAGGCAACAAAGTGAGACCCGTCTCTACAAAAATTTAAAAAACTATTAATAGCCAGGTATGGTGGCATGTGCCTGTGGTCCCAACTACATGAGAGGCTGAGGCGGGAGGATTGCTTGAGCACAGGAGGTCAAGGCTTTGGTGAGTTATGATTGTACCACTGCACTCCAGCCTGGGTGACAGAGTGAGACCCTGTCTCAAAAATATATATCTGTGTTAGGGGGACATATCTATATATATGTATATGTCTGTGTGTGTGTGTGTGTGTGTGTGTGTGTGTGTGTGTGTATGTGTGTATCTATATATCTATATATAGACAAAGTATTTGAATAGACGCTTCTCCAAAGAAGTTATACGAATGTCCAATACGCACATGGAAAGATGTTCAACATCATTAGTCATTAGGAAAATGCAAATGGAAACCACAATGAGATACCACTCCATACCTGCTAGGATGGCTATCAGCAAAGTCACAGATGAAACAAGTGTCATGAGGATGCAGGGAAATGGGAACCCTCATGCCTGCTGGTGGGCATATAAAATGGCAGAGCTGCTGCGGACAAGAGCTGGGCAGTTCCTCAAAACATGAAACATGGAGTAATATATGATCCAGCAATTCCACTCCCAGGTGTACACCCCAGAGAAACGCAAACCTCTGTCCACACAAACACTTGTACACAAATGTTCATAACCACATTATTCACAAAGTAGAATCACCGAAAAGCAGAAACAACCCAAAATTCAACCATCAAAAGAAATGACATACTGACATATGCCTCAACACAGATGAAGCCTAATACGGAGTGAAAGAAGCCAGTCATAAAAGACCACTTATCGGACGACAGCATTAAGATAAAATGTCCCAGAACAGGCAAATCCAGAGTCAGAAAGTAGATCAGAAGTCACCAGGGATTGGGGGAGACGGGAAGGAGTGACTGCTTAATGGTATGGGACTTTTTGCAGTGAATGTTCTAGAATGAGCAGTGATGGTTGCAAAACTCTGTAAATATATTAAAAACCACTGAATCGTATACTCTAAAAGAGTGAATTTTATGACATATAAAAGAGATCTCAGATTTTAAAATTCAATTCACATATACAATGTTATGCTACTTAAAGGGAGACCCACCTGACACAGGTGCTGAAACCATTTTCGGGCCCTCATCCAGTGGGTCTGCTGTCCCTGAAGAGACACTCGGAAATAGCTGCCCTCCCCCAGGGACACGGACATGGGGACAAGTCCCCCCTTAATGAAGGGAAATCAGAGGTCATCATTTAAGAGGTGGCCAGTTTAGAGTTTCACAAATAACATTTATTGACCACATTCATAACAGAAACTCACCCACATTCACATGAACTTTGCTACAACCAAGAATCACCTGATGAGAAATCATTTGGGTTGAATCCTGGGTGTGGATTCTGTTCTGAGAAGACAGCGACTGTCACAGACGCCTCCTGATTGGTGGACTCTCAAAGATCTTGATCGTGACACATTTTTGTGGCTGTTCTTGACAGTAGCTGAAGATTCCAACTTCAAACCCCAAAACACTGGCTGGAAAGCAAAGAGAGACAGTTACTAGGACCCGGCCCCAGGCTGAGACCAGCTGCCCTCAGCGCGTGCCCTTGGGAAACCTCCATGAGCGGAAGGCAGAGGCGCTCCACAGTGCACAGGGCTGGAGGAATCCCAGGCAGGGAAGGGGTGCAGGGATGAGGGGTGGGGTGCAGTCCTGGCCATATCGCTTTCCAGCCGCAGGACTGGGGTGAGGCATTCCACCTGAGTGCCCACTCCTTCTGAAAAGGGATGATAATGCTGGCTTTGCAGAACTGTGAAGGGGACAGGTGAAATGAAGGCAGGTCTCACCCTGCTCTTGGGGGCTCCCTGCCAAGAGATTCTAAGCCCACCCTCTCCCCCCACCCCCGGCTGCTGTAGCACATCTCTCCAGGCCGGCAGACGGGCCGCCGAGGCTTCTCCTGAGATAAGCTGGGTTGGTGGCTTGGGGCATCTCACAGGGCACCCAAACATCCCAGCTGGACAAGCTGTGCCCTCCCCTGGGATGCTGGTTGGTGCCTGCTCCGCTGCCCTGGGAGCTTGGCTCAGAAGCAGACACCTGCTATGGAAGCATATGAATCACCAACACCACAGAGTGAGTGACTTCCTGGGTCTTTCTAGACAAGCTGTTGATAAGGACAGGAAGAGATGGGGCCCTCCAAGTGCCAGAATTCAGGGGCTGGAAAACAGGAAGCTGCACCAACATGCAGGCGGGTCTCCACCTGGACTGCACTTCTGGGGAACTTCAAAACAAGAGCATGCCCAGGCCCTCCCCAGAACAGTTACTCCAAATCTCTAGACAAAGCCCAGGCATCTTTCTCTTTTTCTTCCCCTCTCCTTCCTTCCATTCCTTCCATCTTACCAAGTAATTTGAGCCTGAGGCCAGGGCTTAGCAATTCCCTTTTGGGCCCCCTGACCATCTACTTAACATTGATCCTTTAAAATTGTTTCTTAAATTTCTTTTAGAGATAGGATCTTGCTCTGTTGCCCAGGCTGGAGTGCACTGGCACAATCAGCTCACTGCAACTGCACTCTCCTGGGCTCAAGCAATCTTCCCACCTCGTTCTCCCAAGTAGCTGGGACCACAGCACTACACTCAGCTAATTTTTTTATTTTGTGTGGAGATGGGGTCTCACTATGTTGCCCAAGCTGGTCTTGAACTCCTGGGCTCAAGTGATCCTCCCACCTTGGCCTCCGAAAGTGCTGGGATCCAGGTGTAGGCCACCACACCTTGCCCATCCTCTAAGGCTGGGATCCAGGTGTGGGCCACTGTGCCCGGCCTCGCCCATCCTCTAAGGCTGGGATCCAGGTGTGGGCCACCATGCCCAGCCTTGCCCATCCTTTAAGGCCAAGTGTTCTTCTTTGCTTCTCCCAGTGTGGGTACAAAGGAGTCAAACTAAATGTGATCATCAAGCTGCCAAACATAAAAAGAAAGATAAATCCACAAGAAAAACGACAAAGAAGGAAAGCTCTCGCTGTTGCCCAGGTACTGCTCATGCTCAGAGACCAAACAGAGCTCACCGCGCCCGCTCCTGGCCCCCTTCCCAGTGCATGGCCTGGAGAGGCTGGCGCCCAGGCCCACAAGGGACCCGTACCCCGATGCACATCACAGCCTCAACTGTGACTGCCCAGGGAGTGGGAGGCAACGTCCAACTCTAGGAGAATGGATAACCCAAAAAACAGGGGAGAGCCTCCCGCTCCCGCTCCCAGCCGTGGCAGAGTGACCAAGACCGGGCTAAGCTCCTGCTGTGAACAACTAGAAAACAGGACAGGACACCTGGCAGCTACCTGCAGACGCTGCACATTTTCTAGAATCTTCCTCTTGCAATTGCATGGAGGAGACAACGAGCAAACAAGTAAATGCATGTAAATTCGACTGTGTGTGTGCGTTTGTTCACAGGTCTCCTCATCCATGCAGTGTGATGCAGGCCCCCAGGCAGGAAGGAGCTGCACTGGGCAATGAGGAGGAGGAGGAGAGGAGAGAGGCTTTGCAGAGGAGCCACCGCCTAGGCCGAGAGTAAAGGAGTAAGAGGAAGTAGCTGTTCCCCGAAGCCCAGCTGTGGCCCGGGGAGTGGCCCCGGAGGCTTCCTGGGGGAGGTATCCCAGCAGAAAGCCATGGCTGTGGGCAGCAAGGGTGCCAGGGGCGAAACTCGAAGCCTGGGCGAGGATAGGGACTAGAGACCAGGGGAAGGGGCTTTCTAGTATGGAGACTGGCGGCTGGGGCTCAAGCTGGGGACAGGCAAGAGGTCCCCATACCTGAGGGGGTGCTCAGAGCTCAGAGGCTGGAGGGTGAGTGGCTGTTAAGATGCACCGTCAACCCCAACATAACAATGAAAATTTATGGAAACTGGGACCCGTGTCCTTCTGGGAGCAGGGCCATTTTAGAACTTGGGAAGAGGGAAGGGGTGGAAGTGCCCCACGAGGCCCCCGCCGCCCCCAGGCTGCCCTGGCATCTCTAGGTGACGCGGGGCAGAGCCTGCGCTGTGCAGAGCACCACAGGACACACTCACAGTGCCGGGCCTTGGACGCCTGTCAAGTTAAGCCCCACCCCCCACTCTTCCACATCCCTGATGGCCACCAAGCCTCCCTCAGGTGGACGTCACCATGCCAGGGCCACCCACTGTCCCCCATCCCCCACCTGCTCACCGAATGGCCATGATGACCCTCGGGATGGCCTGGAGGAGGGTCAGGAGGCCGAGGGGCAGCAGACGCGCTGCAGGAGCCGGTAGCTGGTCCTGGTAGGGGGCCTGGAGCTGCTGGAACTTGGACAACAGGCACTCATCACCGCAGATCCGCCAGCAGTTGTGCCAGCAGCATGCATCCAGCAGGGGTGCTAGGCAAAGAAAAGGTGGGTTGAGGACAGGGCGTGTTCTCCGGGACTCTGTGAGCCACGAGGAGGCTGCAACACCAGCCCCAGAGCCTCCGGGAAATGGGGACTTCCAGGACCCAGCCACAGCCCCGGGGTGGGGACACTGACCCGGAGCTCACGAGATAAAGGCCGTCTTGCGGGTTTATGATATCCTGGGTAACGGCAGCCTTGGGGCTGTTTTTCAAGAGGCTTGCTCTTTTAGAACAGCATATGGAACATGTGCAATGTCTAGCTGGGACTTGTTTCCAAATCCTCTTTTTTGGAGCGGGAGTGGGTGGTGAAGATCAGAGGAACCACACTGGATAATGACTGGAGCCGAGTGATGGGCACGTGGGGCTGATTTAAGCCAATCTCCACTTCGGGGTATATTTGAAATTTTCCATAACAAAAGTTTAAGGAAAGCCACAAGCACGGATGGAATTCCAACGTTTCCATTTCCTTGATGCTCTTCGGCACTTTCTACACGGGGTCTGGTCAGCATGTGATCCTCTGGATACTAGAGTTTGTTTTTATTTTTTATTACACTGTTAATATGCTACTAATATAAAATATACATTAATTATATTAATGTAAATATCATAAATATACTTTCCTTATGAAAAATTATGCCACAAAAACATAGAGGAGAAAAGCACCTAAGTCTGTCTTTACAAGAAAAAATGTAAGATCAGAAATGTGGACTTTCTCATTAAAATGGAAACCAGTCAGATTTGCAGCCAAAGAAAGTGTCTCACATTTTTAAATCACTCCGTACTTGCGGCCAGAGGGAAGAACTGTCATAATTCTCCTGGCAGCAATGAGATCTGCTCTCTTAATTCTGTGCTGGGAAATCTTCTGGCGTGAATGGGTTTGAGGCTTGAAACATTACTTATATAAGTCACCTAAACTACAAAACAATGATTGGAGTAAAAATTAATGCCATTTTTATTTTAAGTATCAGATACCAGATGATGCATGTCAACTAAGCTTTTAGCTTTTCTTAAAAGATGCAAAGGTTTCAAAGCCAAAAATATTTAATAAAAATAAACCCAACATATGTGATTCTACGGTTCGAAGAGCCATAAGAGGTGAGCAGTTGGTTGGTGATTATTTGTTTCCCAAGCATTCCCCGACCCCTGCCTCTGGGGGTTCCACTCAAATCACTCACCTTTTCCAGGGACCCCAACTCCATTCACAGATTTACTCATTCATAGATTCCATCAAGGCAAACTCACTACAAAGAGTTGGTGCACCAAGAGAAGGACATGATGCCAGCCCAGAAAACACAGACACGGCAGCCCTCCACAACAGAAAACACCTTCAAGATCAAGTCTAGCCTACTCCTTTTAGAGACAAAGAAAGTAATGGTGGGTGTGGAGGTCCTGATCTCCCCATATACTATGTCATGAGAGCAGGAATACACATATGTGCCAGGTCACAGACAGATCAATCTACATACCAGGTCACAGACACACAAATACATAAATATACTTAACTATGAATACATAAAGGGACTGCAAAAAGTTTGTAGAAAATGGAATTAAAAGATAAAAATAGGCCAGGCACGGTGGCTCACGCCTGTCATCCCAGCACTTTGGGAAGCTAAGGCAGGTGGATCACCTGAGGTCAGGAGTTCAAGACCAGCCTGGCCAACATGGTAAAACCCATCTCTAATAAAAATACAAAAATCAGCTGGGTATGGTGGTACACTCCTATAGTCCCAGCTACTTGGGAGGCTGAGGTAGGAGAATTGCTTGAACCCAGGAGGCAGAGCTTGCAGTGAGCCGAGATCACGTCATTGCACTCCAGCCTGGGTGACAGAGTGAGACTCCATCCTAAAACAAACTAAAAATAAAAATAAAAAATAAAAAATATCAACTTTGTTTCTCAACATAAGCTCTACAAGGTCAAGACACTTTTGTCAGTGATGACACCAGCTACTTAGTCCATCTTGAAAGAGCTGAGGGTCCTGGGAATTTAACCACATCAATGCAGTCTTTTTTTACATCATTAACTGAAGAAAATGGGTGCCCTTTAAAGATTTTTTAAGATTAGAAAAGAAAGAAGACAGAAAGAGCCAAATCAGGACTGTAATTTGGCTGTAAGGTGGATGCCTAATAATTTCCCATCAAAACTCTCACAAAGTTGCACTGGTTTGACAAGAGGAATGAGCGGGAGCCTTGCTGTGGTAGAGAAGGACTCTGGTGGAGCTTTCCAGAGTGTTTTTCTGCTAGAGCTTTGGCTAACTTCCTCAAAACACTCCCATAATAAGCAGGTGTTGGCCGGGCACAGTGGTTCACGCCTGTAATCCCAGCACTTTGGGAGGCCAAGGTGGGAGGATCACGAGG
The DNA here is from genome assembly GCF_000001405.40 of Homo sapiens. Classification (NCBI taxonomy): domain Eukaryota; kingdom Metazoa; phylum Chordata; class Mammalia; order Primates; family Hominidae; genus Homo; species Homo sapiens. Next base: position 87,308,269 of record NC_000016.10, read on the forward strand.
TCAGGAGTTCCAGACCAGCCTGACCAACATGGTGAAATCCCATCTCTACTAAAAATACAAAAATTAGCCAGGCATGGTGGCACACACCTGTAATCCCAGCTACTCAGGAGGCTGAGGAAGGAGAATCACTTGAACCCAGGAGGCGGAAGTTGTGGTGAGCCGAGATTGCGCCACTGCAAGCCTGGGTGACAAAGTGAGACTGCATCTCAATAAATAAATAAATAAATAAATAAATAAATAAATAAATAAATAAGCAGATGTTACCATTCTTTGGTCCTCCAGAAAGTCTACAAGCAAAATGCCTTGAGCATCCCAAAAAACTGTTGCCGTGACCTCTGCTCTTGTCCCATCCACTCTTACCACGATGGGACCACGTTCAGCTCTCGATAGCCATTGCTTTGGTTGTGCTTTGTCTTCAGGATGGTACTGGCAAAGCCATGTTTTCACTCCTGTTACAATTCTTCAAAGAAATGTTTTAGGATCTTGATCCCACTTCTTTAGAATTTCCACTGAAAGCTCTATTCTTGTCTGCAGCTGATCTGGACACAATGGGTTTGGTGCCCTCTGAGTGGAAGGTTTGCTCAACTTTGATTTTGCAGTCAGAATTGTGTAAGCTGAGCCAGTTGAGATGTCTACGCTGTTGGCTAGTGTTTCTGCTGGTAATCATCAGTCCTCTTCAGTTAGGGCATGAACACGATGAATGTTTTTTCTCACAAACTGATGTGGATGGGCTGGCGATGCAGGCTGCACCTTCAACATCGCCTCATCCCTTCTTAAATGAGTCACCCATCTGGAAACTGCTGTTCTGTGGTACACTGTCACCATAAACTTGTCATAAAGCATCAGTGAGTTTACCATTGTTCCACTCAAACTTCACCATAAATGTGATGTTTGTTTTGGGTTCAATTTTAGCAGAGTTCATGCTGCTCTGATAGGGACTCTTTTTAAACTGATGTCTTTTCCTTCTTAGCACCTCAAATTAGATCCTGTTCAGATATGTTATAATAAGTTAGTATCAGTTTAGTTTGGTGCAAAAAAAAACTGAAATCCATACATTGTTTCACTGCTTTTTTTATTATATGCATTTTCTTTTTCTTTCTTTTCTTTTTTTTTTTTTTTTTTTTTTTTTTTTGTAGACAGAGTCTCACTCTGTTGCCCAGGCTGGAGTGCAATGGTGTGATCTCAGCTCACTGCAACCTCTGCCTCCCAGGTTCAAGCAATTCTCATGCCTCAGCCTCCTAAGTAGCTGGGACTACAGACATGTGCCACCACACCCAGCTAATTTTTTGTATTTTAGTAGAGACAAGGTTTCACTATGTTGCCCAGGCTGGTCTCAAACTCCTAAGCTCGGGCATTCCAGCCTCTTCAGCTACCCAAAGTGCTGGGACTACAGGTGTGAGCCACTGCACCCAGCATATTATATGCATTTTCCATAAACTTTTTCAAGGCCCCTCACATGAATACATATTGTATTGTGAATACATGAATGTGAGTATATACTATGTCTATCATGAACATGTGAATGTACATACACTAGGTCACAAATATATGAATGTATGAGCATACTATGTAATGAATAGATACATAATTATTATGTTTTGAATATACAATATGCCATGAATATATGAATGTATGAGTATATAATAGGGTACACATAGGAATATGTACTATGTCATAAATATATATACACACACATACTATGTCATAAATTATAGAAGATTAGAGCTTAATAAAACCACTTGAGGTCTCATCCAAGCCCAGGCGGGGAGTTGGTTTCATCCAGAGAACCGATGCTGGCAGATGGGTAGGGTCTGCCTGTAGAGCAGAGGTTTCTCTGGGCTCACTGGGGGAAGGCAGTGGGTGACCAGGGATGGCTGTTGAGCAGGGGAAGGGAAGCCACATTCATGTCACTGTCACACTGTGGGCAGGTGTCTGGTGATGAGAGGTCTGCCCCCACCATCATGATGCTCACGAACCCCACCTTTCTGGGGAGGGGGATGATATGAGACACACACACACTGGAGTTACCTTGGATGCCTTTCAAACTCTGCTGCCTCCTGACTATCTAAAAGACAAGAATGGAGGCAAGCAGTCAGCCTGGCGACCCTCCAAGGGGGAAGGCCTGGTGATTGGGACTCCAAACCTCCAGGAGGGGCACTGGCCAGCTCAAGATAAAAGCCAAGGGCTCCTCCTTATGAGGTCTGCGGGCTCTTTTCTCTGAGGACAGCCTGCCACCCAGTAATGGAAAACCAGCAACTGGAAGTCAGGGGGAAGGAAGGAAGCCCTTGTCTACCACCCAGGACACAGGGAAAGCAGGGGAGCGAGAGGCCCAGGGGGCTAGGAAGAGACCTGCTGCCGCTGCCCAGAACTAGCGCTGTGGAGGCGGCCAGCAAGAGCAGAGAGGACAGGCCATCTACTGGTGGTCCGTCCCGGGCACCCTCCTTCCCACCTCCCTCCATGCAGCCAGGGCCAGGGGAGAGAGTCAGAGGAGGGGCTGGGCCAGGGAAGGGAGGTAGTGTGGGAAGGAGGAGGCAGGGAGGTGAGAGAGGTCAGGGAGAGTGCAGAGGGGGAGGAAGAGAGGGAGGAAAGCAGCAGCAGCAGCAGTGGGTGCCAGAACAATCACCCCTCTGCAGAGAGCAGCGCGGCCCTGCCCTTCCAGTGCCAACTGGGAGACCTGAGCCAGCCCTCCCTGAGCCACACCTGCCCTCTGTGCTCCCAAGCCCATGGCCACAGCTGCCAGGGGATCTTCTCTGGACACCAGCAGAGGCCTTTGTGGGAGCAGAGCCCAGGTACCCCTCTTCCCCTTCTTCCTCCCATCTCCCCTTCCCCCGGCCCCCACCTCACTCTTCAGTTCTCACTGCAGTGTGCGCCTCCTCCTTACCTGCTGCTGAGACCTCAGGACCTGGGGCACCCAGTAGGGCATCACTGCCTGGTCCCTAGGCATCGGGAGGCGGCCCCCAAAGCGGTGGCATAGGCAGGGGCACATCTTGGCGGTTTGGGGGATAGGAAATTGAACCGTCTTTTGACTCTAACAGAGAGGATGGGAGGAGAAGATTCAGAAGGGGATGGAGCCATGCCTGTCCCCAATGACTCCCTGATGGAGCCATCCCCCAGAAGATCCCCTGGCTGGGTCTTAGTATCAGGGCAGGCCCTGGAGAGCTGTTCCCACCCACAAGCACACCCAACCACTCCAGATATGGGACTGTGGTCTACCCTCTACAACATGCCCACTGTTGGGAGACACGGGACCTCCGTGGCTCACCTGGCCTCCCTACCCACCATCTGCACCTGTGCCCTGGCGGAGCACACAGGTTGGTATTGGGAGACCTGGCTCTGTCCTGGTCTGGTGGTCTCCAGCTGGGGCCCTTGGGCATGACACTTAGCATCCCTGTGCCGCAGTGCTCTCAGCTATGAAGAGGGCTCTGCTGGCATCTTAACAAAGTTTATCAGGTTCTAAAATAGACAGCCTTTGATGCGGCAATTCCACTTGCAGGAATGTGTCCCATGAGGATACTTTCACATCTGCAAAGTGTCCTATGCACAGAAATATTTGTTGCACCATTGTCAGGAGTGAATGGACAGCCCGAATACCTTTCAGTAAGAGACAATAAATGACAGACATCGGGCAACAGGGTATAGGCAGCCTTGGGAATAATGGAACAGAGCTGTCCGGACTGACACGGAATAAACTCTGAGACAGGCTGTAAAGTGAGGAAGATGCAGCACCGTGAGTTCACTACACTACCATTTGCATTTTTCAAAAAAGAATGTACATGCAATCACATGTATGTGAATTATTGCAAATTACACTCTTGCCTCAGTTCCTCACCCTCCCTAAAGCCCACCCTTGGCACTGTGACCCTGCAGCTTCTCCAGCGGAAAGACAGGGTGGTCCCACCTCTCAGCTGCGGGTTCAACGAGGCACATGGTTCGGGCAACAGGATGAGGAGGAGGTTACAGCAGGAGGAGGAGTTACAGCTCTGCACGTAGTGGTAGAGGCTATTAGACACGGGAGGAAGGCCGGGAGCAGTGGCTCATGCCAATAATCCCAGCATTTTGGGAGGCCAAGGCAGGTGGATCACTTGAGATCAGGTGTTTGAGACCAGACTAGCCAACATGGTGAAACCCCATCTCTACTAAAAATACAAAAATTAGCCGGGAGTGGTGGTGGGCACCTGTAATCTCAGCTACCCGGGAGACTGAGGCAGGAGAATCGCTTGAACCTGGGAGACGGAGTTTGCAGTGAGCCGAAATCATGCCACTGCACTCCAGCCTGAGCAGCAGAGTGAGACTCCATCTCAAAAAAAAAAAAAAAAAAGAAAGAAAAGAAAAGAAAAAGAAAAACTGAATGCCATCCCTCATAAGCAGGACAAGAATGTCTCCTCTCACTGCTCTCTTCAACACTGTACTGAAAGGTCTAGCCAGTGTATCAAGCAAGAAAAATAAAAGTCTCCAAATTGAAAAGGGAGAAAGAAAGCCATCTCTATTTGCAGATGACACAATCATCTACATAGAATAGCTGATGGAATCCACAAAAAGAGCTACTAGAATAAATAGGTTTAGCAATATTGTAGAATACAAGAACAATAGACAAAAAATCAGTTGTACTTCTAATACCAGCAATGAAAAGTCATAAATTGAAATTCAAAAACAATGTCATCAAAATTATGAAATACTTATGGGTAAATCTGACAAAAGATGTGTAAAGCCTATATAATAAGAGCTACAAAATATTTATGGGAAATATTAGAGAAAACCTAAATAAACATAGAAATGTATCATGTTTATGGGTCAAAAGATTCAATATTTTTCAAAAGACAGTTCTCTTCAAACTGATCTACAAAGCCCACACAGTCCCAATCAAAATTCCAGTAGGGTACTTTTGTAGAAACTGACAAACTGATTCTAAAATTCACATGGAAATTAAAAAAAAAAAAAGAGAAAAGCCAAGTCTGAAAAAGAAAAACAAAGTTTGAAAATGAACACTACTTGATTTCCAGGCATTATAAAGTCAAGACACAATAATCAAGACAGTGTAGTATTAGCATAAAGATAGACAATTAGATCAGAAGAGAAGAGGGTTCAGAAATAAATTCATACATATATGAACAACTGTCAGTCCACTTGTATGGCCATAAAGGAATAGCTGAGGCAGTGTAATTTATTAAGAAAAGAGGCTTGGCCAGGTGTGGTGGCAGCTCATGCCTGTAATCCCAGCACTTTGGGAGGCCGAGGCGGGTGGGTCACTTGAGTCCAGGTGTTTGAGACTAGCCAGGGCAACATAGTGAGACCTCATCTCCACGAAAAATAAACAAAATTAGCCTCGTATGGTGGTGCACGCCTGTGGTCCCAGCTACTTGGGGGGTGAGGGGGGAGGATTGCTTGAGCTAGGGAGTTCAAGTTTGTAGTGAGCCATGATTGTGCACTCCAATCTGGGCAACAGAGTGAGGCCCGGTCTCAAAAAAGGAAAGGCAGGCCAAAGACATGGAAAGACATTTACAAATTGAATCTCGGATCAAGAACTTGTATCTAGAATTTGTATCTAGAATATATAAAGAACTATCAAAACTCAGTAATTTAAAAAAGCAATTCTTTTAAAGGGGCAAAACAAACAGATGCCTCATCGAGTAAGACATGCAGATGGCAAAAGCACATGAAGAGATCCTTGACATCACCAATTATCACGGGTATACAAATGAAAACTACGATGAGACAGATACCCATTAAGATGGCTCAAATTAAAAACATCAGCTAAACCAAGTGTTGGTGACGATGTGAGGAACTGGAACTTTAGACACTGCTAGTAGAGATGTAAAATGGTGGAAAACAGTCAACAGGTTTCTTTTTTAAAGTTAAACATACACCTACCATATGATTCAGGAATTCCACTCCTTGGTATTTACCCAAGAAGAATGACGGCATATGTGCATACAAAGCCTTGTACACAAATGTTCATAGCAGCTTTGTGTGTAACACATAAGAAGTAGAAACAACCCAAATGTCCTTCTGGGCGAATGAATAAACTGTGGCCTATTCACATAATGCAGCATTACTCAATAATAAAAAGAATGACTATTGATGCCCATGATCACATAGAAGAATCTCAAAATAATTATGCCAAGTGAAAGAAGCCAGACAAAAGAGTACAAAGTCTATGACCCCATTTATATAAAATCATCAAAAATGCAAATTAATCTACAGTGACAGAAAGCAGGTCAGTGGTTGCCTGGGGATGTCAGGGTATGGAATGTTGGGTAAAGTTACAAAGGAGCCCACGGACATGATTAAGGGTTGTGTATATGCTCATTATCTTGATGGTGGTGGTGGGTTCAGGGGGGAATACCTACGGCAAGACTTACCACATTGTACATTTGACACACGTGCAGTTTATCACATGCCAATCAAACCTCTAGAAGTCTAGTTTTTAGAAAAAACTGTTTAAAAATCACAGATCCTTTTATAGTTCATAAGCATGATAACTGGGTACTCATGCACATGTGTGAGGTGTGCCTCCCTCAGACCTTGCTACAACGACAGCACATTACCCATCTGACATGAAAATAAATAAATAAATAATATCAAACTGTCTCCCTGAAATGTTAAAATATCCATTCATATAATACTTCTAATTCTGAGGGGTGACTGGTCAACTGACATTCACCCTGGACCCTAGGGGAAGACCTCCTGGTTCAAGTCACCTACCTGCTTTCGGGGTCTCAGGGACAGAGGGACCCAGTAAGGCAGTGCTGCTTCCACCCTGGACACAGGCAGGCGGCCCCCGAATCTGGTCTGGCATTCACAGCAGATGGCCCAGGGGCCAGGGTGCATCTGAGTAAGATCCAGAAATGACAGAACTGAGCTTGATGCTGCATTTGCAGGGAGACAGGAGGCTCTCAAGCACAGTAGATCCGTGCTCAGGAAGATGGTGTCCGGGGGCAGGGTCCCCAGCTCCTACTGCAGCTTGGAAAGAGGCAGGCTACCGTGGCTCGCCCTGAGGCCTCCAAGGTCATTTGGAGGGGGATCCCCCGGAGCTTGCAAATCAGGTGCGCTGGGATTCTCAGCTGCTTCCTGCTGTGCTACAATGAGCAAGTCTCGTGGTCCCCTCTGAAAATGGGCATGTACAAGCAGCTCTAGAGCTTATGCGCACATGAGTGCTGCCTTTATGGCCATCTGTCACACTCTGGTGTGCAAGAGCTTCCACATCCATCCCATGTGACCTTCGCAACACCCTCAGGCAGGAAGGAGAGGTGCTGCCATCACCTCCAGGGGCACACGGAGAAGCTGATGCCCAGAGCAGGTATATTAGGTGGCCTCCTGAACTCTGAGGTGTTGTGAGGGCCTGGGAGGTGTTCTGGAGGCCCAGGGATAGCTCCTGCAACCACACTTTTGTGTTTGGAGGATTCTCTCATGGGATGCAGCTTCTGGACCCACATTCCCTGCTCTCCTCACCCCACAGGGATATGTTGGGGTCAGGGCCAGTGGCTGAGGATTTGCTTTCCTTACCGAATGACGGGGGAGGCACACTTCTTTCTTGTAGGTTTGAAATGTGCTATTCCTAGAAGAGAAGAACAGAAAAGCTTAGGGTTTGTGTAAACTAGGGGGCAGGGATGCTAGAGCACAGGCCTGGACCTGTCTTCTCAGAACTGACTCTTAATAATAAAGCCCACGGGTGGTGGGGATGGGGGGATCCTCTGAGCCCAAGAAGAGTGAGAGGGTGACATCAGAAGCAGGCGTGTGCTAGCTCATGCGTGAATGTCTAGGGGCTCCTGGGGGCTGGCTGTCATGGAATCCTGCATTCCCAAGCCAACCAGCTTCAAGCTGACTCCAGCTACACTTGTGCTTGGAGCATCAGAAAAGACAGGAGCATTCCAACCTGCTGAGAACTTTCCAAGACATGTAGCTGCCAATCACATCACCTAGGATGATCTGTCAGACACCCTCAACTTACTGAAATACTGAAGAAAAAACATCGTCAAACTGTCCATTAATGAACCTCCTTCCACTATAAAAACCCGGGTGCTTTGTCTCTGGGATGACAAAGCACTTGGGGTTACACAGCCTGTGTGGCTCTTCCCTGTTCCACTCCCCAACAAACTGCTTGAATGTTGGCTGGATGAAGCGTCTCCAGTGGGTGCAAAGCCCTGCTTCCCTGACAGTAGTGGGTCAAAGTGCTTTGTATGTGGAAACCGTAAGAGCGATATAAGTGTTTTTGGGTTTCATTGTCATAATAACCATTATTATTATTGCTATTTTTGTGAGAGTAATAGGTTCACGCATCAACTCTCCCAGATAATGCTTGAAAACAGAGGATGGGGCACTGCCCTCCACAGCATCCGAGGCCCCTTCTGGTAATGACAGCACTGCTATATTCCTGGTGGGGAGGGGGGGGGCCACAGCCATCTCAGTCCTTGTAGTTCAGGTGGGCCAAACTCACCACTGCCCAGCCTGGAAAGCTGGGAAAAAAAAGAATCTCCTTTTTGTTGAGGTTGATAATCTGATAACATGTAAACCTCAGGAGGTCCTGGTGATCATCTTGCCTCCACAAGGGAAGCCAGCAAAAAGGAAGGAAGCTGAGAGATGGAGAGAAACCTTCCAGGACCATGGTCAATGTGTACCTGGATACATCCATGCCTGAAGGCCTACTTCTGACATTTTCAGTTATGTGGAACCATCAGTTGCGTTTTTGTTAAGCCAATGTAAGTGAGGTTCCTGTGGGTGGCGGTCAAGAGTTCTGCCTGTGCATAGGTCATGGAGCAATGCCGGGCCGGGAACTCACAGGCGAGGTGTCGGGTAGCCGCGGGCAGGATTCAGGACTCACTTGCCTGCCATCCTGCGCGCTGGGTGTGAGTGCCAACCTGCAGAGCCCGACGCACCCCGCGCCCGGCCCCCCGGCAGCAGCGCCTGAGGCTGCTCCAGTGGCCTCATGATGATGGTGACAACGCCGCGGGGACGGTGGGGACCGGCTCGCACGCATATGGCTTCTTATGGCTGACGCGCCCTTTCACACACACATCGTCCGCAGGCCCTGACGCCCTGGCTCCCGCCTTTCCCTCCTGCCCCAGGAGGAACCCAACCCGAGCTCAACCCCAGCCCCAACCTCAACCGCTCAGAGGAGCCCAACAACGCCCGCGCGCCCGCCCGTCCCGCTGACTAGCCCGCGCCCAGCCAATCAAAATTGGCCTTCTAGGTATGTGACCTTAGCTGGCAGCTGATTGGTCCCTCACGAGAGACGCGGGGTCAGCGGCTCAGAGCGCGGCTGTGTGGGGCTGCGGGGCTCCCGCCATGCCCGCTGGGGTAGGTCCTGCGGACCCCGGCCACTGGAGCCACTCATCATTTCCGACGGATGGGCCGGAGGGGCCGCCGGCCGCCCCAGCCAGGGTCTCGGTAGCCTGCAAGGAGAGAAAGAGGTGGGAGCAGCCCGCGCGGGGCCCTGCGTCTTGCATAGGCGCTTCTGGTAAAATCACTCCTTTATCTCAGATAATGAGTTGGCGCTGGATCGCTGCGTCCTCAGGTGGGGCTCGAATCGTGACTTTTAGAGAAATAGGTTTTCTTTCTTTTTTTTTTTTTTTAACAACATGGGGTTTAAAGGGCGCGGAATTGGAAGCAGTCGTCACCCGGAGGCCTGGGCGTGCAAGCACCGAAGCTCTGGCTGGCCCTGAGCCTCCCCACCCCACCCGCTCTTTTCGCTGGAACGCGTGTACTTTGGGCAGTTGCTGACGTGGAGACAGGACGTATGTCTTCATATTTTAGTAAAACCCAATGCCCTCTGCCTCTCTGATTATGTTCTTTAAGTTATCGCCAGTTCCAATTTGTATTTCTTGGAAACGGTTGGGTCTTCCCTCACTTTTCAGTATTTTCATGTAGACTCAAATACTCTGGATTAATATTTGTATTTGCCCAAACCATCACGAGCACCTCTTACCCTGATGGGCAATACTTCAGTGTGCTGCGTTCTGGCCACAGAGCAAACAGGGTGCTCCCAGGCACTGCCCTCTCGGATTTCTTGCCTTGTTATTTAATCATTAAGATCGTGACCTATGAGCAGGACTGTTTCCAGCCAGCACATACACATGTCCTCTCCTGGCCAGCATCCATGCTGATTAGACGGTGCCCCTGCCATACTAGCTGCCTAATATTTCAGATACCCCACCCCGTGTGTGTGTGTAAATCATGTCACTGCCCTCTTTGTAGCTAATGACAAAATTCCAAGAGTCACCATTAGCCTAGCACATTATGCCTGTCTCATTTCTGCCCACTTTGGAGCACTCGGCTTCTCTGCTGTTTTCCTCCAGAGCACACTGAAACACTGCCATAGCACAGCAGGGCATAGAAGACAGGCTCATGCTCCCCTGGACGCTCAGGCCTTCACCTCGGGCACACTAGGTCTTGTCATTCCATGTCAAGAATAGCTCTTCACTGCCCTCACCCACCCAAGAATGGCTAAAATTAAAAGGACTGACAATACCTAGTTTGTCGAGGATGTCACAGCTGGAACCCTCATACATGGCTCATGAAATTGATAAAACCACATTGGCAAACTGGTAGTATTTACAAAACCTAAACATATGAATACCTGATGACCAACTAATTCCTCAACTCACCCAAGAGAAATGAGAGCTTATGTGTACCAGAAGACATGAACAAAACTACCCACAGCAGCTTTCTTCCTGATGGCCCCAAACTGGAAATGATCCAGATGTCCATCCATAGGAAAAAAAGATTTTAAAAAGAAAGTATGGCATGTTCACAGAGAGGAAATTCTGTACAACAATGGAAATGGGCACACAACCACAACCCACAACAATGTGGATGAAGTGTACAATGAAGTCAGACCCCAGAATGTACAGACAATTCCATGTGTGTGATGTTCAAAACCAGGAAAGCAAATCCATCATGACACAGGCTGGGGATGTGAAGGAAACTCCAGCCACCCTGCCCCTGTGCTCTGAGTAACAAGGCCTAGATCCCAATCCTTGCTCTGCCTCTTATCAGAGACAGGTATCAGACAAGTTGCCTAACTTTTCTGAGCTTCAGTTTTATGTCTAAAATAATGATAACCATAGAACCAATCCCAAGGAAGTTTCAGAAGATCAAATATGAAAGAGCATGAAAGGTGCTCAAAAACCAGGGACTGTCATGGTAGCTCACATCTGTAATCCCAGCACTTTGGGAGGCCAAGGTGGGAAGATCTCTTGAGCCCAGGAGTTTGAGACCAGCCTTGGCAACGTAGTGAGACCTCATCTCTGCAAAAAATTTAAAAATTAGGCATGGTGGCACATGCCTGTGGTCCCAGCTACTTGGGAGTTTGAGGTGGGAGGATCACTTAAGCCCAGGGGGTTGAGGATGTAATGAGCCATGATTCCATCCAGCCCGGGTGACAGGGCCAGACCCTGTCTCAAGGAAAAAAAAAAAAAAAGCCAGACAGAGTCCAGCACACGTCAGTTTGTGACGTGAGTGTGCTTCAGGCTGGAAGTTTGGCCACTACCACTGCCTGTTTTAGGCTTTTGTTTCCAAAGCCCCCAAGTAGAGGGAAAGAGGAGCAGAATGAGATCTTTGTGAACCCAAGGTAATGGGTACCCAAGCCAAACCCACAGAACCTCCTTGATCCCAGGGAGAGAGTTGCAGGTTCCTCCCAGATCACACCTCCCCAGGCAGCCTATACCCAGACAGAAGCAGGGTTCCTGGGCACAGTTGTGTGGTTTCTTCACTAATCAAGGGTCCCTTGCCAAGAACACAAGTGAGGCTTGCATTTATCCTGTGCTCAGCTAACCAAGTCATGCACCCCAGCCTGGGCCTTAGCCTGCTCCAAAGCAGCGCCATATGTGAACTTACACAGGAGCACCCTGGGCTAGTGGTGGCCCTGCAGAGAGGCCTGACACCTGAGCAGCAGAAGCTACCACCAGACCAGAGGGGACCATCAACCTGGCTAGACAGGGCAGAGAAGCAGTGGGCCACTGAGGCAAACAGCCTCACTTTCACCTGCTAATGGCTCCTTCCAACTGCGAGAGTTGCTTGACCCATGTGTGGGGACAGCCATCAGCAGTGACAGGGTGGGGTGAATGTTCCAGCCACTCCACTCTGCAGTCAGGACAACTTCAGGACATGTTCTGCACTGGCTCCTGGCATCCCCCGCAGGATGGCTCCAGCCGCCTGTGTCCTGACCTTCTTGGTCATGCCTGTAGTTCCGCCTCCTGTTGTTCGAGGCCATCCTGACTAACACGGTGAAACCCCGTCTCTACTGAAAATACAAAAAATTAGCCGGGCATGGTGGTGCATGCCTGTAGTCCCAGCTACTGGGGAGGCTGAGGCAGGAGAATCACTTGAACCCGGGAGGCAGAGGTTGCAGTGGGCTGAGATCAGGCCACTGCATTCCAGCCTGGGCAACAGAGCGAGACCCCGTCTCAAAAAAAGAACACTGAGTACACCGTAAGGGATGGCGAGGATGTGGCACAGGGGGACTCCTTCATCCGCTCTGGAAAATGTGGCAGTTTCTCCTCTGATGCAACATGTGCTTAACATGTGACACAGCAGTCCCACTTTTAGGTATTTAAAGGAATGAAAACTTATGTCCACACAAAAAATCACACAGATGTTTATAGTGATTTTATTGATAAAGTGTCCAACTGGAAACTGCAAGTATTCTTTCTGGGGACACAGATACATTGTGGTGCCTCCACCCTGTGAATCCTGCTCAGCAATCCGAGGGATGAGCGGTTGATTCAGGCAACACCGCGGATGGATCTCAGGGCATCGTGCTGAAGTCCCACATTCTAGCAAGGTGCTGCTTCCTGCAGATGGGCAAACACTGGTCCTTGGCAGGTAGGGGGAAACACATCTTGCCTTTTTTTGGAGACAGGGTGTCCCACTGTCACCCAGGCTGGAGTGCAGGGGTGTGATAGTGGCTCACTGCAGCCTCAACCTCCTGGGCTCAAGCAATCCTCCTGCCTCCTCCTGAGTAGCTGGAACTGTCTTCCTCTCTTGAAGTAGGAAGCACAGGTATACACACAGTACACAAACAGTATGTCTGTGGTGGTAGAATTTCACGAGGGTATTGGAAAAACGTCTGATGAGGCTCCTTGGAGGAGCAATAATTGTGCATTATTAGAGGAGCAATAATGCACAAAGGCTGAGCCGCACCCTGCCAAAGGAGAAAGGCAGACAGACTCCCTGCTGGGAGAGCCCACTCCCCAGACGTTCTGGTTGAGGCTGAACTACGGGGTGGAGAGCAGATCAGGGGCGCCAGGGGCTGGAGATCTGGGGAGGCAGAGACTGCAGCGTCAGCATGAAGGGATTTTGATGGGGGCTGGAGCACTCCATGTCCTGATGGTGCTTATTTACAACCATCTGTCATCTCAGAACTGCACACACGGTAAAATTTCACTATAAATAGCTTACACCTCAAAAACCTAACCAAACCCTTTTTATTTTTTTTAATTTCTTTTTTTTCGGGGCGGGGGGTGGGGGAATGGAATCTCTCATTATCGCCCAGACCGGAGTGCAGTGGTGCGATCTCTACTCACTGCAACCTCTGCTTCCCGGATTCAAGTGATCCTCCTGCCTCAGCCTCCCACGTAGCTGGGATAACAGGCACCCCCCATCACCACCACCACCACACCCAGCTATTTATCTTTTTGAGACAACGTCTCATTTTGTCGCGCAGGCTGGAGTGCAGTGGCACAATCTCGGCTGACTGCAACCTCTGCCTCTCAGGTTTAAGCAATTCTCCCACCTCAGTCTCCCGAGTAGCTGGGATTACAGGCGTGCACCACCACACTCGGCTAATTTTTGTATTTTTTGGTAGAGACAGAGCTTCACCATGTTGGCCAGGCTGGTCTTAAACTCCTGACCTCAAGTGATCCCCCTGCCTCGGCCTCCCAAAATGCTGGGATTACAGGGGTGAGGCACTGCTCCAGCCCAAATGCTTTTTAAAAGGAAGGAAAAAGAAGGACAGCTCAACCCTTTCTCACTAAAGGGCAAAGGACTGCTAGCTGGGCATGTAAAAGTGTGCATTTTCCTGAAGTGTGTTCTCTGGAATCCTCTTCCCCAGAGATGTTGAAACGGAGGTGCTTTGTTTAGTGCAGTGGCGGCAGATGACAGCCACAGGACAGCTGCTCTGGGGGCCTTGGAAACTACAAATGCTCAAACCCCCTCCCCAGGCCACATCTCAGCGTGCGGGAACTGGGGTGTGCATCTCTCCCAACAGCTTCCTGGTGACGCCAAGCTTCACACCCACCCAATCCATGGGAGCAAACCGACTGGACTGCATGGCAGACGGTGGCCCACTGGCCATTGCCTCTTTGCTTTGCTCAGGAACTGGGTGGAATGTGCCCGGGGAAGGTAGCCCCAGAACTGCAGGGGAGCCACGACAGACTCAAGCCTCACGGAAACCCCTTTCCCTGGGCCAGAGTTGGTTCCTGGGTGGCGTGGGGCTGGCTCTGGCCAGTGAGGAGTCAGCCCCTGCTGAGGTTTCTGGGAATTATGTGTCTCCCAGGAGGAGAGGAAGACAGCTGAGGACACAGCATCTCACTAGCCCCTCCTCACCCACCAGGTGCCAGGCCAGGTGTCACCTGAGCCAAGCAGCACACGACCGCCCCTGCCCACTTCCACCTCAGCCCTGACCCTCCCTGCACCTGGGAGTCCACCGCCTCCTGATGTGTCTGTGATCGGGGCAGCCCCAAGAGCACGTATCCCGGGACATGATGTGTTGTGGTCTGTGTGGGGTCAGAGCCGTCAGTGTTCACTGCCGCGTGCCCAGTGCTTAGCACTGTTTGCCGCATGGGAGATGCAGGTCACAACCCGGTAGCGCCTAGTGGCCCGGGGGACACCTGGCTTGTCTGGGCCTGTTGGCTGACAGGTAGGAGGGACTGCCATCCATTGTTGGGGCAAAGGATGCTGCTCAACCTCCCACAACGCATGGAGCGGCCCGGCGCACGACTCACCCGGCCCCAAACACCAACTGTGCCGAGGTGATGCCCTGCCCTGAGGCGAGCGTACAAGGCTTGAGCGTCGAGAACACTGCAAGGGTCTCAGCCAGTGAGGGGCTGCCTGGGCCCCGCCGCAGGCCTGACTCCTAGAGCCAAGCCGTTTTCTCCCTTCAGGCAGTGGGTAGGGCTCTCACATGACGACCCTGGGTTTGCAGCTCGGCTGTGCACACAGGTGGACCCTCCGTGCTTTGTCAGTTCCTACTGCTTGGCCCTGGGGCCGGAAGCTGCTTCTCAGGCCTCACTCTGAGAAGCATCTTCACAACCTGGGTAGGTCCATTGCCTCTTTCCACCGACTCTGCTCCTTGACAAGGGCATGTTCATCAGCAGAGCCAGGCAGGGAGAGCTCAGGACAGCCAGACCTGGGGCCAGTGGCATAGGTACGTGTGGGAAGGGGCACCAGGTGCCTGTCCTCCCTGCGGGCAGAGCCGTCTGTCCTCTGCAGACCTGCAGTTTCTGTAAACATCCTGTAAGGAGCCAGGAAGCAGCAACTCCAGATGCCCAGAGGAGCCCCAGCCAAGGCAGATGCAGCCAGGGCATCAGGCCGTGGGGCTGGGCAAGGTGAGCCACAGGCTGGAAAGGCAGGGGCGCACGGCAGATGGGGATGCGGAAGCCAGATGCTGACCCAGCTCTACCCACATTTGTGAGGGGCATGGGGGCTGCGCCGTCAGAGGCCTTAGCTGGCTCCGGGCTTGAAATGTGAGTCCCAAGAGCCCAAGTTTTATTCCCACGTGGCCGCAGCATGCCAGGCTTAGCCTCCCTGTGTTTCTGTAAAACAGCACCCTCGTGTTTTTATATGAGAACCGAATTCAAGGTACTAGAAGTCCTCATATGGGAAGGGAAAAGTCGTGGTTTTATAAGCAATACACTCTGGCTGAGCCCAAGTTAAGATTTCCAGTCCAAGTTCATCAGCGCCTAGCTTCAGCCGGGACTGCTCTGGCCCCACTGCTGTGTGAGCTGGCGCTTCTGATTCCACCCCACACTCGGTGAAAGGGTCCCAGAGCAACTGACACTGAGCGTCACCGGCGGCGGCTCTTCCTAGAGGAGCATGTTCAGGAGAGGTGAGGCTGCGGGGCTGGGGCCCTGGGCTAATACTCCCTGGCTGTGTGACCCTGGGCAAATTACTCAGCCTCTCTGAGCTGCTGCTTCCTCTCCTGTGGAGTGGGCTGATCCCAGCCACACCAGCACTCCTGGTTGTTCCGTGGTTAATGTCTGCCAAACACGGTGCCATGGAGAACACCCAGCAGAGCCCAGCTGCTTGTTTGCTGGGGAGGGACAGCGCTGCAGGGGCGCCTCCCCCTGGCCCTCCAGCACCTTTCCACCTTGCTTCCAGGACCTCCGCGGCTCAGAGGCAGTGCAGGTGGGCTTCAGGGACGGCAGGGAGGGCCCACGCCGGCACACAAGGAAGAAGGGAAGGCGCCAGGGATCGCACCCCTCAGGAAGAAGAGGGACGGAGGCAAAGATAGGAAGGACACGCATTGTGCCTTCTGTCACTTGGGGATTTTCAAGTCAAAATGGGGAGGGGGCCGGGGTAGGTTTGGAAACTATCCAAATGGCATTTTGTTTCACATTGCTGGCTGGGGGCAAGCCCTCTGCAGTGACCCTACATGCCCACTAGAGGTCACACCACAAAAGGGGACCTCCCCTAAGGAGGGGGGACAAACGGAGGACCCTGGGCACCGTGCCTCCTGCAAGGGGAGGAAGGATGAAGCCCCGCCATCCATCGGGTGGGGAAAGCGCCATGCCTCCGGCAGCACAGCCAAGCGGCCCCCACAGGGAGGAGTGAGCTCCATATGGGCCCAGGTGACCCGGCCACAACACCCTCTCGGCCTCCGCCTCACCTGCTGGTGTTGGGCATGGCCAGCCTGGGCAGCCACCAGCCCTCGCTGCCCATCTGCTGTCCCCTCAACCCCAGCAGCAGACAGAAAAGTGCAGGGTCTGAGCCCCCGGGGGGATGCTGGTGTCGGACAGATCCCTGGAGAACAAAGCCTGTGCCCTTGTGTCTAGGTGAGGCTGCGGCACCCAGGCCCGGAGCAGGTCCCCCCAGCTGGGCCATCCCCACTCTTGGAGCAAGAGGGGAACTGCAGCAGGAAGCAGCCTTCTACTCGTTCCCCATGACCTTATTTTTTTTTTCATTTTAAAATAAAATATGTAAGAGAAACATATGAAAGACGCCACATTTAGTCCCTTATCAGATCCACACTTCCCCCTGTGACCTGGGAAATCGGGGTGCGTCTCCAGTCTGTGGGGGGCAGGGTCTCGTCCAGACAGGAGGCTGCATGGTGCTGCTTGTAGCAAGTGACTCGTTTGTGGTTGGCACGCCCAGTGCAGCTGAGGATGACCCCGTGGCTTGGCCCCAGGACAGGACCCAGGCCCCACAGAAAGGCCTGGAAACAGCAGCAAACCTTAGAGAAGGAAACACCCACCACCGGGGACCCACGATCCCCTGCTCTCCCCGGAGAAGGAAACACCCACCGCCGGGGACCCACGATCCCCTGCTCTCCCTGGAGGGCACCCAGGAAGCAGCCGCAGCTGGCAGGCTATGTGGCAACCCCGAGACCAGCGGAGATGGCAGTGGGTGGGCCTGCAGGTCACTGCCCCTGGGCACTGTGTCCTGTCTGAGGGGCTTGTTTCTGAACCACACAGAAAAGAGGGGGGGTCTCGTAATCCACGGTATCAGGATCAACAGGTGAACAGATGCTAGTTCTGCCATGCGATCCTTACTTTTTAAAGCAAAACAGTTGAAGTTCTACCCTCCGACACCCCTAGAAGTGACCACACCATTCCCACGCGTATCTTCAGCTTTTCCCCACACATGAATTGATAAAAATTAAGTATTTGCATTTTTACATGTTACACCAATACCATCTCTCACTTGTTTTGCAACGGAACAAGGCTGTGTGCCCGTCTGCCAGGTGACAGCATGGGTGGCTCCACCGTAGTCCACCTGCCTCCTTCCGGCCTGTGACAGTTGTCACAGTGTAGCAATGAACATCCCTGCGTGGCCCATGCCTGGGCTCTCGCGTTGCCCGAGGGTGGACACCTCAGGATGCAGATGCCAGTCCCTGGGCCCGTGTCCTTAGTGCCATGAGCTAGTACCAGCTGTCCCCAAAACAGCTGCCCCACCTGCGTTCCTGTTCCCCTGCATCACTGCCAACACTTGGAAAATCACACTTGCCAATTTCTGCCAATCGAGGGTGTACTTTGAGTGCATTACCATGGAAAACATCCTGTTTCTACAATTCCAAGCTAACAGCATTAATTAGCAGCAGTGACTCACGGGGAGGCTGGGATGAGAACAGGGGGTACTTTCACTGTCTATGCTAAAGAACTGTTTACAAGAACATATGAGTTTAGTAAACACAAAAGAAAGATCAATGAGATCCTCAGTTCATCTGCCTGGCTCTCAGCACATTCCCTCCCATATCTGTCCTCGTTGCAGATAATGCAACTCACTTTGGCTTAAATCTAAGAAAATCTACTGGGGCCCGAACTCCTCTGGGTCCCTGGGTAGGGACTCGAGACACCTCTGATGCCAGGTCAAAGGGAAGGACACAGGGACAACCACTGTCTGGGCTCCAAGGCATCCCTTCAATGCTCCCTTCTGTCAACGCGGGAAATCTGACACTTCCTCAAGAAGCTGGGAAGTCTGGGTTCCCAGGCCGACAGCTCGCATGGCTTAAGGCTCTCGCCTCCGTCCAACTCATATTCCCAAAGAAATCACAAAACACACAACAAGCCTTCAAAAACGGATTTACTTGAAACTGTGAGGAGAAACAAGTGCACGGGTGCAGGTGGCGGCTGCCAGGATTGCTCCGGTCCTACCTAGTGGGTGCCTACCCAGGCAGGGCACAGCTCCTGCTGCAAGGTCACCTTACCAGGGGGTGCAGAGGTGCTCATGATCAGATGGCACAGCGCTTTCCTAATGCAGGCAGGCTACATGGCCCCCAGAAACAACCAAATGCAGAATCAGGCCAAAACCCACACAGCCCTGACCCCCTCGTGCTCTGGCTGGTCTCCCGGTCAGCAGCCCCTGAGGGCCGGCAGGCAGGCCACTGAGCTGTGGGTGACACAGGGTAGTCCACGGTTTGCACAGTCTCATTCCCATTCAAAGACAGGCCCCAAGGCTGGGGCGCAGGGGCTCACGCCTGTAATCCCAGCACTTTGGGAGGCCGAGGCGGGTGGATCACCTGAGATCGGGAGTTCGAGACCAACCTGAGCAACATGGCAAAACTCCATCTCTACAAAAACAAGTTAGCCAAGCATGGTGGTGGTGGGTGCCTGTGGTCCCAGCTACTTGGGAGGCTAAGGCGGGCAGACAGCTTGAGCCTAGTAGGTTGAGGCCTCAGGGAGCCATGATCGCCGCTCTGCACTCCAGCCCAGGTGACAGAGCAAGACCCTGTCTCAAAAAACAACAAAAAAAGTACCAGCCGCATGGAGACTATCTGCTGCTTGCATCTTCTCTAAATAATTACGGGGATGAGGAGTCCAGTGATGTTCCTGGTCTCTCCCCAGAAGTACAGACAGGTTGGGCCACGTTAACACTGGACTTGATCATGATTCCAGGAGTTTTATTCTCAGGACAGGTGATGGTTCTATGAGCACATTCCCGTAAGTGTTCTTAAAAGTTACACCACGAAGGCAGCAACCAGAATAGAAACATCCTAAAAGAGCCTAGCTGCTTTCTGCAGCACCTTGGACGGTGGACCACAGCTCAGCATCTCCTGTTCGCACCCAAGACCCCACGGCCATGAGGACAACACGAGCTCAGAAGATGCATGTGGGCAGGCGTTCTGAAGTAACAAAGGGGCTGAGGAGTTTCTGCTGCTGTCCGTGACTGCCCACGAGCACTGAAAATGGCCTAACCGTGTGCAGGTGAGAAAGCCTGGGGGTGAACACGCCCTGAGGAGTCAGGGAAGCCAGAGCCAGCGGCTGAAGGGCCCTTGCGTGCGGCTGCAGCACAACTGCAGGTTCTCAGAGAAAAATCTCCAGCTCAGACCCGGTTCTGCACAAAGCTCAGAATGGAGCGGCCAGCAGGGCATGTGGCTAGAGGAAGGACATGGCCACCCACCCCTCCCTCCTCGTGTGCCAGGTGGGCTTGCTAGGGGCACAGGTGCCCAGTGTCAGGGCAGGGATGCCACAGAGCCGCAGGCAGACTGAAGGGGCCCAGGGCATGGTCAGGAACGAAGAAGGAGGGAGCCTGAGGCTCTCCCACCACCAGGCCTGCAAAGCCACTCACACTCAGCAGTGGACACTTGAGGTCACGGCCCAGGTGGGCTGAGGGACCCCAATACCACCTGCCTTGAATCTCAGCCTGCAGAAGTCGTTTGCAACTTCCTCATGCAAATGAACATTCAGTGCCGGCACAGAAAAGCCTCCAATGACCTCTCTGAAATCTTCAATCACATCATTTCCAAACAAGTGACAAAGAACACGTTCAGGTGTGCAGAGCTGCACTGCAGGCAGCCCCACTCCAGAGAGCAGACTTGATCCTGCCCCAGAGTGAGACAGCGACAGAAAGGCATCCGTGGTGCAAAAGATGGAGAGTCCCAACCTCCCAACTCCACCTGCCACCTTCCCCAATCAAGCCTAATGCGCTTGGCTGTCCTGAACTGGGTTACTCAGCCTCCTCCTTGGAAACGGTTTTATCCAACTCTCAGCTGCCCTTAGGCCTCTGATGACGACATCAGCCCTTCCGAGTTCTCACCTGCAGGAAATGGGCCACCTGCAGGATCCCCTGAGAGGGTGGATGCCCTCCCCCGGAAGGGAAGCTGCTGTTTTGAGGCGCGCAGATTCAGTGCCTGTCCCTACAGAACCGGAGCCAAGAACTGGCTAAGGACACATCGGAGCGGAAAAAACAAGACCTGTAGTCACGACTGAAGGGACTGGCTGTGCGGCCAAAAAGGCCTCCCTTTCCTGGCTGTGTGGCTCTGGCCCTGCCTGGCATCACTGCAGGTCACCACCATGGAGAGACCCCCGCCCCCAACATACACACCAGAACCAGGAGCCACATGAACTGACCAACAGCCCATGGCTGAGACATGATGGGTGGAAGCTATTTCTATACCCAAACACTGGAAGCGTAATTGAGATCTGAGATTCCTTTAATCAGAAGCACGTGCGTCCCACAGTGTGCTCTTCAAGCCCCAAAGGGCACGCCTCTAGGACTGCGTCCCTTAGAGCGAGGCTCGGGCTCTTGGTAAAAAAGCATTTGCTTGATTTTATTTAAACAATGGTGAATCTTCAAGGTGCCAGTCTACATGCCCAACAGTCCTCCAGGCTTCAAGGCCACAGTCACCGTCACTCAGAGACTGCCTCATTTGGCAAGAGAGAAAAACAGTGACCACCACAGAGGGCAGGGAGTGACAAAGCTTGTAGGCTAATGCTGCAAAAGCCGCTAGAAACTGGGGCCACACACAAGAGCCAGCAGGTGCGCCTCGGGGTCTGCGTGGCTCCCGCTGCTGCCGCCCTGGAAGGGCGCTTTCTCCACTGGCTTTTCTCGTGAGTCTTTCTCCCAGGCCGGCCAGATTACCATTTAGGAACCTTTGCCAATTCTCTGACTCTGGGAAGCAAAGTAAGCATTTGCCAAATGCACTGAGGCTGGGCAATGGGAATTCTTATGTTCTTTAAAGGCCAGTCAAGGAGAAATTCATCAGGAAAACATTTCCCAGGACATCCTCAGGTTGGTCTCCACACCAAGGCACACAGACTGTCACCTTCCCGAGGTCCCTCACCAGCAGGACGTGTCCAGGGTGCCCAGCACAAGGACTTGGAGCAGCCCAGACACAAGGACAAGCGGCAGAGAGGGAAGGCTCGCTGGGGACGCCCACTCGGGCACGGAGCTGGCTGTGGGCTGGGGGAAGGGCCAGCTCTGGACACCGTGCTCTCTGTTCTTCAGGAGATGCCAACCTCAGCCAAGACCTCAGATGGGGTCCCCACACGCAGGTGTTAACACAACATGGGGCACACAGCAGTGGAGGCATCAGTCCATGGGGTCTCCAGGCTGGAGGGTCCCACTTTCCAAAGTGTGTCCCCAGATGCAGGTGTGGCTTTTCTAGAAAGCTGTCCCCTCACCTGCAAAGGGGTTTCCTCGTCATCTCATATGGGCACTCCTGGCACCTGTGTGGACCACTCACTGCTTCAGACACACGGGCCTGGAGCCTTGCGTTCTGGAGACAGTGGCCGGCAGCTTGGTTTTGACGCCGTGTGCGTGCAGGGAGGAAGGCATGGACAAAACAAACGCCCTGTCTGGAACAGGCCGTCGAGGACAGTCAAGTGGCTGGAACGATGGCCTTGGCTCCAAAGCTGGAGGGGCTGGGGCAGGTGCATGGGCTGGGCTGTGCATTCAGGTGACATTCCCTAGTGACTCAGGTCACTAAACCCACTCCACAGGTGGGGAAGCTGAGATCAGAGGTGAAATGCTTCTGTCCAAACTCCAAGCAAGCCGGTAGAGAAATGGGGATTCACTCCAGAGTCCCGGCCCCAAGCCTGAGATCCTACCAACTTCCCGAGCTTGCTCTGCGTACTGTGCCCATCACACCTGCGCTGCCTGAGCTGTTCGCCTCTTCCTGACCCCCTCCCAGAGGCCACTGTTGCCTGGCTTCCCCCAAAAGGAGTGGGGTGGAGCACATGCGTCTCACACACGACCCAGTCTATCACTCTATCCGCTCACAGGAAGAGCACCAGTCAGGAGGGTCCTGCTTCCCGAGAAAACCACCAGCCAGCCCAGGGTGCGGGAACCCCACCGCTTCAATTCTCACGCGGTCCCACGGCTGTCCCCTACATCTGCTGTATTCAGGCTCGTTCTCTCTGTTTTTGGTAAGACATGCTCAGCTTCTTCCATCATGGCACTGACAAATATGCAGGTCTATGTCACACTCTCTACATAAAGTGCTGGGGGGTGGCTGGACTGGGCCCCCCGACGAGGTGTGCGTTCTGGTCAAAAGGCCGGATTTCCAAAGTGCATGCTGCTTCTATTCACAGGTCAGAGTTCAGAGCCCCAGAGCCACCCGGGATGTGGCGGCAAGGATGTGGCCGGTCAGGAGGTGAGGGACTGAATGTTCTTGAGCATCTCATCGAAGGCCTGTGGGGACGGCGCATCTGCGTTCCGGAAGGTGGCCTGGACCCGGCTGTACAGGCTGAAGGATTTCAGCTCCAGCCAGACGAACCCGAAGCGGTCCTCATCGAAGAGGATGAAGACCCCGGGGGTGCGTTCAGGGCTGGTGAAGCCGTGGCCCGCGATGAGGCCTGTGCCATAAAAACTGAGCAGAAACAAGAGGGAAACTGTGAGCTGGGGGAGGGCTGAGTCAAATGCACGCCACGTACAGCATTCTGCGACCCCGCTCTGTGCCGCAAGAGCCACATCCACTGTTCATCAGCCAGAAGCTGACTCCCAGAGCCAGCCTGTCTCTGCAGGGGCAGCTGGGGGTGTGGGCTGAGCCTGTCTCTGAAGGGGTAGCTAAGGGCGCAGGCCGAGCCCACCTGATGATGGACGCAGAGGCCAGAGCTCGGGGCTGCTCGGGGGATGGGCGCTGACTCGCAGCACCCGTGAGGGATTCACCCACTGACTGCACAATGCTGAAACACTGAACTAAAACGAGGTCTCTGCAGGCCCAGAGAGCTCTGTTCCAAAACACACATTTCATAAAGGAGGCCCAATGTGAAAAAAAATCTTAATGTCTGGGAGTTATGTCCCCATACAATTAGCTCTAATACAGGCAGCCTGCAGCTGACATTAACTCAGAAGTCGCAAACACCCATTTATGGCTTTGAGGTCAACATCAGACAGGAAGACACTTATGTCTGTCTTGCAAGCAGCTAAATTCTTCCAACAGATGACGAGAAGTAAGGGGCTGGCCTGGAATCACCCACTGAGGCTCCAAAGGCCGGGGGAAAGAACAGCCCCGTGGACCAGGGCCTGGCCTCAGAGGGCTTCTCAAGCTCGGGGAGAAGTTCCAGGGCCCAGAGGCAGGTGCAGCCATCGGCACTGTGGTCAGAAAAAAAGCAACAGGCATTCCCTGTACAGGTGCCGTGGCCAGGCCCTGCAGATCCATAAACTAGACAGGGAAGGGCCCGGGAGCCCCCATATTCAGCACGTCAGGGACTGTCCTGCAGGTTAGCTGGGGACGGAGGCTGGACAGGTCTTCCTGGTCAGTGGCTGCAGCACGTGCTGTGACTCGCAAACTGGCTCTGAGCCCACTGTGAGGTATTAGGAGTTCTGAGATGTTTGAAGGGTAACAGAGCTTTTTCCTTTTTTAGCTATTCAAACATTTATATTAGCGAAAACAACACTCCAACACTATTTGTATGCCTCTCTCTGTAAACCCCCCAGTCACCGTTATCATACATGGAACATGAAGAAAGCCCCGCCCAGACATCCAAACCCCCTCCGGGAGCTGGAACTGTGGCACCCTTCCCCCCACCCAGACATCCAAACCCCCTCCGGGAGCTGGGCCTGTGGCACCCTTCCCCCCACCCAGACATCCAAACCCCCTCCAGGAGCTGGGCCTGTGGCACCCTTCCCTCCGTGACAGGAAGTTTAGCGGGAAATACAGACACATAGCAGCATACGCACATAGTGGCTTGGAGGTAAAAGGAAAATAACTGTAACTTGACAATGGCAGAATGACTTTGATGCCAGGAGACTGACAGGCGGACCCTCAAAACAGCCCCCAAGGCCACTGTCCAGCAGAACCCTCTGTGGTGATGGAATGTTCTAGAGCTGCACTGTCCACCAGCCACATGTGGCCATGGAGCACTTGAAACATGGCCTGGGCGGCTGAGGGCCTGGATTTTTCATATTCAGTTTCAGTTCATTTGAATTTAAACAGCTCTAAAGGGTAAGGACACGGGGCAGGGCCTTGTTCATCTATGAGGAGCAGCCTGAACGGCAAGGGGCCCGTGGCACTGAAGGCGGTGGCCCAGACAAAACTGTATAAAAAAAGTCAGCGAGACAGGAGCTGGCAGCTGTGCAAGCCTCGTCCCATGTCAGCCGCCCAAGCCCTGCAGTGGCAGCGGCAATGCCAGCCCCTCCCACGCAGTCGCAGCTGGTGTCCACTCCACTGGCCACCAAGGCACTGGCCCGGCACAGCAGAGGCAGGCAGGCACAGAGGAGGGAGGGGGCAGGAAAGCAGGACCCACATCTGAACCACGCACCGGGAGATGGCCAAAGGTGACCGGCAAGACGCTGTCCAGGAGGACACCAAACCAGACGGGCTTTCCACAGGGTGGGTGGGGAAGGGGCCTTGTTCATTCTCTACTTTCAAAGCTGCTGGACAGTTTACATGATATTTCACTTGATTGACTGCAAACAAGTAGCTTTAGAAGCCCCTGGGGGAGCGGCACTATTGCAGGGATGTGAGGCATCTGGAAGCCTCATGCCCCTGCAGCTCTGAGGTACCCCAGAAGGGGTGGAAGGACAGGAGCCTCCAAGACGGGACCCAGCTGCGCGGCCGCTTGCTCAGGTGCTGGGGAACATGGCCCAAGGGGTCAGAGGCCGCACTCCTGTCCCAAAGCACCGGCTGCCGCCCTCTGTGAGGTCACAGGCCCTCTCCGCCTGTGCTAGGTGTGGGGCTGGGGCCCTCGCTGAAGCCCATGCTGTCCCACCTTCAGGCCCCAGTACCCGCCGCATCCTTACCACATCCTGCAGGTTCGGGGGTAGTCCTCATTCCTGGAGCTCACGCCCACGGGCAGCACGAACGGCTGCCCCTGCCCACACTGGGCAGGCTGCTCGGCCGCAGCTACGGCATCCCCAGGCTCGCCACCATCCTCACCAGGTGTCCCATCTGGGCCCTTGCTGGGCGCCTCTGCCCTGGGCTGGGCAGGGCTTGGCTGGGACTCCCGGGGGCCCTGCCGGCCACGACCCTCGCCCGCCTCGTGCCCGCCTTCCTGCTGCTCCTGGCGCACCCTCTCGCGCACCTCCAGGACGATGCGGGAGAGCTCATTGAAGTTGCGCTGGTTCTCGAGGTCGGGCAGCTGGATCCGATGCCTCAGGTCGATCTCCACTGTCTGCTGCCCAGCGGGGATGTTGGGGTCGCCCTGTGGAGCAGGTGGCAGTCAGCAGGGCTCAGGCCAGCAGCAGCAGCAGTACCACTGTGTGGGCTCCAGCCCAGATCCACCTCTGGCTGAGCGAGCTGGCACCAGCCCTCCTACTGACTTAGCAACGTCCCTTACAGAAGAAGAAGTCTCAGAATCCCTTAGAAAGTGGCAGGGCCAGCAACACCTATGAGTGCCCCTGAGGACGGTGGCTCATACCTGCTCAACTGCGCCCAGAGAAGTTCAAAGAACATCCCAGAGCTGGGCAGCAGCCCAAGGGGGCAGCCCACATCTGTCTGCCTGAAAGGCAGAGCTCGGGAGCCGAGCCCTGGGAAGATGCGTCAGCCCCAAAACTCCGTGAGGAGTCCAGGAGCCAAAACTCTGGGGTCCAGGGAATGCCCCATTATGCCAGATGTGGCCCTGATCCCTGGAGGCTCGGGGAATAGGCTTCGCCCCTTCAGGCGCTGTCTGCCAGGATCCCCAATAACCATTCAGGGCAGGCGGGCAGCATGTGCCAGGAGCCCTGGCATGGGACAATGAGCCCCTGTTCACTGCTGGGCTCACCACACAGCCCACCCTCAGGCCACTCCAAGGAGAGGAGCTGCTGAAGCTCAGACAGGGTGGGAGCTGTCTGCAAGCACAAGGGTCTCCATGCAGCTGCTGGAGGGGCCCCTTTCCCAGGCTGTCCCCAGTTAAATCTGAGCCTCTGTGTGGGGTCTGCTGTCCAGACTTCCTAAACCCCACAGGGCTGCCAGGGTGGCCGGGGCTGAGCGGTGCTGTGGGAAGGCCACCTTGGAAGCACACAGACTCCCTGAGGGTCTCGTGGAAATGCAATTCTGGTTCAGTGGGGCTGGCTGGGGCCCGAGAATCTGCTTTCCCAAGCTCCCGGGGCTGCAGGTGCAAGCCCACTCTGAGGAGCAAGGGTGCCGGGGATCAGTGTCTGCCCAAGTTCCCTGACTCCACAGCCCACTTGGGCCAGGTGCCCCCAGAGCCCCACCAACCAGGTCAGCCGCCACTCACCGTGATCTTGGTGCCCCTGGCACGCCGGCCGTGGAAGCTGAGCATCACAATCTCCAGGCCGTGGCTGCCATAGGTACCTTTGAAGAGGCCAGGCTTGATGAGGTCGTCGGGGCGGCTGGGCGGCAGGTAGATGCGGCGGTAGGTCAGGCAGTTGCTGTGGGGAGCGGACGGGTCAGTACAGGAGACCTCGTGGGGCAGGCAGGACTGAGAACGCCCAAGGTGCCAGGGATGAGCTTTGCAGGGCGGGGTAGGGCGGGCAGCTCAGCTCAACCAGGGCCAGGTGTCCACCAGGCCTGTGGGCAGCAATGCGCCCAGGGGAGCCCTCACCCCCACCACCCACCAGCACGCACGCTTCCAACAGGACTTCTGGGGTTAAGGGGGGCATCAGCGCCAGGGCAGAGCTTTAGGTGGGAGGGAAAAGGAAGTGCCAGTTTGCTCCATTACCCAGGAGAAAGGAGCCCAAGTCACCATGGAGGGGATCCCCGCACTGGGCTGAGCGGGGCTGAGCTCTAGAGTGCCAGTGTTGGCAGGGGTGACAGGAAATCAGATAAAAACAGACACCCGGGTGAAGGATGGGGTCTGGGGCTGTGCCACAGCAGCTACAGGGAGGCCTGCACTCCCAGCACCCACAGAGAGAGGGGCTGTGTTCCAAGTACCCACAGAAAGAGCGAACTATGCTCCAAGCACCCAGAGAGAGAGGGGCTGTACTCCCAGCCCCCAGCAGGAGAGAGGGCTGAACCCCAGCACCCACTGAGACAAAGGACTATGCCCCAGCACCCACCGGGACAGGGCTGGTCCCCAGCACACACCAGGAGAGGGCTACCCCAGCACCGAGCAGGAGCCGCACTCACTCGTACTGACTGGTGTAGATGAACTTCATCAGGATGAGCTCCTGCATGTGCTCGTGGAAGATGTCCTCCAGCGTGCGCCCCCATTCCTCCCTCAGCCACGTCCGAAACTCCTTCCAAAAGAACACAGGTCATGAATATCCATATGACAGGAGGCTGTGAAGAGGCTGCCGGCTGTGCCGCTGAGAGGACACAGTGTGTCCTTCTTTGTCAGTGCACAGGCACCTGCAGGGCCCTCTTGGTGGGGGAGGATGGACTTGGCGCTGGGAAGAGAAAGGGGAGCTGCCGGATTTGACCCCACGTCAGAGGTGCCTGCCAACAAAAAGTGAAGGTTCCGGGCCCTTGGTCTGCTGGGTCGGAGGCAGCAGGGGCTACAGGGAGCCCAGGTGAGGCGGGGGCCACAGCCATGACCAGAACTCAGGGTGGGCCTCCCTTCCATGCCCACCGGTGGGGCAGGAACAGCATCTACACAGACTCTGGCCCTGCACAGCACAGCCCCTCAGCCTGCTTCTCTGGCTCCTGGGAGCCTGAGTGTTCCAGAAGCCCTCACCACCAACCCTGAGCCGTGCGAGTCAGCCAAGGACGATGCACTGAGCCCTCGGCCAGTGACTGGGTGGATTTTCCTTTTTCAAAGGAAAAGCAGGTATGTTAAGGCGGTTCCCAAAAACTCCGCAGCCCCACCAGTCCGCCCTGCATTCTGCCATCACATGGTGCTGAGGATATTTCGTGCTTAATGGTTTGATTCTACACAATTTACAGAATTCACCCAAACTTCCAAGTTCCCAGCTCAATACAGTGTTTCCAGTCATTATCTAGACCTAACTCTGAAAGGGACGCATAAGCAACTCACAAAAAAGAGGAAACACGATGGTCAATCGCTTTCATACATCACTGCTCCAAACTCCGACAAGAAACAGAAATCACTGCAGGAGCTGCACTGAGCACCTGGCAGGACCACATGGTCAACACAGAAGCCACCTGGATTTTTATGTCCTAGCAGCACAAAATATAAAAATAAAATTTAAAAAAATTCTATGTACAAAATCCTCAAAAAAACATAAGACTTGGGAATAAATGTTACAAAATACGTTTAAGATCTATTCTGAAAACCACTAACCACCGCTGAAAGGAAGTAAAAATGCCTGGGTACACAGAGATGCCACGTGTGGGGTCTGGGACCCATCTTGGCCTCATTCCAAGAGCACTTCTCTCCAGATTGATCTACAGATCCGACCTCACGCCAACCACAAGCCCACCAGGCACTACACAGACTGGACTCGCCAAGTCTGAAATTCCTACGGAAAAGCAAAGAACTGGGACAGACAGGCCATCAGGAAAACGAAGAGCAAACGGGAGGACCAGGCTGCTCTCAGGACTTGCCCAGTATAAGCTCCCGTCATGACACGGCGTGCAAGCCTCAGGCCTCACACGGGCACCAACAGAGCCAGGAGCCCAGAAACCCTCATGTGGACCCAGCTGCCTGATTGCAGCGGAGGTGCCCACACCTGCCCCTCAGGAAAGGAAGGTTTTCAGCAAGGTGCTCCGTCAGTTGGGTTTTCATATGGAGAAGAAGGAACCACGACCCCGCCTTATGCCACACACAAGATCATTCAAGATGGGGCACAGGCCTCCACACAAATGCAGAACCTGATGTGATGCTACCAAACTTCTATTAAAAAAAAAAAAAATGGAGCCTATCTTTGCAAACTGAGTATTTTAGGACTCAATTTTTAGGACTTTTTTAGGATTCAGAAAATAACCATAAAAGAAAACAAAAAGTTTCACAAATTGGACCTCATCAAAATTAAAACCTGAGTGGCTGAACTTGAGGAAAGGCTCTTTAAATAACAGATAGAAACAAAAGTAACTGAATGTAATGAACAAAGATTTCAATGTTACCGCTGTGAGTACTGCGACTTCAACTTGACACCATCAGGAAGATGAGCATGTGTAGCCATGACCTCGCTTTACATAAAGAGGTCCAAGCAACGGGACCACCAACCAGACCCTGTTACCCAGAATAAGGCCGTCCCAAGCATGTTTATTATGAAATTACTCATCAGAGCAACACATACAAGCCACAAGAAAAAAAAAAAAACAGGGAGCCCAGGACATGCACGACAACGATCAACTTCACGTTGACCCAGGGCCTGCTCACTCAACACATTGTACTCGCGACCCTCGTGGCAGCGCCGGCAGAGGGGGCTGAGGGTGACAAGGATGCCTGCTGGCTGCTTGAAACAGGAGCATGGCCCATCCTCCCTTCTCTGCTCCTTTCACAGGTCTGAGATTTCCAAAAGCCTCAGTCTTGGGGCGGGGGAGGCGGGCCTGAAACACACAGGGGTGGGAAGGGACATGGTGGCTTGCCCTGGCCCGGCACCCATACAGAAAAGGCCA
This sequence comes from Homo sapiens, assembly GCF_000001405.40. Lineage (NCBI taxonomy): Eukaryota > Metazoa > Chordata > Mammalia > Primates > Hominidae > Homo > Homo sapiens. The sequence goes on from NC_000016.10 coordinate 87,338,549, forward strand.
GGTCTGGGTGGGCCCGAGCGTCCCATTTCTCACAAGGACCCACGGCTGAGGGAACCCACAACCCTGGGAACATCATCAGATCATGCCAGTGACGCAGCCTGGGTACAAGGAATGGCCTCCCGGGGTGGGGGTGACCCACACAGAGATGCAGGGATGCCAAAGAGACTGCATTGCCCTCGAAGCCTCCCCTGTCCAGAGCCTGGCCCCTCCAACCTCCCTGGGCAGACAGGACTCCACTCCCTTGGAACCTGCTTGATGTGGTTTGGCTGTGTCCCCACCCAAATCTCATCTTGAACTGTAGCTCTTCCAATTCCCATGTCATGGGAGGGACCCCAGGAGGTAACTGAATCATGGGGGTGGGGTCTTTTCCATGCTGCTCTCATGATAGTGAATAAGTCTCACGAGATGCAATGGTTTTATAAAGGGGAGTTCCCCTGCACAAGTTCTCTCTTTTTTTGCCTGCCGCCATGTAAGATGCGCCTTTCGCCTTCCACCATGATTTGAGGCCTCCCCAGCCACATGGAACTGTGAGTCCATGCAACCTCTTTCCCTTATAAATTACCCAGTCTTGGGTATGTCTTTATCAGCAGCGTGAAAATGGACTAATACAGTGCTGATCCAGAAGTTCTCAGCCAGCAGAGCTCAGGGCAGTACCGAATTCCTGTCCCTGATCTTTCACCTCAGTTGTGAAAATTATCAGGATGTGTCACCATGTCCAGACCTCCTGGGATGTCCTCTTCCTGGAATGCAGCTCTCCTGGTGACCTACCTGCTCTCTGGCCTTTAGTGGAGAGGAGCTCCCAGCTGATGCATGAATCCACAGACAGCCCCACCCTCTGAACCCCTACACGTCGTGAGAGAAAAGCAGCGAGGACACTGCAGGCCTCAAGATGAACGAAGTGACTGTGGGAGCAGGTGACAAGCCCCACAGGAGGGCGCAGCCAGTGCAGCCCCTGCAGAAGAGGAGAGGCTGCTCTCACTCGAGGATAGGTGGTACAGCACCGTCAGCAGCCCCAGCCTCTGCCCTACCTGGGACAGTGGCACCCTCACCCTGTCAACTCCCGGAGGGGGAGCTCAGAAGCGGGACGAGCCGAGGGAGTATGTCGGATGGGGGTGTGGACATCACACAAACGGCAGCACCCCATACACTGACCGTAAGCGTGCTGCTATTCCAATTGCAAGAAGAGACAGCAAGGGGATGTTTCTGGGAAATAGCTGCTTCTAGAGTTCACACAGCAAATAAACAAGATGAGCCGGGAACATTCCAAAATAGAAGAGGAATACAGGCAATTAAAATACAGTGATAGGCCAGTGCAATGGCTCACAGCTATAATCCCAACACTTTGGGAGGCTGAGGTAGGAGGATCACTTGAGCCCAGCCTGGGCAACACAGTGAGACCCTATCTCTAAGCCATAAATAAAATAAAACATAGCGATAAAACTACAAGAATTCGGCCGGGCGCGGTGGCTCGCGCCTGTAATCCCAGCACTTTGGGAGGCCGAGGTGGGCGGATCACCTGAGGTCAGGAGTTCGAGACCAACCTGGCCAACATGGGGAAAACCTGTCTCCGCTAAAAATATAAAAATTAGGCAGGCATGGTGGCAGGCGCCTGTAATACCAGCTACTTGGGAGTGAGGCTGAGGCAGGAGAATCACCTGAACCCAGGAGGCGGAGGTTGCAGTGAGCCAAGATCATACCACTGTACTCCAGTGTGGGGGACAGGGCGAGACTACATCTCAAAAACAAACAAAAACTATAAGAATGAGAATAGTGTGGTACTGACATGTGGACAGACATATGGATCAGAGTATCAAGTCCAGAAATGAACCAAGTATACAGGGTAACCTAGGACAAAAGCAGCGCTACAAATTGATGTAGGAAGTGTGGTTATCACGCATCCAGTGTGGAGATAACAGATCAGGTCTGCACAGAACCAAGGCTGGGGCTAAGCCTTACATTTCACATCAGAATAGATCCAACGGAACCAGACACAGACACAAGAGAAAAATAAAAGCATGAGCTCATTTGTAAACATATGTGCTTCAGGGAGAGATCTCAGGATGGCACTAAACTGAGAGTCTTTTAAAGAAAGATGGATACATCTGCTTATGTAAAAATTAAAAATACGGCTGGGCGTGGTGGCTCATGCCTGTAGCCCCAGCACTTTGGGAGGCCAAGGCGGTAAGATCACTCGAGCCAGGAGTTTGAGACCTGCCTGGGCAACAAAGTGAGACACCCTCTCTCTTAAAAATTAACATTAAAAATAAAAAATTCCATGGATGGAAAACACACCATAAGAGAAATCCAAAGACAAAAAAAAGGAATAAGAAAAAAACCTGGCAACTCCTATCTGGAAGGGCTTCGATTTCCTAATAGTTAACAAGCTCCTACAAACCCACTTGAAACCCGCCAACACCAAACAGAAACAGAGGCACAGGCTATGACCAGACAGTTCATGAAACAGTTCATAAAACCACAGAGAGCTCCTGATCCCAAGACACTAGGCTGGTCTCACTCAGAATAAGGGAAACATAAACTCCCCCCATCAAGATTCCAGCAATACCTTCCCTCTCACCCTCACTCCTGGGTGTTTCTCTCATTTCCACAAGGAGCACATGTTGTTATATTTACAATCAGGAAAAACACTACTCCAGTTCAAAATCAGTGAGCCCACACACAGAAGTAGGCTTACAGAAACTTTTCCTAATCCCAAAGTATATAGTACCAGAAATGTAATATGGTTTTCTTTTTTAAGGGCTCAACAGCTGAGGAGTTTCTATTCTTGAAAAATCTGTTGACATTTTTCACTTAAATGTGAACCATAAGGCCAGGAGCAGTGGCTCACACCTGTAATCCCGGCACTTTGGGAGGCCGAGATGGGTGGATCGCCTGAGGTCAGGAGTTCGAGACCAGCCTGGCCAACATGGTGAAACCCCATCTCTACTAAAAATACAAAAATTAGCCAGGCATGGTGGCAGGTGCCTCTAAGCCCAGCTCCTCAGGAGGCTGAGGCAGTAGAACTGCCTGAACCGGGAAGGCGGAAGTTGCAGTGAGCCAAGATCACGTCACTGCACTCCAGCCTGGGCAACAGAGCGAGACTCCGTCTCAAAAAAAAAAAAAAAAAAAAAAAAAATTGAACCACAGCAATCACACACATACGTTGTGTTTCTGTATATAAAATCAAATCTAAAATAACAGCATAATTAAAACATTTCCGTTACTGATCATCTTCACATGCCATCTATTCAAGAAAACAGGAACGTCACTTACTTGCAAAGAATTCCGAGAAACAGGACATTTGGTTCATCTCAACCTTCTCTGCAGTCCTCTGGCTGATGGGGAAACCACCACAACTCAAACTAGCTAAGAAAAGCACACCCTGGCCGCGCGCGATGGCTCACACCTGCAATCCCAGCACTTTGGGAGGTCAAGGTGGGAAGACGGCTTGAGCCCAGGAGTTTGTGACCAGCCTGGGCAACATGGCATAACCCCGTAGCATGGTAGCATGCCTGGCTAATTTTTTGTTTTTCCTTTTGAGGCAGGGTCTCACTCTGCCACCCACATGGGAGTGCGGTGGTGCGCTCATAGCTCACTGCAGTCTCCACCTCCTGGGCTCAGACAATCCTCTCACCTCAGCCTCCTGAGTAGCTGGCATGCCACCATACCCAGCTAATATTTTTGGTTTTTGTAGAGACAGGGTCTCACTATGTTGCCCAGGCTGGTTTTGAACTCCTGACTTTAAGTGATCCTCTTGCCTCAGCCTCCCAAAGAGCTGGGAATACAGGTGTGAGCCACCGCACCTTCCTTCTTAAGAGTATTTTGAGAGGGCAGTAAGACTTAGATCCTTGAAAGCTAAAACTCAAGGGCAATATTAAAATACTCAGGCAAACAATCACACACAGGCTTCCCCGCTGCACTGGCACGATCCGGAAGCCTCCACACGGTCTGCTCAAGGATGGGAAACACAGGAACTCTGGGTGCAGCCCTCGGGTCTCCCTGCAGCTCACATCCTAGAAGCAGCCTCCCAGCAACCCCTCAGCAAGTGGATGTGCCCGCCAGAGGGGCAAAGCAGAGCTAACTGAAGAAACGGCCTGTGTGGTTCGTTCGTTCTGCAGGGGGAGGGGACCGGCAACCTGCCCGCCCGCACGATGCTGTTCCTCGAGTGTGCCGGATGCACGGTCTGCACTGACAATACCGGCTGAACCATGTGAAACAGCCACCATGCAGGTCGCATGCTGCTGACTTCTCTCCCGCATGGGTCTGTACTTTCCCCGTGGGGAAAGGAAAGGTCCGCACCATATGAACACAGGGCCGGCTGGTGGGCTCACCTCCTGCCTCCCGCCGGACATCCTGTGGTGGTCCGTCTGGTTGCACTTGGTGGAGAACTCATCCTTCTTCACAATCTTCAGTGTTTGCAACACAAGGAAAGAGAAGAGTGAGGAACAGAGTCCATCACAGCATCCCCCACCCCAGGCAGGTGGCCACGACCCCTCCCTCACCACACCCACCAAACCCCACTGCAGGCACCCAAGATGCGACCAACGCGGTGCCAGCGGAGGGAGCTGAGTCTCCCTGAGCAACACTCCCCCAAGAGCAGGAGGCAGTGGCACATCTGAGAGAGTGGCGTTTGCATTTCCCAGCGTGACACAGAGCAGCAAAAGGGCTGCATCTCACACACAAGGTGTGGCAGATGACACGCTGTGCTCACCGTGGGGGCCACTGCCAGACCAGATCAGAGAACAGAGAGCGCACTTGATTCCACACTGATATTCTTGCAAACAGGAAAAAAAGACAGAGGAACTGAAGTTGCAAAGAAACAGCGGCTCTAACTGAGAGCAGAATCAAGAGGGGTCCAGCAAGTGACCGCTGCAGAGTCCACTGCGCCACGGAGGCGTAAACAATGCACAGCAGGGCAGGGCGGAGCCTCCCTCCCACCCGCCGATCTGCTACAGCCCAGGTCTGCAGCTGAGAATAGCACGGCAGGCCTGGCTGGAGCCCACACAGGACAGCCCTGGGACAGTGAGGACCCAGCCCCGCCGCTGCACACACCTGGATGTGGCCGTGGTGGGGCCCTTTGTGGCCGTACATGCACTCCACTGTGGCAGCCTTCCTCTCCATCAGGTGGATCCTGAACAGAGGCTTGAATCTCATAGGGTCATCGACGTGGGGGTCATGGGGAGGCAGGTACATCCACCCGATGATGAACAGGCCGTCCACCTACAGGAGGAGATGGGCAAAGGTCCATGAGTGGCTCCCGGGCCAGAGCAAGGGCGGCCCCGCACGGCTCCCCGCACTGCAATGGCACAGAGAAGCTCCTGCCAGACCAGCACATGGGACCTGCACGCCCACCCTCGAGGTGCCTCGAATCCCAGCACTATCTTCCAGCTCTGAGATGCAGGTGGACACCAGGAGGAGGCAGAATAATCCAGAAAGTGACACGGGGTGAGGTGCCGACCAGACAGAGGGAAAGGGGGTGCATCTCCCAACAGGAAAGAGTGAACAACAGCAGTGCAAGGGCCTCGTTCGCGTCCTGAGCTGAACAAATTGCCATTCAAAGGAGGCTTTGAGATGATCAGGGAAGCATCCCATGGCCTGGGCAACAGGCAACACAAGGACCGTGTGCCACTTTTGTCAGGTGTGGCAGTGACACGGAGATGCAGGAAACACCCCCTTTCTTAGGGCGCTGCCCGGAGGGACGGACAGCTGAAATGCCACGGGCCTGGGATTTGCTTCAAAACCGAAGTGCAGGGGAGGAGAGAGACGCCAAGACCCCGGGAGGGGCGCTCAGGAGCGGGAAGAGCCGAGGAGTGCGTTGCCCGTGCGATCTCGCGTGTCCGGGCGCCGATCGTGCAAATGCAGAGGCGGGTGGGCCCCAGCACGCTCTGGCCACAGCAGCCACATGCTTATAAGGAAGGACAGCCTAGCCTCACCCCCTTCTGGGAGAGCTGGGACCCATGAGACTGCCAGCTCCAGCAACCAAGGAGAGAATTCCATCATTTCTGTGGCTCACGAGCCTGGGTCAAGCGTGAGCTGGTGCTGTTCTCTCACAGACTCCACTTTCCCCAATTATCCACTGCTTTTTGTTTTTTGGGGTTTTTTTTTTTACTCTATTACTCACTGCCAGTAAGTAAAACAATTACCCTTCCTCCACTAAAAGAAAGGAAAGCAATCTGCCCACCCTGTGAGCTGCCGGGCTGGTCTCTCAGAGGAAACATCCTAAAAGCAAGGCTGGAGCACGCGACGCCCAACACAACAAACGCAGAGCGGGTTTCTCCACAGCGGCTCCCAGCAGATGAAAACCCCACCTGGGGGCAAAACCCATCCCTGCCCCAAACCCCACCTCCGGCAGCGCCCATCCCTTCCCCAAACCCCACCTGGGGGCAGAGCCCATCCCTGCCCCAAACCCCACCTGGGGGCAGAGCCCATCCCTGCCCCGAACCCCACCTGGGGGCAGAGCCCATCCCTGCCCCGAACCCCACCTGAGGAACAAAGCCCAGAGCCACAGAGGAGCCATCTGCCCAGGGGCCATGCATGCCAGGCCTGGAAGAACCTGTGCAGAGGCCACGGGGAGACAGACACACCCGCCCTCGCTGGGCTCAGCCCCTGGTCCCACAAAAGGGAGCGGAGCACAATCCCAACACCAGCACCGGATTTTCAACACAGCAAGAACGATGGCAACAGTGACACCTCAGGGGCCAGCTGCCTGCCCAGAGCTCAACAAAGTCAGGGCGGGGCTTTCCGGAAAGTTCAAGAGGCTCCAGCAGGAGGGTGCGGGGAGGGCGGGAGGCAGGGTGGGAGGGAGGGAGGGGAAGAGGGTGGGAGGGCGGACCGGAAGCCATGCAGACTCCATGCAGACACTGGCACCACGCAGAGCCCGCAGAGCACCACCTCCTCACCCCACAGGGACACCTGCAAATACCAAGAAAAGTCAGACAACTTCACTGTGTTGAATGAGCAGCTACTTTTCAACATAAATTGGCAGGTGACCGAGAAACACAGAAACTAAAACTACAAGCAGACATCTGCTCCTGGCCCTGGCCCCAGAGCTCATATCAAACCTGCCCTCCTGCTGAGACCAGCCACGAAGACTGAACACTCTCTCCTAATTCCAGGAGAAAGAAAACAAGAAAAAGAAAAAAAGACTGAACACATCAGAGAGCAATGAAGGTAGCCCAGTGACGAGGACCCAAGGCCCTGAAGAGAAGGGACAGGCTGAGAGGCGAGGGGCAGGGCCTTCTCCCCCCTTCCTGAGGCCACTGACCACTGGCTGGGGAGGAAGGCCCATGTCTGGCACCTGCAGGCTGGAGAGGCACACACGGAGACCAGGTCTACACAGGAGCCAGGACTACCGCCGCCAAACGCCAAAGATGGCAACCAGAGAACACAGCCCCATGCTGCACACAGGCAGTTGCACGAGGCACCTGCGGAATCCTGAGTGAGGGGTGGGAGGTGGAGGAGGGAAGCAGAGTGGCTGCTGAGAGGAGAAGGGGCCAAGCGAAGCGTGACTCACAAAGCCAGGAAGAGAAAAGGAGGAATCAGGGCCTGGGGATAGAGTCACGGACGGCCTCCGGCTGGGCCCTACAGAGGGTTGTGTCCTGGGAAGGAGAGAGACCCGGAATGAGAACGGGACGCTTCCCCAAGCCTGAGACGCGCGCATACCCCGGGCCTGCGCAGAGCAGGTGCCCTGACTCCACTTTGCCCGCAGGCCGGGGCCAGGGCCTCTTGAGGAGACCAGGCCACGGCACCCAGCAAGTGCCCAGGCGCACAGTGAGGGGTGGGGGGCATCCAACACGCCTGGAGATCAGGAGAAAAGGCGGGGGCTAGACTCGAAAGAAACTTTCACTACTGTACCCAAAAAGATTAACAAAGAGAAGGAAAACTTCACCGAAAAACGGGAATTTAATAAAAAAGAAAGCCAGACTTCCATCTCCAGCCATGATCAAGTACCCAGGACTAGACAGGCACTGCCATGGCAGACCCAACGAACAGGAAAGAAATGTCCTCACGGGTCCTCAGACCCCAACGGCAAGCAGGCTGCCGGGAGAAGGGAAACGGAGACGACTCTGCCACCAGCCTGGACTTCCGCCTGCAACGTTCTAGCACTTTCTAGCAGGGGCCAGCCACCTGCCCAGAGCTCAACAAAGTCAGAGCAGGGCTTTCCGTTCGAGAGGCTCCAGTAGGAGGGCACAGGGGGCGGGAGGCAGGGTGGTCAGAGCGGGTCCACAGCAGAACCCAAGGAAACAGACGTCAGAGTGCACCATGGCTGGAACATGGGGGGCAAAGACCAGGAACGGAAGGACCTGGCTGAGGGCGGGCTCCAGACCCCGCCAACATGTGCGCGATGGGCCTCAGCGTCCAGGAAGCAAAGGCCCTCACAAGCCACCCCCTCAGACCAGAGAGTCCAAGGACGGGCCACAAGGCCGAAGTGTTGCTCTAAGCAAACCTTTGCTCATTTGGAAAATAAAATTGGCTCCTGAAAAGTGACAGAGCAAGAATTTTTTGGTAATTACCTCAAACGCACATCTGGGCCAGCTTGTACCCAGGTAGAAGAGGCCCTCAAATTCCTCCACGTAAGGCACCACTCCTGCCCGTGCACAGACCTCGTCGCGAGGCTCCGGGACTTACCACCACGTTCAGCAGTCCTCCGTATGGCCCGATATCTGGCTGCCACAATCCCAAAATGTGTCTATATCGGTGAAGCACTACAGGAGGAGAGAAAGAGCAAGTCTCTGTGTTAGACCCAGCGTGCCGCAGGGAGCCCAGGAACCCCGAGAGGGAGGAAGGAACCATGAGGACTCACAAAAGGCTTGCAAGAGCCCTCCAAACACATGCACACCAAGCCTCTAAAGATGTATCAGAATGAGGCCGGGTGCGGTGGCTCACGCCTTTAATCCCAGCACTTTGGGCGGATTACAAGGTCAGGAGATTCAGACCATCCTGGCTAACACGGTGAAACCCCGTCTCTACTAAAACTACAAAAAATTAGCCGGGTGTGGTGGCGGGTGCCTGTAGTCCCAGCTACTTGGGAGGCTGAGGCAGGAGAATGGCATGAACCTGGGAGGTGGAGCTTGCAGTGAGCCGAGATCACACAACTGCACTCCAGCCCGGGCGACAGAGGGAAACTCAGTCTCCAAAAAAAAAAAAAAAAAAAAACTATCAGAATGAAACTATCCTCAGAAGGCCTAAGTAAAATGAGTCTCCCATGAAGTGATGAGCCTCCCATCAATGGGGGGAAATCAAGCAAGGCTGGGAACTCTCTCTTCTAGGAATAAGACAGAAGACGTGCAAACAGCGAGCTGGACTAGACCTGCCAAATGCCAAGATGCTGGTAGCGCTACAAGGCATGTCATAAGCAATCAGATCTTTAAAGCTATCCCAACAATGACAATGTCACACTCGCTGAAGGCCCAGGACACAACTTCTCCATCCCGTTCCTTGCCAGCCAATGGTCAGGTCAGGCTGGGCCATCTCACTTCCTGAGCAGCTCCAGGTCACCCTCGAAGCTGCCCCTGGGCCCTGCCCAGGCCTTCACCCCATGGGGTATGGGCCACTGCACCAGCTGCCTCCCCTTCAGGCAGGCCTGAACCCCCAGCCCACCCACTGCCTCTCTCCACGACTCCCTGGCCAGGCTCTAGGCCCTCAGCCATGTGGCTGCCACCAACCTTCCTGCCTCTCCACCCTACCTGCCCGCTCTCCATCAGCCTCAGCCTCCCAGGTCAGCCCAGCCCAGCCCCTCTCCGGCCCCTGCACTGTATCTGCACTCATGAGCCACCCCTTGGATGCTAAATGCCTGATGAAGTCTGCCTCGACTTCACCACCACTGTTAGTTCCCATCATTCGGGAAGCCTTACCCATCAAGAGAAAGCAGTGAGCGTGATGATGGGGGAGAAGGTGGCACCCAGTGACCTTCCCTGAACACGCCTGGGCCCCCTAATGGTAGAGCTTGAGGGTAGCAGCTGATCTGGGGCATGGTCCCAGGAAGAAGGGGTGACCGGGTAGAGACTACAGACCTGGCGGGAGGATAAGCCAACATATAGGGTGCTTTGTGGACACCTCCCCATCACGGTCACCAAAGGGCAGAGGCAGCCGGCCCAGGCTGTTACAGCCTCACCCATCTGGGTCGCTGGAAGCACAGGTCCCAGGGCCCCTAACGGTGGGACAGAAAGTGCTGGGAGCCATCATATGAGGGCTGCCTATGAGAGGGCGGCCTGCACTCACCCGGGACACCCACCAGAGCAGCAGGCAGGACCAGCGCAGGGTGGAGAAGCAGGCCTGGCGCCTGTGTACCTGGAAAGCTCCCGCAAACCCTGGATCCCGCAGAACAACTGAGCACTCAGCAAGGCAGGTAATGAGGGAGTACACCGGAATCCAGCAGAAGCATCGCTCACTCGGTAGGAGGAGCAGCAGACCAAGCCTCGGCAGCAGGAGGCACATAAGTCCACTCACAGCTTTACAAGACTTCAGTAAAGACAGAGACAGGAAACATTCATACATGGGGAGAAAACACTGTGAAGACAAAAACTCCCCCAGCTAATCATCAATAATGTCATCCCAACTCAAATCCACACTCAGCTAATCATCAATAATGTCATCCCAACTCAAATCCACAGGTTTTAAAAAATAATTTAACAAAATGATTCCAAAGTCCATGTGAAGAGGTGAGAGCAGCCAGTGACACTCCAAATTTTAAAAGACAAGTGCTATGAAAATGAACTATTCTAACTACAGCAATCAAAACAAGAACAGAATGAGATATGAAGAAAATAAAATATAATCCCCCGGAAGCCCCAGTGGCAGCTGACACAACCGTGAAAGGCAGGGATTGTGGAACACGTTGGGGCAGAGAACAAAATGTCATGGGCCTGCAGATTAAAATTTCAGCTGCAGGCTGGGCATGGTGGCTCACGCCTGTAATCCCAGTACTTTGAGAGGCCAAGGCAGATGGATCACGAGGAGTTCGAGACCAGCCTGGCCAACATGGTGAAACCCCGTCTCTACTTAAAATACAAAAAATTAGCCAGGCATAGTGGCAAGTGCCTGTAATCCCAGCTACTCGGGAGGCTGAGGCAGGAGAATCACTTGAACAGGGAGGCGGAGGCTGCAGTGAGCCGAGACCACGCCACTGCACTCCAGCCTGGGCAACAGAGCAAGACTCCATCTGAAAAAAAAAAAAAATCAACTGGATCAGCTATTTTTTTAAAATAAATTTCCATCAGCCCGGTGTGGTGGCATGAGTTATGGTCCCAGCTACCCAGGAGGTTGAGGTGGGAGGACCACTTGAGCCCGGGAGGCGGAGGCTGTAGTGAGCTATGATCGTGCCACTGCACTCCAGCCTGTGCAACAGAGCAAGACCCTATCTCAAAAAAAAAAAAAAATCCCCTCTATTTCAAAAGCAGCACATACACAGTCACTGAAGACAATTTAGAAAAAGGAAACCTAAAGCTCACCAGTAATCCCATCACTCAGAGACCACATGCACAGTCCACATGTTGGCGAACATGGTTTATGTCTGCTGTCCTGCACCTGTATCTGCTTGAGTGAGCATGTGTGACTGGACGAATGGGCAGGATCTCGGGGCTCTGCAGGCAGTGGGGGCCATGGGGGTTTCGGAGCACTGGAGTGGCAAGACCACTCCAGACCACAGGAAGGAAGATGGAGCAGGGAGGGCAAGAAAGCCAGGACGGCAGCAAGTAGGTCGCCACCTGGATCTAAGGCACAGGGAGTAAGAAACTTCTCAAGCCTTTGGAGAAGACGCTAGACTCCACCAACAGCTCCCAAGATTCAGCCCAGACCATGGTTTAGGAAGTTCCTAAATGAGCCCCGGCTGTGTGCAGGCTGCTGCCAGCCATCCCACACACAGACACCCCTTTAGGAACAATCCTGAGTCCATTTACAGGACACAGTCAAGCCAGTCTTGTTACTTTACGGTCACACCTAGACGGGTGTGTGATCAGGAACCATAAACACACACTGATCTTGACAATGAAATGCACACTGAAGCATTTAGGAGTGAAACGTACTGACGCCTGCAAGTGTGAAATGCATCAGAAAATAAGTCCACAGATGGCTGCAGGGATGGACTGCTGGGCGGCTGGGTGATAACAAAATGGAGGTTCACTGGACAATTCTTCCAACTTTTCTGTTTTCAAAATTTCATCATGAAATACTGGGGTTAAAAAAAAAACACTATTCAGCATTGCACTCTCTCCTCCTATCCCCTCCCCTCAGCTCCCGCTTTAAGTGCTAGGAACACTGCCCAATGAGCCTGCCTCAGACGCCTGGCAATCCCAAAGTGGGAGTTCCCTGTTGTGCTGAAAAGCAGCATTTCTGAAATAAAAACCCAGCAGCCTGCGAGATGCCAGTTCTAAAGCGACATCCTCCATGCATCTTGAAGCTCTGCGTGTTGGTCAAAGCGACAACACCTTCGCTGTACTTTGGAAGCAACGGCCGCTGCTGACCAGATGTCGGCTCCTTTAGTCTGTGACGGCCACCAAAACCATCCCAAGAGATGAGTCAGAGAAACAGCGTGGCCAGATGGGCTGCCAGCGCACAGACCCAGAGGGGACACAGACTTCCTCGTGGAATCGCAAAGCCTGTGTCTGAGAACACGCACTTTAAAAAGAGTCCTTACGAAGCATGGCTATCGCACAAGCAAACGGATTCATTCAAGAGATGAATCCATGGATTTCAATAGGAATTAAGCTCCCATTCAAACGGTCAAGAGCAGAGCTGGACACGTACGAGTGTGAGCGTGATCTCTATACCCTAATGCCTCACCATTTTTATTATAAACATGTCATCTAGATGCCTATCTTTCTAAATTCGGAGGATGCAGTCCTCCCTAAATTGGGCTCTGGTGGCGGGGGAAAGGAGCCAGGAACAACGTTCCCCGCACTTCAGTGCCCCACAAGGCTCCTGAGTGTCTCAGTCAAGGGCAGCAGATGGTCAGGCCTTCCTGCAAGCCCAGGCCACTTCGAGGGCTCACTTCTGGGCAGCTGCCACATTATCTTCCCATATGAAATAGCAAGGGATAGGGCTGGGTGCGGTGGCTCACTCAAGCCTATAATCCCAGAACTTTAGGAGGCCGAGGCAGGCGGATTACCTGAGGTCAGGAGTTTAAGACCAGCCTGGCCAACATGGTGAAATCCCGTCTCTACTAAAAATAAAAAAATTAGCCAGACATCGTGGCGTACGCCTATAATCCCAGCTACGTGGGAGGCGGAGGCAGGAGAATCGCTTGAACCCAGGAGGCGGAGGTTGAAGTGAGCCAAGATCATGCCACTGCACTCCAGCCTGGGCGACAGACCGAGACTCTGTCTCAACAACAACAAAAATATATATATACATCAGCTTCACATGGAGAGACGCTCTTCGTTTGTACAGTGGCTCTCCACCCTGACTGCGCGTCAGAATCACTAGGGACACGAGAAAACGTCAACGCCAGGCTCCACAGCAGCCAAGTCAATCAGCAAGGCGATGTGGGGTGGGGTGGGGGGCCCCTGTCAGGGTTTCTGAGAAGCTCCCAGGTGACTGTGATGTGTGGCCAAGCTGAGCAGCTCAGTGCAATTTAATCATTCCACAACATACACAGATGCCAACACATCACACTGTGCCCCATAAAGACATAATATACACAATTATTATCTGTCAGTTATAAAGAAATAAACACTTCTCTGACAATCTAGGAGGCTAAACAACTACACAGGAAAACCAACAACCTTATTTCTGCTTTGAACGTTACGCAGTTTTTCAGTACCAAAAATTAAATAGATGATTTAAAAGATGAGAATGTGAATAAGGACATCGCTACCTCTTACTAAATGTTGTTTTAACATCTGGTAGTAGATTACCAGATGCTGAGACTTGTAAGATTTTAACCCTTATTAAAAAGAAAATAACATAACCAAAAAAAAAATTGTTAATATCTGGGTAAAGGCTAAAACGAAAGAAAATAATCCAGGCCAGAAGTCCGCAAACTGGAGTATCACCCGAATCCCACAGGCCTGTTCAGGTCCAGCCCGGAGGTCCAGACACGACAGGTGTGGGAAGAGGCCAGGGAAGCCGTGTCCATCAAGTTCCCAGAAGACATGGATGCTGCTGTCCAGGACCCCACTCTGGGAGCACAGATCTGGCCTCACAGGAGAGCCTGGGAAACGTCAGAATAATCTTTTGAGGTCAACTCATTCCTCTAATTCCAGGCACTGAAAGAAGGCATCTATCTGCCCTGGGAGCCCCGGCATAAATGCTCCCGAAATGAATTCAAAATGAAGCCAAATGGGAAAGTACCGTGAAAGGTGAGGTTACACTTTCTCCTTCCAGCACCGGCCCAGGCGCCGGCACATCTGGGTTCTGGTGCACACCCATCCTGACTCAGAGTCCCTGAACCTTGGCCCACGTGCCACAGGTGGGCTCCATGCTAGGAGACCGGCGGGGATGGAGATTTTGTGGGTGGATGCCCCTCACTAAAGGTGTTGGCCTGTGTTGCTCAGGGGACTCTACGGAAGAAATTGGATTAACATGAGCTCTATTTCCGTCAGCCGAGGCGTGGCCAGGGCTGCTGCCTCCTGGAGGCTGCAGGGGTCCACTCCCCGCCTTGTCCAGCTTCCGAGGCTGCTGCCCTGCTCGGCTCCTGGGTCCTCCTCCACTTTCAGAGCCGCATGCAGCCTCTCCTGCCTCTCACTGTTACTCCCACGGAGAACCCGCCTTGTACAAAGACCCTGTGATGACACAAGGCCTGCCTAGGTGGTCCAGGATGCCCCCCTTGCCTCAGGACCCGCACCTTTACCCACAAAGTCCCCATTACTGTGGAGGCTGGGCTGAGTGGTCTCCCTCAAAATTCACGTCCCCTAGAACCTCAGAATGTGGCCCTCTGTGGAAGTAATCAAGATGTAATGTAGCCGTGAGCACGTTAGGGTAAACGAATGCTTGCGCAGAAAGTGCCCGATCCACTGACTGTTGTCCTTCCGAGAAGACAGAGACTCAGAGACAGAGGGGGCCACGTGGGGACAGAGGCAGGGGCTGCGGCAACGTGGCCAGAGCAGGAAGAGGCGGTAAGGAGGCTCCGCAAGAGCCTTCGGAGGCAGCAGGGCCCCGGACACCGTGTCTTGAACCTGTGGCCTCCAGCCTGTGAGAGGCGGGAAGGAGGCTCCGCAAGACCCTTCGGCGGGAGCAGGGCCCCAGACACCTTGTCTTGAACCTGTGGCCTCCAGCCTGTGAGAGGCGGGAAGGAGGCTCCGCAAGACCCTTCGGCGGGAGCAGGGCCCCGGACACCTTGTCTTGAACCTCTGGCCTCCAGCCTGTGAGAAAGTGGGTTTCTGTTATTTTAGACCCTCTTTGTGTTCATCTGCTCCAGCAGCCCTGGCAGACTCCCACACCGATTAGATGACAACTCCACAGGCTTGGGGACTAGGATGCGGACGTCTCTGCGGCCCCCGCTGTGCTCCCACAGCTACATAATGGGATTCTGCCTCATGTGCGCCTGCTCCGCGTTCACCTCCAGTTTCAGAGGAATGGACATTTGTAAGGAATTCTACTACATTTCTAAGCAAGGCACTCCATATTTTTAGAAGATATCATTGTTAATATCTGAGTAAAGGCTAAAATGAATTGGAGTTTTACATATTTTAAAAAGTACAGAACATTGTCCAGGCGCGGTGGCTCACGCCTGTAATCCCAACACTTTGGGAAGCTGAGGCGGGATAATCGCTTGAGCCCAGGAGTTCCAGACTGGCCTGGGTAACATAGGGAGCCCTTGTCTCTACAAAAACAACAGAAAAATTAGCCAGGTGTGGTGGCACACACCTGTAGTCCCAGCTAACTAGGAGCTGAGGTCAGTCATCTGAGCCCGGGGAGATGAAGGCTGCAGTGAGCCATAACCGCGCCAGTACTCCAGCCTGGGCAACAGAGCGAGATCCTGTCTCAAAAAAAAAAAACCCAAAAATGCACTTTGACTGGCTTCACCAACGTGCAGAGAAGCAGATGTATCAGATCTGCTGTCAGGACAACAGGCTTCCCCTTAACACTCCCAACACCTTACAAATGCGTATTATCCAGAGTGCCAGGCAACCTCATGCACCCAAGGAAAAAAGAAAAGATACCCCAAAAGTAGTGACTCTGAGGTCACAAAACTACTCCACAGGCCGGGCACACTGGCTCACACCTGTAATCCCAGCACTTTGGGTGGCCGAGGTAGATGGATCACCTGAGGTCAGGAGTTTGAGACAAGCCTGGCCAAACTGGCAAAACCCCGTCTCTACTAAAAATACAAAAAGTAGCTGGGCATGGTGGCATATGCCTGTAATCCCAGCTACTCAAGAGGCTGAGGCAAGAGAGTCACTTGAACCGGGAGGTGGAGGTTGCAATGAGCCAAGATCGCGCCACTGCACTCCAGCCTGGGTGACACTGGGTGAGACTCAATCTCAAAAAAATAAAAATAAAAGAAACTATTCCTCAACATTAGGGTCCCAGCCTTCTACCGTATGGGCTTGTTCCCACCCAGGACAGTCCTACACTCAGGGATGTTAGCTCAGCCAGGCGCAGTGGCTCACGCCTGTAATCCCAACACTTTGGGAGGTCAAGGCAGAAGGATTGCTTGAAGCCAGGAGTTTAAGACCAGCCTGGGCAATAAAGCAAGACCCCCATCTCTATCATAAAATAAAATAAGATGTTGGGCCCACAGCGCAAGGTCCAAAGGACTTCAACACGACCAGTTAACGGCCCACGTGAATGATGGAAACACAAGCCACGCACGGCCCCAAAATACTCAGAAGCCAATCAGGGCAGACTTTTCCGAAAGGTTTGGATGCTGTGAGAGAACAAATTTTGAGACGCTCTCCATGAAGACACACTAAGAGCAGCTGAATACTGAAAACCCACACATCACAGGCATAGGTTGAGGCTGTTGAAATTGGCTTTCTTTTTTCACACACAAGAACTTTTTCTTCCTGATATTCTAGTAGGTCATCCACTTAAATTTGTCCAAAGAGAAATGCAACCAATGTTTAACTGCTGTTTTTCATTTTATTTTCTAAATTTTTCAAGTTTTCTACAATGACTTTGTGTTTTTATAACGACACTCAAACTTCAGCATGAACAACAGTATGTCAATCAAAACCCACATATGATAAAGCCGCCAGCTCGAAGCAACTGGCGCTACATCACAATAGGAGGCTGCGCAGCCTGGATGCTCGAGAGGCCAGCCCGGCAGCGTGGGGAGGAGGTCTCTTCCTCGTGAGCTACATGAAGCTTCCCTCCACCTGCCTCGGGGACAAAAGGAATGTCCCCTGCCCCCAGTGCAACTCTGAAGACTCGCTAGGCCCCAGCTGCGCGGCCTCCCCAGAGGCTGGTCAGAATTCCATCCCAGGTCCACAGTGCACATTCCAGAGAAATAGTGAGACAGACATGCGACATGAGGAGCCTCTCAGTGCTTGTCCCCTTGTATTGAAAAGCCCTTGCCCAATCACCTGAGGTCAGGAGTTCAAAACCAGCCTGGCCAACATGGTGAAACCCTGTCTCTACTAAAAATACAAAAATTAGCCGGGCGTGGTGGCAGGCGCCTGGAGTCCCAGCTACTTGGGACGCTGAGGCACGAGAACTGCTTGAACCCGGGAGGCAGAGGCTGTAGTGAGCTGAGATCACACCACTGCACTCCAGCCTGGGTGACAGAGTGAGACTCCATCTCAAAAAAAAAAAAAAAGAAAAGAAAGAAAGAAAAGAAAAGCCAGCACATTCCTGTCAGCACCAAGGAGAGACTGTTGTCAACGCTCACTAAGTCGACTGTTCCCTCCCACAGCTCTCCTCACTGACTGCTCAGAGGAAGGGCTGGTCAGTCTAGAACGGCACAAATGTCTTCAAACGTTGCCCACCCCTCCTTTTCCACCTCGGCCCCTTCCAGCCCCGTGTTCCCCGTCCACAGACTCCTGAGAGGTCCACAGACTCCTGAGAGGTCCCCTGGCTCTGGCCTCCACTCAGCTAGACAGTTCACACCTCAACAAGGCAGTGCTGTTAGCAGGCGTGTAAAGGGTTCAGACACCACCCTGAAGCGTGCTAACCAAATCCAGGCACCTCCGCACCAACTACACGAAGGTCCCCTCAGTAAAGCGGGACCCAGTTCCCCAGCTGCAGTGATCTGCTGAGATCTGGCAGGACATTAGGTGAAATTACTCTTTCTGCTTTCAGTTGGTGTTTTTAGAAATCGGGCATTTATGAAACTTAAGATGTAGGTCTGCTCCCAACAGACCATGCTGACCCATGGGCCATCGGGGTGGACTGAAAGCAGTAGTAGGGGCTCCACGAGCCTCTAGAAACTGCAACACAGCTTTTAGGGCAGGTAGGTGTTTTCAATCTCTTTCTGGACAGCTGAAATTCATTGTCTCCATCACCACTCAACCACTCTGAGCTAATAAAAAGTGGAAACAGGCCAGGTGCAATGGCTACACCTGCAATCCCAACACTTTGAGAGGCCAAGGTGGGAGGAATGAATGAGCCCAAGAGTACAAGACCAGCCTGGGCAACATAGTGAGACCCGTCACTACAAAAAACTGAAAAATTAACCAGGCATGGTGGCACACGCCTCTAGTCCCAGCTACTAGGGAGGCTGAGGCAGGAGGATCGCTTCAGCCCAGGAGTTCAAGGATACAATGAGCTGTAATTGTGCCACTGCACTCCAACCTGGGCAACAAGACAGACCCTGTCTCAAAAAAAAAAAGTGGAGACAGCATTAAATTCCTATAACTGTGGCTTAGAAAAATTTCCAGAGCTCCATCAAAAGAATTCGGTTCTTTTTTTTTTTTTTTTTTTGAGACAGAGTCTCGCTCTTGTCTCCCAGGCTGGAGTGCAATGGCGTGATCTCGGCTCACTGCAACCTTCACCTCCCGGGTTCAAGCGATTCCCCCACCTCAGCCTCTGGGTACCTGGGATTACAAGCACACGCCACCACACCCAGCTAATTTTTGTACTTTTAGTAGAGATGAGTTTCACCATGTTGGCCAGACAGGTCTCGAACTCCTGACCTCAGATGATCCACCTGCCTCGGCCTCCCAAAGCACTGGGATTACAGGCATTAGCCACCATGTCTGGCCAAAAAGAAGAATTAAGTTCTAAAGAGTCAACTGTTAGCCAGGCACGGTACCTCATGCCTGTAATCCCAGAACTCTGGGAGGCCGAGATGGGCAGATCACTTGAGACCAGCCTGGCCAACATGATGAAACCCCATCTCTACTAAAAATACAAAAAAATTTGCTGGGCATGGTGGTGTATGCCTGTAATCCTAGCTACCTGGGAGGCTGAGGTGGCAGTATTACTTGAACCGAGGAGGCAGAGGTTGTGACACTGCACTCCAGCTTGGGTGACAGAGTGAGACTCTGCCTCAAAAAAAAAAAAGGAGTCAACTGTTGCTACCTGCCTTTGTCTATTGAGGGTATATGCATATGTGATTTTTAATTCACATAGGCTATTAAAATGTGATTAAAACTAATAAAGGTCAGAAGTCAAATATTCATATTTCACTTTAGAATAAAATTTTAAAGCTTCTACTCTGTTCGTTCCTCTCTGTGTCTGCAGTAGCTCCTCAATAAACGATACATGTGAAAATGTGCATTAAAGTGATCTCGACTGGTAGTACCCAGAAACCACTGCAGAAAGGTAAGCCAAATGCAGCCTGGGTCCAACACACAGGTGTGATCTCTGTCACAGCTGAAGCAGAGCCACGCTGCAGCAAGTGAACGTGAAAGGATGACAAAAAGCCACGAGGTCCGCTTGCTCCAGGACCAAAGCTGTCCCATGTGTGAATCAGAGGGCCCTCCCCATGCAGTTCTTGGCCGTGCTGGCTGCCGCAGAAGCCAAAGCTCGCAGGAGGTACATACGGCAGGTGTAAACGTCTCTGTACGCCATGTGCTCATAATCAGGGAGAATTTTCACAAAACGTCCCGACTTCACGCGAGGGTTTATACCTGAACAGACACAGCAGGGAAAGGGCTAAGGATGGCTCCCTTTACAGGACTGTGCAAACAGCGTGAATACGACCCAATGCCTGCCCCTCACCAGTGTGATACAATCCCCTCGTGTTTATGCAGCCACCCAGGACACAGAGAGGTGGCTCTGAGAAACCTGCTGGAGAGAACAACACTGTGACACGTTTTCCTTCCATCAGTGGTGCCACCAGAAACTCACGGTGGCAGCAAGCTTGGAAATCCTTTCCATATTTGATCACACTCCTCCCGGGGCCAGCACACTCCCGGCAGGCCCCAGGCCACAGCTCACTGGGGCTCAGGAGGTGGGAGGGCAGGTGTCCTGGCAGGTGAGCATCTGGGATGACCGTCTAGAGAACACTTACCCCGGCTAACATACTCACTTTGCCCAGCACCCACCTGGCGTTTCCCAGCCTGCTAACTCAGGCCAGCCTCGTCACAGGTCATCCAAGGTTGCCCAACTACACCACCCGTTTCTGGAGCTAAGGCTGATTTTCTTCCACCACCTGTTCCCAAAGCTAAGTAATTTTCTCCTGGATAAGCCTTAAAGCAAATTCACAGAAACACAGTTGCTGCGCTGTGAAAATGAACACTGACATTTGCTTTGGCCACTGCAGACTAACACTGCGGGGAATAAACACTGTCGGAAACAGATCATGTGAATTCTCCGCATTTTGCAAACACTTTCAAGGGGTCAAGAATCAGCAGTGAAAAGAAATCTCCCAATGCCCTGTCCTCCTATCCCCTCTTCTGTGCCCACCCCCTGCCCTACCCTCGGCCACACTGCCTCCTGCCTGCCTATGCCCGGATGGCCTCTCCCACAGGACAGGAGGACTCAGTGCTCAGGCAACACCTCCGACCCCCACAGCTGGAAGGAGCATCCATGTGTACACTCCTATGGCTGTTACAGGAAACCCTAACACCTGGGCAGGCCAAACACCTGTGTCCCTACCGGGACATGACTTTTGGTGCTGACAACTCTTAGAGAGAAATATGTCTTCATGTCACTTTGAGATGATATGACCCAAATGGCCTAAGAAACTCAAAGAGCAACTGCCTTGCAGAAATGAAAAAGAAAAAAGAAAAGAAGCTCAAAGAATGGTCAGAAGATGAAAACGTGGGGTATGAGACACTCACAGAAACCCTCTGACCATCCAAAAAAGCCAAGAGCTTCGTCCAGTGAGCAAGAAATGGGAAAGTCCCTGGCACTGAAGAAACACCCGCGGGAAGACAGCCTGGGGCCAAGGAGCCTCTGCCTGATCGGTGAGTGTCACAGTTGACTCTGGAAAGCGGGTGAACCAGAGAAACATGAAACGGGGCTGGGGGGCTCAGCCTGCTCACAGAATGCTAAAGGGAAGGAGAACTCTAGCAGGGGGGCTGTTCTCCGTACCTGGGGCTTGGACAGAAGGCACCACAGCTTCATTTCCCAATGACCACAGGCAGTCCCATCCTGAAGGCTGGAGGCCCAGAAGCCAGAGAAACAGGCAGCCTCCAGGAACACCCAAGTCGCTCTGGTGCAGCCTACATTTCTCAGCTCTAAAGGGCCTCGATGCCTGGTAAAAGACACTAGTATCTACGATGCCCAGAATGGGAGAATACGGTGTCCCCTCCCTAATTTTAGTGCTGTTACTACCAGTGCTCTATTCAAAATGTGACTGTAAGATGGTGTCTGAGAAAACAAAAGTGTGGACTAAATCACTTTGATTATTTGTCATTGATGTGCACTGTCTGCTTCTGGTACAAAGTTAATCATGGATGGTAACAAATAGATTCACTCACGCTTCGCATAGACGTCCCGACAAGACACGCCTGTGATCTCCAGCTTCCGCAAGTTTTCGCAAACACCATACTCTGTAACAAGAAACATTTGCAGAAATTTAAGATCAACAACTCATAACGCGACAGACGTGGGCAGGCTGCTGATGGCTGGCAGGGGAGGTGCACACCTAGCCTCAGCCCCATCTCCAGAGTGCATCTGTCACTGTGGAGATTTCACTGACTTCTCCACATTCAGTAAACACCCTTGTTCACCGATGAAGACATTATTCTATTTTAGTCAATGTCACCCTTTACAAAATAATAATCTGCAATGTCTATTCTAATAAGCTCTAGAAGCCTAACCACACAAACCAATATCAGACAATCCCTAGTTTATGAACAAGGTGAGGCAGAATTCAGTTGTCTGGACACAGTGCCATGTTTCCATGGAAACAAATTCACCACTGGTGTTAGGGTTCAGACAGTGCCAGAGGCCAGTCCACCCCATGTACTTCCCTGTGCTGCCTGTGTGTTCAACTCAGCCCAAGGCCAAGAGGGGACCGTGCAAGACATGGGGGAAGGGGTGAACATTGTCCCTTCTCCACTGGCTAGGCTTGGCCAGGGCCCAGTGCAGGGCCCTGGACACCTCCCGCAACCCCTGTCCTCACACCCTCACCTGCTGACAGCACCTTCCTCTTTGTCCCCTACTCCCACCCCACCACAGCTGCACTTTTCACAATCACCAACACCCAGCACGTCCCAAGCAAAATCCCAGGTCCTCCGGCTTGGGTCTCCGCTAGCCTTTGAAAGGAAAGACCGCCAGGGACTAATCCACACAACTACAGAACTGCACATGGGCCAAGAGCTGCTACTGGCAACACCTGCATTGAGCTTTCCACGTGCTGTGTACCATGCCAAGCCATGCTGGGCATCACCTCACTGCATCCTACAGCAGTCCCATAAGAGAGTCACCACTGTCATCTCCATTTTAACAGAGAAAACAAGTGCAGAGAGGTGACATGACTCCACAAAGGACCTGGAGCTTATGGTCAGCTGGGACCAAGAATTGAAGCCTAGATCAAAAAGCTTCCTTCGCAGTGAGAATGTGGCAGGGGCACAACACAGGAGACGGGACGAGGTGGCTGGGTCTCCACATGGACCACTGCAGCTCACACTGACTGTGTTATGCCCTGTGCAGGCGTGAGAGCCTGACAGTGACCTTGAAGGTCAGGACCCTCCCTGTGGCAGCGAGGGAAACCGAGGCCCAGTGAAGTTGATGGCCATCAGAGCTCATTCAGCAGTCACAATACAGGAACGTCGATACGATGCGGTCAGGCTAGCCAGGTAGCTCCAAAGTGCTGCCCCTCATCACATGCCTTTTGATAAGCCCTACTCGCGCAGAGGCCTCATCCCTTCTTTTCAATAGCATGGATGCTATTACCCCAAATGCTTCTCTAACTGGAAGCACTGACCGTACTCAAAGTAAAGCTCGAGAAGCAGACAGGGTGGAGACAGCAGTCAAGGCGAGGTGGCTGCTACTCAGCAAACCTCTTTCCAGCGGGACCGTTCCAGGCTTGTGCCTTGACAGCATGTCCCCTGCCTCCACTTCTGAACCTCAAGGCTCCTAGAAGGCCTGTGTCTCCTCTCAGTTGTGGTCTACGGGTCCCCCTTAGCGGGAGGACCTGGGAAACTACATCCTAAATCCAGTAGGCTCCAGTGAGGAGTGCCCAGAGTGGGTCCCCTAATAAATACACCCAGCGAGGAGACGCATTTTAGTTCTTTGGAGAAGAAAACAGGAATGAGAAGAGTGAGTCACTTGAAGATCTCCCACAGAGCCCAGGAAGCTGCTGATTCCAGATCTAGGCCGGGGCTGCCCTGATGGAAACACAACGTGAGCCACAAATAGCATTCACATTTTCTAGTAGCCACATCAAAAAGGGTACAATTAAACAGGTAAAATTCATGGTAATATTTTATTTAACTCAGCATAACTAATTATTATCTTTTCAATGTGCAGTCATTACTGAGTTATCTTTTTTTTTTTAGAGATAGGGTCTCACTATGTTGCCCAGGCTGTAATGTAGTGGCTACAGGTAAAACATACATACATACATACATTTATTTATTTAGAAATGGAGTCTCATGTCCCACTATGTTGCCCAGGCTGTAGTGTAGTGGCTATAGTTAAAACATACCATTCATTCATTTATTTAGAGATGGAGTCTCGCTCTGTTGCCCAGGCTGTAGTATAGTGGCTACAGGTAAAACATACATACATACATTTATTGATTGATTGATGGATGGATGGATGGAGTCTCGCTCTGTTGCCCAGGCTGAAGTGCACTGGTGCAATCTCGGGTCACTGCAACCTCCGCCTCCCAGGTTCAAGCGATTCTCCTGCCTCACCCTCCTGAGTAGCTGGGCCTACAGGCACACAACACCATGCTGGGCCAATTTTTGTATTTTTAGTAGAGATGGGGTTTTAATTCACCATGTTGGCCAGGCTGGTCTCCAACTCCTGACCACAAGTGATCTGGCCTCCCAAAGTGCTGGGATTACAGGCGTGAGCCACTGTGCATGGCCAGAGTTTAAACATTTATTTATCAATTACTTTGTCCTTATGACCAGGGGAGTCAGGGACCCCTGTCTTTACTACAAACAGGCCTGGGGACCAGGACCTTTGTCCTCCCTTCAGTCAGGGCCAGGGATGAGGAGCTGACATGCAGCATGAAGCAGCCCAAGGGCCGCTCTGACAACCATCCAGGCTGACTCCTGCTAGTAATGACAGAGAAAAAACCAACACCAGGTGCAGGTTAAAAATAAAACAAAAGCCGGGCGCGGTGGCTCATGCCTGTAATCCCACCACTTTGGGAGGTCGAGGTGGGAAGATCACCTGAGGTTGGGAGTTCGAGATCAGCCTGACCAACATGGAGAAACCCCGTCTCTACTGAAAATACAAAATTAGCCGGGCATGGTGGTGCATGCCTGTAATCCCAGCTGCTAGGGAGGCTGAGGCAGGAGAATCGCTTGAACTCAGGAGGCAGAGGTGGCAGTGAGCCAAGATCGCACCACTGCACTACAGCCTGGGCAACAAGAGCAAGACTCTGCCTCAAAAAAAATAAAAATAAAAATAAATCAACACCGGCTCATCTCCTTTGCCTCACGGTCTAGGGGCCTCCTGGGTGACCTGGGGCATCTGAGGCTTGCCTGCCAAGGAGGACCAAGGACTGGTAAGAATTTCTTAAGTGAAAATTTGTCAATGATAGAATAATAATGAAGAAAATTCAGCAATTGCCTCCAGAGAATTTTGTTTTAGAGGAGCTCTCCAACTGTCCAGGGTGACTGGCAAGAATGGCAGGAATAAATAGTTTTTTAATGAAAATCTCTTGCTACATGGTTAAGTGCTACGGGGAAATCAAAGAATCATGAGAGAACTGGACAGGGACTCTGTGAGAGTCTCCTGAGAGGGACTCTCAGCAAAACCAACACTGTCTTGAGCTGTGGAGGAAAAAGGCAAATGATAATAAAAGACTTAGTCTGTGTTACAAATAACTGGAGCAACAACATCTTCATTTTTCATCTGTAAGTTAAAGGAACTGGACCGGATCATCTGTCAGCTCCCCCTTCCGAGCTCTCAACATCCTACGATTCTAGTTGGAGATAAAAGAATATTCACCAGCAAATGTTTACAAATGGGAGGGGGAAGGGGAAAGACGCTGATGCAGAGCAAGGACGGGGAGGGCAGGGCTGGCGGGGTGAGAGCTGCGGCCGCAGGCTGGCAGCCGCCCCACCTCCTGTTCCATTATAATCTTATTTTGGTTATGTTGATACAACACAATCTGTCCTTCCAAGTGATCACCGGAGTCCAGATATTTCTGTCAAGTCAGCCAACCAGGAAGGGGCTGCAGACAAAGTGCGGCAACAGGGACTCCACCAGGCCATGGAGCTCATCCCACAAGACGCCTCACCGCACAGGAGGGCTGACCCCAGGGAAACGTGTCACCAGGACACAGCACGAAGCTCAAAAGGGGCTAGCATGCTCTGTGCAGCTGCCAGACTCTGCCCTGAAGAATCACAGGGCACTCTAGTGAGCGCTGCAGCAGCCAGCAGGCCCTGGATGGCCAGGTGTGCAGTGGGGAGGCACAGGGGGTGCACCAGGACGCAGCCAGACCTGGGCCAGTTCGCGCCGACTCTTCTCCATTCCAGAGGTCCAGGAAGCACCTGTCAATGTGGAAGTCAGAATGCTCAGGCCAAATACCGAGATCAACTAACTATTCAGGTTGAACCAGAGGCCTGGGCGGGGGCATCCAACTGCCCACCCGTCAGACTGAGGGACGCGTCACCCCAGGCCACAGCCCTCCAGAATGCAGTACAACCACTAGGTATGACTTATCAGCTACAGTGAACTCCGGGAGGAAATCCCACCGCTGATACCATCATTTAGTTTCACTTTGCAGATTACAAAACATTTTATCTGGTGGCTCATGCCTGTAATCCCAGCACTTTGGGAGGCCAGGGCAGGCGGATTACCTGAGCTCAGGAGTTAGAGACCAGCCTGGGCAACATGGCGAGAGCCCATCTCTACAAAGAATACAATAATTAGCCAGGCATGGTGGCACACTACTCAGGAGGCTGATGTGGGAAGATCATCTGAGTCCAGGAGGTCGAGCCTGCAGTGGGCCAAGATAACACCACTGCAATCCAGCCTGAGTGACAGAGCGAGACCCCGTCTCTTAAATATATATATATATATATATATATATATATCAGGCAGGCCACCCAATAATTACAGCATTTTCTGTGAGGATATAAAGGTCTTTGCAGTGATGACAGAAAGAGAAAACCAATTTGCTTTAAGGCGAGATTCAAACTGGGAGTAGAAGGAGGTAAACAGAGGCAGGCGGAATGAGCCTCTGGGCCAGGCCAAGGGGTCAGGACTTCTGCTGCAGGCAGAGGGGAGCCTCAAAAGGCTCCTGAGCAGGGGCAGCGAGCTCCCTGGCAAGGCAGTGGCTCTCAACCCCTCAGACCAATCCCACTCCTTAAAACAAATATTACTAACACGTCCTAGATCCTCATGAAAGCAAAGAAACGATTCTACACACAATTGTAAACAATTAATATTGCCCTAATTGTAACAGGAAGGAATACAGAAATCCATCAAGGTACGTTTTGACATGTGATGCTCAGGTGAGACTTCAGCAGAGCCAGGCCGCTCTGGGCGTGGTCCAGGGACCTGCAGCATGGCCTCCTTGGGAGCTCGGCAGGGAGTCCCAGGCATCACCATCTCAGCAAGATACCCGGGATGGCTGGAGGAGCCCTGCACGGGCTGTGAACATCTCTGCCCATGCGGCCCACCATATTCAGCGCTGCCATGGTAACATGCATTTCCAAACAATTTCTGGAAAAGTTCTGAGCAAAATACACTTTTCTCTTAGTTGACAATGTATGAAACAACTGTATGAAAAACGCTGGGTGTAGGCCGGGCAAGGTGGTTCACGCCTGTAATCCCAGCACTTTGGGAGGCCAGGCAAATCACTTGAGGTCAGGAGTTCAAGGCCAGCCTGGCCAACATGATGAAACCCGGTCTCTATTGAAAATACAAAAATTAGCCGGGTGTGGTGGCAGCCACCTGTAATCCCAGCTACTCAGGAGGCTGAGGCAGAAGAATCGCTGGGAATCCGGGAGGCGGAGGTTGCCGTGAGCCAAGATTGCGCCACTGCACTCCAGCCTGGGCAACAGTGTGAGACTGCTTCTCAAAAACACAAAACAAAACAAAAAACAAATCGGTCAACGTCACCAAAACCAAGCAGAGTCTAACAAACTGTCACAGCCCAGAGGAGGCACGAGGACTGAATGCCACGGGGGCTCCCAGATGGGATTCTGGGAGAAGAAAAGGATGTGAGTGAAAACTGCGGAAATCTGAACCAAGTGCAGGCGTGGTTAATCATAACACATCATTATTGGTTTGTTAACTGTGACAAATATGCCATACTAAGAGAAGACGGTCACAACTGGGGAAATCAGAGCATATGGGAACTCTCTGCCCTTCCTTGCAATTTTTTAATAAATCCTATAATATTTAGTTTATTTAGGAAAAAATAATGCTCCTTATCATAAAACACCTCCTAGGAGGCAACACCCACGGCTGTGGTGGCAAGGGCCCAGACAGAGGTGAAGAGAGCGGGCAAGATCAGAGCAGAGCAGTGCAGAGGCCTGGAAACGCCCAGAGTGGGAAGGGCCCTGAGCACTCCAGGTGTGGCAGAGCTGGGAGGGCAGAGCTGGGAGGCAAAGGGAGGCATGCAGGGGTCACCTGGAAACAGCCAGGGAGCAGGACTGGCTTTCAGGAAAGGAGTGGACACAGAGATTGCCACTGACGAAAAATGGGAAAATATTTATGTACCACAGTTGCTGGTAAAGAAACTGATGAAAGAGCTCCAGCCAACAGGATCATCCACGATGGGCTGCTACATGGAGAGAGGGGAGGCAGAGGGCAGACGGGCCGGCTGCTGGGAGTGTGACGTCCACTCTTCTGCAAAGAAAGGGGCACACACATCTAGGGGTAGATGGAGCACTCTCTGGCGACCTCCAAAATAGCAATGCGGAAAATAAAAAAGAAACAACAAGACGGGCGCAAGGGCTCACACTTGTAATCCCAGCACTTTGGGAGGCCAAGGCAGAAGGCTTGCTTGAACCCAGGAGTTCAAGACCAATCTGAGCAACACAGTGAGACCCCAGCTCTACAAAATTTTTTTTAAAAATTAGCCAGGCACAGTGGCACACCTGTAACACCGGCAGTTTGATGTGGGAGGATTCTTGAGCCCAGGAGTTCAAGGCTGCTGTGAGTGACAATCAAGCCACTGCACTCCAGCCTGGGCAACACAGTGAGACCCTGTCTCAAAAAAATAAATAAATAAACAAACAAACAGAAAGAAATATGGTGTTTGTGAATCCAAAGCAGGGATGAAATGATACTTGCATGTAACATGGGTTGTCAATCTGAGGGACTGTGGGTTGTCAATATCCCTGCAGACCACTCACCCTCAGACCAGCTCAGTGGGTCACACTCACTGAAGTCAGGAAATAATAACAACTGGCCTACCTGCTCTCACTGAGCCGAGCTCCGCACCAACCCCCGACCACTGAAGCACATCAAGATTCCCAGGGGGGTCCTGCCAGTGCCCTGATGATCAGGTGGCTCTTCCTGAGACCCACCAGTCAGCTGCCACTATTTCCTCTGACTCTCCATAAGTACTTTATCCTCTTCTTACACAAATGATGCACTTCAAAATCGTTAGTTACTGCATAATGAGACTGGAGCTTCAGTTTGCTGCGTGGTTTAAAGGACAGCCCCTTTCCAGGTTCCAGATGCCACCAGTGCACATGACACCTCACTGACAAAGGAGTCTGGACTGGGGGTGCTTCTCCTCTGACGCATTTTCGTAGTTGCCTTAATGCTGCAGACAAGATGCTCTGATTCCCTGCGCCAACGGCCAGATGGGTGGACACCGGAAAACGCATCCATTTGTGCTTGTTGTTTATGCCGCCTGAAGTCATAAGCCAGTCCTCTGCAAGCCATCAATACTGTTCCTGAGGCAGTTTATCTTTGCTCAGATTGCTGAAGGCTGGTGACTTAGTTTCATGAATTTTCACTGAGCCCAATGCATCCTCTAACCTGTCAGAAACAATGCACGTAGCCTTTTATTAACTGCTTGGACTTCTGAATGAGTCCAAGGTTTTTAGCTAGGATAGCCACATCAACAGAGCCCATGGCCACCATCATTCTCTGTATACCTCACCAGCAAATGTATTGCTAATACCAAGTAGGAGATGAAATCAACAACTTGATAAAGCATCCACAAAAATGCTATTCAAATTCAGAAGAAAAGCAAAATGATGGCACAGTGCTAATGAATACAACAATCCTTAGTGGGTTTTTCCTACTGTCACCAAAAGGTCACGACAAATGAACCAGAGGAGAATAAATGTCATTCTGACCCAACTGCTCCTTTAAGTAATGTTCGATATTTTCCACATGATGAAAAAAGTCTTTTAAAAAATAGGGGTTAAGAACAATTACACATCCTTTTATTGTTCTATAAACCTTCTCATAAGTCATCAAGGGAAACTGCCCTTAACACAGCTCTCAGGCCAGTGTCCTTTCCAGCAACTATGCACCCTTCCTTCCAGAAAGACTGGCAAGTGATAACTCCCATCCTGCTGCACAGATCCAACCCAACTCCAGACGGCCAGCACGACCTGTGCTGCCTACCCGCTTCCAGGCAACAGGTTCAGTGTTGCAGGCTGTTAATGCACAGTGTGCTTGCTAAAAGTTTCCTTACTAATCTATTTCCTTTTTTTTTTTTTTTTTGCCTTTATAAGAGGAAGTGTGCTGGGTAATTATCCATCTTAATAGTTTCAGAAAGAGGAACAGATAACCTCAGTCCAACATGATTGGAGGTTGGCAAAATCTACTGAAGCAGCTGTTCTGATTGCTAAGGATTTAATTTAGATAGTTTCTTTGTTTTTTGTTTATTTGTCTTTTTGAAATAGAGTTTCGCTCTTGTTGCCCAGGCCGGAGTGCAGTGGCACCATCTCGGCTCACTGCAACCTCCACCTCCCAAGTTCAAGTGATTCTCCTGCCTCAGCCTACCAAGTAGCTGGGATTACACGTGCCCGCCACCACACCTGGCCCCAATTTTTGTATTTTTAGTAGTGACGGGGTTTCGCCATGTCTCGAACTCCTGACCTCAAGTGATCTGCCTGCCTCGGCCTCCCAAAGTGCTAGGAATACAGGCGTGAACCACTGCACCCGGCCTTTATTTTTTTTATTTTTTATTTTTTTCATTTCCTCTTGTAAGAGGTCATCTTCTGATTGGAATATGTGAAGTGGCAATTTAGTTTTGTTATCATGGTAAAAATAAACATAAAAGCTACCATTTTACCCACTGTTGACTGTACGGCTCACGGGGACTCAGCACCTCCATATCGCCGTGCAGCCTCCTCCACCATCCACGTGAAGAACCTTTTCATCTTCCCAGACAAACTGTCCCCATGGAGCGGCAACTCCACACTTCCCCAGCCCCGTCCTCGGCACCCACCATTCTGCCTTCTGTCTCTCTGCTTTTGACTACTCTAAGACACCTCATCCAAGTGGAAGCATGCCGTACTTGTCCTTTGGTGACAGTTTATTTCACTTAGCATAATGTCCTTCAGCTGCGTGCATCATCAGGATTTCCTTCCTTTTTAAGAATGGATTGTATTCCAGCCTGCAGGGACCACGCTGTGTTCATCCGTTTATTCATGGATGAGCACCTGGGATGGCTCCGCCTTTTGGCTACTGTGAATAAAACTGCTTCAGACATAGGTGTCAAGATATCTGAGTCCCTTCCTTTCTTTTATGGGGGGAATATACCCAGAAGGAGACTTTTTAGATCAGATGGTATTTCTAAGTTTAAATTTTTTAGGAACTACAATACTGTTTTCCACAGCGTGACTATTTTTCATAAATTTCTCTTGTTTTTGAGACAGGGTCTCACTTTCTGTCAGCCAGGCGACAGACTGAGACTCCGTCTCAAAAATAAATAAATAAATAAGAAAATTTCAAAAAAAAAATGCTATTTAAAAGCTGTTTTGCCAAGAGGAACAAAACAGCCCAGTGACCTGACCTGAGTCCAGCTACACTGAAGCTGTGCCCTTTCATGACTCAACTGCCAGGGGCCACCAACCTCTGCACACCATCTTCTTGTCCAACAGAGCTCATTGCTGAGTGGTGGCACTTACTGGAAACCCCGTCCCTGCAGCACAGGCCTGAATGGGGCCTGCATCTAGTCCATCTCTCTGGTGGGAATGCTTTGGAAGAGCCCTTACTGTCCCCCTGTCCCACTCTCCCCTCCCTCTCAGGGGCCCGGGGAAGACTCATCTGCTTCGTGAGCACCCCCTACCCCTGGGAAGGGAAGATGAAGAGGACGGGAGGTGGCAGCCTGGCCAGCGTGGCCGAGCCCGCACTCAGCACACTGGGATGGGAGGGACAGGGACACACAGAGTCACTATTCTGTGCACGGCACTGGCACTAGGGGGACTGCAGTAAGAAGGCACTTGGCATCTTCCTCCCAAAAGCACCACTTGAGAAAGGCACCACACTAAGATGCCATCTGGGGCAACTTGGCAGGTGCCTGAGTGTGGAGAGAGCTTTGCCCAGCCCTGGGGCACTCGACACCAGGGACTGCAGTCAGCACTGCAGAGTTCAGCTGGTAGGGCTGCGCCAGCCACCGGGCCGCCAGACCCAGGGGAATAGGAGCCTGTGGGTGGGGATGACTGAGGAGGCAGTGGGGTGACCCTGGGCATGCAGGCAGGGAACCCGAGGGAGAGGGCCCTGTGAGACAGGCAGAGGCAGCCACTGCGGCCCCTGGGACACTGCTGGGTCTCAGCCTCCCTGGAGCAGAGTGAAGCCAGGAGCAGAGGGGGCGGCGAGTGCTGAGGGACCTGCTGGCTGGTGTCCTACCCGCTTTACACTCAGTTTTCCAAATAAAACCAAAAGACGACACTGATTGGAAAGACTGCGTTTGTACTTGCGCTAAATTAGGGGATAATTACAATCCATAGGAAACATGGCTTAAATTTTTCTGCTTCTGAGGCTAAAAAGGAAGTTAAGGCACAGGGAATGAGCTGGCGGTGGCAGGGGGGACATGCCCCCGGGCTCCAAGAACAGCGCCCCAACTGCGGCCCGGCACTCCCCAACACTCCCAGCTCTGCAGCCACCAGCCTGACTGCATGGAAAACTTGCTGTTTTTAAATAATGCAGCAGATCTGCAAACACTCCCACAGCCAGCATCCCCTCAGGATAGAATGGAAAAAACAAAGCCTGGGCGCAGCCCCCAGGCATCTCCTATCAAACATCAGAGTATGTGGGTGCTAAACAATGAGGTGACCACTGAGCCAGCGTAGCTCCTGCTCAAACAATCTCATCCCTGCAATGACAGTAGCCATGTGGACAGGAGACTTGAGAAGACTGCCTCCTCCAGCCAGGACTTCCGCCCCTCCTCTGGCACCCACGACAGGCACCCACTGGCCAAGGGAGTCCCCTCTCGCTAAGATGCAGTGGTCATCCCCGATACCACTCCTTCCCAAAGGGCACAAGCAATCACTCGGTGACACTGTTCACGACCCTTCTGTGAGTCTGACTCTACAATCCTATCACCCAGGACCTTCCCGAGATTTCAAATGCGTCCTCTTCCTCCATTCATGCCAGGCAGGCCTGACGAGTCGTGGCTAATTCTCTCCATCACCCCGGTGGCCAGGGACGGCGTTCCTGTCAAAGGACGCTGACCCAGAAAGGGGAGAGACAGCAGGGACACACTTGTTTTTTGAGAGGACACTCGTTCCCCTGCAAGATCCCAAGATGCCCTGTGTGTACATGGCCTTTCCAGACAGAAAGACAAACCCCAGACCCTCAGATGCATTACGTCATTGCATTACAAACAGGATCAGTGAGCGCGCAGCGCCAGGACCTCTAGCAACCAATTAGTTCTGCTGGGCAAGTCTCAGGGAGTGTCCCATGACAAGTGGGGAAGGGGAAACCTCGACTCAACACCTTCCGGGTGCCAGATTCACTTTTGTTTTTAAATTTTTTTTTTTTAAGTTAAAAAAAAATAGTCTTAAAAAATGTTTGGGCTGGGTGCAGTGGCTCATGTATGTAATCCCAGCACTTTAGGAGGCCGAGGTGGGCAGACTGCTTGAGCTCAGGAGTTCGAGACCAGTCTGGACAACATGGCAAAACCCCATTTCTACTAAAAACACAAAAATTAGCCAGGTATGGTGGCACATGCATGTAGTCCTAGCTACTGGGGAGGCTGAGGAAGGAGGATCATATGAACCCAGGATGTGGAGGTGGCAGTGAGCCGAGATCATGCCATTGCACTGCAGTCTAGGCAACAGAGTAGGGAAAAATGAAATGCTCCCCTAATAAGCACCATTTTCCTTTATTCTCCTTGTGCTTTGCTAAGTGAAATGACTACGTTTCTCTAGACAGTGGTGGATGATATTCAACTTGCAAAAATATAGAGAACTGCCCTCCTTCCCATTGAAAAGGCAGAGGAAAAGGAAAAAGGCTTTCCCCACAGTGCTGAGACCCCACTGTATGTCAGGACACGGGCCAGTGTTCCCATCTCCTGGCTCAGTCATGGTGTTGCTACTGCCTGGACAGTGCGTTTATCCAGCTGCCCACCCGCCACCCATTCCATCAGAACCAGTGGGCTCAACAACTGTCTGCTAACAAGAATCATGAAGCATTTCTTTTTGTTTTTTTAGAGGTAGAGTCTCACTCCATCACTCAGGCTGGAGTGCAGTGGTAAGATCGCAGGTCACTGCAGACTCAAACTCCTGGGCTCATGTGATTCTCCCACTTCAGCCACCTGAGTAGCTGGGGCCACAGGCGTGTGCCACCACACCTGGTTAATTTCCTTTTTTTTTTTTTTTTTTGAGACAGAGTCTCACTCTGTCACCAGGGCTGGAGTGCAGTGGTGTGATCTTGGCTCACTGCAACCTCTGCCTCCTGGGTTCAAGCACTTAGTTCTTCTGCCTCAGCCTCCCAAGTAGCTGGGACTACAGGCACGCCACCACACCCCACTAATTTTTGTACTTTCTGTAGAGACGGGGTTTCACCATATTGACCAGGCTGGTCTCGAAATACTGACCTCAGGTGATCTACCCGCCTCAGCCTCCCAAAGTGCTGGGATTACAGGCGTGAGCCACTGCACCCGGCCTCTTTTTTCACATGGCCTTGCCATGTTGCCCAGGCTGGTCTCCAACTCCTGGCCTCAGGTGATCCTCCTGCCTCAGCCTCCCAAAGTGCTGAGATAACAGATGTGATCCACAACACCCAGCCAATTCCTGAAGCTGGCCGGGCACAGTGGCTCACGCCTGTAATCCCAGCACTTTGGGAGGCCGAGGCGGGCAGATCACAAGGTCAGGAGATCGAGACCATCTTGGCTAACACAGTGAAACCCTGTCTCTACTAAAAATACAAAAAAATTAGCCGAGCATGGTGTCGGGTGCCTGTAGTCCCAGCTACTCAGGAGGCTGAGGCAGGAGAATGGCGTGAACCCAGGAGGTGGAGCTTGCAGTGAGCCGAGATCGCGCCACTGCACTCCAGCCTGGGCGACAGAGCGAGACGCTGTCTCAAAAAAAATAATTATATATATACATATATACACACACATACATACCTGAATATATATATACACATACATACCTGAAGCCAACTTTTCTTTTTTTTTTTGACAGGGTCTCACTTTGTCATCCAGGCTGGAGTGCAGCGGTATGAACAAGCTCACTGCAGCCTTGAACTCCTGGGCACAAGCAATCCTCCAGCCTCCCTCAGCCTCCGGAGGAACTGGGACTACAGGTGTGCACCACCACACCCTAAAGCCAAGTTTTAAACCACTAACTTGTCCCTTTCACTTCTTCCCGAGATGACCCCTCCAGTTTCAGCCACGTTTAACCAAAGCCATAGCTCTCATACTGTGCATCAGCAAATCAAAAGAGAACAGAAATAGCACTTTCTTCTGCATTCAAAAACAACATTAAACGCTGGCTTTAAATTTCTCATTTTTATCATACAGATCAAACAGTACAGATGCTTTTCAACTTGTGACAGGATTACATTCCAATAAACCCACTGTAAATATGAAGGCCGGGCATGGTGGTTCACACCTGTAATGCACTTTGGGAGACCAAGGCAGGAGGTTCCCTTGAGGCCAGGACTTCCAGACCAGCCCGGGCAACACTGTGAGAACCCATCTCTACAAAAAATACAAAAAATGTAGCCAGGTGTGGTGGCACATGCCTACAGTCCCAACTACTTGAGAGGCTAAGGCAGGAGGATTCCTCGAGCCTAGGAGGTCAAAGTTGCCGTGAGCCATGATCGCGCCACTACACTCCAACCTGAGCAACAGAGGCCCTGTCTCCACAAAAAGAAAAAAAAAAAAAGAGAGGAAAATGTGGTAAGTTGAAAATGCACTGACTACTTGACTACCCCTAACCTACGGAACATCACAGCTTAGCCTAGCCCACCTTAAATGAACTCAGAAAACTTAGCCTACAGCTGCGCAAAATCATCGAAAATCGCTTTATTGTATAATAAAGCGTTGACTATCTTGTGATTTATTGGGTACTGCACTGAAAGTGGAAACAGAATGGCTGCATGGGCACGCGCAGCAGTTCCTACTGAATGTGTGTCACTCTCATGCCAGCCGGACAGTCCTAAGCCCGACTGTCTGTATAGGAAAAGGGTATTTCTAGCGATGATGAAATTTAGACCCACCTTAGGCTTACAACAGACAAAAATGTTGTACAAATAGTATTCCACGTAACATTAAAGTATTTACCATTCACGGAGAAAACGGCAAGCTATGAATTCTAAATTCAAAACTGGGCACTGCAGGGACCATGCTGGCTAGTGTGCCTCACTCTCCGGAGTTCAGGGAGGAGTACGCGCCTGAGTCATTCCTGTTTTTAAATGTAATCTTTTGTTATTATTTGAATATTTTTATTCAGAATGATGCTATGAATTTCCAAAGCATATCAGCTTTAGGCAGACTTCATGAAGTAGCTCATAAATGAACAGTGCCGACTGGGCGTAATGGCTCACGCCTGTAATCCCAACACTTTGAGAGGCCGGGGTGGGCAGATCACCTGAGATCAGGAGTTCAAGACTAGCCTGGCCAACATAGTGAAACCCTGGCTCTACAAAAAATACAAAAGTTAGGCCAGGTGCGGTGGCTCACGCTTGTAATCCCAGCACTTTGGGAGGCCGAGGCAGGCGGATCACAAGGTTAGGAGATCAAGAACACGGTTAAACCCCATCTCTACTAAAAATACAAAAAATTAGCCGGGCGTGGTAGCGGGCGCCTGTAGTCCCACCTACTTGGAGAGGCTGAGGCAGGAGAATGGCGTGAACCCGGGAGGCAGAGCTTGCAGTGAGCCAAGATCGCGCCACTGCACTCCAGCCTGGGTGACAGAGCGAGACGCCGTCTCAAAAAACAAAAACAAAAACAAAAAACAAAACAAAAATTAGCTGGGCATGGTGGTGCATGTTTGTGATCCCAGCTACCTGGGAGGCTGAGGCAGAGAAATGCTTGAACCCGGGAGGTAGAGGATGAAGTGAGCCGAGATCACGCCACTGCCCTCCAGCCTGGGCAACAGAGCAAGACTCTGTCTCAAAAAATAAATAAATAAATAAATAAATGAACAGTGCCAAAATGGGCTGGCATTTCACAACACATCAACTAAAAGGGCAACGACTAACCAAAACAAGCCCAGGCAGGGCCACGGCAAGAGAGGCAGCCAGCTCCTGCCCCAGCACCCCAGAAAGTGAAGGCTTCTTTATATTCCTCAGGCAAGGAACTGCCAGAGGCCGAGGGCGACACATCAAAGAAGGGTCCCACACCCACCCTGCCAGGCCCTGCAGGCTGGAGTGAGTTTGGTTTTGTTTCCTATCCGGAGAAGGAGCCCTTATTTGTGATCTGCCTGCCCCAACATCAGAAGTACAGACATGGCTTTCAGTGGGAACTCCCTTCACCTGCCCAAAGAAACACTATTAGAAAAGATTTAACCCACCAGCTCCAAGCTGCCCCTGCCGCCACCCTCAGCCTGAGTCACTCCACTTCCCCACATGCAGGGGCCAGAGAGGCCACAGTAGTATAAAAATAACCAACTTACTATTGCCAACAGGACAATGGAAATCTTCAGCTTCTCACTGACCAAACATATTATAAATAACCACCTCATTTCCAGTTGCCAGTGTATTCCCCCTGCCCTCCACTGCCACAGCATCCTATCCCTTTAGAAAGAGCCTTAAACACGCAAGCCTCACCCACATCCTAAAGTCAGTCATGGCCCAAAATTATCTGAAGCATTAAAAGACAGGCAGAGGTTCCCTTTTTCCCACTCCCATTTTTGTTGCTTGCTCTCTGTTGTGGGAAACTCAATTTTCTTTTTTTCTTTCTTTTTTTTTTTTGTTAAGACAGAGTCTTACTCTGTCGCCCAGGCTGGAGTGCAGTGGCGCGATCTCAGCTCACTGTAACCTCTGCCTCCAAGGTTCAAGCTATTCTCCTGCCTCAGTCACCCAAGTAACTGGGATTACAGGTGTGAGTCACCACGTCCAGCTAATTTTTGTATTTTTAGTAGAGACAGGGGTTTCACCAGGTTGGCCAGGCTGGTCTCGAACTCCTGACCTCATATGATCTGCCCAACTTGGCCTCCCAAAGTGCTGGGATTACAGGTATGAGACACCACACCTGGCCCCATTATTAAATGGCAGAAAGTATTCAACATCTGTGAAAAGAAGAAAATAAACACAGAAAGCAGACAAGTTGAAACTGGGTGGTAAACACAGAAATCAGCCTCACTCACCAACCCCCAAGACACTAAAAAGTGGAGCCACCCTTATACCTCTGCCAGGACGCCAGGTGGGCAAGGACCATGCACCTCCCAGGCAGCCCAAGCTCTGCTCCTCCTCACAAGGCTGGGGCCAGCCCTGTTTCTCACTTGAACTGGCCTGCCCTTGGCCTTATCAGTATCCACCATAACGAAATGTTAGGAAAGATGAAGTTTCAGGGCTCAGAAAACTAAGACCCGATCTATCTCATATACGACTATTCCTATCTGTATTTCCAAGCACAATTAGACTAACAAAGTAAGACACCTGTAATACCACACAGGCTTGCCCACGGTCTGATACCTGACCTAGATGAGGTGGAATTAAAGCTGCCACAATGAACTCGTGAAACTGAAAATCTAGTTGTTTACCACGTTCGTAACTTTGGGGTGTAAACTGATCATTTAAGCATAAAGTTTGAAATCTATAATTTTGATTAAAGTTGGAAATTTTAGGCTGGGGACGGTGGCTCACGCCAGTAATCCTAGCACTTTGGGAGGCCGAGGCGGGCGGACCACTTGAGCCCAGGAGTTCCAGACCAGCCTGGGCAACGTGGTAAAAATCTGTCTCTATAAAAAGATACAAAAATTAGCCAGGTGTGTTGGCACGTGCCTATAGTCTCAGCTACTCAGGAGGCTGAGGTGGGAGGATCATTTACGCCGGAGAAGTCAAGGCCACAGTGAGCCATAATAGCGCCACTACACTCCAACCTGGGTGACATCACGAGGGAGACCCTGTCTCAAAAAAGTTGGAAATTTTGCCAAAGTCACTATAAATGAAGTTGAAAAGCAAATGACTATAGACAATGAGAAAATGTTTTTCAATATATTAAACAATCCAGAGGCAGCAGCTCACGCCTGTAATCCCAGTACTTTAGGAGGCCAAGGTGGGCAGATCACTTGAGGCCACGAGTTCAAGACCAGCGGGGGCAACACAGTGAGACCCCATCTCTACAAAATAATACAAAAAAATTAGCTGGGTGTGGTGGTGCACGCCTGTACTCCCAGCTTCTTGGGAGGCTGAGGTGGGAGGATTACTTCAGCCAGGGAGGTTGAGGCTGTAGTGAGCTGTGACTGCACCACTACACTCTAGCCTGGGTGACAGAAAGAGACCCAGTCTCAAAAAAAAAAAAGAAAAAACATGTATATATAAAAAAACAGAAATCTAGGCCAGGCACAGTGGCTCATGCCTGTAATCCCAGCACTTTGGGAGCCCGAGGCAGGCGGATCACCTGAGGTTGGGAGTTCGAGACCAGCCTGACCAACCTGGAGAAACCCCATCTCTACTAAAAATACAAAAAATTAGCCAAGCATGGTGGTGCACACCTGTAATCCCAGTTATTCAGGAGGCTGAGGCAGGAGAACTGCTTGAACCCGGGAGGCAGAGGTTGCGGTGAGCCAAGATAGCGCCATTGCACTACAGCCTGGGCAACAAGAGCAAAACTCCATCTCAAAAAAAAAAACAAAACAAAACCAGAAATCTATCCAGATTACATAAATAAAATCCACAAATCAAAGAAAGGAAAAAAGAAGCAAAAATGAAAGATAAATAAAATAAATCCAAATGATCAATAAATATATTTTTTAAATGTGCACCCTCACTAGTTATCAGGCAAATGCAAAATAAAATGGCACAAAATAAAAATGCAAAATAAATGGTGAATAAAATTCACCCAAATTGGCATCGATTTTTAAAGAGGAATCATTAAAATTAGAGAGAACTTAGCGGAATTAGAGAATTCACTGGATTAAATGAGAAACTTAAAGTGCTGGCAGCTACTGTGCAATACTGCATCCGGGCAGTTAAGTTTCTCCTTCTGGGACTTGCCCATCCATGGCCTGGTGACAGGGGTACAAAGGGAAATCACTCTGGGAAGCACCTAGCAAAACTGCTTATCTCACCCCTGCCTACCCAGGCAACACCACTCCTGGATATAATCCTCAGAAAAATGTTCAAATATATACGCATCCTGGCTGGGCGCGGTGGCTCACGCCTGTAATCCCAGCACTTTGGGAGGCAGAGGCGGGTGGATCATGAGGTCAGGAGATCGAGACCAACCTGGCTAACACGGTGAAACCCCGTCTCTACTAAAAAGACAAAAAATTTAGCAGGGCACGGTGGCGGGCGCCTGTAGTCCCAGCTACTCGGGAGGCTGAGGCAGGAGAATGGCGTGAACCCAGGAGGCGGAGCTTGCAATGAGCAGAGATGGCGCCACTGCACTCCAGCCAGGGCGACAAAGCAAGACTCCATCTCAAAAAAAAAAAAAAACAAAATATATAGATATAGACATAGATATAGATATATATGTATCCAAAGATATGAGAGTTCACTGCCACACTGCACCTAGTGAAAAAATAAAAATAAGCAAAAGAACTCTGTGACCACTCAGAGTTATGAACCATCACATACCCTTTTGTTTTGTTTTGTTTTTTTGAGATGGAGTCTCACTCTTGTAGCCCAGGCTGGAGTGCAATGGCATGCATGATCTTGGCTCACTGCAACCTCCACATCCCAGGTTCAAGCAATTCTCTGTAGGACAGATCAGTCAGAGTGGTGGGAAAATCTACAGGGAAAGGACGCAAACCTTCTGAAAGGTGGGAAGGTTCTGCAGAGCTGGGGGGAGAATAGCTGAAGGCAGCTGTTCTATAACCCTGAGGCAGAGGGCATGGGGTAGGTACAAGGAGTGTGGAGGAATTCATCTTAAACAGGCTTGTTTACTTATGTTGACCAGGAACTGACCTTTGAACCTCAGCACATGATGTTCCCTGAAAGGGGAACAATAAATGTTAATTACCTGCAGGTTGTGTTTGCCCCAGGTTTTCCGCATTGTGCCTGCACTGAATAAAAGCAAGCAGCTCCAGCTTCTCAGGGCTGCTCTCTGGCCACTAAAGCCAGGAAGTCACCTAGCTGCTCTTAACACTGCATACCTGTGTCTGAGTACTCATTTCATCCATCAGCCAGGGTCTGTGGGACAGACCCGGCAATTCTCTTGCCTCAGCCTCCAGAATAGCTGGGATTACAGACGCCCACCACCACACCCAGCTAATTTTTGAATTTTTAGTAGAGACGGGGTTTCACCATGTCGGCCAGGCTGGTCTCCAACTCCTGATCTCGGGTGATCTGCCCGCCTTGGCCTCCCAAAGTGCTGGAATTACAGGTGTGAGCCACTGCGCCCAGCCCGCATACCATTTAAAAAGACAGAACTAAAATGTATTAACATGAATAGAACTTAAAAATACAACTTGGGCCACTGCACTCCAGCCTGGGCAAGAGAGCGAGACTCCGCTCCAAAAGAAAAAAAAAAAAAAAGGCCTGCCGCGGTGGCTCACGCCTGTAATCCCAGCACTTTGGGAGGCCGAGGCAGGCAGATCACAAGGTGAGGATATCAAGACCATTCTGGCCAACACGGTGAAACCCCGTCTCTACTAAAAATACAAAAATTAGCCGGGCATAGTGGCGGGCGCCTGTAGTCCCAGCTACTTAAGAGGCTGAGGCAGGAGAATTGCTTGAACTCAGGAGGCAGAGGCTGTAGTGAGCCAAGAATGCACCACTGCACTCCAGCCTGGTGACAGAGCGAGACTCCGTCTCAAAAAAAAAAAAAAAAAAAGACAAAGGAACCAAAAGCAAATATGACAAATGATTTAAGTCCTTTATTGGGGATGGCCGGAAATATGCCTGGTTCATCATTTTTGTTTTTCATGGGTTTTTTTTGCGAAAGGGTCTCACTCTGTCACCCGGACTGGAGTGCAGTAGCATGTTCACAGCTCACTGCAGCCTCGACCGCCTCAGGGTCAGGTGATCCTCCCACCTCAGCCTTCCACAGGCACGCACCACCATGACTGGCTAACTTTTGTATTTTTTGTAGAGATGGGTTTTACCATGTTGCCGAGGCTGGTCTTGAACTCCTGGGCTCAAGTGATCTGCCAGCCTTGGCCTGCCAAAGTGTGTTTTTAATGTCTCAAAATGAGAATTCTCACGTTAGCAGGTCACTTGGGTGAACAAGATGCTTTCATTCTACATCACGGTGTCTGGTGTCCCAGGACAGCTGCGCTGAGAACCGCAGCAGTGGGAAAGAAAGGATTGAAGGGTCCTATATCTGTCCCCAGTCGCTTTCTACATCTCCATCAGGACTTTTCACATTTCTGTTAGTAATTCTAAGAATTTATTCTGAGTTGTAATTCCGGTTGTTCTATTCTACAGTATACCTTTGAATTTTTGATTACACAAAAAACCTTGTTATCCCTCTGCTGAGCCATATATACCTTACGGTTTCCCAAACAAACCCCCCAGAGGTCACCACACAGGTCTGGCCGCCTAATGGAGAAACTTCAAAGCACAACGACACATCCTTGGGGAATCTGAGTCTTACAGCTACACAAAGTGCAAACCAGAGCAAATGGGTAGACTTCACAGGGAAAGAGAAAGTGGAACTGCCTTTGTCTCAATCTTAAAATGTAAAAAGAACTTCACTTTCCATGTACATGACAAAAATCTTGTATTACTAATACTCAGTTCTCACAATTTGTAAGACAAAAATAGACACTCTAAGAGAAAAAGACAAAAATAGACATCTTAAGAGAAAAAAGACCAAAAAAAGCCACAAATAAGGAATTCGCAAAAAGGCACAATAAAAATAGCCAAGAATCATCAACACCCACTAGCTACCATTTAGGGGAGAGGGCTTCACAGGCATCACCTACCTCATTCACCCTCCAAGCACCTCCGGGAGCAGCACTTCCCACTCATGCTCCCAACAGGACTTGGGAAGGTGAAGCAGCTTGTCCAGGATCTCACAGCAGATAAACACGAGCCTGGGCTGGGGCCCAAGTCAGCTGACTCCAAATCAGGGGCCTCGACCATTAAGCAACAAAAATAATTTATGACGAACTCTGTCCGGGAGGACTTGGAGAAAGGGTTCTTCTCATGCAGACCTCCTTGGGGTGCAAACTCAAAGAGCCCGACAACAGGCTGCAAAGGTTTCATCAACATGCAGTCCTACAAATCCACAATCCCACTTGAGGAACTGCACCCTACCAGCCAGCGTGGGGGCTCGCGCCTGTAATCCCAACACTTTGGGAGGCCGAGGCGGGTGAATCACAAGGTCAGGAGTTCCAGAGCATCCTGGCCAACATAGTGAAACCCCCGTCTCTACTAAAAATACAAAAATTAGCCGGGCACGGTGGCACGCATCTGTAGTCCCAGCTACTTGGAGGCTGATGCGGGAGAATCACTTGAACCTGGGAGACGGAGGTTGCAGTGAGCCAAGACCGCGCCACTGCACTCCACAGCCTGGGTGACAGAGTGAGACTCCGTCTCAAAAAAAAAAAAGAAGGAAGTGCATCCCACCGAGACAATCTCAGAAGTTCCCAAGGATACATGTCAATCTCCTAAATTTCTATAAAATGCACAAAGCAGTCTTCAAAGCACTGTTTATGCATGGAAAAAATGCAGACTTCAAAGCTTATCAGTGAGGGACGAGTCTGTGCTACATGCAGGGAGTGAAATACTATGTAGCATTGTTTACACTACACTGTCTCTAAGAGAATATATATTGCATTATATCCTTTAGGGAAGAAGGTACACACGACTCAGAGGTTTTTTAAAATGTTAAGAGTGGTTTATTTTTGACTGCTGGGGTCTCTGATGGTATTTACTTTGTTCCTTTTGCTGTTCTGCATCGCTTGGATGTTTTCTAACCTGTCCTTTTTACCTAAATATGAGCTGCTTG
Source organism: Homo sapiens (assembly GCF_000001405.40). Taxonomy (NCBI): domain Eukaryota; kingdom Metazoa; phylum Chordata; class Mammalia; order Primates; family Hominidae; genus Homo; species Homo sapiens. Next base: position 87,382,437 of record NC_000016.10, read on the forward strand.
AACATCAAAGAGCTGTCAACCTTTAAACAGAGAGAGCCTTGAACTCCAGATTAAATAAACATCTCCTCCTGTGATCTGTTACATCCAATATTGCTGAAGGCAAAAGTCCAGCCCGCACCGCTGTGATCCATCCGTCTCTCTACGCCCCCACCATCAGGAGCCCCCGACACTGGGCTTCCCCTACTCCCGTAATTTTTTTTGTTGCTGTTGTTTGAGACCAAGTCGCACTCTGTCGCCTAGGGTGGAGTGCAATGGCCCAGATGTTGGCTCAGTGCAACCTCCGCCTCCCGGGTTCAAGCCATTCTTCTGCCTCACCCTCCCGAGTAGCTGGGATTACAGGCGCCCGCTACCACGCCCGGCTAATTTTTGTATTTTTGTAAGTAGAGACGGGGTTTTACCATCTTCACCAGGCTGGTCTCGAACTCCTGACCTCAGGTGACCCGCCCGCCTCGGCCTCCCTAAGTGCTGAGATTACAGGCGTGAAACCGCGCCCGGCCTGCTCCCATTTCTTCAAGTTCACCTCGTCTCTGGTCAGGGCCAGCGGGGCACCCTCGGCTCGCCTTCAAGACAGGGGCAGAGGAGGCGGCCCCCAGGCGTCAGCTTAGGCCCCGCGCAGACCTCGAGGGATCCCAGCCCCAGCTCCCGGCACGGCCTCGGCCCCGTGGTGTCCCGTGCCCCGCGTCAGGGCCTCTTCGATGCCTCCCTGACGCCCTCAACCCCTCCCTACCCCGTCTGCCTCTCTTGGACCCCTCGGACCCTCCCTAACCGCCTCAAATACCTCCCTGGCCCCCTCAACGTGGTGTCACCGCGGCCGCTCCCCACCCACACCCAAAACACCACATCGCCGGGCCCCGCGCCCAACTGGTGGCCCCCGGCCGGGGCCACCGCCCCCGCCACTCCCAGCTCCGAGGCCTCCACCTGGCAGGGACCCCCCGCCCCTCCCGGCCCCGCCACCCCCGCGCGCTCACCCTCACGGCAACGCCTCCTCCAGATGGTGTCGGTGTGGAGGATGCGCCGGAACTTCGTGCAGACCTGGGCCAAGCTGGGTAGGTCCGTGCCCGGCAGCGACGCGAAGATCTCCACCAGCAGCTCGGGCGGCAGCTCCAGCAGCGAGCAGCGCGGGGGCGGCGGCGAGGGGCCCGCGCACAAGCCGCCCCCGACCCCGGCGCTAGCCTCGATGCGCTCCTCCTCGGGGTCTGTGTCCGGCTCGCTGTCGGCCGCCGCCGTCTCGGCCGGGCCCCGGCGCTGCTGGCGGCGCCGACATCCGCGCGACGGGCCCACGCCGCAAAGGCGAGCACACACCGCCATGCCGCCCAGTGACGGCCACTGCTGCCGCCTGTGCGCACGCTCCAGCGCGGCCCCGCCCCGCCAGCGCCGAGCCACGCCCCCGCCGCAGAGCTCGCCACGCCCCCTGGAGAGCCTAGCCCCGCCCCTACGTAGAGCTCCGCCCCGGCCGCGCCACCCCCTCCCCGCGGGGCGGCGACCTCAGAGACCCCGCACTGCTGCCCTCCCCTCCAGCGTGAGGGCGCCGCCCGTGACGGGCATGAGAAAAGAAAGTGGTGATGCCGAGTGCAAAACGTTAGACTGCCCCGTGTGAGGCTCGAACTCACGACCTTCAGATTATGAGACTGACGCGCTGCCTACTGCGCTAACGAGGCTGCTCGGCGACCACTTCGCGCCGCGGCTTTTGTGGAGATAGGGGTCGCCCCTCGCGCCCGTGCGTCCCGCTTCCGGCGCCCGAAACTGTGCCGCGCCGGCCGGTGAGTAGAAAGATGCGCCTTACAGCCTCCAAATACAGAGGCAGCAGCCAGAACCCCAAAGGGCGCCTAGAAGCCCTTTTGTCCATTGAAACAACGCGCGTTCCATCGTCTCCGCCTTATGGTAACCAAAAGGCCCGAGCTGCGGAGCTCTGCAGGGACCTTCGGGGATCCCGAGCTCCCTGCGGAAGCCCCGGGGAGGGCTTGGAGGGGCGGCGGCCGGCGCGGCCCAAGAGATCCGGGGATGCGCGCCCGGTCTGGAAAGGGAGGCCCTGCCATGCGGCGCCGCCCAAAGGGCGCCTGTTCCTGCAGCTGCTGGGAGCCGCGCACGCCTGCTCCAGCTGGGCTCCGCCGAGGCCGCTGAGCGGGGTCGTCTCCCAGGTCCGCGGGTGGTGACCGCGAAGGCGTCCTCTCACCTGAGCAGCCGCGCACGTCGCCGTGGGCTCGCCTCGGACCCCATCTCTTGGAGGCCCAGGCGGGAGTATCAATCGAGGCCAGGAGCTCGAGACCGGCCTGGGCAATACAGCGAGACCCTGTCTACAAAACAAAATTTTAGAAAGAGAAGCTGAGACGGGAGGATCGCTTGATCCCAGGAGGCCGAGGCTGTAGTGACCCGTGATGGTGCCACTGCACTTCAGCCTGGGCAACACAGCGTGACCCTGTCTCCAAAACAAACAAAAAACAAAAATAGCCACAAATGGCTGGGCGCGGTGGCTCACGTCTGTAATCCCAGCACTTTGGGAGGCGGAGAAGGGTGCATCACCTGAGGTCAGGAGTTTGAGACCCGCCTGACCAACATGGTGAAACCCTGTCTCTTCAAACAAACAAACAAACAAACCACACAGGCCAGGCGCAGTGGCTCACGCCTGTAATTCTAGCACTTTGGGAGGCCGAGGCGGGTAGATCGGTTAAGCCCAGGAGTCGGAGACCAGCCTACCCACATAGTGAGACGCCCCCATCTCTACAAATAATTTAAAAAATTAGGCCGGGCGCGGTGGCTCACGCCTGTAATCCCAGCACTTTGGGAGGCCGAGGCGGGCAGATCATGAGGTCAGGAGATTGAGACCATCCTGGCTAACACGGTGAAACCCCGTCTCTACTAAAAATACAAAAAATTAGCCAGGTGTGGTGGCAGGTGCCTGTAGTCCCAGCTACTCGGGAGGCTGAGGCAGGAGAATGGTGTGAACCCGGGAGGCAGAGCTTGCAGTGAGCCAAGATCGTGCCACTGCACTCCAGCCTGGGCGACAGAGCAAGACTCTGTCTCAAAAAAAAAAAAAAATGGTTTCAACTAATAACATCCTGCTATCTACCAGGGAGATCAGCCATTAAACAAGTAACCACATAGATAAATACATAAATTATAAATTGTAATGCTCTAACAATAAGTAAAACTAACAAGATCTTATAGCAGAGACCAGACTTTGGATGATCAAAGGTTCTTTGAGGAAATGACATTTATAAATCAAAGGAAAATTTGGAGTTAGCCAGGAGGAGAACACTTGATGGGAGAATGTTCTAGAAAAAAAGGATAGCGGCCAGGCCTGGTGGCTCACACCTGTAATCCCAGAACTTTGGGAGGCCAAGGCGGGCAGATCACCTGAGGTTGGGAGTTCAAGATCAGCCTGGCCAACATGGTGAAACCTTGTCTCTACTGAAAAAATGCAAAAATTAGCCGGGCATGGTGGCGGGCACCTGTAATCCCAGCTACTCAGGAGGCTGAGGCAGAAGAATTACTTGAACCCGGGAGGTGGAGGTTGCAGTGAGCCGAGATTGAGCCACTGCACTCCAGCCTAGGCGACAGAGCAAGACTCTTTCTCAAAAAAAAAAAAGAAAAGAATAAAAGGACAGCTGGTTGTCCCTGGCTCATGTAGTAGGCGAGGCCAGGAAGGGAGTTTTCAAGGCAATGGCACAGACGATGGTGAGAAGGAGCATCACTTGCCGGAGATCAGGGACCTCAGGAGGCCTGAGGGAAACAGGAGGCTGGTTCAGTCCAGGGTGTGGTCTGAGCAGAAGCTGAAAATATAGGATGGAAATGAAAAATGACAAGAAAAAGAGATAAAATATAGGTTGGAGTTAGAATGTGAACTCGTGGAAGACAGATGAAGCCCTCGCAAATTCGGGAATGACACAGTGATGAAAGTGGTGTTTTGGGAAGCCAACTCAGGCTTCAGTGAGCAGCGTGGTATGCAGATGAATTGTATGCAGGACGATTTTATGTGGTACAGAAACATTTTATATTTATGTATTTATTTATTTAGAGACGGAGTCTCACTCTGTCACCCAGGCTGGAGTGCAGTGGCACAATCTCAGCTCACTGCAGCCCCCGCCTCCCGGGTTCAAGCTATTGTCCTGCCTCAGCCTCCCCGAGTAGCTGGGATTACAGGCGAGTGCCACCACACTTGGCTAATTTTTGTATTTTTAATAGAGATGGGTTTTTGCCATGTTGGCCAGGCTGGTCTTGAATTCCTGACCAGAGGCGATCCACCCACCTCGGCATCCCAAAGTGCTAGGATTACAGGCACGAGCCACTGCACCCGGCCTTTATTCTGGTTTAGTATTTGAGACATGTAACTAGTACATCAGACTTATGATTGCAGGGTCATTACTGCAATGGCAAATCTATTTTAATATACCTTAAATAAAAAATGAGCTGTTTGAAAGAAAATAGTAACCATAGAAGATGGTTGGTGATATATGAATAACCAAGGATGAAAAGCACAGGATTAGAGGGACAAAAGACAGACAGCAAGAATAATGGAAGGCTGTGTACCCAAAGTTGTGGAAGGATGGAATTAGCACTGACCATTTAGAATAGAAAGAAAAGGCTGGGAGTGGTGGCTCACACCCAGAATCCCAACACTTTGGGAGGCTGAGCAGGGAAGATTGCTTGAGCCCAGGAGACTAGCTTGGGCAACGAAGTGAAACCCCATCTCTACAAAAATAATAATAATAGAAAGAAAAGAATGACCGTGAGCGCTTCAGCAATACCTGTTGGTGGGAAGGAACCCAAGGGGAAAGACAGTGCCAGCAGAAAACTACTACACATTGAATCCTGACAGCTGAATACGTCCTTGGAACACGTTTACAATCCTTTATGTAGAAATGTATCCTTTAAAGAATAAGGAAGGTGCGTGCATTCTAAAACGAGGAAGAACTAGATAGAAGAGATCATTTGTTTTAACACTATGATGAGGCTTTACAATAATGACCTCTTTGTTAGTGAGAACTGATAACATCTAAGGAAGTAAGTCGAATATAGGGCTGGGCATTTTCCAATTGGTTGCCTCAAAGGTCACAAGTAGTATTTCTTGGACTGAGGAAAACCATGTTAACTGGGCAGGGCGCGGTGGCTTACACCTGTAATCCCAGCACTTTGGGAGGCCGAGGCGGGTGGATCATGAGGTCAGATCGAGACCATCCTGGCTAACACAGTGAAACCCCGTCTCTACTAAAAGTACAAAAAATTAGCTGGGCGTGTTGGCGGGCGCCTATAGTCCCAGCTACTCAGGAGGCTGAAGCAGGAGAATGGTGTGAACCCGGGAGGCGGAGCTTGCAGTGAGCCGAGATGGCGCCACATGCACTGGGCAATGGTGCATTCCAGCCTGGGCGACAGAGAGAAAAAAAAGAAAGAAAGAAAGCCACGTTAACTGTATCCCAATGAGTTCTCAACATCCGGATGTGAAAAAATGGGATCTTACCCACTGCTCAAAAGAACTAGTCACACTAACTGGAAAGAAGGGAAAATATTCAAACTTTGAACAAGAGGATTGCAGTTTAAAATAAGCGGGCTGATGGAGCCTCCACAGTTGCACACGTTAACAGTCCCAGAATGGAGCAAAAGCTATAAACACAGCAGTCCTACAGAATTTGTTTAGAATTAAACAAACAGGCAAACAAAAACATGGTGGAACCTCAGCCCGTTCCACCTGGTGTTACACACTCATTTAGGAAACAGCTGCGGGTCGCGTGACTGATTTGTCAGTGCTTTACCACGCGTTCTACTTTGCAGATTCTTGAAGCTGAACAGGCCAGACTTCCCTGGGGAGGAAGACACTGAACATACAGCCTGCTCTAGCTACTTATTCCCTGGATTCTCCAGGGAAGACATTCTGAAGACTGCAGTCTATTCAGTGTCAACCCCTAAATCCTCCTGACCAAATCCTTTCTGAGAATAGCTCCCTGCACTCCTCTTGAGCAATACTTGTTTGTTTACTTGCTCTCAAGAGCAAAGCGATGACACCACGATGGATAGGACACTGGGCCTATAGTGGTGCAGACGACAAAGCCGGTGGCCTCTCTCTTCCAATCAGAAAGAGGAGAGGAGGGAGAGGCCGAGGAGGCCTGAGGCCTGGAGCAAATTCTCCGCGTGACTTGCCGTCCATATTGAGTGTGGCAAAAAATAACCCCGATGCTTTCTGTAGGTCAGGTTAATGTTTTGTGATTCATTTGACAGGTTCTTACACACAGCTAGACAGCATGATTTACAGCCACTTACATCACTCAAGCTGGGCCATCACATTCAATTCTTAGCAGTTACATCATTTCCCCACGGTTATGGTCATTTCCTGGTTTGAAAAAAGGAATAGGGTGCCACTGCTGGACTTTGAAGAATGAATGATTATTTGGTAGTTTAAAGGCACCATGAAATTCCTAGAGAAAACACTGAGTAAATTAAAATGAAAGATGTGTTCTTGCTTTTCTACTTTACATGGATTATTACAGGGAACATTAACGTTTATATTACACTATGCTTATATTAACTAGCTTAAAATAATTCATGAGTAATATTAATTTACCACTCTGAATATTGTTCACTACTATATTAAATTTCTACTAAACTGCAGTCTTTTGGGTCACATGAAATGTTTCATAAATACTCAAGCACACTTATGCTTCCAAAAGTTACATGAAGTTGTTTCTTATATTTATTTGTATATGAATGTACATTATTATAATATATATACAATAGATATATATTATTTAACTAAATGTGTTATTCTTACATGGGAATGAAACCTATGAGCCATCTTTAAACCCCAATCATTTTGGATTCTTTTCTGAGAGCCATGGAAGGATATGTGGCTTTAGATTCAAGTTGGAATTAGAAGTTAGGCGTAGAAGTGTCAGCTTTGCAAATGTGGACTTCAGTCCTATATTTCAAAAACACGCAGAGTAACCCTGGCCCATTACTACACAACTGTCGATGCTACTTCCTCTGGCAATGAACCCAAGGCCTGGAGTAATTTGGTAAAGCTTTATGGATGCCCAAGGGTGGGAAAATATGAGACTCTGCTTCCCCTCCCCCATCTCCATATGCCAGATATCGATTTTTTCCCTTCTTCTTGCATTTGGAACAGTTGTCCAGCAAGAGAAAGAAAAAGCCCATTTCTTACAAAGCAGCAACTCAGCCAAGAACGCACTCACCAGTCAATACTTAATATCATAAAAATCCAGAAAAGAAAGCAACACAGACTCCACTCTTTAAGACTTCAAAACTGATACTTTGTTGTTTGGCAGAAGGTAGGTACATAATATGCGCTTACCGGATTTTTTTTTCTATTTTCACAGAATACAAACCAACAGACTGTAGCCATCTTCTGAACGCTGTCCTAGATCATGTGAAGGCACAGCTTCAGAGGTTAAAAATTTCGGAATCTGGAAACCAGAGAGAATGTTTAAGTACTCTTCTTTATTAATTGTATGACTATCAGAGATGTCTGAGGTAAAGAACTATGACAAAAAAATCAGGGACAGAAAGTGCCACCTGCACAAATGCACCGTTATTTCACAAAAAGTGGTACAATTGGCTGGGCGCGGTGGCTCGTGCCTGTAATCCCAGCACTTTGGGAGGCCAAGGCGTGTGGATCACCTGAGGTCGGGAGTTCAAGACCAGCCTGGCCAACATGGTGACACCCTCTCTCTACTACAAATACAAAAATTAGCTGGGCGTGGTGGCAGGCACCTGTATTCCCAGCTACTGGGGAGGCTGAGGCAGGAGAATCACCTGAACCCGGGAGGTGGAGGTTGCAGTGAGCTGAGATCACGCCACTGCACTCCAGCCTGGGCAACAGTGCAAGGCTCTGTCTCAAAAAACAAATAAATAAAATAAACAGTGGTGTAATAAAGAACTACAACTAACGTCATTCTTCTGATGGTGGGAGTAAATTAATTATACAAGGATCTATGACAGTAGTTGGCTTCTCTAGAAGAAATCCCAACTGTATAAAAGCACTTTGAGAAATATATTTTCTTTCTTTTTTTTTTTGAGATGGAGTTTCGCTCTTTCCCCCAGGCTGGAGTGCAGTGGCAGGATCTTGGCTCGCTGCAACCTCTGCCTTCCGGTTTCAAGCGATTCTCCTGCCTCAGCCTCCCGAGTAGCTGGGATTACAGGCGCCTGCCACCACACCCGGCTAATTTTTGTATTTTTAGTAGAGATGGGGGTTTCGCCATGTTGACCAGGCTGGTCTCGAACTCTTGACCTCGTGATCCTCCTGCCTTGACCTCCCAAAGTGCTGGAATTACAGGCATGAGTCGCCGCACCTGGCGCGAGAAATATATTTTCATACTTTTTTTCTTCTTTTTTGTGGAGGACGGGGTCTTGCTATGTTGCCCAGTCAGGTCTCAAACTCCTGGGCTCAAGCGATCCTCCCAGCCTCTGCCTCCCTGAGAGCTGGGTTTACAGGCTTGGAGCCACCGCCCCCCGCTATTTTCATGTTTTGTATGATTCAAGCTTACAGTGTAGAGTGTATTAGCCTAATCCAATTACTTTATCCAATTGGGATAGAAGAAAGGCTTTTACAAAGTCAAAAGGAGAAATCCTGGAACTATGGGGCTCTTTCAAAGTATTAGATGTTAAAGAACAAAAACAGCCAAATAGCCGGGAGCAGTGGCTCACGCCTGTAATCCCAACTCTTAAGGAGGCCGAGGCGGGAGGGTTGCTTGAGGCCAGGAGTTCAAGACCAGCCCGGGCAACACAGCGAGATCCCGGCTCTACTCCCAGCTTCTCGGGAGGCTGAGGCAGGAGGATCCCTTGAGCCCAGGCGACCGAGGCCGCCGCGAGCTATGATCGTGCCACTGCATTCCAGGCTGGGCAACAGAGCAAGACCCTGTCTCAAAAAAACCCCAAAGAATCTAGTGCTGTTCCTACAGAGACACATTGGCCACAGGCTGAGGTGGGCAATAGCAACCAAATATCGCATGGTGGTTTACGCACTGCAGCCCATTTGGAGTCCTCAAATATGACTGCCCTTTCACAGATGAGTCTGAGACTCAAAAACTGTCACTAGCGTAAGGTTGTCCAGCGAGTTTAGTGGCTGGGAGGCTGAGGGGTAGACAGGGCGGCTAGCGATGTGGGGCAGGCCTGGCAGTCGCCACAGACGACCTAACGGTAGGAAAATCTTACAGCCACCAGGAGAGTTCCAGGCGCCGCGGCAGGGGGACTGGGAGAGGGGACTGCGCCCAGAATGAAGGCTCGGGACAAAAGCAGTTGCGCAAACGCGCCAAGGCTGGGCGTCGAGTGACCGCGGGCGGAGGTCACCAGCGGCCACTCCCCGGAAGCCACCCACGGACCACGCGCGCCCCTGCACGCAGAGGGGGCCAGGGCTCCACGGGCGAGCGGCGACCCTGCCTCCCGGAGACGGCGCGGCCTGCCCTGCGCGCCTCAGCCCCGGGTGCCGGCGTCTCGGGCAGCACCACCAAGTCTCTCTGGAGGGGAAAGGATGGTCGGATTTGCCCCATGTCCCTTCCTCTGACCCCTCCCTCAAGAGTGCCCCGGGACACCCCGCCTGTGGCTCAGCCTCCCCCGCCCCGCGCTGCCATCTCCTCAGGGCCGGGCAGCAGGCTCCCGAGCGCCCACAGACCCGGGGTGCGGCCCAGCCCACAACCGTCACCTCAGGGGCCTCAGGCGCCCAGCGGTGCTGGGCGGGGCTGGGGCACGACCGGGAGCATGCGCAGAGCGCGCGTTTCGCCCATCGCGCACGCGCACACACCTGCTCCGCCCCCACGCTGCGTGCCGCTGCTGGGTTCCGCCACGCCCGTCATGGCGGCGGCCCCGGCCGGCTCTGGCCCCGCCCCTCGGTGACGCGTCGCGAGTCACCTGACCAGGCTGCGGGCTGAGGAGATACAAGGGAAGTGGCTATCGCCAGAGTCGGATTCGCCGCCGCAGCAGCCGCCGCCCCCGGGAGCCGCCGGGACCCTCGCGTCGTCGCCGCCGCCGCCGCCCAGATCCCTGCACCATGCCGTCGGAGAAGACCTTCAAGCAGCGCCGCACCTTCGGTGAGTGTCGCCGCGAGGGCGGCGGGTGCGGCGGGGCCGGGGTCCGAGCTGTGGAGGGCGGCAGGGCCTGGGACGCCGTGAGGGGTCGGGGCCGAGCCGGGAGGCCGAGCGGGGCCGGTGGCTGCCGGCCGGCGGGGCCGAGGGATGCGGGGCCCGGGGCCCCGTGAGGGACCCAGGCCGGGACCGAGCCGGGAGGGCCAGGGGCTGGTCTGGGCCGGGGCGGCCTGCGGACCTCTCGGAGGCCTGGGAGGAGGCAGCCGGCGGAGGGCGGGCGGGGGCCGGTGCGCTCGGGGCCCCGGGCCTGCTGAATCACCCCGCGCCCTCCGCGGCGGGGTGCCTGCCGTACCCCGGCCACCGCCGCCCCCGCAAGCGCGCTGCGGGCGAGGGTCGCGCTTCTGGGGCCCAACAGCCCCCGGGGCCGCGCTGGGCCGTTCGGCTCTGAAGCGGGGCTGCGCCGGGACCCAGCGCGTCACCTTCAGGGCTGGTTTTCCCGTCGAGGGAGCCCGCCCGGGTGCGAGTGCCTCTTACAGACCTCAGTGCCTCGGTCGAGAGGAGGGGAATGTGCTGGGCCCCGGCCTCGCCGCGCCCGGGACGGCCCACAGCGGTGTTGCCAGTTCCTGTCTGTAGCCCAGGAGCTGGGGTGGGAGACTTCTCTTGGGTTTGCGATTACGTTCTCACCTTGGCACCAGGAATACCGAATACATCCCTTTTCTGCCGGTTCAGACTGGAAACCCAGCTTAGGTGTGCTGGCATTTGGTTAAACGTGCAGGTGTCACCATCACAATATTTACTCCACGCAGATGATGCGAAGTGATTATTTCCCGCTTGAGCAAGAGAACGCCGCAGATCCAGGTATCTGTTGTTGCCTAAGTTCCAGACACCGGTTTGGAAGGGAAGCACCGTGTTCATCGCGGTGGACTGCGAATGCCTGCCGCCATCCTCGTCAGGAGCCCACACAGTGGTGCTGTTTGTCTGCTTTTGCCTAGTTTCCCGGAGTCTAGAAAGAGTTTAGCATTCATTTGAGTTTGGATATAGTTTTGCAGGTCTCATTGACCATTATTTTTTTTCTTATGCCTGAGAAACTTAAGCAAATTAAAATGGACCTTAGCTTGCCAAGCATATCTTTTCAGACAGCCTCTTGAGGCAGTCCGTTGGTTAGCAAGACTTACACGTGCCTTTTTTGTTAGTAGTTTTCTTGTTAGTCACCTTAATGAACTCTTTACTGTAGTGTCTAGGCTTATTGAGCCCTGAGAGCAGCATTAAAGACAGATTTTCTTTTCTTTTTTATTTTGAGACAGGGTCTCACTCTGTCACCTGGGCTGGAGTGCAGTGGTGCAATCACAGCCCACTGCAGCCTCGACCTCCCGGGCTAAAGCGATCCAGCGGCCCCCCTCAGACCTGGCTTCTGTTTTCACCAATGAAAAGTTAACTGGGAACATTTATGTAGGAGAGATGCCCTTTTTCTCATAACAGAAACTATAGTTATTTTCTTTTTTGCTTAGTACTTTTGGGTTATTCTGGAAAAGTCTCTGCGAAGAGTGGGTAGTAAGGGTAGGAAATGTGAGACTAACACATCCGAACAAGGAATTTCCTGGAACCTAAAAGTGGCCCTGAGGGTAGACCAGCAATAATGCCCCATTTTTTTCCCATTGATGTATGGACCTTGTATATACTGTATTTTCAGGGTTTTTTCCCTTGGCTCACCTTTATTTTGCCCCCTCCCCTTTAAATATCTCTTTAATAGTCACTTTGTAGAAATGTGTCAAATATCTTAACAGCTGTTACCTTTCCTTGCTTCTGATTTTGGTAATTAAAAAAAAAAATCTTTCTAGTTCATGAATATTTTGGTAATGTTGATCATGAGTACTGACAGTTTTCAGACATGTGTAGCACAGTAAGTGAGGGAAATGAATCCTTAGAGAGAACCTCTTTATGGAGCCTAAGATAAGCCCCAGTTAGCTTGAGTGGTGTTTTCTCTTTCCAAGTGAGTGAGTTTAAGGTTAATACTGAATATAGCTCTGCTGATAAACTCTACCAGGATTGACAGGGTTCTCAAAGTTGAAATGGATTTTAAGGCTCACTGAAAACAACGCCTTCCTTTTGTAGCTAAAGAAACTGGGTGGGGCCTGGTGGTGAAGATCATGGTCCACCTAGTGGCAGAGTCTGGACTGGTACCTTTAACCTGGCATGAATTCTTCCAGTCTCCAGTAGGTAGCCATCATTTCCAGTATATTAAGTGGACCAAGACTGTGTGAGTCAGGAGACATAGTGTGTCCTTGGAGATGTGTTGGAAATATTGAATGAACTTCAAAAATTAAAATTGTGTGGGGCATGGTGGCTCACACCTGTAATCCCAGCACTTTGGGAGGCCAAGGCAGGATCGCTTGAGTTTGGGAGTTCAAGACCAGCCTGGGCAACATAGTGAGAGCTCATCTCTACCAAAAAAAGAAACCAAACAGACAAATAAGAGTTGTTGCTGTGTGGCCCAGGCCAGCTTTAACTATTGGCCTCAAGTGATCCTCCCACCTTGGTTTCCCAAAGTCCTGGGATTACAGGTGTGAGCCACCACGCCTGGCCTGGGGGAGGGGGAGTGCTTCAGTTTCTCTCTGAGAAGTAAATCCTGGAAAATCCTGGAAAAACTGAAATTTTACTTAAAATGACTGAAGATATCTCAAAACAACTTTGCAAAGAACGTGTTCTTAAAAATAGGACACCTTAGGCTCCTACCGTTTGTTTTAATGTTTGTAAAGGCTCTTAAGGATCTTTTTTGTTTTAGAAGAAAGGAATCTGGGGAAGCAGGTTAGATTTTGCTGTGCATGTGGAGCCGTGTTCATTTCTGTTTTACAGCTTTCATTCAGTTGTTGATGAACTCTCTTCTGTGTACAAGCCTGAGCCCTGGGGGGACACAGATTGGACTGGAGCTGGGTCCTTGACTGCCAGCGGGGCAGTCTGTTGAGAAAGACAAAAACAGATGATTACAGCATTAGGAAACAGGGAGTAAAAGACTTGCCCTCCTTCTATGCCATTGACTGTGCTGTTGATAATGCTTTTGTTAAATATACTGTTAGCCTCTAAAACAGCTGTCTCCTGAAGAATGAGAGTGGAGCATCCGTGTGTACCGTGTACAGCCAGTTAGTTACTCCAGGCTCAGCACTGGATTTTCATTGCTGCTGGACAGCGTGCTAAGATGCTCCTATGGGACTTGGGTGTTATTCTTTACAGCTTAAGGAAGTAACTTGTCTTTTATATACTTCCCACCTTTCATGAAAATAATCATTTTTGTCTTTTTAGGTCGTGTTTTGGGAATAAATCAGGATAAAGATAACTTTAAACACTATAGTTTCAGACTTTGAAACTTCATAGAGCCTGTTTTTTCCTTCTTTCCTTTTTTTTTTTTTTTTTTTTTTTTTTGAGACAGGATCTCGCGCTGTCACCCAGGCTGGAGTGCAGTGGCATGATCTCAGCTCACTGCAACCTCCGCCTCCTGGGTTCAAGTGATTCTCCTGCCTTAGCCTCCTGAGTAGCTGGGATTACGGGTGCCCGCCATCACGCCCAGCTAATTTTTGTATTTTTAGTAAAGACAGGGTTTCACCGTGTTGGCCAGGATGGTCTCTAACTCCTGACCTCAGGTGATCCGCCCGCCTTGGCCTCCCAAAGTGCTGGGTTTACGAGCGTGAGCCACCGCACCCAGCCAAACCTAGTTTCCTATATTAAAAAAATGTTTCCAGCCGGGTGTGGTGGCACATGCCTGTAATCCCAACATTTTGGTAGGCCAAGGTGGGCGGATCACAAGGTCAGGAGATTGAGACCATCCTGGCTAACATGATGAAACCCCGTCTTTACTAAAAATACAAAAAATTAGCCGGGCGTGGTGGCGGGCGCCTGTAGTCCCAGCTACTTGGGATGCTGAGGGAGGAGAATGGCATGAACCTGGGAGGCGTAGCTTGCAGTGAGCAGAGATCGCGCCACTGCACTCCAGCCTGAGTGACAGAGCAAGACTCCATCTCAAAAAAAAAAAAAAAATTCTTTCCCCTCTGCCTGAACGTTTCTACTTTTAGATTTATTAGGATAAGCTTTTAAATGTGAAACATTCCAGGATATATGAAAGAGGTATCACTTATTCGCTGGAGTGAATTAAATCGTGATTTACCCTATACACTGAATCCACACTGACACAATGGACGTTTTTATTGTGAAGAGGGTCTGGGGTAGGACAGGCATAGGAAGATGTCTCATACTTAGGAGAGGTGATGATGAGGGGTCACTGAGAATCTCGCTGGGAAGTAGAGAAGGAGTCAAAGGATAAGAGCCACTAGGTTAATTTTACTGTTAACAATAGCGAAATTTGTCATTATTATTTTTATTTTTCATTTTTTTGAGACAAAAGTCTTGCTCTGTCGCCCAGACTAGAGTGCAGTGGCGTGATCTCGGCTGACTGCAACCTGTGCCTCCCGGGTTCAAGCGATTCTCCTACCTCAGCCTCCCTAGTAGCTGGGATTACAGGCGCCGGACGCCGCGCCCAGCTCATTTTTGTATTTTTAGTAGAGATGGGCTATCACCATTGTGGCCAGGCTAGTCTCAAACTCCTGACCTCGTGATCCACCCGCCTCGGCCTCCCAAAGTGCTGGGGTTACAGGCATGAGCCACTGCGCCCAGCCACCAAATTTATCATTTGCATATATATTCAATAGGAATATGCACTGGTAGAAATCCATGAGTTTGCAATCTTTGTTGCAAAGATGTTTATATTTAGCAATGTATCTTAGAAGCTGATTTTAAAGTTTTGGATGGGGAAACAGAAGTCGAACTTATGGCTGTACTTGAACACAGGAATTTTAAAAGTTTTTATAAAGAGTGATACTAAAATTGGGCTGGGCTTGGTGGCTCACGCCTGTAATCCCAGCACTTTGGGAGGCTGAGGTGGGCGGATCACGAGGTCAGGAGATGGAGACCATCCTGGTTAACAGGGTGAAACCCGTCTCTACTAAAAATACAAAAAAATTAGCCGAGCATGGTGTCGGGTGCCTGTAGTCCCAGCTACTCGGGAGGCTGAGGCAGGAGAATGGTGTGAACCCAGGAGGCGGAGCTTGCAGTGAGCGGAGATTGCAGCACTGCACTCCAGCCTGGGCAACAGAGTGAGACTCTGTCTCAAAAAAAGAATGATACTAAAATTTTTTTTAATCCAAATGAGATTGGCAATGATATTAGAGTAACGTCATATTTATGTAGGTCACACCATATTTTTTCTGTCTCAGGAAGTTCGTGACATTGATTATTTATTTGCGCTTACCGTGAGAATCAATCCTACCATAGTAAATCAAGGTTATTTTGCTCATTTTTTTTTTTGGAGGTTTTAAATAATGCCATCTAAGTCATATGTTCACATATTGCCTTTTTTTTTTTAACACACATATTGCTTTGTAAATGACTTCTCTCTAACTGTATTTTTGGGTTTCTGGGAACTGGACTTGGCTTGTTTTTTTTTCCCTGTATTGCCCACAGTCTAGTACAGTTGTTGAAATTATCAATAAGTGATTCTATTAAAAGGGAGAAAAGAATTTTTTTTTTTTTTTGAGATGGAGTCTGGCTCTGTCGCCCATGCTGGAGTGCAGTGGTGCAATGTCCGCTCACTGCAACCTCCGTGTCCCAGGTTCAAGTGATTCTCCTGCCTCAGCCTCCCGAGTAGCTGGGATTACAGGCATGTGCCATCACGCCCGGCTAATTTTTATACTTTTAGTAGAGACGGGACAGGGTTTCACCATGTTGGCCAGGCTGGTCTCGAACTCCTGACCTCAAGTGATCTGCCCACCTCAGCCTCCCAAGGTGCTGGGATTACAGGCATCATATTCCATTCTCTTGAGCAGTTTATTTTCTCTTAGGCACCATATCATTAAAAAGCTGGAAGTGATAAGGGAAAAATTGCATTTCCTGGTTTATAATGGATTCCATTTCCAACTTAAAGTGTGGAAAATTAACAAAAATTGAAGTTAATATTATAGGTGGTAGTGGTCTTTGGAGGAAGGACTGGGTCTCATGCAGTGGGTCTGCCTTGTATGTCTGACCACAAACTTTGGGCTCCCAATTCCTTGAAACTAGTTGTCCCATATTCCTGGTCTTTGTCCTATCACCTGATAGAGCCATGTATGTTATGTTGCTCTTGGCCTTAGATACAAACCTTTATCAGGTTTGAAGTGTTCGTGTTTTGTTTCTTTAAGTCCTAGGAAAGATGTCTTCAGTGTTCTGCTGTGCCACAGCTAGCAGCTGAACTTGGATGGAGAACCAGCAGCAGTGCTGGGAAGAAGCTGCCTGGCCCTTAGTAATGCTTCTGTCTCTTCATTTCATTGCAGAACAAAGAGTAGAAGATGTCCGACTTATTCGAGAGCAGCATCCAACCAAAATCCCGGTAGGTAGTCTCAGGCCTCGGTTTCAGTCATGAATGTACGCAGAGGAGAGCACCGCATAAGTGCATCCACTTGACGGGTTTTTACAGGAATCACCAGACAGCCAAACCCTGGGTGTCAGTTTCACAACCTAGAGAGAGGTATCCTTTTTTTAAGAGACAGGGTCTCACTCTCTTTCCCAGGCTGGAGTGCAGTGGTGCGATCGTAGCTCAGTGCAGTCTCAGCCACCTTGTGCTCAAGCAGTCCTCCCTCCTCAGCCTCCTGAGTAGCTCTGACTAGAGGCACACACCACTACACCTGGCTAATTTTTTAAGTTTTTTGTAGAGACAGGGTCTTGCTATGTTTAACAACCCAGGCTGATCTCAAACTCCTGGGCTCAAATGATCCTCCACCTTGACCTCTCAAAGTGTTGGGATTATAGGCATGAGCCACTGGCTGGCCTCAGGTGCCAAGATTTCTGTACTGCCTCTAATTTCTGCTACCACTTAAACTCAGGCAGGTGGAGCCTACACACTGATATTTCCTTGTGGATATCACACTTCAGAACGTGTCCGCTAGATAAAGCTCTCAAACTTACCAAGGAAAGTGATGACAGCTTGACTCGGCCTTACACAGAACCCTATGTAGGTCTCACACAATAGAACAATGTACAAATAAGCATTTTTCTTTCCCAAAGAAGCATGTAAAGATTTCCCATTCCTGCCACTCAACTTCTCTTTGTTGTGACAGGGTGGAAGAATTACTGTATATAGAAAAGATGTCCGCAGCGTTCAGTAAACACAGACACTAATGAGACTCAGAGGCTCATCTGTGGTCAGGTATTATAACAGCTTAAAACTAAAAAAAAACAAAATATTTTGCTCCATGGAAAGGAAGCATAGTGAGGAGCCAATGGATTATTTATTTATTTATTTATTTATTTTGAGACGGAGTCTTGCTGTGTCGCCCAGGCTGGAGTGTAGTGGCGCGATCTCGGCTCACTGCAACCTCCGCCTCCCAGGTTCAAGTGATTCTCCTGCCTCAGCCTCCTGAATAGCTGGGACTACAGGCACGTGCCACTACGCCCAGCTAATTTTTGTATTTTTAGTAGAGACAGGGTTTCACCATGTTGGCCAGGATGGTCTTGATCTCTTGACCTCATGATCCGCCCACCTCGGCCTCCCAAAGTGCTGGGATTACAGGCGTGAGTCACCACGCCGGCCTGATGGCTTTATTTAAATTCATAATATGAAACTATATGTGTTCCCTGTGTAGTTCAAATACGTGTGTGTGTGTGTGTGTGTGTGTGTGTGTGTGTGTGTGTGTATAAAATTTTTTTTTTTTTTTTGAGATGCAGTCTCGCTCTGTCACCCAGGCTGGAGTGCAGTGGCGTGATCTCGGCTCACTGCAAGCTCCACCTCCCGGGTTCACGCCATTCTCCTGCCTCAGCCTCCTGAGTAGCTGGGACTGCAGGCGCCCACCACCATGCGCGGCTAATTTTTTTTGTATTTTTAGTAGAGACGGGGTTTCACCATGTTAGCCAGGATGGTCTCAGTCTCCTGACCTCATGATCTGCCTGCCTTGGCCTCCCAAAATGCTGGGATTACAGGCGTGAGCCACCGCACCTGGCCTCAAATATTTGTATTTTTAACCTCATTTAAAGAAATATGTTATCAGAATGAAAGTACCAGGTCATTATGCACAAAACTTTGTCTCTAGAACCAGCTAATAATGGACTCTACTTGCCTTGTCAAATATAATTTTTTCATGTCAACTAGACAGTCTCTAGTGTGGAAAAACATTGAGCATATTACTATAATTAGGAACTTACACATTTATTAAAACACAGGCATTTACTTTTTTTTTTTTTTTAATGGATGAAAGGTTTTTATGTTTCCCAGGTGGGCCTGGAACGCATAGCCTCACCTCCTTATGCACCAGAACAACCAGCCTGAGTCACCGTGGCTCCCAAAACACATGCATTTACTTTCATTAGAACTTCAGCTGGCCGGACGCGGTGGCTCACGCCTGTATCCCAGCACTTTGGAAGGCCGAGGCGGGTGGATCACGAAGTCAGGGGTTCGAGACCAGCCTGACCAACATGGTGAAACCCCATCTCTACTAAAAATACAAAAATTAGCTGGGCGTGGTGGCGGGTGCCTGTAATCCCAGCTACTCAGGAGGCTGAGGCAGGAGAATTGCTTGAACCCGGGAGTCGGAGGTTGCAGTGAGCCAAGATCGTGCCACTGCATTCCAGCCTGGGCGACAGAGCAAGACTCTGTCTCAAAAAAAAAAAAAAAAAAAAAAAACTTCAGCCATGTCTCAGGATATGGTAGTTTTGGAATTGAGAGTTTCAGATGTTTTGTGCTTGAAGCTGGTTCCCAGCCTCTCTGCCTCGGTAAGGCTTGAGGTCTTTTTCTGACTAGGTATGTATTTTTCATGGTTCCAAAACTGAAACAGAATGAAAGGATACATAGCCAAGTATCTTCCCCCACTTCCTACCTGACGGCAGACATATTGTCTCTCTTGTACTATATTTTGTAAGGGGTAGATGTCTAAGCTAGCAAATGATCACTCTTCACAGGAGAGCTATGAGGAAACTAGTGAATGTGCTGTTTCAAAGCCCATTTTGGCATGTGCCAGTTAGACTGTAGGAGGCATTTTGTATATTTTTAATTGTTGATGACTATTTTATTTATTTATTGGAGACAGTCTAGCTCTATGCCCTAGGCTGGAGTGCAGTGGCGCAACCTCAGCTCACTGCAACCTCCGCCTCCTAGGTTCAAGCTTGTCTCAGCCTCCCGAGTAGCTGGAAGGCATTACAGGCACCTGCCACCACACCTGGATAATTTTTGTATTTTTAGTAGAGTCGGGGTTTTGCCATGTTGACCAGGCTGGTCTCGAACTCCTGACCTCAGGTGATCTGCTGGCCTCACCCTCCCAAAGTGCTGGGATTACAGGCATGTGCCACCATGCCCAGCCTGATGACTTTTTTTTTTTTTTGAGATGGAGTCTCGCTCTGTCACCCAGGCTGGAGTGCGGTGGCGCGATCTCGGCTCACTGCAAGCTCCACCTCCCGGGTTCACGCCATTCTCCTGCCTCAGCCTCCTGAGTAGCTGGGACTACAGGCGCCCGCCACCATGCCCGGCTAATTTTTTTTTGTATTTTTAGTAGAGATGGGGTTTCACCATGTTAGCCAGGGTGGTCTCAGTCTCCTGACCTCGTGATGTGCCCGCCTCGGCCTCCCAAAATGCTGGGGTTACAGGTGTGAGCCACCGCGCCTGGCCCTGATGACTATTTTAAAATCACTTCTGGCTTCTTTTCCAGGTGATAATAGAACGATACAAGGGTGAGAAGCAGCTTCCTGTTCTGGATAAAACAAAGTTCCTTGTACCTGACCATGTCAACATGAGTGAGCTCATCAAGATAATTAGGTATTCAGTCACCTTTGTTTCATAATATATTTCCTTTGAGTAACTTCTTATTCTTTATGAAACTTACAGTTAAATCTTTAGTTCTGGTTAAAATCTTTAAAAAATATTTTTCAGCTGAATTCAGTTCTGATTCAGTTATGATTAAAACAATTTCAACTTAAACTATAAAATGTTTCTTTTTTTGAGGTTTTATATTACTTGCTAGACTGCAGAGCCCGTTTCTTTCATCATAACATCGTTTAGATGTTTCCTGTTTAAAATCAGTGTTACAAGTTATTAAGGTATTGTACAGCAAAGCTAGTTAAAGAGAATGTAGACTCTGTGAGTGGCAGTAAATGGCACAGGCTTAGATCTTAGAATAGTTCAGAAACTGTATTTGAACTGCTTTCTTATATTAGACAGTTTAACAGCTGTTCAGACAGTATACTAGTTTAAAATCAGCCTAATATGTAATCTTTCAGTGATTATAGCTCATGTCAATATAATCAAAGGAAGTGTCCTGTGCTTTATGAGAAGTATTGGATTCAAGAGCATTTAGAACATTTTTATATTTTACCGATCAGAGTGGGTGATATTTTAACACATGCTTCATCCTTCTTGTATTGTTGTCAATATTTCTTCACGTTGTTTTCTTTCAATAGAAGGCGCTTACAGCTCAATGCTAATCAGGCCTTCTTCCTGTTGGTGAACGGACACAGCATGGTCAGCGTCTCCACACCAATCTCAGAGGTGTATGAGAGTGAGAAAGATGAAGATGGATTCCTGTACATGGTCTATGCCTCCCAGGAGACGTTCGGGATGAAATTGTCAGTGTAAAACCAGAAAAAATGCAGCTCTTCTAGAATTGTTTAAACCCTTACCAAGGAAAAAAAAGGGATGTTACCAACTGAGATCGATCAGTTCATCCAATCACAGATCATGAAACAGTAGTGTTCCCACCTAGGAGTGTTAGGAAGTTGTGTTTGTGTTTCAAGCAGAAAAACTGAGCTCCAAGTGAGCACATTCAGCTTTGGAAACTATATTATTTAATGTAGGCTAGCTTGTTTTCAAATTTTAAAAGTTTAAAAATAAAATACTTTGCATTCTAAGTTGCCAATAAAATAGACCTTCAAGTTATTTTAATGCTCTTTTCTCACTAATAGGAACTTGTAATTCCAGCAGTAATTTAAAGGCTTTCAGAGAGACCCTGAGTCTTCTCTTCAGGTTCACAAAACCCGCCGCCTTTTTGGGTAGAAGTTTTCTACTCAGCTAGAGAGATCTCCCTAAGAGGATCTTTAGGCCTGAGTTGTGAAGCGCAACCCCCGCAAAACGCATTTGCCATCACAGTTGGCACAAACGCAGGGTAAACGGGCTGTGTGAGAAAACGGCCCTGACTGTAAACTGCTGAAGGTCCCTGACTCCTAAGAGAACCACACCCAAAGTCCTCACTCTTGCAGGGGTAGACATTTCTGGTTTGGTTTGTTCTCTAGATAGTTACACACATAAAGACACCACTCAAAAGGAAACTTGAATAATTTATAATTTTGATCGAGTTTCTTAAAAGACCCTGGAGAAAGAGTGGCATTTCTTCTGTTTCAGGTTTTGTCTGAGTTCAAACTAGTGCCTGTGTTGTTACGGAAAGCAGCAGTGTACCAGTGTCACTCTGGAGTACAGCGGGAGAAACACAAAATAGTATAACTGAAAACATTAACATTCAGACACACTCCCTTCTGCCTTCCGGCTTAAAGCTGTGGATGATCCACGTTTTTGTTTTTTTAATGTTAAATGTGTAACTCAGTATTACTGAAAAGGTACCCACATTTTGAATAGTAGTTATCACTCTTAGGTCAGACAGCCATCAGAATTCTCCCACACCAAGTGCATGTCAGTTGTGGAGAAAACATAGCAAAAAGAGCCGTACGCTCTTTACAGATACTAATGTCAAGAGTTAAACCTCCTCAGGTTCAACCTGTGATAAAAGACTAGTGCTTCCCAGTACTTGCATGGGGTTCACTATTTATAGTTTTCTTGGGAGTATCACAGGAAAATCACAATTACACCACTTTAGACCCTATGTGTAGCAGGTCACAACTTACCCTTGTGTGTTTAGATGTGTATGAAATACCTGTATACGTTAGTGAAAGCTGTTTACTGTAACGGGGAAAACCAGATTCTTTGCATCTGGGCCCTCTACTGATTGTTAAAGGAGTTCCTGTCACCTGCTCCCCCCACCCCCGCATGCGTCTGTCCACTTGGCTAACTTTTAATATGTGTATTTTTACATTATGTATATTCTTAACTGGACTGTCTCGTTTAGACTGTATACATCATATCTGACATTATTGTAACTACCGTGTGATCAGTAAGATTCCTGTAAGAAATACTGCTTTTTAAGAAAAAAAATAACATGCTGAGGGGTGACCTATATCCCATGTGAGTGGTCACTTTATTTATAGGATCTTTAAAACATTTTTAATGAACTAAGTTGAATAAAGGCACAATTAAAAACTGTCATCAAAGCCCAGTTTAATGGGATTCCGTATTTGAGACTTGGATCCCACACTGTTTGTACTTTCCAAAGCCAAGCGGGTCCTTGTATTTCCAAGGAGGGGCATCCAGGCTGGTCCTCTCGTGCAGAGGGGGCACTCACGTGGATGAGCATTGCCCTCCGAGGGCCTCTGCCTTGTCAAGGGCACCCTCCACCTTGGCCAAGGCCCTGCCACCAGGTCTGGCCTTTACAAAGCCAAGTCCTCTTGAGAACTCACGTGCCACGGGCTATCAGGATGGATGCGAATTGACCTACATGTTTTGTGGGACTATAACACCCAACAACCTACTGCTGTAAACCACCCACCACCATAAGTATTTATTAGGTATGTGTGTGTGGTCGAGAAAGTGTACCCTTGGGGGACCCAGTGGGGAGCTGCTGGCATCGTGTACAGATGCAGCACACACACACTTCAGCACTCAGACCAGACAAAAAGTGGCCAACCTCATCATCTAGGGAACTCTGAGCCCAGCTCCCGTTTAAGTAGGCACCTAAAAGTCTGTTGAAAAATACAAGGGAGTGACCTGAGAAAACTGCCTTCCCAGGCCAGCTGCTCAATAGAAGCGTCTGCGTCCCTTGTCCCGTCTTCGGAGCTCCCCGTGGGTGCTGTAGCCCCACTCACTTCCCTGACATCACCAGAGCACATGCTCAGTATGTTGCCACCTCCCAAATCCAGAAGGGTGTGGTCTTAGATGCCATGGAAGCGATTCTGTACAATGCCGAGTCAGTCACAGGCTGATGTGGCAGCTGGTGGCTTGTGTCACTGTGTCACCCACCTCCGCAGCAGGCCTGCTCCCTCCCTGGGAAAGAGCTACTTCAGGGTAGGGCCACATTGCCAAGGTATCTTGAGATCCATTCATGCCAACTTTCATTTTCATGGAAACTCGTGAACTCGTGCTGGAACATCTTTAACCCCAAATCAGGAATTTACGTCTTTGTTATTAGCAGGGACACTTAAAAAAAAAAAAATACAAAACTTGGCCAGGTGTGGTGGCTCACGCCTGTAATCCCAGCACTTTGGGAGGCTGAGGCGGGAGGATCACCTGAGCTCCGAAGTTCTGGACCAGCCTGACCAACATGGAGAAGCCCAAGTCTTTACTAAAAAATACAAAATTAGCCGGGCGTGGTGGCGCATGCCTGTAATCCCAGCTACTCGGGAGGCTGAGGCAGGAGAATCGCTGGAACCCGGGAGGTTGGCGTGAGCTGAGATCGTGTCACCACATTCCAGCCTGGGCAACAAGAGCGAAACTCCATCTGGAAAAAAAAAAAAAACACAAAACACTTGGCAACTTGATTGAGAATCAACAGATTTAAAATGAGGTATCCCTGCTGTAAATGTGAGAGGCTAGAAAGGATGGAACCCCTAGTTTGGAGATTCAGACTGATGTGAAAAGGTGTGTGCTTCATATTCTGAGACAAAGACCTAGTGAAATAAAACAGCCTTTTTTAAAATTTTTATTTTCAGTACATTAAATTTACTCATAAAAACATTCTAAAAATGTACAATTTGTCCTTTTTAACAAAGTATAATAAAACATAAAAACCCCAAAAACAGAATACTTGACATTTACAATTCAAAATCAAATTAGCGGAATATTAAATATTTACAAAACTATATCTTTTAAAAATATTTATAAAGTTACATGCAATTTTGTAGAATTGACAAAAGAATGGCTCAAAAATGGGAGAATTTTCCTTCATTCCTAAAAAGAAAATATGTCCAATAGAAGCTGTGAAGGTATCGAGTACACAAGGTGTCCAGTTTCAGTACCAAAGCCTTCTCTTTTTGTGCACGTAAGACTCACACATGTGATGAGGGCTTGTTACAACGCACGTGAGGCCGCGGCGGATGGCCACTGCCCCCTTCCTTGGTGAACAGTGGAGCAATGTTAACCTTTGGCCTCAACCAGCACAGTATATGGTTTTCTAGAATATTGCGAGTGTTGAGTGTTGATTAAAGATGCTTTCATTCAGACCCTTGGGACTTTTCAACAAATTCGCCTCTTCAGAACCCATGGCTTTCAGTGCCACCTGACTCATTCTTTGGAAGTCACCTGCATGCTGGAAATGGCAGCCACCCCCGCTCAGGTCGCACAGGACTCTCCTCTGGGACAGCAGTCGAGTCAAGCAGGGAGACGGCTTTCCTCACAACCTTGAAGACCATCAGTCATCATGATGTACAACGAGCAAGGCATAAAATAAAACACTGGGAAGCAGGAAGAGTGACAAGAAAATGACAGGGAGCAAGGAGGGTGCAACCCAGTTCCCATCTGGCAAGTGCCTAAAGCCCCGCTCAGCCTCTGTTCCAGCTGGGTGATGTTTAGGCAAAGTCACTACCCCGCCCCACTACTGTGCCCCAAGACAGAGTCTGTGGTATAAACTAACTGTGCTGACTTTGGGCAATAAAGGACCTAGAATTCTAAGTACTGAATTAAAAATACAGAACCTACTAACACTACTGTATTAACAAGCTGACTCCTGTAATCTTTTGGAGATGACAGATGATACTGGTTTTTAAAATACCCAATCACATATATGCATTCAAGAAAATATTTTGTCTTTATTTTTATTACAAGTGCGCTAGCTCCCATTTCCTCAGTGCTCTTTAGCAATGAGTTTTTATGTTAAACACTTCCAACTGTCAGTATTACCATGAAATCAACATTAGAAAATAAGGTAGAAAACTGAGTGTTTTGCTTAAAAAATAAAAAAGGATTAAATAGCTGTTGTATCCAAACATCACGTTCTGCTTCCATCTCTACATTCCACTTTCCCCATTCTTGGAGATTAAAAAAACAGGGTTAGAAACTTTAATATCTGACAGACTACAAAGGGCAAAGACGTGGCACATGGCCAGTGCCACACCTACCTGGTTGCCACAGCATTCTGAAACAGACCACACTTTCAGGAAAATGACTAAGTACTTGAAAGGGTCAGTATGTTCTGTGTTTTCAGATGAGGAAGTCTGATGACCGCAAAACGCTCTTCAGACGCGCCGACCTTGGTGGCTTTTGGAGAGATGCATCCGAGCTCGCTGCTGGCAAACTCTCAAGTCCAAGTGTGCGGCTCCCTCCGGAAAGAGGCCTCACGGATGGGTGGTTCCATTTTCTCTGCGCTGTGTAGCTCCTACTTACAGCTGACGATTCTCGACTTCGGACGGCCTCCCTGGAGATGTCACACGCCGCCCATGCACGTTCAAGACGACTGGCAGCTCCGCAGAGGCCTTCGCTGCTGGGAACACAGCCGTGACAGTGTCGGAACTCATCTACCTCAACGCTGAATGGCAGGCTCCAAGTTGAAAAGTTTCTGTTTTAATGTTTTGCTGGATTTAAGGTTAACCTCTAATACTTATCAAAATAGTTACGTGGGTAACAACAGACGCTTTCATTCCCCTATACTGACCACTAAAACAAAAATTCCAATGTTTTTTCCTTTTGTTATGAGACGGTTTTCAACAATTTCAGTGTTGAAATAGGATTTATTTAAAATATTTCTTTGCTTAAAAAAACCAAAAAATTTAAAAGTTTGGCTTTCAGCACATATCCAGGCCACTGTAATGGCCTTCAGAAATATTAAAATCGTAAACATCAATGAACACTCTAAGTCTTCCTTAAACGTAATATGAGAAGGTCCAGTCTAGTACTCTTTAAGGCAAAGTTGTGTCAGTTCTCATTATTTTGACATTTTGTAGTGTTTACAATTTAAGAGATCAACGTAACATTCCCCTAAATAGCTGTTGTAATAAGCATCACCATTACTTCAACACTGTAATACTGTGTACCATGAGGAGAAGAGGTCTGTTAATTCTGCATTGCATAGAAATAAAATTCAACTAAAATAAAACTAAAAAATTCTACTAAAAGCCTGTCATAAAAAAAATGTAACAACTTTCTGCTTTAGTTTCTATGAAGTTAGGAACTGCTCTTCAAATTGAACGCTCACATCACAAGGCCTCATTCTAGGGTATTCTTCTGATTTACATCAATTTTTCATGAGGCTGATTGTCCCATTTTAAGAATAGTCTGAATATTATAATTTTTTTTAAAATAAATATCCAACTGCAAAATCCCAACTGCAAGATTTTACCAATCAGTATTTTAACATTGAAGACTTTAGCATTTTCGATAAGAGTATTATTTGAGCAGAAAATTCCCTTTAACCTTGAAGATTTAAGTCCGTAAATTTCAGACAAAAGGCTTTCATTTCCGTGGGTTGAAATTTAGAGATCTACAGTGAGGACTTTTATTACTACCTAACCAAAACCAGACTTGCACAGATCTCGCAGCTCTCGGGTGTGTGGCCTCTTCCAGAGTCCTACCACTTCCCACTGTTTTCCAAGTAATTTTTAACGGAATTAACTATCAATACACAGCCTAATACAAAAGAAGTTGACAGGAGAAAATTCCCAATCTTTTGCTGATAAATGACAGGACTGTATCATTGTTGAAATGTCTGTCTCAGGTGTGAATCCGCTAGCGATAAGCCTCGGGGTTGGAGGTTCTTGGGGAGCCCGTGGGAGATAAAGCAACTTGCAAACTCTGCTGAGGACGTGCAGCATCCTCACAGCCACTCACAGAGCCGCGCTGTCGCCGTCCCCCCTCGAGAGGTCATTTGTAGTGGAAGATAGGGCTCAAAGCCACTGACTGGCTGGGAAGAAAGATACTCTCAAAGCTTTGACGACTATGGATTCTCTGGGACTTGGACCCTTAGAAATTAAGTTGTTGCGAGTAAACTATTTCTATTTAATAACGTAGTTTAGATTTATTTGCAGAAAAAAATTAAAAACCTGAAACTGCTACAAGTGCTTGGAGGAGGGAAGGAAATACTAAAACCTCTGTTGCGTCCTAAGTCGAGTAGCCTCTGCTGGTGCTGACTCTTTCAATATGGATTATTGGAGTCTCTTGCACTGACTGTTCTCAGAGGAGTTTGGCTCCCAGAACCGCAGAGATTTACATCAGGGTACATTCTTCTGTAGTGCAATCCTTAAAAATCCCAGAGATTAGTGCTAATCACTTTAGGAACAGAACAAAACAAAGTCGACATTTTCCCTAGCCCAGGGGTGTCAGGAGTCCGGCGGGTGGAACTCCACTTGGAGAACTCCAAGCTCGGTTCTCGATTCAGACCACGTGTAGCTGCCCTGGAATTGACGTGTGAGCCTAGGAGGGCCAGTGATGGCAATGCTCTTCGGGAGACATGGCGTCTCTGCACTGCAACCAAAAGTGGAGGTGGCCGATCTCACCAGCCACAGAGATGCCCACTAGGCGAGTTCTGACACCAAGCTCCAATCTAGGGTTTTGGCAATAAATCGAGTTTGATGCACTTCTACGCTAGATTTTCTATCCAGTCTAGGAAAAGTAAAGCACCTTTGGATTAAAAAGATTAAGCTCAACAGCAACTAGACTTCTCAGTTTTGTATTTAATTTTCCTTATGTCTCCATGGCTTAATAACGTTCTGTTGCCAGAGAAAAATATCAATCTGTGGAGTCCAGACTTTCTGCTGGAGGGGCGTATTTCAACCTAAAAGTACCTAGAGAGAGGGGAAAAAAGAGGTCAAATTTGAATGACTGTAGAATCACCACCAACCACCAATCTGTCCAGTCATGTCCAGAGCCACTGGGCAAGATTCTGGTGCTGGAAATCTAGGCCACCCATCCTGACCGTTTCTACTCCCTTCCTGCCCCTGCAAAATGGGACCTAATTTTACAAGTTTATCAAATCTGACCGGGGTGAAATGACTCAGGAAAAGTTCACCATCTTTTTCTTTGGGAGCTTCCTCTGGGAGTCAGGCTCTGCACACGTCAGGCGGGCTGCTCTAACATGCGTCCTTTCACTGGGTGAGGGCAGGTGAGCGCTGGTGAGTGCCCCGTGCCTCTGGAGATGCAGCCAGCTTTATGAAGGGAGGCACAGGCCCACCCGGGCCCGCATGGCAGAGCGCCTGTCAACCCACCTTGCCTGCAGGCCTGCTGAGTCAGCAGGCGTGTTTCTAAAAACTCTCCAGGTGAACGTGATGTTACAGGCAGGTCTGAGAATCACAGATCTAGTGCAACCCTTAGAAGCAACTGGAAGTCTGCAGAGATCAAGTGACTTTGGCAAGGTGGCACCATGAGTTGTCAGAGTTGGGACCCACCTTCCCAGTCCCCCGTTTCCAAAACAGACAGCAAGAAGAACCCTATTACAACTACATCAGACATCCACTGGGATTTGACTAAAGGAGACAAAAAAATAGCGGAGATAAAACAGGAGGGAACGGAAGATGCAGCATGGCTGAGGGGTGACAGCCCCCCACACCCACAGCCGCGCCGGCAGGGAGGGGCAGAGGGGACAGCGAGCCCCACCCCAGAGGGTCCGGAATGCCGATGCGCCACAGCCTGAGGGCCCCAGTGTTAAGCCAGGGGGCAGCACTGAATCCCTCACACGTGCCTCTCTGGGCTCGAATCAGGACACGGCAGTCCAGGGAGGCCCTGTCCACACTGGCTAAGCACCTTCTAGAACCAGAGGCTGTCTGAAATCATCATGGCCGTTTTAGACCCAACAGCAGTCCTTCTGGGGACCTCACGGCCTATCATGAAGATTTCCACGCGCTTTCAAAGAGCATTCGAAAAATTATTTGCTTTACAAAGAAAGAAGTTTACTCTTCATAAAAACCAAGCATTTGTGTGCACTGGTCCTGCGGGAGCCTGGTGGGCGCGGCCATGGCGCGCGCTTACCTGGCCGGTTGAAGTCCATGGACGGCTGTTTGCAGTCCTGGGCGCGGTGACCAGTGGCCCCGCAGTTGTAACAAGATAGGTTCCCGCTCTTTTTGTGACTGGAACCATTGCTACTGCCCACCAGTCCTTGGGTCTGGTACACCCCTGCTGTCCCTGCCATGAAGTTCTGCATGGGTGGCACGGCAAACGTGGACTGCCCACTCAGGACAGGGTCTGGGGTCCCGCTGCTGCTGTAAGGGGCGTGCACGACGGGGAAGGTGGAGCCGCCGCCGTACTGCTGGGCGCTGACGTAGCCGCTGCTGCACATGGGACTGAAGGGCAAGAAGGGGAAGGTGAACACGGACGGACCGGAGAACGGGTGCTGGAAGTAGTTGGCGTAGCTGACAGTCAGGCCACTCGAGCCGCAGCTGCCGCTGCAGCCACAGGACGTGCACACAATGCAGCCTGGCGGGGGTGGGGCGGGCTGCGGGGGTGCCGGGGGCTGCTGATGGTGGTGGTGGTGGTGGTGGTTCGGATTCGAGGCAGGAATGTTTCCTGTGGAGCCGCCACCGCCACTGCTGCTATAGAAACTGCTTTCAGGGACGGAGGACAGCGCCGGGCTGGAGCTGGGGGCTGGGCAGCTGGGCAACGTGGCCATGTTGGCAAAGGACGTGGAGGGGTGGCTGCTGGGAGAGGCAGTGTTGCTGTTTGCACAGAAGCCACCCTGCAGGGGGCCCACTGGCATACTGCTCATTGCAGAAAAGGCAACTTTGGTGTTGGCTGTGTACAGAGCAGTCCGGGGGTTTATTATTGCAGGGGGCACACTTATTTGCACATTATTAGGACAGGAAGTTTGCCCAGAAATGGCAGAATCAGCAGGAACAGATGACGACAGCAGCAGTTTGATGGGCGGACGGGCGGCGTGGAGGACTGTGCTGGGCGTCCCCGTGGCGGCCGTGCTGGTCTCCACGACCAGGGCCGGTTGCTGTGCTGTCTTCAGCACCCTGTCCAGCGTGGATGCATGCACGACTTTGGTCCGGGGACCAAAGGAGACTGTGGGTGACATGGAGCTGCTCTCCGAAAGCCCAGAGAGGACCTGCACAGGCTGGTGGGGTGCGGACGCGGGCAGCACGTCCATCATGGCGCTGCCAAAGCTCTTGTCCACTTTCATGCTGCTTCTTGGTCCAGATCCTTTATTCCTTTCTTCTAGAGACAAAAGTGAGTGCACAGAAGACGAGAGGAGCTTCATGTCCGCGCTCCCTCTTTCCGGCTTGTGCACGGAATTCAGCATGCGGATGGGTGTGATGTGTGAGGCTGCGCTCAGCATCTGCGGGGGCAGGGGGTGGTGGCCTGATGGATTGGAGCTGGCCTCATTCTGCACAGGGAGAACCTGGGCCGTGGGTCTGGCGGAACTGGAAGTGAAGTGATTCAGCAGCATCACCGGCTTCTCCTTGTCAGAGCTCTCCAAGTGAATCTCCACACCTAGAGAGGGAAACAAGAGTGGTCAGTGCCATTCCACAGCTGGGCCAGGTCGAGCCAGCGCCGCGCACGTGCCCTTACGTCTGTCATTCTCCTCAGCGCTGTCGGAGCTCTCTTCCCGGGCCTGTACCCCCATGGGGCTGGAGGAGGAGCTGGAGTACTCCGAGGAACTGCCTTCCCGGGGCAGCTGGTGATGGGGCTGCTCCACTTCCACCCGCAGCTCTGCAGAAAAGGGACAGAGGAGCAGCCATCAACTAGCGCCCCTGCAGGCTCAGCCCGCCCCGTGCCCCTGCATCGCACTGT
Source organism: Homo sapiens (assembly GCF_000001405.40). NCBI lineage: Eukaryota > Metazoa > Chordata > Mammalia > Primates > Hominidae > Homo > Homo sapiens. The sequence continues at coordinate 87,413,277 of NC_000016.10, forward strand.
CGGCAGGTGCTCCTTCCAGGGAAACGCAGGGCTCTGAGAGTCAGAAAACGAACACGCCGGCCCAGGCCGCACGGTGACGGATGCAGCAGAGATTCAAATGGCAGCGATGCTCAACACCCGCTCAGCCAGGGCCCTGCCGGCCCCCGCCATCAACCCCAGAACAATGCCCTGTGAAGGGCACCCCCAGCGCACCCCCAGGAACTATCACAACACTACACCGCACCCCATCTCACGAGGCCGGCCGAGTCACGGAGATCTTTTCAGTCAAATCACCACTTAAAATCCATCCTGCCAGGTTTTTTTTTTTCCCTCCTGAGCTACTGCTCCTCCGATTTCTATTGTGAAGAAAACCCGGCTCCTCTTGTGAGACAACGGAGCAAGCGCGCCAGGTGTCCCGCCCTTTCTGAGAGGGGAGGATGAAAACCAAATCGCTGAGACTGAGGGTCCCCCAAAGCAGGAAGGTCCATGGAGAACCATGTCACTGATGGGTCAACATTAAAGGCACTGACTTAAAACGTGGCCTCTGGGCACCAGTCCTGGGGTGGGGGGTGGGCGCAGGCTACTCCCATCTCATTTCTGCTCACCCCCACGCGCTCGCTCTCACTGTGGCAGTTTCTGGACCTGATCATTTTGCCCAAGCAACTTCAGGGAGGTGACTGCCCTCTAGCTCCTAAGCCAACTGTCCCTTCGATTTTCTTATGGCAGAGACTATAATAGTTAATGGAAAATGAGTATAAAGATTTAAAAATGTAAAAATCAAATAGGTGTGATTTGAAATCTAATGATCAAACAGAACACAAGGCCCTCTCTGTGTCTGCGTAACCGACCTGCCCGGCACACCGGCCCTCTCTGTGTACGAGTAACCCACCTGCCCGGCACACGGGCCCTCTCTGTGTACGAGTAACCCACCTGCCCGGCACACGGGCCCTCTCTGTGTACGAGTAACCCACCTGCCCGGCACACCGGCCCTCTCTGTGTACGAGTAACCCACCTGCCCGGCACACGGGCCCTCTCTGTGTACGAGTAACCCATCTGCCCGACACACGGGCCCTCTCTGTGTATGAGTAACCCATCTGCCCGACACACGGGCCCTCTCTGTGTATGAGTAACCCATCTGCCCGACACACCCTTGTTCACCTGCTGCATGGCTGCCCCGCCCCGACTGCACGGGCCCGACGTGGCTGGTGGGGGGCACTCGAGCCACACCACTGCTGGTGACCAGCGGCGGGGCCGAGGGGTTCAGGCACCGTCTCTCTGACTTCTCCCTGTGAAATAATCAAGCACAGGAACAAGTGAGCACTGCCTACTGGTGCTGCCTCACATGCGGCTTCAAGACGGGTCTACTCCACACCACAGGGCGGCTTTGATACAGGGCGACTTCGAGATGGGTCTACTCCACACCACAGGGAAATTCCCCCCAGAGCATTAAGGCAAGGAACTCATTCTGATTGGTCAAATTTACTATAAAGGTCCTTTCCTGTCAAACCTAAGACACATTTGTAGAACTTTAAAAGCATGACTAGGCCAGGCGCGGTGGCTCAGGCCTGTAATCCCAGCACTTTGGGAGGCCCAGGCGGGCAGATCGCCTGAGGTCCAGAGTTTGAGATCAGCTTGGCCAATATGGTAAAACCCGGTCTCTTCTAAAAATACAAAAAATTAGCCAGGCGTGGTGGCGGGTGCCTGTAATCCCAGGTACTTGGGAGACTGAGGCAGGAGAATCGCTTGAACCTGAGAGGCAGAGGTTGCAGTGAGCCGAGATTGCACCACTGCACTCCAGCCTGGGCACGACAGAGCGAGACTCCGTCTCAAAAAATAAATAAATAAAAATAATCCGTCTCAAAAAATAAATAAATAAAAATAAATAAAAGCATGGCTAAGGACTGGATAAGCAACAGGAACTAATCCAATCACTAGTATTTAGCACTGGAAGCCTCAGCACTCCATTCGGCACACGAGAAATGGAAATAAACACAGGTTTCAAAACCCACTTCACACTCACTTTTCCAGCTCCAGCTGGGTCTTGAGCTTCTTCTTTGCCCCCATGGTAAGAGACTCAAATTTATTCAGATCTTCTTCAGTAAGGCTCAAAAACTTTCACAGAAAAAACAAATTACAAAGTTACGGAGACATAAGTAGGACTCTGAGAACAAAGAACTTGGAGTTGAATTCAGTACATTTATTCTGCCTCTGGGATATGCAAACAGATCCAGCTGAACTCAGCAATTACAAGCTGGGAAATCCTAGACCCTTTACTTGCTAAATGACTTGGTGTCAACGGTTCAACTCCGAGACGCAGTTCTGAGCAAGAGTGTCCCCGGCTCCTCCAGGGCACCTTCTGTGCAGGCTGTGTGGATGGGTGCACCACCTCACAGGCTGGCGGCTCTGCCAAAGGTGCCCACTTGCCCTCTGCTCTGTGAGTAAATACCAGCAGGTACATGCTTTGGGGCAGGTGACTAAAGAAAACGTCTTGCATAAGTCACAGTTTGAATCACCGTGGAGATGCAAGTTATGATAGCGTGCCACCCCCACCCTCCCCAGGACGGCCCCATCACAGTGCCATCCCTTCAGAACTCATCACCCTCTGCGGGATGGTCGTCTTTTTCTTCCTTTTTTTGAGACAAAAATCTCGCTCTTATTTTGTTTTTGTTTGTTTGTTTTTTTGTTTTTTGAGACGGAGTTTCACTCTGTCACCTAGGCTGGAGTGCAGTGGTGCGATCTCGGCTCACTGCAACCTCCACCTCCCGGGTTCAAGTAATTCTCTGCCTCAGCCTCCCGAGTAGCTGGGATTACAGGCACCCACCACCATGCCCAGCTAATTTTTGTATTTTTAGTAGAGACGGGGTTTCACCATCTTGGCCAGGCTGGTCTTCAACTCCTGACCTCAGATGATCCACCTGCCTCGGCCTCCCAAAGTGCTGGGATTACAGGCGTGAGCCACCGCACCTGGCCAGGGATGACAGCAACTTTGTCAGGTAGCAAGTGATGCAGAAAAGCAGATGCCATCCACGCTGAATGGTTGTGTGGCTACTCCATTGTGTAGGCTGGTGCTACGCAAACACACCAGCCTCTAATTTTCATGTTATTTCCTAACATGATTTGTGATTTAGGCCATCTCAATGCAAACGTAAGAATAAAACATTTAAAACTAATTATGAACAAGGTTAGTAAAATCTCTGCTTTTTAAGATTCACAAATCCTTGGCCAGGCGCGGTGGCTCATGCCTGTAATCCCAGCACTTTGGGAGACCGAGGTGGGCAGATCATGAGTCAGGAGTTCGAGACTAGCCTGGCCAACATAGGGAAACCCTGATTCTACTAAAAATACAAAATATTAGCCAGGTATGCTGGTGGGCACCTGTAATCCCAGCTATTCAGGAGGCTGAGGCAGGAGAATCGCTTGAACCCGGGAGGCAGAGGTTGCAGGGAGCCGAGACCATACCATTGCACTCCAGCCCAGGTGGCAGTGCAAGACTCTCCATCTCAAAAAAAGAAAAAAACATTCACAAATCCTAAACAAAGGGTATTACAAATATACTTACAATTTGGATTTAACTATGTAGTAAAAGCTTGATTTCTAGGTTCAATTGTAGATTTTTCGAGAAATGAAATTTTTACATAGATAAAAGCCACCAAGCCGGTTTGCCCAGCAGAGGGAGTCCAGAGCTCAAATACCTTGTATGGGTTTAATCTAGTTTTATCACTGACATCAAGACTTAAGAAATTTCTGAATTTTTTTAACAGTGAAAAAATGTTCCTCATAAGAATTCTCTAGGTACGACTGCTTGGAAGATGTAAAATGCACCCATTCCTCTAGATCTGGCCCGCCGCAGTGTCTGCGCCAGCTACGCCGAGAAATGTCTAAAAGGGGCACCGTGCCAGAGCTCAGGATTTCTGTCCACAGCAGGGCTCTGGGGACGGACTGTCCCTCCCGTCACGCAGAGCATCTAGTTTGTGAAGGTCTTGAAGCCCCTAGACAAGCTGTTTGTTTACAACATGTCCTGTTTGTGGCTGGCTGCAGCTGCAGGCGGCCTCCGCAAAGCCCACCGTCTCCCTTAAGAACAGGCGCTGCGCCTCGGCCTCCGTACTTCATCCACCTTGTGTTGGTTTGGAAACTCAATGCCCCCAGGGAGGTCTTGAGTAAACAATCTAGCAATTCTGTACGGCCAGCCAGAAAACCGACATACCTTCTCCATGGAGAGCTGCTTAAAGACGGGGTAATACTTGTGCAAACGCAGTTTCCTAAGCCAGTCTAGAATCCCATTCTGCTCCTGGGTCTGAGGGGTCTGCAGACTGGAAGGCATGAGGATGGCAGGTGATGTGTCCATCTGGGTCCGGTAGGCCAGGGCTGAGCCCGCGCTGCCCGCATGGGAGCAGTGAGGCAAGGGGGCGGCGGAGCCGGCCGGGTGCTGCCCGTGGTGCTGGGCTCCGCTCTGCGAGGACGGGATACCAGCCACTCCACACACAGGCCTGTGGGACAGGGGCAGGAGGGACACAGAGAGACTGTGGCTTCCACAACCACAGACTCCACCACAGACCTCACTTCCAGGCCTTTCTGTGCCAGCCTCTGCCTCTTGGCCGGCCCTGTTGTCACAGGCCACCCTGAACTGCCAACACTGCTGTGCTATGACTGCCCTCCCTCCCCAACCACCTTTCTGCAGCTAAGATTTCTGTAATGCATGTCTGTGCACACGTGTGCATACAGGCGGCTGTGCATATACACACACATGCCTCTGCCCGTGCTTCGGAGTATGCGTCTACTTGTGTGTACGTATGTGTATTATGTATGTGTACGTCTCTGTCCCCACCAGACTTCTGCTTTAGCTGCCAAGTTTCTGTTACTTGTATTTTTTAAAAACATGCTACTCCGATAGGTATTTCTGTTACTTCTAAGTCACAGAATGACACTGATAAATCATACATCAAAATAGACTATTAAATCTTTAATGTTCAAATACAATTTTTCTAGAAAAGTAAAACGCAGAAGGCTGGAAGGTGTGACCGGCACTCCACTCTGGCCTTGCTCCTTAACTGCAAAGTCACACCTGCTGACTGGGCGCTTACCCTACCCCGACACCAGGAGGATGCCAGTCTACGCCTCGAAACCTCGCGCCCAGACAACATCTCCACGAGACTCCCTATGGGGGTGCGTGTGCACTGATCTGTGACAGCCCACCTCACTGTCAGCAAAGATGGGAGCCTCTGTGTTGCCGGCATACGACTGCAGCTACCCAGGGCCCGTGCGGACAGAGGACGCTCCTCAGGAGCACGACCCTATGCTTCTGGGAGCAGGTTTCTCACAGCCAGATTCTCGGAAATTCTGACTTTCTACGTCTATGATGGGGCCCAGGACCTTGCACTGGGGAGGAGTCCCTGGGAATTCTGATTCCAGTGGCTTAGAGAACTCTTTTTTTGGAAATCGTAAATTCAATCATCTCTACTCAATTCTTCTCAATATCATCCAAGACTCAACTTGAGCATGACTTAATTCTTGGAACAACTTTACACAGAACTCAAAGTAAACATTGTAAAATGCTTATCTGAACTGTGCTGGTTACATAGAAGATTTCTCACCTTCCAGACACGCCCATCACGGTACCTACTTTAGAAAGGGAGGGATTGCCAGGACCTATAAATTTAAAAATAAATACCATAAAAATTTACAGACAATGAAAATATTTGTTTTATTTTATTATTTTTTGAGACGGTGTTTTGCTCTTGTTGCCCAGGCTGGAGAGCAATGGTGCGATCTCGGCTCACTGCAACCTCTGCCTCCCGGGTTCAAGTGATTCTCCTGCCTCAGCCTCCCGAGTAGCTGGGACTACAGGCGACTGCCACCACGCCCGGCTAATTTTATATTTTTATTTTATTTTGGAGATGGAGTCTTGCTCTGTCAACCATGCTGGAGTGCAGTGGGGCAATCTCGGCTCACTGCAACCACCGCCTCCCGGGTTCAAGTGATTCTCCTGCCTCAGCCTACTGAGTAGCTGGGATTACAGGAGCCTGCCACCACGCCCGGCTAATTTTGTATTTTTATTTTATTTTGGAGATGGAGACTTGCTCTGTCAACCATGCTGGAGTGCAGTGGTGCAATCTCGGCTCACTGCAACCACCGCCTCCCGGGTTCAAGTGATTCTTCTGCCTCAGCCTCCCAAGTAGCGGGGACTGCAGGCATGCATCACCACGCCTGGCTAATTTTTTTGTATTTTTAGTAGACACGGGGTTTCACCATATTGGCCGGGCTGGTCTTGAACTCCTGACCTCGTGATCCACCCGCCTCAGCCTCCCAAAGTATTGGGATTATAGGCGTGAGCCACTGCGCCCAGCCTAATTTTGTATTTTTAGTAGAGACAGGGTTTTTCCATGTTGGTCAGGCTGGTCTTGAACTCCCAACCTCAGGTGATCCGCCCGCCTCAGCCTCCCAAAGTGCTGGGATTACAAGCATGAGCCACTGCGCCCAGCTGTTTTTTTTTTTTTTAATTTATATTTAACCATATTTTACAAACTCACTTGGACTCTGAAGCTGCTGTGGGGGAGAGGAAGTGCTGAGAAACCTCCTGACATGGTCATTTTTCAACACGTGAGAAGGTAATGAGGCCAGGTACCTAAAAGGCAAACAAGTGGTCTTATCAACATTAAAATGGCATTCCTGCTGACGAATTGAAAGAAAAAAATTTAACTTTTAATCAAGAGAAATGTGTATTAGAGGAAAAAAGCCAGAAGTGCCAGAGCCTCATATTCTTCCTGCTTTAATTCAACTGAGTTCTTGCCCGACTGCCACTGCTTCTTCAAGCCCTTCCTCTCAATGCTGTATTCATGGCCACCAAGGTTGACGACAGCAGTCATGCCCTGTGACATGAGATCAGTGCCACCCACCAGCCAGAAAGGTGCTTGGACACTGGTCCCCAGGGCCCCGGCAGCAGCACATTTACGGAACTGGTCGGCCATGTTACTTCGTGTGCCACGTGAGCCAAGACACGATCGAGGGTCCAGAGAAACTGTTTAAGAGACGCCAATTTTATCTGGGAATAGTCTCAACCTTGGACTACAGGATGGAAACAGCAGCCCAGGATTATTTCACAGGACTGCCAAAGCCCAAGACGTGGTGGGACCCACCCTGGAATTCCCTTCCTCACACACTCAGAACCACTCTCAGCTTACTGAGGGCTCCCGAATCCTCCAGAACTAATGGAAATCCCTAGAGGCCAAGTAGAGACCCAGGTCCAGGTGACCGCGCATCCTCCCAGAGCTCCTTGGAGGACCACAGCATTGACCACAGGACCAGCCTGTCCTTGCCAGCTGTGGACGCGCCGGGTGCCTGGTAAGGGCCTCACCTCAGGCCTGAGTCCAGATCCACGTGGTTTCGCTCCACATAAAATGCGTCCGGACCAGCTAAGCAAGGAATGAGTTTCTCCAAGTTCTCTTCAGGATAGAGCTGACATAGCTGGAAGAGAGGACAAGGTAGAGGAGGTGTGTCCAGACCCATCCAACACCAGCAGAATTCTGCTACTGCAGGAAAACCTGGGGCAGGTGCTCCATGGTGCCGCCTGCTGGTCTGATATGATTTACACCTCCCGTCAGAGCTATTCTGGGGCCCACATCCACTTAGGGTGTAGAAAGTCACAAAAGAACATCGCTCTCACAGTTACATCCGGAAAAGCTTGACAATCTGCACAATCACAATGTTCCTTGAGCCCATCTGAGAGTTGCTGGGCCACTAAGTCAACTTAATTTCAAACGGGACCTGCTCCCATGACAAGCCAGGGCACAAGGCCCTGGTGGCTGCCACACCAGCAGGTCTGGAGAGACAGGTTCCGATGGACACACTGCCACAGGCTGACGTGGCCAACAGAAATGCCGGAGCCCCAGGCGGGGCAAGTGGGCCCTTCTTTCCAAGTTCCTTTCCGCAGGAGGAGCCAGAGAGAGCCCCATCGGTGGCACCTGGGGACCGGGCACCAGGCCTAGTGCAATTCCCGGGACCACTCTCTGGATCTGAGGAAAAGCCCTTAAGACGTTGCAGGAGGGACAAAAATTGCTCCTGGCCCCAGAGCCCAAACCAAAGGCCCGGTTTTTAGGAGTGGGGCAGGGACAATACTTCCCTTCCTCTGCCACCAGTCACAAGAAGACCCGCTGCTCCTGGAAGAAGGGGAAAAGCAAAAGCGCTCTGGTGCTGGAGGAGGTCAGCTCCTGCCGGGGAGGGCAAGGCACTGAGGAAGTGCCACCCCGAAGCCCAGGCACACAGGCCTGCCCAGGATCAGGCTGGGCTGCAAGAGTGAAGGCCCTTGCCCCCACAAGCCCAGCACCAGGTCGCAAACAAGCAGCAGCGGTCTACCCCCGAAAAGGGGCCGAGAGGGTAGAGAGTGCCCTGCTGTGTGCCACAGGCCTGCAGGGACGGCTGAAAGCTGGGAGTGAAGCAAAACGGCGGAGAAGACCCTCCAGACTCAGGCAGCAGCTGCCTTCACTGGAGAGGCCCTGAGGGTAACAGAGGCAGCAAGAGAGCCCAGTGCCAGCTTCATCCTGCCCAGATGGCCTCCAGGACCCCACTAAGGGCCCTGGCAGAAGAGGTGTTGACCCTTTCCAGGCATAAATCTCGCTCTCCTCCGGCTCCACGGTCATCTAAACATGTCTGACATTCAGTCAACATTTGCAAGACATACCAAAAAAAAAAGGAATAAAGGGGGAAAAAACTATTGTCAAGAGATAAAGCAATCATTAGAACCAGATTCAGAAATAACTCAGATGTGGGACCTAGTGACAGGGACTTTAAACAGCTATGATGGATGTACTAAAGGACCTAGTGAAAACGACAATATGCACAAACAAGCGGGAACTTTCATGAACACGTTTCAGCAGAGAGATGGAAACTTCATGAACACGTCAAATGGAAAACCTAGGGGCAAAAACACAAAAGAAACCCCTGGCAGCAGAAATGAGGACTTGAGTACATGGACAGGCTCCACAGCAGCCTGGGCAGAACTGAGGGGATCGGCTGGTGTGGAAACGGGCACAGGAACCACCCAGACGTACACACAGAGAAATGCACAAGCATGGGAGAGCCGTGGGGCGGCAGCACCAGGGGTCTGAGGCTCGTGCCGCCAGAGTCCAGGAGAGGGGAGGATGCGGCAGAAGAAATGCTTGAGGAGAAAATGGATAAGAATTTTCCAAAATTAGGCCAGGTGCAGTGGCTCACACCTGTAACACCAGTACTCTGGGAGGCCGAGGAGGACAGATCACCTGAGGTCAGGAGTTCAAGAGCAGCCTGGCCAACATGGTGAAACTGTCTCTACTAAAAATTAAAAAAAAAAAAAAGAGAGAGAGCTGGGCGTGGTGGTGTGCACCTGTGATCCCAGCAACTTGGGAGACTAAGGCAGGAGAATTGCTTGAAGCCGGGAGGTGGAGGTTGCAGTGAGCCAAGATCATACCACTGCACTCCAGTCTGGACAACAGAGTGAGACTCCATCTCAAAGAAAAAAAAAACAAAACAAAACACTGAGACAAAAGCCCAATGAGAGGTCGAAGTTCCAGCCGGCAGGAGTGGAGTCCAGGGAAGCTGTGTTTAACAAAAGGGGAAACTACACACAGAGGCGAGGAGATTTAGTATTTTAAACACTACAGAGGGAAAAGCAGATTCCCGGGGGGGGGTGTGTGTTACCCTCGAAGGCGTGGCACTGTCGTGTTCTTCAATGCCCAAGAGGCCAAAAAGATAAGTGTAATCAGACATCGTCCTCACTCCATGTTCTCCTGCAGGATGAGGCCTTGGCTTTATAATGAAAAGTAAGGCTCTCTTTGGAGACATTTACATATGTTATCCCATTCACAAAGCTGACTGCCTGAGAGGCATCACTTTGGCTGAGACAGTCGTTCACGCTACAGCACAGGCCAGTGGGCCCTAAACACGTGTGCAGTTACAACTGTGTGTACACATGCACACGGAGGCAAAGAGGCATTTATTTAGTAGTGGAACTTTCTGTTCAATGGTATCTGCTGAACCAGATATTTGTAAAGATAAACGTGGGAGGACCACTTGAGCACCAGGAGGTCAAGGCTGCAGTGAGCTGTGATGATGGTACCACCACAACCCAGCCTGGGCGAGAGCAAGATCCAGTCTCTTAAAAAAATAATAATAAAATAAATAAATAAATAAAAACAGATAAAGGTAGAACTAGGTGAAGTCTCTACCCACTCAGCCACCTGAGCATGCCTCTCTCCCCCAGCCTTTGCCAAGGAAACCTGGGGGACTGAAAAGTAACAAAAGAAACCAAATGTCCTCATCAGTCGCTCATGCCCGGCGCATCTCTCAGCCTCATCTCAGTCTCAACAAGTGAAGGAGGCATCCGCGGGGTCACGGACCTGTGCTCGCAGCAACGCTCATGTCAGCAGCGGGCCTGGGACTCCACTGTGGCTGGGCAGGAGGCCCCGCCCTGCGCACGCTCACTCGCTAGCTGAAGGGAGTGGCCTCTGAAATTACTCCGTGGTATCATCAGCCACTGGGGAATGTGATTCTTTTAATTTTTATAAGAGCCCTTGATTACCTTACCTTTGAAATAAATTCCGTCACTTCAGAGGAAGATTTGGTTACTGATGTTATTGAAGAATCAGACCACAAGACCTTAAAAACAAACAAACAAACAAACCTTAGAAACAGACACCACATACTTGGTTCCCAGCACGTGTCCTGGTACGACTGGGGCACACGTTCAGTCGGCAGCTGAGCCCAGTGGGCCGTGCACCTGCTGTGGGAAGCACCTAAGCATCCCTTGACTTGTTACAGAAAGAAGAGTCACATAGCTCCAGGCCCTCTAAAGTCTAACTTGTTTTATGCAATTATTCAGATATCACCAAATTACTCCAGAGTGGGGTCTACAGCTGCCTCCTGTAAGTTCTAGAAAATCCCTGACAATTGCTTGTGTGTGCCCTGTTCAACTTCCTCAGGGGACCTCCTCTTCTTAAGTGAGCCTATGTGCCTCAGATGCAAGAGCGACACATTCCCAGAGAGCAGCCCTTCGACCACCGGTAAGGGCCCGTGGTGCGCCCGCCCAGGTGCTGTGGGCACACAGTGAGCCCAGGCCCTGCTCTCAGGACACTGCAGAGCTGTGGGGACAGTGTGAGTCCATTGATAGCAACAGGACAGGGCAGTGATCACTAGGGCAGCAGTGATCACTGCTGGGGAAGAGCAGTGAAAAGGGCTTTCTGGAGGAGATTCTGCAACGTCTGGTGTGCCCAGCCCTTGTGAGCATCAGCTTTCCTTCCCAGCATGCAGCAGCGGGCGGTGTCACTGCATGGCTCCACGGAGGTCCATCTCCCCACATGCACGCTAAGCTCCAGGGGGGAAGGGGCGGTGTCTTTTTGCTCAGCTCTCCCCTGGCTATCACAATGCTCGTCACATGAGGTGCTAAACAAAGCTGACTGAGGGGGAAGGAGAGCGTACTTTTTGCACATTAGAGGGAGTTTCTGCATGGAGAAGAGCTTGGGTTGACTTCTGAAAGGCAAATAAGAAGTTAGCTACAGGATTGAGATGGACAGAGGGGATGGCCTGAAATGACAGGGAGGAGGCCAGGTCAGGAAGGGACAAGCACCAAATGCAAATTGCACTCAAGTCCACAAGAAGCTGGGGGATTTCAAGTCGGCAAATAAAATGACCAAATACATTATGCAAAAGAAAACGCTGTATTAACACTGATTTAGAGCAAAGAGAGCTCACAGGCACCCAAACCACCTCTGCTCCCTCACCCACACCCACACCCACATCCATGGGCCTGCAGTCTAGTCCCCGAGGTGTCCACCCTCCTGCCTGCTGAAACTGAGGCCAGTCTCGTCACATCACGTAGCGTCACTCCTGGGTCTGTTTCATCACGCCCTCATAATACACAGGCCAGTCGAGGAAAGGGCCACCTCTTCTTCACCAGAACCCCAGTGCCTACCAGAATTCATCAAGGCAAGCAGCAGCGTCCCTGGAACTAACGGCTGCAAGGCGTGCACCTTGCCACCCAGAATCTTCCACACCTAAAATGAAAATGCTTGAGGCCGGGCGCAGTGGCTCACACCTGTAATCCCAGCACTTTGGGAGGCTGAGGTGGGCGGATCACCTGAGGTCAGGAGTTCAAGACCAGCCTGACCAACGTGGAGAAACCCCGTCTCTACTAAAAATACAAAATTGGCCGGGCATGGTGGCAGGCGCCTGTAATCCTAGCTACTTGGGAGACTGAGGTGGGAGAACTGCTTGAACCCGGGAGGGGGAGGCTGCAGTGAGCCGAGATCGCGCCATTGCACTCCAGCCTGGGCAACAAGAGCGAAACTCTATCAAAAAAAAAAAAGAAAGAAAGAAAGAAAAGAAAAGAAAAGAAAATGTTTGAGCTCCTTCTCTGCCTTAAATATTAAAATCTCTCAACACCAAAAATCTTGGGGAGAGGTTCCTAAGCTGCTCCCCACACAGAACTCCAAGAACACCACCACCAACAGACACAAACCCCTGCCGTGAAGATGGCTGTCCCCCGCGCTGCTGACAGCGTGTCTCTTTCAAGGTAAAGCGTGTCATAGAAAACGTCTCCTCTGCACAGCTCTCACACCTGCCTCTAGGCTGTATCTTTCCTACTGCGCCCTAACCCAGGGAAGATGTGAAATCCACCACCCCAGCGATTAAACATGGTATGGACAGATCATCTTATGTTGAAACAGACAATCTGCTTTTCCAACAGTTATGCACTTTAATTACACAGGACTCTTCTACTTTGTGTTCGGATACATTTTTCTCTGACTTGCAGGTGCAGCTCACATTCCTCCCTAAGGCTATCAGAAAGTGAGCACTGGAAACAGAGACCGCACAGTCAGGCGGAGACCAGCCCATGTCGCTCGCTCTGCAGGTGATGCTGGCTGATGGCTAAGCTGCAGCAGCCACGATCCAGACCCAGCCAAGCCCTCTACCTCACCTGCCGACTTGCCCCAGAGAGCCAGAAGGGGAACCGGCCGTTAGAGGGGCATGGGGGCGGGAAGAGCATCCTCTTGTCATACCTGCCTGACCCGTACTATGGGGACACGTGTCCAACCATACTCACAAGCATCCACAACCAGCTACCCCATTACTTTACATTTCACCAAGAAAAAGTGTTGCCAATTAGATTCTGGCACAGCATCTTCTATCACGTCCCTGAAAAGCTACTTAGCCTTATCTGGACGAATTGTAATGCATCTTCATCACACCCCAAAGCCCAATGTGCACACAGCCCGTGCATGCTCAGGATGTCCTCACACGCAGGGTCTAGTTCCTCCGGCTCACTGTGGACTGGCTCTGAACATCAGTGTTTTTCCACACAGCCTCCCCCTCCAGAGCCACTGGAGCCATGCGGCCTCATTCTGCACAAGAAAAGGCTCAGCCAGGCACCTCTGGGGGCAGGGCTCAGCCACACCCCTAAGGGGACAGGCAGCCCAGGATCCCCCAGACCTTTGGAGACCCCTGAGGAGAGCCAAGGCCCAGCACAGAGACAGGCAAAGCCAGCAAGGAGAACACAGCAGCCAAGGGAAAGCGTGGACTCTAAGAAAACTAAAAAATTTTCATCAATATTCTTACTAAGCTAAGAGAAGAAGGCATATCCGAGAACAGGATGCTATGAAAAAACAACTGTCAGAGCCCAAGAGTTCTCTGAAATGAAAACCAGGCCAGTAGGAATGAAACGCTCAACTAAAGGCAGGAAGACGAGGCAGCCGTCCACAGAGCAGAGCAAAAACCCGACGGGACGCGGGCTCGCGTGCACGCCAGAGGAGCTCCAGCCAACAGGGGAAGATGTGGGGGAAGGAGCAGCTTTCTAAGTCCTTGTCAATCAGCAAACAAACACAAAACAGCTCCAGTGGAAACAGTGTTGGATACTGGGTGAGACATGAAGACACCCAGAATCTCCACTCAGCTCTGCCACGGGTCACCTTCTGCAGCCACACTCATCACCACAGGTCCCCCAACCTTGGAGGGCAGGGTCTACCTAGTGCCTGCTGCTCTGGCAATGCCTGAGGAATCACTGGGCCCTCTGCTGTGCAGGTGTACACGTGATAAAAACAGAGACTCAGGGAAGCCTCACTTGCCAGGACTCCTTCTTTGCTAACAGTGACTGACAGCGTACTCGGAGCAGTCAGTGTTGCTTGGGGTATGAACTTTTTTTTCTTTTTGAGACAGAGTTTTGCTCTGCTGCCCAGGCTGGAGTGCAGTGGCGCGATCTCAGCTCACTGCAACCAACCTCCGCCTCCCGGGTTTAAGCGATCCTTGTGCTTCAGCCACCCAAGTGAAAAAATAAACTTTGAAAGAAAAGATAACACTAAAATAACGTCTGGGTGACTTTAAAGGATGGTTTAATAAGAGTTGTTTATTAGTATTGTTTTATCATTTTTTTTCTTTTTTGAGACAAGGTCTCTCACTGTCGCCCAAGTTGGAGTGCAGTGGCATGATCTTGGCTCACTGCAGCCTTGACCTCCCAGGCTCAAGTGATCCTCCCACCTCAGCCTCCTCAGTAGCTGGGAATATAGGTGAGTGCCACAATGACCAACTACTTTTTGTACTTTTTGCACTTTTTGCAGTGATGGGGTTTCACCATGTCACCCAGGCTGGCTCAAGCGATCCGTCTGCCTCAGCCTCCCACAGTGCTGGGATTTACAGGCATGAGCCACTGCACCTGGCCTCTATGATTTTTTTTTTTTTTTTTTTTAAGAGACAGGTCTCACTGTGTTGCCCAGGCTAGTCACAGTCTCCTGGCCTCCAGGTGATGCTCCTGCCTCAGCTGCCTACATGCTGACTTTATATCAAAAAGGTTCCATCATTTGATTCCTGCATATTGGTTTGATTTCCTCAGCAACGAGGAACTAGCGATTATAATTTCAGCAAAATCAAAACCAACTCCATAGAAAAAAAGCTTGAAGTCATCTTAATCCAGTTACTTATATCTTCCTATAAAACAGTAACCTTTTGTATCCTGGAAAACAACGATACATAAAAATTAAAACGAGAAACAGGCTGAGAAAATCAGTGGGGCAGGGAGAAGTTACTTATTTCTCCCTGAATAAGTGAAAGTTTTTAGAAAAAAACGTTTCTTTGAATCTTGCCATACTGTCGGCAACAGACTGTTCCACCTCAGCAAAGCACAGCAGGCATTCCTACGAATGCTGGCTTATTGCTCTGGTCACAGTATAATTGCTATTTATTTCCACTTACAAAGGACAACTTACTTAAAGGACAATTTGATTTTCATTAGTCAAGGTTCTATGGACAAAAGGAAAATTTGAATCTTCAAGTATTTTTTTTTAACAAAAGGAGTTGTAATGAATTATAACTGACGATGAACTGCACGTATTTAAAGGGGTCCATCTGCTGTTCTGATCTGAGGGCACCTGTGAGCCATGCCCCACCATGGCAGGGAGCATCACCCCTGAGGTGTCCTCCAGCCCCTCCCCAGGAAACCACTGACTGCTTTCTGTTGCTACAGATGAGTCTGCATTTTCTAGAATTTTATATAACTAGACTCATAAACGGACTCACTGAGTATAAACTTTTTGGAAGGAGTCGTCTAGTTTCTTTCACACAACACGAGATTCGTGCATATGGCTGAGTATCTCAGTTGTCCATTCTGAGACCCCTCAGCATTACTGCCGGGGGTGGTATTCCACTGCGTGGACATAACACCAGGGTTGGCCTGTCCACGCGCCTGTGAACGGGTGTCTTCGTTGTTGACAGTCTTGGAACGTTACAAACAAAGCTGCTATAAACACTCATGCATGAATCTTTTATGAACATGTGCTTAATTCCCCCAGGGTAAATACCTAGGCTGGAACTTACGGGTCATACTTTTTAAGAAACTGCCAGACTGTTTTCCGAAATAGCTGCACCATTTCACATTCCCACCATCAGTGAATGTGATTCTAGCTCCCCCACACCGCAGCCTGAGGTGGGTGGGGCCGGCGTTTTTCATTCCAGTATTTCAAGAGGTGTGCAGTGCCCTTTCACTGTGGTTGACTTAGCATTTTCCTAATGATGAGGATGGTGACTATCTTTTCACATGTGTTTATGTGCCACCCATGTATCTTCCTTGGCAAATCATCTTTTTTTTTCTTTGTGGAGACAGGGTCTCACTGTTGCCCAGGCTAGTCTTGAACTCCTGGCCTCAAGGGATATTCCTGCCTCAGCCTCCCGAGTAGCTGGAACTGCAGGCATGTGCCACTACACCTGGCAGAACTCTCAAAACTTAGTAAGAAGCAGCAACTTGTTGGGCATGGCGGCTCATGCCAGCAACCTAGGCGGCCAGGACAGGAGGATCCCTTGAGGCAAGAGTTCAAGACCAGTCTGGGTGACAGAAGGAGACACTATCTCTTTTTTTTTCCCAGGCAGTTTTGCTTTTGTTGCCCAAGCTGGAGTGCAGTGGCATGATCTTGGCTCACTGCAACCTCCGCCTCCTGGCTTCAAGCAATTCTCCTGCCTCAGCCTCCCAAGCAGCTAGGATTACAGGTACCAGCTACCACGCCTGGCTAATTTTTCTATTTTTACTAGAGAGAGGGTTTTGCCATCTTGGCTAGGCTGGTCTCAAACTCCTGACCTCAGGTGATCCGTCCGCCTTGGGCTCCCAAAGTGCTGGCATTACAGGCGTGAGCCACCGCGCCCAGCCGGAGACCCCATCTCTTAAAAAAAAGTTTTGAGAATTCTTTATACATTTTGAACATATAAATCCTTCATCAGCTACATGACTTGCAAATATTTTCTCCTAATCTTTGCCTTTTCATTCTCTTCATAGCATCTCTCAAAGAGAAAGTTTCAAATCTTAATATATTCTAATTCATCGATGTTGTCTTTTATGGATGTTTTCAGCACCGTATCTCAGAAATCTTCACCTAGTTTAAAATCACAAAGTGTGTTTCCTCCCAGTAGTTTTTGTTTTGGGTTTACATTTAGGTCTCCGATCACTTCTGAGTTAATTTGGTGTAAGGGCAGCGGCGGGAGTCAAGGCTTGCTTCTCCTGCATACGGACGTCTGTTCCAGGGTGTCTGCTGAAAAGCGCATCCTTTCTTTGTGGCACTCCTTCATACCCGGCCTGTGCGTGTGAGTCTGTCTGGAGCCTCTTCTGTCCCACTCATCTGTGCTGCCTTCCCTTTTGCTACCTCACAGCGTTGTGATCCTGCTGTTCGAGAAGGCTTGAAATCAGGTTGTGCAAGTCTTCCAATTCGTTTCTTCTTTTCAAAATTAATTACTCAAGTTCTTTCCATATCACTTTAACTTGATTTCTTTCTTTTTTTTTTTTTTTGAGATGCAGTCTCGCTCTGTTGCCCAGGCTGGAGTGCAGTGGTACAATCTCGGCTCACTGCAACCTCTGCCTCCCAGGTTCAAGCGATTCCCCGGCCTCAGCCTCCCGAGTAGCTGGGACTACGGGTGCCCGCCACCGCGCCCGGCTAATTTTTGTATTTTTAGTAGAGTCAGGGTTTCACCATGTTGGCTAGGCTGGTCTTGAACTCCTGACCCCAAGTGATCCACCCACCTTGGCCTCCCAAAGTGCTGGGATTACAGGTGTGAGCCACTGTGCCCCGCTAACTTTCAGAATCAACTTGATTTCTAAAATAGAAAAATCTGGCCAGGTGCACTCATGCCTGTAATCCCAGCACTTTGGGAGGCTGAGGCGGGCAGATCGCTTGAGCAGGGGAGTTTGAGACCAGCCTGAACAACACGGTGAAACCCTATCTCCACAAAAGTACAAAAAATTAGCTGGGTATGGTGGCATGTGCCTGTGGTCCCAGCTACTAGGAGGCTAAGGTGAGGGGACTGCTTAAGCCCAGGAGATCGAGGCTGTAGTGAACCAAGATCATGCTACTGCACTCCAGCCTGGTGACAGAGCAAGACAGTGTCAAAAAAAAGAAAGAAAAAAGAAAAGAAATGAGAAAGGAAAGGAAAAGAAAAGAAAAGGCCAGGTACAGTGGCTCACGCCTGTAATCCCAGCACTTTGGGAGGCCGAGGCGGGTGGATCAGGAGGTCAGGACATTGAGACCATCCTGGCTAACATGGTGAAACCCCGTCTCTACTAAAAATACAAAAAATTAGCTGGGCATGGTGGCGGGCACCTGTAGTCCCAGCTACTCAGGAGGCTGAGGCAGGAAAATGGTGTGAACCCGGGAGGCGGAGCTTACAGTGAGCCGAGATCGCGTCACTGCACTCCAGCCTGGGCGACAGAGCAAGGCTCTGTCTGAAAAAAAAAAAAAAAAAAAGAAAAGAAAAGAGAAAAGTAAAGCAAAGCTATGGCCGGTCAGGTTGTATGAAGTTCTCACACCTTACACTGTGTGGACCTGACTCCTGATTTCCTCACCACAAATAACTGGACTAACTGGACTAAGGATTGGGAGCAAATCAAAGCCCACTGTGCTATGACCATATGCGAAGACAGCTCCGTGCACAGCACCTTCTTAAGTGCACAGTCCCCACCAGTATCTGAAGAGGCCTGACACCGCAATGCAAGGAATGAAGGAAGGTGTCACACGCGACCACTGCAAAATGTCAGCAAATACCTAGGATCACTGGGACCGCTGCTGGGTTCCAGGGCACTCAGAGGGCCCCTGTGGTCTTTCCCTGGGCTCCGCCTGGGCTGCACGACATGAGACCCAGAAACTCCGTGGGCGCCGAGACTCCGGCACTACCATCACAGGCACCAGCAACCTCCAAACCTCAGCAGCTGAGGATTTTCCTTACATTTTCAAATGAAAAACGCACAGCGTAACAACTGCTTGTCACAACACAGTCTCCCAAACCAAGTGGAGACTTGTCCCTTTAGTGGAAAAAGGATTTGAAGTATTTTTGTGTAGCTACACTCTTCAAAAAATTAGTAAGCTGCACAGATGAGTCATGCCAGATGCTCACAGGAGTTCTGTCTGGAGAGCACTCTCCAATGACGCTGGGAACCGACCTTCAAGAGCAGTCAGCACTCGATGCACATGTGGTCCAAGGAGAATGTCCCCCTGTCAGGGTTCCTGACAGAGCCCTGACTGGGAGCTCGGCACCATCAGCCGGGACACATTTCCCAGCCTTTTAGGCATCTAGGTGGGACCAAGAAATTAAATCTGGCCAACAAAATATAAGTGAAGTGTCTAGAGGCTGCTTTCAGGAATGTTCCTTAAGAGAAAGATTTCAAGCCTGCCTTTCTTCCTCCTGCTGCCCAGGATGAACGCGTGAGGACTGGTGCCCTGGCTAGCACCTTGGGCCGGGAGCAGAGGGCCACATCCTAGGGATGGCACAGAGTAGCCAGAGGGGGCCTGTACCCCTAAGGGCACCCTCAGGTTCTGATGGGGTACAGCGTCCAGGGAACGGGGTGGCCTCCTGCACGCCCTGCTGTGAGAGGGAAATGGGCTTCTGGCCATCTCGACCCTGGTCACCGTGGGTCACCGGGAAACACAATACTGCTCCTCTCTCCTGATTCTTTGTGGTACCCAACTTCAGTGACCAGCTCCCAGCATCTGAACGTGTCAGTTTAAGGAGCGTTCCCTGCCCAGACCAAGGAGCTTTCATCATCAGTCTCCAGAGGCACCACGGCCCCGGGTTCTGTGTGCGCTGCTCCGCAGGCTGCCTCATCCAGTTCTGCTATTTAGCCCCCTGAGGTATGCACCATTCACACCTGAACTGACAACCCCAGGCCCTGCCCGAGCCCCCACCCTTCCCGCCTGCAGAGGCCCCCCAGCCAACAACCCCCACCCTGGAGACAGCCCACCCCGAGCTCAGGGCCAGCTTCCTATACAGCACTGGCACGGGGCTTTGCACAAGGCACAGCCTTAGCTAGGAAGGAAAAGCATCTCCAGGGTAAGTGTTTTCTTCCTAGCCTTCCAGGAGAGAGGGGAAAAAAACTTAGCATCTTACCTCAAAGGAACATTCAACATTTCTGTCATTTTTTGTGTGTGATAATCCCTTCAGGTCTATCTTTTCAACACTCACTGTAAAAGTAAAACAAAAAACAAAAATGAAATAAGAGCTTGAAGTATATACATGATTATTTAGCATTTGATATTCAGCAGTTTTCAAAACCAGGTTCTCAGCACCCAAGGCTGTCCTGTCACTTTGGTGGCATCTCACCTAGAACCAGAGCCCAGAGAGGAAGGCGGGCGGCAGCACCAATGCAGGGCAGATTCACAACAGAAAGGAGGGAAAGCAAAGCCACACCTGGCAATGGAAGGGCAGGAACGGCACTGGAGTACAGACACACGTTTATGGACCCAGTGAGAGCCCAGCAGTAGCTACAACTGAGAATCTGTGCAGCCTCCCGGGTTCACCCTCAAAACCGTTACGAATCTGTCCCAACTTCTGAAAAGGTAATGCTCAGCATTTTCAACTGTGACTGTTTAAGACAATATTTCCCCAAGAACACAGTCACCTGGGGGGTCTCTTCTATGTATTTTCTTCTTTTTTCTTTTTTTTTTGAGACGGAGTCTCACTCTGTCTCGGCGGCTCACTGCAACCTCTGCCTCCTGGGTTCAAGCGATTCTCGTGCCTCGGCCTCCCCAGTAGCTGGGATTACAGGCGCATGCACCACCGTGCCTGGCTGATTTTTGTACTTTTAGAAGAGATGGGGTTTTGCCATGTTGGCCAAGTTGGTCTCAAACTCCTGACCTCAGGTGATCCGCCCGCCTCAGCCTCCCAACGTGCTGGATTTACAGGCGAAAGCCACCGTGCCTGGCCTTTCTTTTCAGGAGAATTCATTCTCATCCTTCTCTGCGAGGGCAAGGATGAGGAGACCAGAACAACAGTCCTGGGGGAGTCAGGAAGATAGCACCGTCTGGGAGCAGAGCCGGGCTGCAGTGAATGAAGCTGCACGGGATGGACAGCCAGAGGGATGAGCGGCCTCACCAGGGAGCCCGGAAGGCATCAGCCTACTCATCCCGTTTTCCACGTACACTGGTGCGTGTTTTTCTCATCAAAAATAAGATGATACAATTAGGTTTTAAGCACTATTTTTAAATGAGCCCAAATATCTGCTCAAAATAAAACAGCCGCGTATCGAACATGCTGTAGTTTCTGACTCAGCCTCATCAAGGCAGGCCTGCCCCGCTGATCCAGCGCTGAAGTTTCTCACTGCCCAACACACCCGGCTCTGCCAGCTTCCACACTTCCCAGGCGCCAGGAGCCCCACGCCGAGCTTTACACATAACTGGGAAAGAGGCTACGGGAGCATTCTCCCTCCTTCCTCCACCAGCCTTCGCTGGGTCTGGAGGCCACCTGGCCGCGTGCGACGGGGATGTCTGCTAATTTGTAGAATCTAACTTTGTCCAACGTGAAATACTCAACACAACTTCTCAGAACTGTGAATGTGACACTTCCTGCAGGCACCCAAAGACCGCCTGGTCTCCTGCACCACCGTTCTCCAGAGCCCTCTCCACGGGCGCCAGTGCTCACACAAGGTCACGGCCACCTCAAAAAACCGTATGGCCAAAAAGTTTTTTGGGGTGGTTGGGAGCAGTGGCTCACGCCTGGTATCCCAGCACTTTGGGGGGCCGAGGCAGGCAAATCACAAGGTCAGGAGTTCGAGAGCAGCCTGGCCAACATGGTGAATCCCTGTCTCTACTGAAAAGACAAAAAATTAGCTGGGTGTAGTGGCGGACACCTGTAATCCCAGCTACTCGGGAGGCTGAGGCAGGAGAATTGCTTGAACCTGGGAGGCGGAGGTTGCAGTGAGCCGATATCGCGCCATTGCACTCCAGCCTGGGCAACAAAGTGAGACTTCGCCTCAAAAAAAAAAAAAAAAAAAAAAAAAGACGTTTTTTGGGAAAAAAAAATCTCAGAAACTCCTTGTAAACTGTCAATGTACATTAGGATATTAAGGACTCTGACAAGTCCTACAGTACATTATAATTTTTTAAACGATTCCCCACATTTTTTGGCAACTTCTTCTCCTAACATACACGAACCTCTCCTAGAGCAAGGACCTGCTCTGTGCACACGCTCTGGGGATGGTTCTAAGCCTGCACTGCCCAAATCACCCGTGGCAAGTTAAGTTAATTAAGAAGGAATAAAATTAAACGTTCAACCCCCAGTTGTCCTGAAGAACCACGCTGAGGGTTCTGCAGCCATGGGAGGCTAGTGGCTGCCACGCTGGGCGGTGTGCTCCCAGACAGCGCTGTCTAAACCAACACCCGCCCGTCCGTGAGCAGCTCTGTGGGCCTCCACATGCCCCTCATCTGCATGTCCTCTGTGGCCACCCCGTGATACCATGGCTGAGGAGCTGTGCCAGACACCACCCTGCTCCTGGAGCCAACGACACTGACTCCCTGTATCTGCAGAATGAGCCAGCCAACCCTGCGCTGAACCAACCATCCTCGCTCGCTCCCCAGCGTGTGCTGCAAACACCCGGCCACGTCCCAGGTCACCCTGCAGGTGCTGTGAGGGTCGTGGAGCACGAGGCAGCGGGCGCTGCGCTCCCAGCGGCACCACCTGCTCCTCCAGGGAACCTCGTGCATCTCACGGATGCGGGAGTCCACTCGCTTTAGAGTTCTTTAAGCTTAAAATAGCACCTCACAGGAAGGAATTACTATAAAAAATACAAATGTTTATTTCCTTTCTGGCAAAACAAAGAGCACAGCACATTTAGAGGCTACACAGCCCTGCTGATGTTCACTTAGTGGAACTACACGCTGTTCCTGCCTGACTTCCTCAGTCAGACTGTCAGCAAATACATAGCTTTTATGTTTTTCTAAAGCAGTACTTCTAAAACTTCCCACAATGACATCACTCTAATCCATGTATTTTACTTTTTTAAACAACATATAGTGTCAATGAATACAGAAACATGTAGTCAGCATTCTCCCTGGCCACAAACACCATGTGTACCTCATGTCCCAGGACTGAATAATATTAGGGTTTATGAAAAAAGTAAAAGGAAAAAAAACCCATCTGGACTGAGAGTAGGAAGTGACTCAGTCATATTTCATATCTGGACAGGAAAATGGGAAAAAGCAGATGAATGTTATTCAGCTGTTTTCAAATAAAAGAGGCATTTCCAATTCTAGGCTCCAAATGTTGGCGCATCCCTCTGCAGAATGGCTAGCCTGGGCAGTGGCGGCCCCCCGCCAGGGCACCTCCGGGCCCAGGAGCGACGCAGCGAGGCTCCCTCTACTCCTGCCCTGGACCCCATGTGCTCCGCGGGCTCTGAAGGCTGAGAAGAGGAGCCTGGGAGAGAGGGAAGACCAGGCACAAGGAGTGAGGGGCCGGGCTAGTGCGGGGGCTGGGTGACCAGCCTGAGTCAAGGTCAGGAAAGATTTCAGCACGCTCTCAACTCTGCAGCCATTAGACGCTGTGATTCGAAAAACCACAACAAGAAAAAAGGCTGATAGAGCAGCAGGATAAATAGCTCACACATGCCGGGCTTACGCCTAAGTGATGGGCTGATGGGTGCAGCAACACATCATGGCACACATTTACCTATGTAACAACCTGCACATCCTGCACACGTACCCCAGAACTTAAAAGAAAAAAAGAAAAAAGCCTCGGATATTAACTGGAAAATTACAAATTCTATGCATAACATGATGACAGTTTTGTTTAAAATGGAAATGAAAACACTAAAACTAAACGATCGAAAGTGATGGGAACAGCTGTGTACGGTGGCGAAGTGAAGAGTAGCTTTTCCCCACATTTCTGTAATGTGGTTTTGCCATCTCAAAGCGAATACCTATCTGCACGCAGACACTCATTACAACCCACTTCCAGTCTGCCCCCAGTGTGGCCGCCTTCCCCTCCCTCCCTGGTCAGCCCCACTGCCTTCTGTGGAGCGTAAGCAAATGCCTAGATAAATTCAGGGGCGGCCGGGAGCTCACACCTGTAATCCCAGCACTTTGGGAGGCTGAGGCAGGTGGATCACCTGAGGTCAGGAGTTAGAGACCAGCCTGACCAACATGGAGAAACTCCGTCTCTAGTAAAAATACAAAATTAGCCGGGCGTGGTGGCTCATGCCTGTAATCACAGTTACTTGGGAGGCTGAGGCAGGAGAATCACTTGACCCCAGGAGGCAGAGGTGGCAGTGAGCTGAGATTTGCGCCATTGCACTCCAGCCTGGGCAACAAGAGTGAAATTCCATCTCAAAAAAAAAAAAAAAAAAAAAAAAAAAATTCAGGGGCAAACATCACCCCATCACCTGAGAGAGCAGAGCCAGAGGGACCACAAAGACAGGATCCGCGCTGGCCAGAAAGCCTCCGTGAGGAAAGCATTCACGTGCGTAAAAATGGCGATTCGGCCACAGCGCGTGGCAGCCAAGGCCATGAGGAGGCTCTGCTGGAGCACTGAGGCTGGTCAGCACCGCACCCAGGCAGGCCTGTGTGGGGACAAACACGGCTGGGGCAAAGGGACCCGAGGCTGGGCCAGGCCTGCGCCCTCCTGAAGTAAGAACACGAAGGATGATATACTTTTCCCTTTGAAATGTTTGTCTGTTCAAACCTTTCTTCTTTTCTCATTCCAGGTACACAACAGGCATTTTCCTCAAGTCTTACAAGTTAGATCACACAGCCTTCGATAAAATGTATATTCACATCGACTATCATTTTATAATTGAATCAACACCTACATTTAGAAACCAGTACTCTAACGTAGCAACTGAAAAAGGGAGGGAAGCTGGAATAAGAATGGTGATGTCCAAAGTCAGGCCTCCCTTTGGTCCAACTGCACCACACCACGGTGTTTCGATGCCAAGGTGTACAGCTTCTGATTTTTTCCTTTTACACTTCAGTGCCTCTACAATCAGATGCCAGGACCATCTCACACCTGCTGCTGGCCATGTGGCAGGAATAACATGGTTGTGACAGCCTGCCACCTATGGAGAAAATGAGGAAAAACCCAGCAACCCACCCACAAAGCGGGTACAGTAGCTTAGGAGAAACTCCAAAACAGCAACCGGGCACGCGCTCCAATGCTGTGGTACCGCAGCACTGCGTGGCACACAGAGCCCACTGCACAGGAGGAATGCACGCCCCGACCCAGCCGGCTGGACGGCGTGCACGGGGGCTGGACTCTGTGTGTCAACTGCAGGAGCACCTCACCTCATTTATTTGGATATTTTCCTTTCTATGCATGTACAAGAATGATATTATGAAACTCTGCAGCCAAGTCTTAAAGGGCTCTTTCAATAAAACTATGACCAATAAAAAGCAGCATGTTAGTTTTGTGGGCAATGTGTTTACTTTTTTAGATACAGAGAAAGTCTTCCAGCCAGTAGCAACTCACAGTTAATGACACACGGGAAGGAGACGGAATGATGCCTCCCAAGACCTGAGTTCGAATATTCATTGAGTAACTAAGGTCAGTTTTGTGTCTGCTTCCTCATTTGTTTAATGGGGATAGTAGCTTAAAAGGGCCAATAGTTTGTAATCAAATATGAATAAAAACAGGAAATGGTCCTAATAAGTATAAAGATATAAAATCCCCAAGAAATAAAGGGCCCTGCTGGGGCATTCACACGAGGCCTGGGCCCACGGTCAGCACTGCCCCCGGTCTTCCTCCTGCTTGGGGCATTCACAGGAGGCCCGGGCCCACCGTCGGCACTGCCCCGGTCTTCCTCCCGCTACAGAGGAACAGCAGAGGGCCCTACAGTGGAGTCCCTGAAATGCAACTGATTTATCTCCATGGAGCCTATGGCTCCAGAGGTGAAGTGTCCTGCCTCACCTTTGTTACTAATGAGCAGACCGTATTATTTAGTTAAGATGTATTTCTGGATTATAAGGGACTCAGAATCCTAGGAGCTAAATTTACCACTATATTGCTATTTACACAAGCTAAGACAAGCCACGAACATTACCAAGTTTCCTTTCTGAAGTGCCCTGCGTATGGATTATGGAATCTTCTTTATAGGATTCCAAAAGGCCTGGGAGGACGACCCTCATACAAGTTCTTTTTTTTTTTTTCTTTTTTTAGAGGGAGTCTTGCTCTGTCGCCAGGCTGGAGTGGCATGATCTCAGTTCACTGCAACCTCTGCCTCCGAGGTTCAAGTGATTCTCCTGCCTCAGCCTCCTGAGCAGCTGGGACTACAGGCACGCACCACCATGCCCAGCTAATTTTTGTATTTTTAGTAGAGATGGGGGTTGCACTATGTTGACCAGGCTGGCCTCAATCTCCTGACCTTGTGATTCACCCGCCTCGGCCTCCCAAAGTGCTGGGATTACAGGCGTGAGCCACTGTGCCTGGCCACAAGTTCTTACTCCTCACTTTGCTAAGCAGTCTCCCCCTTGGCATTCTGCCTTAATGACCAAGTGCGATTTCCAAAGTAAAGCAAAGCTGAATCAAAAACCTATGATATTCCTATAAATTAAAAAATAAAAAGATTAAATCTTGAGATAGACACCTCACTCTGATTTGATCATTACACATTATATACATATATCAAAATATCACATACACCTCCAACCCAAAAGATGTAGGTATAACTATGAGATATCCATAGAAAATAAACACATCTTACAAGTTACATTAAAAAACCACATACATTTTAAACAAACAAGATCTTAGAGGATGATTAAAATGTTACAAAGTCAAAATACAGGTAACCACATCAATTCTGTATCTTATATATCTAATTCTACAATGACTAGGTTGGTAAATCAAACCACAGGACAATCAGCACAATAGTTGTTAAGTATTTTGCTGTCTACCAGCAGCTCTCTACATCCTTTAATTAAAACGAACCAAACATTTTCCCACACAATTTTATGCTGCTAACAAGCATTTTTAAAAGTTTATTTATTTTAGAGATGGGGCCTGCCTATGTTACCCAGGCTGCGCTCGAACTCCAGGGCTCCAGCAATCCTCCTGCCTCAGCTTTCTACGCAGCCAAGACTACAGGTGAAAGCCGCTGTGCCCGGCCTAACATGCACTTTGAATTCACTGACTGAAATGCATGCGACAGTATGCTTTTATGTTTACAATTTTTTTTTTTTTTAAGATAAGAGTTTTGCTCTGTCGCCCAGTCTGGAGTGCAGTGGTGCAATCTCAGCTCACTGCAACCTCCATCTCCTGAGTTCAAGCGATTCTTGTGCCTCAGCCTCCTGAGTAGCTGGGATTACAGGCGCACACCACCACGCCTGGCTAATTTTTGCATTTTTAGTAGAGACAGGGTTTCGACATATTGGTCAGGCTGGTCTCGAACTCCTAACCTCAAGTGATCCACCCACCTTGGCCTCCCAAAGTGCTGGGATTACAGGCATGAGCCACCGTGCCCAGCTGATTCTAAAGTTTTAGACAGAGAGATCAGGCATTTTATAAAACAGAATTTGTAACATGTTTCAGGAAGGCACCAAACAGGGAAGTATCCAGAGGTCACTGGCCACATCCCAGACTATGCATAAACTGATTCCTCACAACAAAATACCCTTCATTTTCTTTTTGACAGGGTCTCACTCTGTCGCCCAGGCTGAAGTGCAGTGGTGTGATCTTGGCTCACTGCAGCCTCGACCTCCTGGGTCCAAGTGATCCACCCACCTCAGCCTCCTGAGTAGCTGGCTCTACAGGCATGCATCACCATGCCCAGCCGATTTTTGTATTTTTTTTTTGTAGACACGGGGTTTCGCCATGTCACCCAGGCTGCTTGCTCTGGAACTCCTGGACTCAAGTGATCTGCCTGCCTTGGCCTCCCAAAGTACTGGGCTTACAGGCCTGCACCTTCACGCCCAGCCCTGCCCTTCATTTTCAGATGAAAGCATAGAAATACTCTCTAACATCAGTCTTCTATCTGCTATTATACATATGCGACTGTTCCCATAAAGTTTTTTTTTTTTTTTTGGAGATAGAGTTTCGCTCTGTCACCCAGGCTGGAGTGCAGCGGCGCCATCTCGGCTCACTGCAAGCTCCGCCTCCCGGGTTCACGCCTCAGCCTCCCAAGTAGCTGGGACTACAGGCGCCCGCCACCACGCCCAGCTAATTTTTTGTATTTTTAGTAGACACTGGGTTTCACCGTGTTAGCCAGGATGGTCTCGATCTCCCGACCTCGTGATCCGCCCGCCTCGGCCTCCCAAAGTGCTGGGATTACAGGCGTGAGCCACCATGCCCGGCCTCCCATACACCTTCATATAAATACTCAAGCTGATTACTAATAGAGTCACCTACATTATCTTAATATGCTTCATCTTTCCCGGTTTTGTCTTGGGGTCAGAAGAAGTATTTATGTACAAAAATCTTTTATTAAGTCCATTTCTTTTTTTTTGTCTTTGATTTTCCTTATCTCCCATTCATATTTATTGTTTAAGTCTGTAGTTCTATTGGATTCAAGTTTGAAAGGCAACACAAAACTCCTCTCCAACATAAACATACTGGTGTTACTCCATTTGTGCCTCCAGAGTAAGAACACAAAACAAAATCTGAACTAGAACTCTGATTTTAGCAAATAAAATTAGGGGCTTTATTGTAGGAAAATATGTTTTTCTTAAAGGTACAATCGACAACTCTGAGATTAAAAATAATTCATCAATAAATAGCCACATATTCTAGCGCATTAAAAAGGCACTCTTATAAAGTTGTTACAGCTTTCCTCTTACTTTTTTGGGGCCAACCTGTGTTTCAGGGAAACTGAACTAAAGATGATCTATGAAAACGTAGTGTTGGGGGACTCTGGTTCCAGGTAAGACGGAGCAGCAACGAAAGCCCCTGGAAGGGAGACGCTCCTCTCTGATGTGGGGGCTGCGATTCCAGGTGGGGTGACACCTCCTCACTGCCTTTTCTTCTCTCTGTCTTCCCATGAAGATGGGGATGGTCACTGAAGTGCACAGCAGAGAGGGCTAAAGCCCCAGCTTTCTGGCTGGAGGACCAAAAAGGGGAGCCCCTGGGAACTGGAAGTACAGAAGGATAGCAGAGAGGGAAGATTTCAGGGAAGCAACCCCGTGGCGTTGTGGGTGCGTTCACCCGGGGGCTGCACATGGAAGAATCTGAACTGCCGAACACACCTCCAGCAGAGTCTGAGGCTGGACGGCAAGCAATGCCCCCAAAGGACGAGGCCAAACAGCACCGCCACAGCTCGGAAAATGGAGCTGGCACCACAGCCACACCCCACAGAAGGCTGCACAGTACTTGCTGTCAGAACCCAACCAGGTCAACTGCACCAAACCAAAAGCATCAACATTCTCTGTAGGATTAAAGATGAGTCAGAGTCTCGTATCATACTATTCAAGAAAATCAACAGATCCCAACACTGAGATGGCACAGATGCTAGAACTACCAAAGACACAGAAGCAGCTACTGGCACAATGCCCCAACAGGGAGGGGCAAACACTCCTGAGATGCACAGACAGACAGAAAGCCTGCACAAATCCAGGTGTAAAGAACCAAATGAAAATTTACAGAAAAAAAAATTAAAACTTTAGCGGTGGGACAATGGCTGAAAAAGTCCCAAATTGTGTGAGAGACATAAGCCTATGCATAAGAAGCTCAATGAGCTTATCCAAACAAGATAAGCCCAAAGAAATCAACACCCACACACGTCATAAGCACAATGCTAAAAACTAAAGACAAAAAAATCTTGAAAGCAATCAAAAACAATACATTACCTCATAGGAGAAAACCATTCAAATGACTGGGACTTTCGCATCAGAAACCATGAAGGCCAGAAGAAAGTAGAATCATATTTTAAAGTACTAAAGGCAAATAACTACCAACTGTAACTCTACATCCAGTCAAGGTGAAATAAGACACCCTCAGATGAAGGAAAACTGAGAGGACTGTTTGTCAGCGGGCCTGCTCTGAAAGAACTGCTAAAGTTCTTTGAACAGAAGGAAAATGAACGGGAAGCAAACTTGGACCATCAGGAAGGAAAGAAAAGCAAGAGAAATGTGAAATATCTGGGTAATATAAAAGCAGTCTATTCCGCTTTTGAGTTGTTCAAAATAGGTTTGATGGTTGAAAACAAAAATCATTAACGCGGTCCCAAGCAGCTTTCGATGCCTGCGGATAGAATTCCTAAGACAACTGTGACCGGAAGGGCAGAGGCCTGGATGGTGGTCGGGTTTCCACCTTCCACCGGCACTGGTAAGTGGGCTCCAGGCAGACTGGGGTCACTGATGGCTCTACAAAAGATTCAATGAGAAAACACTGCTGCTTCCAAGAAACCTATTTTTTTTAAGTGGGCAGCTTTTTATCAATGCAGGAATTGTCAAGTGAGCCTTTTATTTGCTACCAGGTAAGTCAGCTGAGTTGGGATCAGTAAATTTAAAAGATGCTGACAGTGGCCAGGCATGGGGGCTCACACCTGTAATCCCAGCACTTTGGGAGGCCAAGGCAGAAGAACTGCCTGAGCTGAGAAGTTAGAGACTAGCCTGGGCAACATGGCGAGACCCCATTTCTACTAAAAATTTAAAAAATTAGCTGGGTGTGGTGGTACACACCTGTAGCCCCAGCTACTCGGGAGGCCAAGGCTGGGGGATCCCTTGAGCCCAGGAGTTCAAGGATGCAATGAGCAGGGATCACACCACTGCACTCTAGCCTGGGTGACAGAGTGAGATACTATCTCAAAAACAAAAACCAAAAAAGCCAGGAGCTGCAGCTCATGCCTATAATCCCAGCACTTTGGGAGGCTGAGGCAGGCAGATCACTTGAGACCAGGAGTTCAAGACCAGCCTGGCCAAAATGGGGAAACCCAATCTCTACTAAAAATACAAAAATTAACTAGGTGTGATGGCCCATGCCTGTAGTCCCAGCTCCTC
The DNA here is from genome assembly GCF_000001405.40 of Homo sapiens. NCBI lineage: Eukaryota > Metazoa > Chordata > Mammalia > Primates > Hominidae > Homo > Homo sapiens. The sequence continues at coordinate 87,443,930 of NC_000016.10, forward strand.
AGGAGGCTGAGGCATGAGAATCACTTGAACCTGGGAGGCGGAGATTACAGTGAGCCAAGACTGTGCCACTGCACTGCAGCCTGGGTGACAGAGTGAGACTCTATCACAGAAAAAAAAAAAAAAAAAAAAAGAAAGAAAGAAAAGGAAAAACACAGAAACGGCCCTGTGGAGCTAGACTGTCACTGAGAAGGCCTAGAGCAGCCACACTCCATCAGCAGGGCACACACAGCATCAGATTTTGGCTTCTAAAACCCATTTCCCACTAAATGAACCTAGGCCGTTGGAAATTGTTGATTTCAGGGCTAGGGGAAAGAAAGCTGAGTGTTGAACATCTTGTTATGTCAGAAAGCAAGGAATTGCTCATAGAATGACAGGACATATTAAAAAGACACAAAACATCAGTTTTCAGGGGCTCCCACCAGCCAAATCTGGTACAGCTTCAACATCAGAGTAACGACATTAATGGATTATAACTCACTGAATAAAACAGGAAACAATAATCCCATACAAACTTAAATAAATGATTAAGCTGAAAGTCTGATAAGAAACAGACTATTTATCTAGTTAGAAAGTAATTTTTACACAGGAGAATCCTGGCAGATAGCATGAAAATTAATATAGTGACTGTCATCAGTAACGGAACAAATTGAGAGCTTGTACCACCCGACAGGACACAGTGAGAGCAGCGTAGCATGTTCCTGGCAAAGATGTACAGCCTGAATCTAGTCAGGAGAAGTATCAAACAAACCCAGATTGTGGGATGGTTGGCAGAATCAGTGGTTCATAATCTTCTAAAGTATCCGGGTCATGAAAGACAAGGGAAGATGGAGGAGCAGCTACTGAAGGATACAAAGGAGGCCAAATGCACCCTGGGATTCCGAACTTGATCCTCTGGGTATAAAAGGCATTACTGGGACAATGGCCGGAATGGGAGTAAGCCTGAGAATTAGAGGGTGGTGACATCTCAATGCCAACTTCCTGATCTTGATGGCAGTACTTATTGTTTGCAGAAAACACATGATCACGATTTGGGGATGTTGGGGGATCAGATCCACAATTCACTCCCAATGTTTCAGGAAAGTTCTTTATATTGTAGTGACAACTTTTCTATAAATTTGTGATTTTGTTTTTCAAAATAAACTTTTTTTTTTTTTTTGAGACAGAGTCTTGCTGTGTCACCAGGCTGGAGTGCAGCGGTGTGATATCAGCTCACTGCAACCTCTGCCTCCCAGGTTCAAGCAATTCTCCTGCCTCAGCCTCCGAAGCAGCTGGGACTACAGGTGTGCTCTACCACGCCCAGCTAATTTTTGTATTTTTAGTAGAAACGGGGTTTCACCATGTTGACCAGGATGGTCTCGATCTCTTGACCTCATGATCCACCCACCTCAGCCTCCCAAAGTGCTGCGATTACAGGCGTGAGCCACTGCACCTGGCCTAAAATGAACCATTTTTAAAGACGCAGATCTATTCCCTCAGTGTGTACCATCAGAAGAAAGGCATTGTCTGTCAGTGCTTATTTTTTTCATTGGAGAGGTTGAATTTCTTTCTTTCTGTTAATTATGATTGCTGTGTTATCTTCCTGTATTTTGTTTTTACTGTGAAGGATCATAATCCATTCTTCCAAATCTTCAGGAATTACTTGGTATAGGTTTTAACAGGCCACCATGTGATCAGATGTTCCTTTGAAGTTTCCTTTGATATTTTATTACCAGATAGTCCCTCAAGCCACGGCGTGTGGGCTCAGCCGCTACGACTATGTGATGACGCGCCGACCTGAGAAACACACATGCTGACCATCTGGCCAAGAACTGAAGACCAGGGCAAAACCACAGCATATCACAAACATTTTTCCAGAACAGGGTTGTAGTGTCTCTTTTGATGCCAAATTTTAAAATAAAGCAAATTAAATAATGATTGTTGAGGGAAAACTAATTTTTTAATTAAAGAAGATTCCATCTAATTACGCATGCTGTTTGGAAATCAACCTATTTTTCTAGGTCCTATCATCTTCCCAATTGATTTAAAAAATATTTTTAGGTACTCCTTACTCCAAACATCGACAGTATTTTTCTTAAACTTTAAACAATTTTGGCCAGGCACGGTGGCACATGCCTGTAGTCCCAGCTATTTGGGAGGCTAAGGCAGAAGAATCACTTAAACCCGGGAGGCAGAGGTTGTAGTGAGCCAAGATCGCGCCATTGCACTCCAACCTGGGCAACAAGAGCAAAACTCCGTCTCAAAAAAAAAAAAAAAAAGACTTAAAAAAAAAATTGGCAGGGTGCGGTGGCTCACGCCTGTAATCCCAGCACTTTGGGAGACCAAGGTGGGTGGATCACTTGAGGTCAGAAATTTGAGACCAGCCTGGCCAACATGGCAAAACCTCGTCTCTACTAAAAATACAAAAATTAGCTGGGAGTGGTAGCACGCACCTGTAATCTCAGCTATTCAGGAGGCTGAGGTGAGAGAATCACTCGAACCTGGAAGGCAGAGGTTACAGTGAGCTGAGATTGCGCCACCGCACTCCAGCCTGGGCGACAGAGGGAGACTCCATCTCAAAAAAAAAAAAAAATTATGAGACAGAGACTACACATGACCCACAAACACAAAAACATGAATTACCTGGCCCTTTACAGAAAACGTTTGCCAGCTCCTGAATCAGAGTGTCAGTGGAAATGCTGACAACAAACTCTACCTTTTGAGCAAATGAGATGATGAAAAAGTGGCTTTGCTTTCCTTGGTTTATAGCTGAGGTCAGCAAACTGACTTTCTTTTTTTTTTGAGATAGAGTTTCGCTCTGCCACCCAGGCTGGAGTGCAGTGACGCGATCTTGGCTCACTGCAACCTCCACCTCCCAAGCAATTCTCTTGTCTCAGCCTCCCGAGTCGCTGGGATTACAGGCACACACCACCATGCCTGGCTAGTTTTTTTGTATTTTTAGTAGAGACGGGGGTTTCACCATGTTGGCCACGCTGGTCTTGAACTCCTGACCTCAGGTGATCCACCTGCCTTGGCCTCAAGAAGTGCTGGGATTACAGGTATGAGCCACCGTGCCCGGCCAGCAAACCAACATTCTATATGAGAAGACAATTTAGTAACACAAATACCACATGAGAATTTTCACATTCAAAATACATATAACGTCATCTAAGACTCAACAGGAAGACAGAATTCTGCCAATAGACTAGGAAAAGACACTCCGGCAAAGCTCTTTTGGGGCAGAGCCTTATAAGACACATACATATTCTTAAAGATGGCGGAAGAAACAGACCTCACCCCTCCACCCACACATATTTTGGGCCAGGGGGAACTAAGCAGGCAGCCTGGACACCTGCCAGACTGCAAAGGGCCTGTGTGAAACGGCAAGGGGGTCAGGTGTTTTTTTTTTAATTTGAGGCGAAATTTACATAGAGCAAAATGCAGAGATCTGAAGTGTACAATTCAATGAGTTTGGGTACATTTATATGCCCATGTGATCACTAATCCTTGAATCAAGACGCAGTGCTTTTCAATTCTCTAAAAAGTCTTGAACGTCATATAAACAGGACCATACACGGGCCCTGCTTTCATTCAACATTGTATTTTTGAGATTCCGATGTGGTTACATGTATTAGCTTTGAAAATGACTGAGTTCTCTTCCATTGTATAAATATACCACAGCTTGTTTATCCATTCTCCTACTCATGGACATCTGGGTTGTTTCCAGTTTGGGGCTATTATGCATAAGCTGCTATAAGCCTTCATCTCCAAGTGCTGTTGTGGATGTACGCTTTCATTTCTTTGGGATAAATTCCCTAGGACGAGAACTGCAGGAATATAAGATACATTTATCACTTCATAAGAAATGCCAAATTGTTTTCTTAATGGTTGTACCATTTAATCCTCCCATCAGCTGCGGATGAAAGCTCCAGCTGCTTCTGATCCTAACATTTGCTATTCTGTCCTTCTGACTTCCATTACCTCGGTGAATAGAAATGATACTCTCCTGTGGCTTTGATGTGCATTTCCCTGATGACTGGCGACTTGAATCATGACATCCCTGGACAATCTGTGTGTACAAGCAGGTATGAGTGCTCTGGAGTTAACTGCCTTTCTTTTTTCTGCTGGTAGAAAAAAACCTAATTGCATTAATATATGTGTAATCTACTGCTTGGAATGCATACCATTCTTCCATAGGAAGATAATCTTCACAATCATTAACGTCTTCCATTTCCTTATATAGGCTGTATTCCTAATCTGAAAATCCAAAATCCAAAATGCTCCAAAATCTGAAACATTTTGTTATTCTGAATGAAAATAACTTTCATTCAAAACTTGGCTTGCCACAGTCCTCTGGCATCCACTGTTGCAAATGGCAAGTCCAATGTTAGCCTGATTCTGGTTTCTTCACAGGTGAAATCTGTTTTGTTGTTCTCCTTTGAAAACGTGTAAGATCATTTCTTGATCCCTTATCAAAAAAAACAACAATGCGTCTCGACATGGGTGTTTTCAACTCACCTTTCTCAGCACTCAGTCTGCCCTTTCGTGTGAAGACTCACGAGGCCGTTTTCTTCCCGTGCGTACTGAACATGCTCCTTCCTTTCATCTTCTCTTCCAGCCACCCTGCATTTCAGAGGCTGAGCTTGGCTGCCCATTTGCGCCACTCACCTTCTACCTTGTATCTCCACATTCGGCAATCCTCGAACACTACTGAATGTTTTGCTCTGGTGGTCACTTTTACATCCCAACAACTCTCTCTTGGTCTTCATGTTTTCTTTTTTCATGGCACCCAGCTTTCATCTGACAAATGCAATATCCCCTCAGCCTCCCACAAAATGTTAATTGGAGTTTCCCTAAGTAGGATGCTTATCAAAAAGATCAGCCTCTGTTCTCTGACTTGTCTGTGTACTTTGCAGTAGTCTGAATTCTCTGCCACAGTTCTTTACCCCTCGTCACACTGAAACCCATGCTGCAGCTGGCTTACGGTAGTGTAGACTTTCCTATCCTTGAATTTGGAGCTGTGGCCATAAGACTCACTGCGGACATCAGAAAGAGGCAGAAGCGACCGTGTGCCGGCCCAAGCTCGGCCTTACGAATCCTCATGGCTCCCATGTGCCCTTGGTCCCCAGTTCAAGGAGGATGAGGGACGCCTGAGTCAGAGCCACCCCAGCCACTACGGCCTGAACAGTCACGGAGCATGGCCCAGCTGACACCAGCCAACCCACACATCCGTGAGGAAGGCGCTCATCTTGGGTGCTCCTGAGCTCTGCTGGTTGGCTGTTACACAGCTGTAGCTGACCAACACACCCCAGGCATCTCTTAAACCTGTTGTGGTCTGTCTTTACAAGCTTCCTTACATCCTTTCTCTAGAACAAAACCTCATAAAAACAATTGGGCACACTTTAATGTTCCTATCTCTAAAACTCTGAAGAGAAGTAGAAAGGGATAGATGCAGGGAAGAGAGGGTGAGGGGCACAGCACAGGGGGAAGGGCACCATGGTTCCTGGGCTCCTAGGCCCTCCATCCATGATCACGAGGGAGGAGAGAGGAGCACTCAGCAAATCACACAGGTGCAGAGGCGCAGCGACAGACCCCGACCAATTCAGCAACGCCACCAAGAGAGCAAACCCCAATCCCTTTCTCTTTAGGTCAACAGAGACCTACAGAAGAAAACCAGTAGTTTTCCGCCAAATGTCTTTCTTTAATTTGCTTTCAAGGTATCTTTATTAAGTGGTTTAATCTACATTCCCAACAATGAGAAACCACTTCAACAATTTACAAAATTATGCTTAAAAAATCACAGTAAAGGGAATATTATTTATGGTAGAGGGGAGAGTTTAAAAAATGACCCAGGATAAGCTGGGCATGGGGGCTCACGCTTGTGATCCCAGCACTTTGGGAGGCCGAGGTGGGTGGATGGCTTGAGCCCAGGAGTTCAAGACCAGCCTGGCCAACATGGCAAAACCCTGTCTCTACAAAAAATATGAAAATTACCTGGGTGTGGTGGTGTGTGCCTGTGGTCTCAGTTACTGGGGAGGCTGAGGCAGGAGGATTGCTTAAGCCCCAGAGGTCGAGGCTGCACTGAACTGAAAAATTGAGGCACTGCACTGCAGCCTGGGCAACAGAGTAAGACCCTGTCTCAAAAAACAAAGAGAAAAAGAACAGCATTGTTTTCCAGCAGACGCCCCTTCTTCTAGGTCATATACAAGACAACCAAATGTCTTCACACTTGAACTAAGAGCTGTACCACGATCACACCGTAGATACTTCCTGCTTTAAAATGTTATTACCAAAAGCCAGTTTTCATTTAAAAATTGGAAAACTGTGTTCTTAAGACTTGCAGTTAAATAATAATTTTCCTAAAATATCAACTGACTTTCTCACTTTCATTTGCTTGTCTATGTTAATGGGATAATTTCTAGAAGCATTACCTCTTGTAGCTGTTATTAGAATTTGAACATTCACCATCACACTGATTAAGCTGCTCCTTCTTCCCTACATCTTTTTAGGACATGCAATGTTATACTTAAGAACATGATATAATTTATTTTTCTTTGGTTTTTTATTATCTAGCTACATTGCATTAATTTCATTTGTTAGTTCTTCACAAAGAGAAACAAAAGTAGTGAGTAATTGGGAAAACATAAAGCTGATAATAGATTCTTTTTTTTTTTTTTTTTTTGAGAGAGGCTTTCACTCCTGTTGCCCAGACTGGAGTGTAATGGCATGATCTCGGCTCATTGCAACCTCCACCTGCCAGGTTCAAGCAGTTCTCCTGCCTCAGCCTCCTGAGTGAGTAGCTGGGATTATAGGCATGTGCCATCTTTTTTTGTAGAGACGGATTTTCACCATGTTGCCCAGGCTGGTGTGGAACTCCTGAGCTCAAGTGATCTGCCTGCCTTGGCCTCCCAAAGTGCTGGGATTACAAGCGTGAGCCACTGCGCATGGTCTGATAATATTTTTAAAGTAGCAAAAACAGGAAGTGAACACCTTTTCCTTTTCTTTTTTTTGAGATGGAGTTTCGCTCTTGTTGCCCAAGCTGGAGCGTAATGGCACGATCTTGCCTCACAACAACCTCTGCCTCCTGGGTTCAAGCGATTCTCCTGCCTTAGCCTCCCGAGTAGGTGGGATTACAGGTGCGTGCCACCATGCCCGGCTAATTTTTTGTATTTTTAGTAGAAATGGGCTTTCACCACATTAGCCAGGCTGGTCTCAAACTCCTGACCTCAGGTGATCCGCCCGCCTCGGCCTCCCAAAGTGCTGGGATTACAGGCGTGAGACATGGCGCCCAGCCTTTTTTTTTTTTTTGAGATAGAGTTTTTCTCTTGTTGCCCAGGCTGGAATGCAATGGCATGATCCCAGCTCACTGCAACCTTCGCCTCCCGGGTTCAAGCAACTCTCCTGCCTTAGCATCCCAAGCACCTGATATTACAGGCACGTGGCTACCACACCCAGCTAATCTTTGTATTTCAAGTAGAAGCGGGGTTTCACCATGTTGATCAGACTGGTCTCAAACTCCTGACCTCAGGTGATCCACCCAACTCAGCCTCCCAAAGTGCTGGGATTACAGGCGTGAGCCACCATGCCCAGACAAATTTCCATTTGTAATGATTAGTGATGTGGCATTTGAATTTAGGGGCCTTAGGAAAGTCACTTATTTACATATTAAGGTAAACATTCTGCTCGGCATTAGTACGTTCTAAGCGCAGCGCCAGCCATAAGTGATATAAAAATGAAAAGGTTCAAAGAAGTGATGCTGTGCTAGGCTTCAAGGGCAGGGCCTATTCTGGGCAGAGGGATGCTACAGTCAGGGCCCAGGAGCAGGACAGTGCTGTTGTCATTGGAGCGGAAGGGGAGCGTCAGGAGCTGATACAGGGAAGGAAGAAGGTCACACAGAGGCAGCAGCTCCCTGGCTGGTGACACCACAGTGAACACGGAAAGAAATCCTGCAGGTCTGCTGCATTCAGATGTCTTGGTTTGAAATGTGATACTTTCTAGCTCACGAGCCTGGGCAGTTATTTCACCCCTCAAAGCCGCATGTCCTCGCCTGAGCAAAAGGAATCCCGGCTCTCCCTGCACGGCACGGGGCTGGGCAAGTGTGGGCTGACTGCAGCGTTCTTGAGCCACCACGGACAAGCCGTAAGCAGGGGCGTGCAGTGACGCAGTGTGTACTGGACTGGTCCCTGCTTGACAGACTGAAGAGGGGCAAGGCCAGAGACAGAGGGACCCACAAAGTGACAGATAAGATGGAGGCCTAGATGAGGGGGAAGAAACAATGATAGCCTTGCAGGGCCAAAGCCACATGTGGGAGAGGAGCTACCTTGGACTTACAGGTTTCGCTCTAAGCACTCGAATGCTGGGATCAATCACCAATGTGGGAACCATGTTGAGGGCAGGCAGGAGCTGGCAGCTCCATGCTGGGTGGGCGACTGCATACCCACTGGCTGCATGGGTGGAAATATTCACGTTATCAGTGGCTGACGAGGACTTGGAGTCTGTAAGGGTCTCAGCTGAACTCAGAGCTGAAAGCCACCAAGAGAGGGATAGTGGCTGCAGAACAGGCTTGGGTAAGACGGCTCAGGCAAAGCGTAAAGTAGGGTACAGAAGAGCGCTATCGGGACCACCAGCCTTTGAGGGACACAAGAAGAGGGAATTTCAAAGGAAACAGAGAGGCAAGGGGAAAGCCAGGCAAGGGTGTTCTCAGGAAACCGATTTAATGCAGCCCACCAGCTGCACAGGGATGACATTTCACAATTTAAAAAAAACAGAAGCAGCCAAGGGAGGATGGAGTTTGGGGCAGGGCAGTCACAAATGCCAAGAAAAGGTAGTGAGCTCTGAAAGCACCTACCCTGCTTGTCAGCTGAGGAGCCCCTGGTGACCCCCCTCGTGACAGCAGTTTCAGGGAGGTGCAGGTGCTGAGGCTGGGGTGAGTGGTGCAGCTGAAAGAAACAGCGAAGCCCCATGCCTTCCAGCAGCGTGGCTGTGACGTGACAGGGAGGAGGGCTCAGGTGGCCCAAGTGCACACATGTGCCCACGCCCAAGTGGAGATACCTTGGGGGCCCTGAGAAAGGAGAGAAGGCTGAATACAGAGGGGGACGCCAAGCACCCGTCTCCCTTGACAGAGGAGTGGACACAGCCTGGGAGGGGAGGCGAAATAGAGGGGCAGATTGGCTTCTGAACAAGCTGGAAGATGGAACGCTGACCTGTGACAACCTCCAGCAAAGCCACCTGCTGGAAGGAAGGGGGTGCTCCTGGGGGACAAAGCCATGCTTGGGAGCGAGCAGCGCTCACGCAGAGCCCGACTAGGGGCAGGTGGCATGACCTGGGCCCGCTGGGCCACAGTCATGGCAACAGCTCCTACAGGACCAACCCTTCCACAAATAACAAAGAACGATTCTGGGGAAAAAAATGTATTTACAGAACAAAACACCCCTCTGAAGTCACTGGAGAGTAGTGGGAGCAGGCAGAACCTGGAGGAAGGCCGCAGAACATGGGAGGGTGCGGGTTTGTGCTTTTCACCCGAGGGCGGGCCCTGTCAGTTCCCCCGTCAGTGCCCAGCCCTGGGAAGAGGGGATAGGGCTGGGATGAGCGCAGCTGCTCACCAAGGAGAGCGTCCCAGACAAAGCCCAGGCTCTGCACGTGCCCGCCACACACCTGGCTGCCCCAGCCACGGTGGAGGGCCGACTTCGCACAGCTGGTGCGGTCTAAGGACTAAGGCACCTCCATCTGCTGCCTGCCCCCACCAGCAGAAGCCTCGACCTTGTCCAGACAATATTCCCTGTTGCAAGAGAGAAACAACACTCTTCAGAACATGAGAAAAGCTGGAAACTCTATAATCACACACAATGGCACAATCTAGAATTAGACATTCATAAAAATAGGGAAATGTGAGGAATACTCAAGAGAAAACGCGATGAATGGACACCAGCCCTAAGTGACCCCAATGCTGGAACTGGCAGACCAGGATTTGAAAGCAGCTATTATAATGACATTCAAAGATGTAAAAACAAAAATGCCCACAATACATGAATGGACAGAATCTCAGCAGAAAAAGAGAAATTATAAAAAAGAACCATACACAAATTCTGAAACTAAAAATACAATATCTGGTATGAAAACGTCCATTAGCTTGGTGTACCAGCAGACTGAAAATGACAGAAGGGTACAAGAGCTTGAAGACAGATAAAAAGAAAATGTCCCATCTGAGGGAGAGAGAGAGAAGAATTTGAAAAATGAACTGAGCTTCACCTCAGATCTGTGGGACAAGACCAAAGGTTTCTCATACATGAGAACTGGAGTCTCAGATGGAGAAGAGGAGGAGAATGAGGAAGAAAGAATACTTCAATACTGGCTGAAAAGTTTCTGTTGTAGTGCAAAACATAAGCTGAAACAAGCAGTTCAGTAAACAAGAAATGAAATAAAAGAAAATTACACCAAGGCACATCACAGACAAACCATTCCAAACCAAAGACAACATCCTCAACGCAGCCAGAGAAAAATGGCCCACGGCATACAGCGACAGAAATGCTAGAGGACTTTTCTTTAGAAAAACAAGAGCCAGAATATAGCAAAATGACATTGTTAAAGTTAAAACAAAAACTCTCAATGAAGAATTCCATAATTAGCCAGAATGAAGGCAAAACAAAGATATTTTCAGATAAATGAAAACTAAAATCCACTGTCAGCAGAACTGCAGTGAAAGAAATGTGAAAGGAAGTTCTTCAGGCTGACGGGAAATGAGACCAGATGGAAATTCCAATTTTCAGGATAAAATGAAGAGCAGTGGGAATAGTAAATAGTATGGATAATATAAAAGACTATCATCTTTTTCCTTTTCCTTTCTTAGAATAGATGCAAAAATCCTAGCCCTGTTTTACATGGTGCAGAGCACACGTAGCTGGACCCATGTGACAAGTACACATACAGGACAGGGCAGAGCTGCACTGATGATGCCTGGTAAACGGCTGACAACTGGTGAGGACGGGGCGGCCCCTGATCTGTGTCATCTGCCGATCCACAAAGCATAAATGCTCTGCCACGGCTGACGACATGCCACCATCAGCCACCAATGCAACATCAGCGGGCTTTAAAAAATCCTGGAGGCCGAGCGCCGTGGCTCACATCTGTAATCCCAGCACTGTGGGAGGCCGAGGCGGGCAGATCACCTGAGGTCGGGAATTCAAGACCAGCCTGACCAACATGGAGAAACCCCATCTCTACTAAAAATACAAAATTAGGCAGGCGTGGTGGCACATGCCTGTAATCCCAGCTGCTAGGGAGGCTGAGGCAGGAGAATCACTTGACCCCAGGAGGTGGAGGTTGTGGTGAACCGAGATCGTGCCATTGTGTTCCAGCCTGGGCAACAAGAGTGAAACTCCGTCCCCCCCCGCCCCCGCAAAAAAAAATACTGGAAAGTGAACGACTGGCTCTCAGGAGATACCATGAGCTGGCCTCGGCACCCCAATGAACAACACAGTGACAAGAGGCTTCTGTGTCACATGGAGTGGCTCAACATTAACTCAGAGTAGAGCCTGAAAAGGTAAAGATGTGTAGTGCATTCCTGTTGCTTCTCTTAAATGGGGGGCTCATAGAGGGCGCAAAGTCCTAGCGTCCTACAGAAGCTCTTCTACGATGAAGAACTTGACTCCTCCTGTGTCTCTAATCACATTTTCTTCAGGGAAATTGAGAAAACCATCACTCAAATGATTCTCTGTGCCCTGGGGTTCAAATCAGAATCCGTGGCTGAGGAATGCTACAGGCAACCAGCTTAAAAATAGTAAGTACAGATGGTCCCTGACTGAAGATGGCTGGAGTTGACGATTTTTCGACTTTACAACAGTGCAAAAGCAACATGCATTCAGAAGGAACTGCTTCGAGCGCCCATACAACCATTCTGTTTTCCACTTTCAGTACAGACTCAATAGATTACATGAGTCAAAACTTCACTATGAAGTGGGCTGTGTGTTAGATAATTTTGCCCACCTGCAGGCTAATGCAAGCGTTCTGAGCACATTTAAGGTAGGCTAGGCTAAGCCATGATGTGTAGCAGGTGTGGTGTATTCACTGCATTGCAACTTGTGGTATTTTCAACTTGCAGCCCCCACTGTAAGTTGAAAAGCATCTATGCGGTAAAATGGAACTGTCTAATCTAGGTGAAGGGTACTCACTGTGAAACTTTTTCAACTTTACCGTGTGTTTCAAAGTCCTCATAATAAAATGTTAGATAAAGAACCCATAAGGAAATTGAAACTATCAAGGCTTCTCGATTTCGGCTACACACTGGAATCCCAGCACAACCCAGGAAAGGCCACAGACTGTGGGCATTTTAGAATTTAGATTTTAGGGCTGGGCGCAGTGGCTCACGCCTGTAATCCCAGCACTTTGGGAAGCCGAGGCGGGCGGATCACGAGGTCAGGAGATCGAGACTATCCTGGCTAACACGGTGAAACCACGTCTCTACTAAAAATATAAAAAAATAGCCGGGCGTGGTGGCCGGCACCTGTAGCCCCAGCAGCTACTCCGGAGGCTGAGGCAAGAGAATGGCGTGAACCCGGGAGGCGGAGGTTGCAGTGAGCTGTGATTGCGCCACTGCACTCCAGCCTGGGCGACAGAGCAAGACTCTGTCTCCAAAAAAAAAAAAAAAAAAAAAAAAAAAAAATTTAGATTTTAGGTGAATTCTTGTCTTCTTAGAATTCATGTTCTAATTGGTTGGGATAGATTTTGTTTTGGAGTTTGGTCTTTAGCTCTCTTCAGCTGTAACAACGCTGCATGGCAAACACAAACCCCAGGGGCACACAATGGAAAACATTCATTTAAAATAATTTTTAAAAACTCAGTTTTAATCGATAATATGGTAAATACCTATAGATGTGACCCACATAAACATGGATTCTTTGGAATCTCTAATTTTTAAGAGTGCAAAGGGGTCCTAAGACCAAAAAGATTGAAAACTACTGGTATATAAACAAGTTTAATGAAAGTATACCTCCTTCACTGTCTCACAAAAAGAAAACTTTAAAAAATTATAATTCCTCAAAGTCCAAAGTTACAGAACTTACTTTGTTGAGAGTATTAGTAAAAGCAGTTTCCATCTCAGCTTGTACACTACAACAGCTTCCCTAAGTTTCAGTAAATCATCAACACAGGGACTGGAGCGCTGGAGAGTGCACCGCAGTTCTCAGCCACACCCACGAGGGGCAGGGGGCTCAGAAGCCACACACAGTGACCTGGAGCTGCAGCCAGGCACTGGGTACGGGGTTTACTAGGCTACAATCTCTACTCCTGAACTGGAAAATGTTCACAATAAATAGGTCAGGAAAAAAAGGAATGATTTCACTGGTTAATGTGTACTCATAGGCACTGCCCACACAACGGTGTGTTTTCCACTTTCAGTACAGTCCCACCTTTCTTTTCCTCTGCTATTTTCTTCAGCCAGCCACAGGGTTAAGAGCATTAGCTCTGGCTTTGAATCCCAGCTGACCTCAGGAAAATTTCTTATCTGTGACTCAGTTCTCCCATCTGTAAAATGGGGTAAAAATCACCACATGGGATCAGTTAGAATTAAATAGGTATAATCAGCCCTCAAAGGGCTGTTATGAAGATGATGTAAGTCAGTATCTGTCATGTAAGTTAGTCATGTGCTTGGACTGTTGTTCAAGTATATAAAAGCTTCCCTAACCTTTTACATACTAAGAAATTTTTTAAATGTCTGACCACTCTATAAATTAAACTGTATCACTGTAAGACTTCTGAAGAAGCAGAGAAAAACCAAAACAGAAGTAGGATACAGAAAAGACAGAGAGAAAACTTTATAGTAATAAAACTATACAACTTACTGTGACTTTAGACTTTCTGAAGGGCAATAACCTGCACCCAACAGAATATTAAAAGGATTCACATGAAAAGTGACTAAGAAAACCAAGTTAACTCACTTGCCAATTTCCGGACAACAGAAACCGCGACCCTCTATGACTAATGAATGGAGAATGCTGCAGGTAATTAAGAGCGTCTGCTCGCTGCGGTATTTTAAGCACTGTGGGGTTTGAGAATGACCACTCGTGGCCTCAGAGCCGACCCGCCAGCCTACGCAGGCTTTGCCACAGCTCACATGAGAGTCAGCTCACCCTCTGTCTCTCTGGGCACCAAAGCATGCAGACGAGACAATGACAGATACTCGCTACTTTGAAATTATACAGAAAAAAAAAAAAAAGAATGGGGATGTCAATAATTACATCCTGAAGAAAAAGCACTGAAGGGTCCATCCCTTAAGATTCACAGGGTGTGCAGGGCACAGGTTCCTAGGCTGGACTGTCTGGGGACAAAGGAAGCGGCACTCCACGGCAGGCCTTTCTCCTGGGATGGCATGGGGGAAGGAAGAGGAGGAGCCCTTTCTACAGCGGAGGGACTCCCTGCAATTCCGACGCCAAGTGTCCGCTCTGGGGTTGGAGCATCGCGGCATCACCAGGATGAGGGTGCGGTGAAGACGCTCAACCAAGAGCCACAGACCCTCCCAAGAGCAGTGGATAAGACAAAGACTGTTGCGACCTCAGGGGGTTGCTACGAGGGTCAAGTGGGGACAGGAGCCCTCGCAGGGCTGCAGTAAGGAGTTACTGTCTCCATACCATACCGTGCTCATTACATCAACAGAGGCTGCAGCTGCTGGGGAAATGGGTCCTTCCTGAGTTAGGATCTAAATCAGAGACAGGTGGCTCTCGATGGCGTTGTCAGAACGGGACTTTAGAAACAAAGCAGTTATGAAGCCTGTGGAAGGCACGAAGCGCCGTGCCAGGGACGGGGACGGTGCGGGGCGGTTGGGGGAGAGCGCACAGGGTGAGCGAGTGCGGCTCTGGGCCTCACGTGGCGCACCTGCTAGGAGACAAACATCTTTGTAAATAACACAGGGAGAATAGAGGCCAGCAGATGCGGACACAGCCGGCCTCGGTACCTCTATGCCATGGGGGCTCAGGACCAGTGACCCCACTGGAAAGCGCCACCCTGGTCTCTGTCTCCCCACTACTGACGATTCTGCAAACCACACAAGCATTTATTTTACCGGGTATGCATTATCTGGTCCATCTAGTCCTACAAACCACCTTACTCTCCCCTCCCCAAAGCCTCCACTACTATGGCATGGTTACCAACTTTGCAGCTGATCATAACACGGCAGAGGCTGGCGTGCAGAGCCACAGGGGCTCAGGCCGCGCCTCACTACCCACGCTGAGCTGTCCACGTGTACGTTAAAGAAAAATAAAGACTCAGGTAGCCAGTCACATTAGCCATGTTTCAAGTGCGCGGAAGGCACGTGTGGCTGCTGACAACCAACTCAGTGCAGGTGGAAAACACTCCGTCACCACAGAGAGCGCTTCAGGACAACACCGCTCTAGTGGTTAAGGATGATTTCCATGTGGGGTGGGGAGGAGGGTGTAAAACTTATTCCTCCCACCCTTTTTTTTTTTTTGAGATGTAATCTCACTCTGTCACCCAGACTGGAGGGCAGTGGCACGATCTCGGCTCACTGCAACCTCCACCTCCTGGGTTCAAGCAATTCTCCTGCCTCAGCCTCTCAAGTAGCTGGGATTACAAGCGTGCACCACCAGGCCTGGCTAATTTTTTTTTTTTTTTCAGACGGAGTTTTGCTCTTGTTGCCCAGGCTGGAGTGCAATGGCGTGATCTTGGCTTACCACGACCTCCGCCTCCTGGGTTCAAGCGATTCTCCTGCCTCAGCCTCCCGAGTAGCTGGGATTACAGATGCCCGCCACCACGCCCAGCTAATTTTGTATTTTTAGTAGAGATGGGGTTTCTTCATGTTGGTCAGGCTGGTCTCAAACTCCCAACCTCAGGTGATCCGCCCACCTCAGTCTCCCAAAGTGCTGGGATTACAGGTGTGAGAAACCACGTCTGGACTTCTCCTTAAAAAACATCAATAATTGAGATTTTTACAGCCAAAGCATATTCATGTATTGCTTATAGAATTTAGAAAAATACACATAAGATTGGCATTTATGAAAGATCTGAAAGCATTTAACAATGCCCTCACGGGGATCTGGGGTGTGCCCATCCTCCGTCCGTCAGACGTCCTCCTGAAACCCGTGCGTGCACTCACCTTTGCTGTGTTTTCCTAAGGGCCTCTTGGGCAGCGACTCCTCCGTGGAATGTGCTGATGTGTGCAGGGCATTCTCCAAACTATTACTGACACTGCTGACAGGGGCCTCAGTTCTTGGAGTGATCTGAGGGAACAGAAACAGAATCATCTTATTTTCTCCCACGGAGTTAATAGGGGACAATTTTATTTGTTAATTAAGTCTTTCATAATTACCTTGGTTTCCATTTTTCTACAAAACATGTATTATTATAATAATAAGCCTTCCCCAAGAAAGATGAAAATTTCACCTACTACTCTCCACTGAAAGTGCAAAAGAGCTCAGATAACTTGAGTCAAACACGGGCGCTTACGTCTTGTGGCTGGGGTTCATCGGGTGCACAGAAACTATGGTAGCCAAAGAGGCCGGGCACGGTGGCTCACGCCTGTTATCCCAGCACTTTAGGAGGCTGACGCAGGTGGATCTCTTGAGCCCAGGAGTTCAAGACCAGCCTGGCCAACATGGTGAAACCCCATCTCTATTAAAAATACAAAAATTAGCCAGGCGTGATGGCAAGTGCCTATAGTCCCAGCTACTCGGGAGGCTGACGTGGGAGGATCACTTGAACCCAGGAGGCAGGGGCTGCAGTGAGCCAAGATGGTGACACTACACTCCAGCCTGGGCAACAGAGTAAGGCTCTATCTCCAAGAAAAAAAAAAGGAACTATGTTAGCCAAGGTGGCATGAATTATATATTTTTATTTGAGGCAAACTTTTATTTTCATATTTCTTCAAATCAAATAGCTCCCTATAAAACGAATTACACAGCAGGACTTAACATTCTCCTTCTATAAATCTTAAATCATAAAATGCTTTAAAAACAACAGCAAAGAACAGAATACAACTCGGTCTATTTGGGGTACAGTTTGAAAAAGCATATCCTAAAATTACATCCCAATTCCATTTCTAGGAATTCACCATACCAAGTACTCACACGTGAGAAAATGACCTGATGGGGTGTGCCCACTGCAGGAGTGTCTGTGACAGGGAAAGCGGGGCACACCCTCAGTCCCCATCGACAGAGACCTGCTAAGCACAGACAGTGTACCTGCAGGTGACGGCCGCCCCCAAGCTGTGGGTGGGGGAGGCCCTCCTGACCACCAGTGCTCCCAACACACAACAAGCGCAGAAACAAGCCACGGGCTAGCCAGGCTCGTCCCACCCCTCCTGCTTCCTGGGTTCAGTGATGGTGTGAATGTGGAATAAGCCGGAAGGGGCCCAGAGGGGCGAGAGGAGGGGGGTAGCAATAACCTTCATTCCCTCCCCATCAGTATTTTAAAATTTCACAGCCAAAACACATTTATAACTTATAGGATTTAGAAGAATAAAAATGGCCAATGCTGTAACTTCTTTACAGTCTCAATGTATTTCAAAATTTCGGAGGATATGAGAGGCGTAAGATTTTAAAGTTCATCAAAAGAGCTGATAAGCAATGCTGCATTCACAGTATGGGAAAGTACATGGCACAAGCAGCCTGGAAAATGGCCTGACCTCTCCAGCCTCCACTTGTTCTTTCATCTCATACCTGGACGGTAGGTGGCAGTTGACCAAAACATCCCCTAAGTTCACTCACAAGCACAGATCCCAGCACTCGCTCTGCAGAGGGCTGGCCAGGTAGGCGTGGCCTCGACCTCAGACAGGATGAAAGTGGAGGCGGAAGCTGGAGTTGGGAGGAAAGGGTGGAGACTGCTGCCACTCCGGCAGGACCAGCACCTGCTGTATTCCACAGACAGCAAGCCACAGGGGCCACACCCAAGTCCATAGCGAGATCCTCTGATCCCAGCTCTGTCAATGCCCCTGCCCCCCAGCAAGAAGCCCTCCTGGGCTGTTCATGCAGGGAGAGGGACTAACAGATCCCACGCGGCTCAACAGATGCCTTCCAAGAAAAGCAACTTGTCACAGGGCTACATAATTGGGAAGTTTATGTAACTCGAGAAAATAAGGCCGGGCGCAGCAGCTCATGGCTATAATCCCAGCACTTTGGGAGGCTGAGGCAGGAGGACTGCTTGAAACTATGAGTTTGTTACTGGCCTGGGTAACAGCGAGACCCTGTCTCTATTTAAATTTCTAAAAAAGTAAAAAAAAAAAAAAAAGTCCTAGCCATGCAGCAACTCCTCCAGAAAGTCAATTCTTTGGATAACTTAATAACATGTTATCAAGAAAATAAAATTTTTTGAATTTCTTATATTTGTAATTTAAATTGGGTGATTTCCTTCCGATTTAACAAAGTCTCTTTCATTATTCTATGGTTAGAGAACCCAGAAATGAACTCCTTTCCCACTAAACAAGATAATAGAACCGATACAAGTACGATACAAATCTTACACAAGGAGATTTTTAGTTCCAAACAGTACATATTACTTTGCAAGACAACTCAGGAGGTTAACACATTAACTGTACAAGAAACACAGCCAAGGCCGGGTGCAGTGGCTCACGCCTGTAATCCCAGCACTTTGGGAGGCCGAGGCAGGTGGATCACAAGGTCGGGAGATCAAGACCATCCTGGCTAACACGGTGAAACCCCGTCTCTACTAAAAATACAAAAAATTAGCCAGGCATGGTGGCGGGTGCTTGTAGTCCCAGCTACTCGGGAGGCTGAGGCAGGAGAATGGTGTGAACCCGGAAGGTGGAGCTTGCAGTGAGCCGAGATCGCGCCCCAGCACTCCAGCCTGGGCGACAGAGACTCTATCTCACAAAAAAAAAAAAAAGAAAAAAGAAAAAAGAAAAAAAACAAACACGGCCGAGGCCAGGCTTAGTGGCTCACGCCAGTAATCCCAGCACTTTGGGAGGCCGAGGCAGGCAGATCACCTGAGGTCAGGAGTTTGAGACCAGCCTGACCAACATGGTGAAACCCGTCTCTACTAAAAATACGAAATTAGCCAGGCATGGTGGCGCACGCCTCTAATCTCAGCTACTGGGGAGGCTGAAGCAGGAGAATCGCTTGAACCCCGGAGTTGGAGGTTGTAGGGAGCCGAGATTGCGCCATTGCACTCCAGCCTGGGCAACGAGAGTGAAACTCTGTCTCAAAGAAAAAGAAAAAAAGAAAAAAGAAACACAGCTAGGTGCAGTGATTCACACCTGTAACTCCAGCACTTTGGGAGGCCAAAGCAGGAGGATCACTTGAGGCCACGAGTTCAAGGTCAGCCTAGGCAACATATTGAGACCCCCATCTCTACAAAAACACAAAAATTAGCTGGGTGTCGTGGCCTGTGCCTGCAGTCCCAACTACTTGGGAGGCTAAGGTGGGAGCATCGCTTGAGCCCAGGAGTTTGAAGCTGCAGTGAGGTATGATCATATCAGTGCACTCCAGCCTGGGCGATAGCGAGACCCTGTCTCAAGAAAACAAAAGAAATATAACCACAGCAGAGCCCATTCGATTTGGCCTGATGCATGAACCTCCACATTCTCTTAGCTACTTTGGTACATATTCTAAGTCCTGGTTCTAAGAAGAGAAAGTGAGCTGCCTTTTCTCTTTTTTAAGAGACGGAGTCTCAGCTGGGCACGGTGGCTCACGTCTGTAATCCCAGCACTCTGGGAGGCCGAGGCGGACAGATCACCTGAGGTCAGGAGTTCGAGACCAGCCTGGCCAACATGGTGAATGAAACCTCGTCTCTACTAAAAATACAAAAACTTGCCAGGTGTGGTGGCGGGCACCTGTAATCCCAGCTACTCGGGAGGCTGAGGCAGGGGGATCGCTTCAACGCGGGAGGTGGAGGTTGCAGTGAGCTGAGATTACACCATATTGCACTCCATCCCGGGTGACAGAGCAAGACTCCGTCTCAGGAGAAAAAAAAACAAACAGAGTCTCTTCTGTCACTCAGGCTGGAATGCAGTGGCACAATCATAACTCACCGCAGCCTCGACCTCCTGGGCTCAAGTGATCCTTCCACCTGAGCCTCCTGAGTAACTGGGACCACAGGTGCACACCAGCACGCACAGCTGAGAGTGAGCTGCCTTGACAACCAGCATCAGCAGTTCCAACTTTGCTGGTAGTGGCAAACCTTCCTGCCCCAAAAAGAAACACGTGTGATCAGTGCGTTCTCGCACACACACACCGCCTGCCCACCCTAAAACACTCCAAAGAGACACAAAGGAAAGCCAGCCTCCCAACTCTCAGCCTGCTAGGGGAGGAAGGGGAGAGGAGGGCTGAGCAGGGGAAAACACAGCCTTGGAGAGAAGGAGAGCAGTACTGATTAGTGCTTCTCGGCCTCGACAGCACACTGGAACACCAAGGCCCTGAGAAAACCACATCCCACACTCCCCACCAAAATCAGAGTTTCTGGAAACGGGGCTTCTTTTGTTTTGTGCCTGAAGCTTCTCTGGTGATTCTAATTTGCAGCTAGGCTAAGAACCAACCACGACCCCAAGTCCAGGTTTTATACTGCACCCATCATCCGGTCCAATCCCGGCAAGGACAAAGAGGAGACCCAGAGAAAACAGGAAGTCTTTTCCCCACGCAGACAGGAAGAGCTAAAGGCTGTAGGTCCGTCTGCCACAACCACAACTGGAAGGGGAAAGCCCGTGAGCCACCCTAGCAAAACACACACTGCATCTGACATCAAGACAGGAAGGAAAACTCTTTAGAATGGCAACTGCTGGAAAAGAAAGACCTGTTTTCCTCCGTATATTTTCCCAAGGAATTTCTTCTTAGTTTTCCACATGTTCACTTTTTCCAACCAAGCCTTTATCGTAACTTTGTTCCTTTGTTTACATTGAAAGCTGTCTTCACTTGTGTTTCCCAGAAATGCTGTTTTGGGGTTATTTTTGGTGAAGTTAGTTTGCTCCACGTGACCTATGTTCCACTCAAGTGCTCTCTGACTCAGGCTCACCCGCAGGACTCGTCATCTGGCCTGATGTGCACGAGAGGGAAGACTGACCGGCTCCAAAGGCTGCCTTCTGCTACTGCTAGGAAGGCAACGATAAGCTGCTCTCTTCCTCTCCACAGCCAGCCTCTTCCCACAACCCACAAAAACCCTCTGCCTGGCCCCTGCAACCTGGCATCCAGTCCTCCCCCAGCTCTTCACTCCATGCACTGCTGCCCTGGGCACAGCAGTCACATCTGCCTGGGGCCTTCGCCCTGGCTGTCCCCTCTGCCTGGAAGCGCCCCTGTGCCTTCCCATCTATACTCAAACGTCCTTCTTAGCAAGACTTCTCGATGCTCAGCAAGGCAGCTGTGTTTCTGGTTTGCTTTGTTCACTGCTGTTCCTTTGCACTTCGAACTGGGCCTGGCATGAAGCAGGCCGTTAATAAGGATCTGTAAAATACATCATGATATCACCAAATTTTAATGAAATTCAGAATCAAACGGAAAGCACTTCTATTTCAAACAAAAACTTCTGCAATCTACATTATGTAACAGACAATCAGATTGTTCCACCACATCTACAAAGCGCTAACCCAGGAATGAAATATGACTCTGAAGCAAGCTACTGGTAGTCACGGGGCACACCCGCCCCTGGGGCTCTTCCAGGAAAGCTGACTGAGGTTCCACAGTGGCCACACATCTAGGGGCACCTGGACTTGGGCAGCCCGCCTCTGGCTCTTATGCAATCACCCTTCTTACTGTTACAGTTTAAAGAGAGGAGGCCTCTGCTTCCAAACTTTAATGTGCAAAATGCCTCCGGATCTGGCTGAAACGCAGGTTTGATTCATGAGGTCCGGGGTGGGCCTGAGAATCTTGCATTTCTAACCAGCTCCCACATGATAATGCTGCTGCATGAATATTTCAAGGTAAATCTTCACCATGATCAAAACAGTCAAAGGCTCAACAGCCTCCTCTTATTTTTTTATTAAAAAAAAATAAACAGAGCCAGGGTCTCACCATGTTACCCAGGCTGATCTCAAACTCCTGGGCTCAAGCCATCCTCCCGCCTTAGCTGGGATTACAGGCGTGAGCCACCGAGCCCGGTCTCCGCAACGTCCCTTTAGATGGGATGGAAAAGGGAATCCCCGCACTGCGCAATTAGACCAGAGGGAATCAAAGGCCCTTCCAGGCAAGGGTGAGGAGCTACGCCTGCAGAAGAGCTGACGCTGGCTGCAGGTTGTGACCCCCGCTAACTACCCCCCGCCTCAGGTATTTACGCTTTTTTTTAAAAAAAGGTTTGTCCTTAGTTCATGCCGCCTGACAGAAAAAAACCCAGCACCACACAGGCTACTTTACAGCTCTGTGCTTACAACCCACTTTAATGTTCACGGACCTGACCATAACTTTTAGAAGAGAATTAATTTCTAAAAATCTATTTCCTGAAAGCTCTTCCAAAGACATCCAAGTGGGACGTGCTGACGCAGTCAGATGGAAGCACAGCCCCCCAACACTGACGGCAGCCTCGGTCTGCAGAAGACTCGCTGCACCCCACTGGTGGGCATTTGAAAACTGCTCAGAAAAACGGCAGTGAGCTTTTAGAGCAGGGTTTTAACCTTTTCTTTGTGCCAGCGACCTCTCTGGCAGTTCGATGACACCTACTGAGCCCTTCTAAGAAACATATTTTAAATGCATAAAATACACAGGACTGCAAACAAAGCCAATTATATTGAAAACCGTCATCTAAGTATTAGAAGACAAATGGGCTCCTCGAACAGAGTCTGTGGGTCTCAGCTCACTTCACAGGAGCGCTGAGCATGAAGGAGACTTGAAGACGCTTTCTACGACTGTGCAATCAAAGTATCTGTGACTGCATCTGTGACCAAGTCACAGGTACTGTTCGTATGACTGTGGATTCCTGCCTGCTTCCATAAAGGCAGGGAATGCTCAATTCCCAGTTAGAGGCTGGAGAAAGTGAAGTTGTGATGGCTTCCACTCTCCATGGCTAGGAGCCCCTACTGGGACAGTCACATCTAACCGTGCCCACCAGAGGGGCAGCCTGCCACTGCCCTCCTCACCTTGTTTCTTTACAAATACGGACCTGAACAGTATTCACATCAGCATGCCACATAAAAACAAGCCCTGGAAAAGCCTCACAGTCACTTTGGAGGTCACGTGTTTTTCATGAAAAAAAAAAATTGTTTTTTTTTTTTTTTTTACTAAAGAGACAGGGTCCCGCTATGTTGCCCCATCTGACCTCTAACTCCTGGCCTCAAAAGTGGTCCTCCACCAGATCAGACCTGTTGATAGATGAAAACTGTCTGCTTTCTCCTCTGGCGGGAGAAGACTATTCTTCCTTTTAAAAGGAAACTCGAATGAGGACTGCAAGCCTCTCGTTTTACCGGACACTAAACCCAAAATTAAGGATAATGGAGATCTGGTTTTTATCAAGCCTCAATAATGTAACACTGCCCCAAGCGAAAACAGAAAAAGATTTCATCCAACTCTGCACCCCTGGGGTAATTAAGCAAGAGAAACTGGGCACAGTTTACTGTCAGGCAAGCTCTCCTGGAGCAAATATGATTGGTAATAAAATGTCTGCCATTTCTGTTCACGGTGTGAGTACCTCTGGAGGACAGATGTACCACTATGACATGAATACAGCATCCCTTTCTCAACAGTAGGATCAGAAGCCTATTTTTAATGTCATCCCACCAATTCCCGTTGGTTCTGAAAATTGGAATAGGTGTCAAGGATCTGGAGATGACAACTTGACTTCCTTGGGGACTCTGAATTTCCCTGGTCGAACGGTTTCTTTTTCTTTTGAGATGGAGTCTCGCTCTGTCGCCCAGGCTGGAGTGCAGTGGTGCGATCTTGGCTCACTGCAAGCTCCGCCTCCCGGGTTCACACCATTCTCCTGCCTCAGCTTCTCAAGTAGCTGGGACTACAGGCGCGCACCACCACGCCCGGCTAATTTTTTGTATTTTTAGTAGAGACGGGGTTTCACCGTGTTAGCCAGGATAGTTTCAATATCCTGACGTCGTGGTCCGCCCGCCTCAGCCTCCCAAAGTGCTGGGATTACAGGCGTGAGCCACTGCACTTGGCCCCCAAAGTGCTGGGATTACAGACATGAGCCACTGCGCCTGGCTCCCAAAGTACTGGGATTACAAGCGTGAGCCACCGCGCCTGGCCCAACGGTTTTTTCTAATGGCTATTTCAAGGTAAGATTCTGTCTCTTAAGAATGGTACATTTAAGATAGATTATTAGATGTAAATCTTCATTTATTTGTATGTGTTCTCTAAAGATTCATGTGTTTTTTTATATGAAGAAGTTTAAGTGGCCTTTTGAAAGTAGGAAGGGTAGACGTACAGATGGTGACATCTGTACGTAACCATTTCAGGTTTCTTCCTTAAATAGTGGTATTCAGTATCCCACTGGCCAATGGTAAGGATTTTATTTAACATTTTAAAAATAATATTGCTCATTAAGAGATATCTTAAGGAAAAATTACATAAATTCAGGAGAGTATGTGTCATCACATTGTGTTGTGCATGTTCATTCAGCTGTTTTAGAATATGTTCTTATATTACAATAAATGATACCCTTAATTACATAGTCAAAAAAAAAAAAAGTGGTCCTCCACTTCAGCCTCCAGAGAAGCTGGGACTACAGGAGGCGCATGCCACCATGCCAGGCTTAACCTACAAACAGTTCCTTATCATCTACTGCCTCAGGTTCAAACCCCTTCCCCCGTTTTTTAGCACACTGTTAGATGTTTTTCCTAACTTAACTTATAAAGTCTTATTATTCCCTAACCTAGTGGTTCTCAACTGGGGGAAATTTTGTCCCCAGGGGACATCTGGCCACAGCTGAAAACATTTTCTGTGAACTGGGGTGGGGATTCTCGTGGCATGCAGCCAACGGAGACCAGCGATGCTGTTAAACATCCTGCAGAGCCCAGGACAGCTCCAGAGCAAGGAAGTACCTGCCCGCAGGCCTCAGGAGTGCCAAGGCTGAGAGGCCCTCCCTGATACAGTTTATTTTCCCTAATATTGAGTACTGCGTCTGCATGTGGAATACCTGGGAGCTGGCAAACGACGCAGGCTGAGAAAGCCAGGTCTAGACATCTTTAAAAAGAATACGGTCAGTTTAAAAAGCCAGGTGCCAATGGAATGCCTACGATGTCAAGACACATTGTGAGAGACCATGGAGAATAAAAGAACAAAAAGTACTAGCATTTTTGTCTGTTTTTTTGGAGACATGGTCTATGTTGCCCAGGCTGGTCTCAAATTGCCAGGCTCAAGTCATCCTCCTGCCTCAGCCTCCCGAGTAGCTGGGACCACAGGCATGAGACAATGCACCCGGCTATAACCACCTTTTGTACAGTTCTTCCCAAGTATCCATTATGCAGCCATATGAGATCATCCATCTGATCCCTGCAGTACGTGACGTACACAGATCAAATTATCTCCATGTTAAAAACAAGAAAAACTGAATGTCAGTTCCTAAATGCCTTCCCCAAGGTCATCTGGCCAGTAGGGAGCAGAATCAAGTGCAGACTTTAGGTCCTGTAACTACAGAGGTCTGTGATTTGTGCACATTAAATCCAAGGAGGCGAGCGGAGCACAGCGGTCAGGAGCCGTCTCGGCGGCCAGTGCTGGGTCCACACAGGGCAGCCCCTGTTTCGTCCACTATGGGATGGAAATAATGGCACCTACCTAAGGCTTTTGTGAGAATTCAGTAAAATGCATTTCTAGTACTGTGAACTGGAAAAATGTTAGCATTCAAAATGTTAGTTGCTGTTATTATTGTGGTGCTTGCGGTGTGGCTGGAGGACAATTAAATTGCTTCAGTGCTGTCACAGAGACTCGGAGCTCTGGGAGGATCCAGGAGGGGCACCGGCAACTGGGCCTCCCGGAAGGCAGGGCTCCCTGTGTCTACAGCATCTGCTGCACCCCTGTGGGCAGCACACCCCCAGAAGCACTGGGGATGAGGACAGAGCCACCCACAGCCACCCCAGCTCCGTGTTCCCTGCACTGGGGGCCAGGGCCTATCTTCTCAAGTAGAGACTTTACCACGACATGTGATCGTCTGTTCTAAAACCAGTGCACTTGCCAGGCACAGTGGCTCACGCCTGCAATCCCAGCACTTTGGGGGGCTGAGGCAGGAGGATCGCTTGAGCCCAGTAGTTCAAAACCAGCCTGGGGCCAGGAGCAGTGGTTCACACCTGTAATCCCAGCACTTTGGGAGGCTTAGACAGGTGGAACTCCTGAGGTCAGGAGTTCAAGACCAGCCTGGGCAACATAGTGAGACTACATCTCTACCACAATTTAGAAATTACCCGAGTGTGGTGGTGTGTGCCTGTACCTAGCTGCTCAGGAGGCTGAGGTGGGGGGATCGCTTGAACCTGGGAAGTTGAGGCTGCAATGAGCTATGATTGCATCACCGCACTCCAACCTGGGAGACAGCACGACACCCCAACTCAAATAAATAAATAAATAAATAAATAATGAAAACAAGCACATGACAGCTTGAATAATTATTTAATTACTTGGACTACAGTTAAAATGTTCTCAGGAGTCAAATGCTCATAAAGCTGCAGGGGGTGGCCTCGTCCTCAGCTGAGTGTAACCTGGGGCCACTGTCTGGACAGCAAGGAGGCAGGATGTGATGAGCTTTTTTCCCATCTGTAGCTTTTCACCCACTAATCCCACTGGGAGGAGTCTGCTGTTAGGATACAGTCAATCAGCGATGTAGTCAAAGGTTTGTGTGTAAGGAGATTTATCTCAGCTTGAGCAAAAAGAAAAACAAACAACATAAACATCCCAGCAACAGATTACTATTGAAATAGGTCGCTAAATGTGTATGTCCAGATGACTGAATATTATGCAGTCTTAAAAGGCATGCAGGATGCTCACAGATAATGTGAAAATGGGCAGAACGTACATCAGTTGTGTGCAAACAGGCACTGAGAAAAGACAAAGGTACACCGAAATATTACTAGCATTTATCTCTGGGTAATTTTTATTTTATTTTTCTGTTTTCCAATTTTTCTGTGAGGAACAATCACTACTTCTAGAATTTAAAAAAGTTACAGATATTAAGTCTAAATATAAATACCTCCCTACAAGATGTGAATGATATGAAAAGTATAGAAAAAGCAAGCTTCTAAAACCATAACCACACTTTCCTTCCACACATATCTCGAGGGCCGGGCACATCAGGGGTTAACATGAACTTCAAAGTGTCTACCCCCACAAACAAAATACAGTAAACATGACTATGAAAAAATAGTGTTTTCAATTTGTTTTCCAATTAACCTACCTCTATACAGGAAGGAGTAACGTCTGTTAAATACTTTTAAGTTAACGTAAAAAACATAAAACATAAAAACAAAATAGATTTGTAAGCATTTTGCTAAAATAGTCATTACGTGTCTCTAAAAACCAGAACAAGAAGACAGACAGTTTAAGAGTGAAAGCTATTTGCTGACTTAGACCAAGTGAAAGCCAACGCTAACCAAAAAAACATTTTCCATGTAAAAACATTCCTTTTAATATTTCTTAACCTAGAGCTCTACTCATCAAAAAGAGAAAGAGAGAAAAAAGATTACTGCTTAAAATCTCAGCAAAGGGAACCCAGTACTTAACTAGACCAGCTCCCAGAGTGACCAGATGCAAATCTCTTTCACAAATAGCCACAGGGCAGCACGGCCTCCTCTAGGAACACCGGCCCCAACTGCCCACCCGCGGGGGCTTCCAGGCCTCCAGGTGCCAAGACATCCCACCAGGGGCCAACCACATGGGACCTCTGGGGTAGGGCTTCCCTACAGTCAGCCTCCAACACACCCAGAATCCCTGTTCCAGACACTGCCTGTAGAAACAGAGGGAGTCTAAAGTCGAGAGCCCTAGGGAGGCTAAAGACATACTTCCTAGTCCTGTAATCCCATAAAACAGGGTTCAAAGGGCATCTTAACGGATGTATTGACTTCAGAGAGAACACCAGCATCTTGCTTGTACTCATGAGCAACAACTCATTTCTGCCTTCCTAGCCCCTCCTTGCCCTCCTGTCCAGCAGCGACCTACTCACCACTAGGGTCGGAGGCCGGCAATGGCGCTGACCTTCACTGCTGACCGGGCTCTGACCACTGCTGTCTTCCAGTGCTTCTGAGCAACTACTACCCTCCACTAAAAAAAACAACTTTATGCAACAGGAGAGAAAATGCTTGCACAGACAAGTGCAAGTGTCAATAAAACTGGGCTGGGGGTAGGGGTGGAACTGAAGTAGGAGGAGTAAACATAATAGTGAAAGTGTCAACCTCCTGTAGTGATGCCAAATGCCGGCCCTACAGTCAGACCCTCGGGAGGGCCGCCCCCATCACTAGTCGTGCGACACAAGTGATGTGGCATTTCCAAGCCTGTGTCCCCATCTGTAAAGTGGGGACAGCCACCATATTGACTTCCGAGGGTTGGTGCAAGGATTGAAGTAGCCAGTCCACCAAGCATGGCTCTCAGGATGGAGCCTGGCAAACAGCAAGCGCCCATTCCACAGCCACAGGGATCCAGGCTGGCACCGTGCACCGAGGCACGCATGCAAAGCCTCTCCCTCAGAGCTTCTCTCTCAACACGGCCCCACAGAGCAGACCACCAGCAGCACCGCTGTGGCGCGGGCCGGGTCGGGGAGAAACCAATCAGAGGCTGCTCGAAAAAGGTACAAAGTCAGCACTTAGGAGCAACAGGTGACAGCGAGGGAACACACAGAAGCAACACTGACAGGACATGGCCACGTGGGAACCAACAACCCAATCTCAACAATCTCTGAAGACGACACCATCAGAAAGTAAAGCAATACGGCCACCATGATGGTTCCTTCCCCCTCAAGAAAAATGCACTTTTTATTTTTTATCTTTGAGATAGGGGCTCGCTCTGTTGCCCAGGCTGGAGTGCAGTGGCACAACCACAGCTCAGTGCCATCTCCCACCTCAGCCTCCTGAGCAGCTGCGACTACAGGCGTGTACCACAGCGCCCGGCTAATTGTTTTTATTTTTTGTACAGATGGGGGTCTCCCTATGTTGCCCAGGCTGGTCTTGCACTACTGGCCTTAAGAGATCCTCCCAACTCAGCCTCCCAAAAGTGGTGAGTGGGATTACAGGCATGAACCACTGCACCCAGTGTAAGAAAAAATTTAAATGATGTGACACTCGTAATGTTAGAAACAGTGAGCTGCAACAGCTTCAGGGGCAGAGGCTGCAGCCAGCACCCTCTCCATTGCAGGCATAGATGCAATCTAACTCCACTGATGCCACATCCAAGAGGATGGCAGATGAGACATTCCCTGAGGTTATCTTTATCTACAGGACTTTTTTTTTTTTTTGGAGATGGAGTTTCGCTCTTTTTCCCCAGGCTGGAGTGCAACGGTACGATCTCAGCTCACTGCAACCTCCGCCTCCTGGGTTCAAGCGATTCTCCTGTCTCAGCCTCCTGAGTAGCTGGGATAACAGGCAGGCGCCACCACACCCAGCTAATTTTTGTATTATTACCAGAGACAGGGTTCCACCATGTTGGCCAGGCTGGTCTCAAACTCCTGACCTTAGGTGATCCACCTGCCTTGGCCTCCCAAAGTGCTGGGATTACAGGCGTGAGCCACCGTGCCCGGCCCATCTTCAGGACTTTTGACGTTAAGTACATAATACACACAATATTGTTATTGTGAATATTTGGCCAGGAATATGCTTAAATACTGGGGTTTTCTTAGAGAAGCTGGCTAAATGTCTAATCACAATAACTAAACTGCGTTATCATGACCATTTTGGTTCCCACTATAATATTCAGCTCCCTGAGATGGACCATTCAAAGCAGTGAGCACGTTCAAGTGGCTGCTTTACAGTGCTTTGGGGATACCAGCCACAGTATAGGTTCGGTTTCAGAACACTTAGGCATCTAGGATGGGAAAGAACAGGACTTGAAGAGGCCAGGAGCGAGAAACCCCTGGTTCAAAACAAGAGTGCATCCAAGGTCCAGAAAGTGTCAGTAAAATCGGCTAGCAGGCTTTGTTTCTGCAGGCACCACAAACTCTATTCCAGGAGTCTTCTTGGGACACCCTATTATGAACAAGGCATCGCTGCTTCAGAGCCAGGGTCCCCATCTCTTACTGTCAGCCATGCAACAAAAGATCAGACCAGAAAGGGCTCACCTGGATTGATCACAGAAGACATTTAGGCCAAAAAGTTTCAGATTTACCTCCCACTGCAGCTATGACCAGACCCTCATCCCCTAGGCACCTGGTATCTGCCCAACTGAACTTCACACCTACAGGTGAAGCCTAGCCCAGGCCTGCTTCTCTGGCAAGTTCACCACACGCCTGACTCTCCTTCCCGTGGCTGACCGCCACCAGGGGCTAGAGCATGTAGACAACCATTCCACTGACATCCTCCAAATGGACCCATGAACTTCAAGGCACTGGGCCATGCTAGCCTTCTCTCCGCACAGCACCTCATCCTTTTAACAGCACATGTTCCAGTTAGTATAAAACCCCCCTTCACAGCCTCCCTTCCTCAGGGAGAGTGAATTCTTCCTAGAACACATGGTTCGTATTTATTTCTGCAACCCCTGGAGTATATAAAACAGGTGGTTCTACCTTCAGTAATGGCTGAGACGTTGGACCAATCCTCTTGCAGATAACTATAAACTCTGGACAAAGCATAAAAAAACAAACTGAACAGGACCAAGACAAGCAGAAACTGGAGGGAGCCTGTGCCCAGAGCGAGCTGAGCACTGCACGGGTTTCTTGTCCTGGGGCAGAACCTGGTCCTCCTCAGAGAAGGGGGGCAGCTAAAGCTCACAGAGAGCCCCACAGTCTCACCTGAAAAACCAGAGAGGGGAATTCTGGTAGATGATCGCAGCTGGAAAGCGACAGGAGAAACCCTGGAAGGGAGAGCACCCTGGGAGGGGACAGCACGCTCTGCACATCAACTCTGTGTGAGCCCTGCAACAGGCAGGCACGGGGCAGGTCCAGGACAGCAAGGTCACACTACAGCAACTGAGCAGAGATATTAGCTGCTGATAACACAGGAAGAGTATCTGGAGTTTGAGTCCAGCCAAACTGACTGCCTGCTAAAACAAAGCATCATCAATCTTCAGGAGGATAGAACGAAGTCCAGAGTTTCTACAACAGATCACTCACAAAATCCAAGAAGCAATCCACAATTACTAGACATGGAAAGAAACAAAAATATAACCTGTACAAAGAGGAAAGAGTTAGCTCTGGAGACCAGGCACAGGACACACCCATGCTGCCAGCACAGGCAGGACTCAGTAGCCCTTACAACGGGGCTCAGGAACAGAAAGGCAAAGGGACTTAGGCTGGACAAGCCAAACGGGTCTCAAGAGAGAAAGAGAACATTTCTTAAAAAATGGAAATTCCAGGGCCAGGTGCAGTGGCTCACGCCTGTAATCTCAGCACTTAGGGAGGCCAAGGCAGGCGGATCACCTGAGGTCAGAAGTTCGAGACTAGCCTGGCCAACATGGCAAAACCCTGTCTCTACAAAAAAATAAAAAAATTACCTGAGTGTGGTGGTGGGCGCCTGTAATCCCAGCTACTTGGGAGGTTGAAACAGGAGAATCGCTTGAACCCAGGAGTCGGAGGTTGCAGTGAGCCGAGAGTGTGCCACTGTACTCCAGCCTGGGTGGCAGAGCAAGACTCTGTCTTAAAAAAAAAAAAAAAAAAAAAAAGGAAATTCCAGAACTAAAAAATGCTATTTCTAAACGAAGAAAAATCCTGTGGACGAGCTTTAACAGCAGACTGGAGGTAACAGAAGACTCAGTGAATCTGAAGATGGATCAATAAAAAGTATCCAACCCAAAGAACAGAGAGAGAAAAAGATCTGAAAGGAAAACAATCAAACAAAGCTTCAGGGACAATATCACACAGTTTAACATACCTAGAGCTGGAGTCCCATAAGGAGAGAGAGATTGAGGCAGAAAAACATTTTGGAGAAATTATGGCTGAAAATTTCCCACAGCTGGCAGAAGGCATAAATTTACAGATCTAGTAAGTTCAGGACACCAAATAAGATAAATTCAATAAACACTTGGACACATCACAGTCAGGCTGCTCAAATACCAAAGACAGTCCATCTTAAAGCCAGCTGGAGAAAAACAACTTGTGAGCACAGGGGAGCAGCCAACAGCAGAGCCCTGGAGGAGAGACAGGGTCTCGACTTCTCTCAAAGTCCCAGTAGAAGAAAGCTGCCAACAAAGGACCTCACGTCCAGTGCAAACATACTTCAATAGCACGGGTGAAAGCAAAACATGTTCTGATAAAAGAAAACTAAGAGCCTTTCTTGCCAGCACACCTACACTCCCGAAAATACTAAAGTGAGTTTGCCAGACTGAAAGGATATGGTAACAAACTGGATCGGTAAGGAATGAAAAGCACCAAAATGGTAAATAGACCTGGTTCCACTTAGGGGTTGGGGGAAAAAAGGTAAATATGTGAGTATATATAAAAGACAATATTTTCCTCGTAATTTTTTTAAAGGTACATTCATACTGAAGCAAACAACAATACTATATATGTTGTGATGTCTACAGCACAGATGTAACATGTACACTTGCCACAGCAAGGACCGGGAAGGCACCTGGTTGCAAGACAGTGACCAGCTTCTTACACTGCACAAGGCGGGGTACGGTATTAACTCCAAGCAGACTGTGTAAAGTTCAGTATCTACAGTGTCATCTCTAGACCAGCCACTAAAATCATGCAACAAAGGAAGCCAACAGATAAAATGGAATTCCATGAATCTGCTTAAATGAAGTTTTAGAAATGGCAAAACTAATCAATGGTGGAAAAGAAACAGAACAGAGGGAGAAAGAGTTTTTAAGGCCTGGGGGTGGGGGGTGGGAGAAGGTGGAAAATGGCGGGAGGGAATTCTCTGGGCTGACGGTCATACCGCACAAACCCGCATCAAGGCTTACTGCTTCTGTCAAAACTGAAGTGGTGGCCGGGCGCGGTGGCTCGTGCCTGTAATCCCAGCACTTTGGAAGGCTGAGGAGGGCAGATCACAAGGTAAGGAGTTTGAGACCAGCCTGACCAACATGGTGAAACCTTGTCTCTAATAAAAATACAAAAATTAGCCGGGCATGGTGGTGCGTGCCTGTAATCCCAGCTACTCAGGAGGCTGAGGCGGGAGAATTGCTTGAACCCAGGAGGCAGAGGTTGCAGTGAGCCAAGATCGCTACATTGTACTCTAGCCTGACAGAGAGAGACTCAGTCTCAAAAAAAAAAAAAAAAAAAAACAAAACAAAACCAAAAAAAAATTGAAGTGGTGAAAACACCAGATGACACACTTAAAATATGTGCATTTCACTAAATGTAGGTTTTACCTTTAAATGAAAAGAAAAAAAGGAACCCCAACAAAATATCAGACTGCGGTACTGAGGACTATCAGTTACACACTCTGTGCTGAATGAATAAAAACGAGCCGCTGGGGCGAAGGCAGGGAGAGGAGCTTTGTCACCAAGACCATGGATCCCGCCCAGGGCCGGCCGCGCACATGGGGCAGCCCCGGGCATCAGCAGAGCTGGCAGAAGCCGGGGATGAGGTCACACTCCCTACTTCTACCAGCCGCAGAGTCTGGGGCTCTCTCCCTCATCTCATTTCATATTCCTCAGGTTCTTCCTCTCACTTTAAATGATGAAGTCAACACACAAACAATTTTAACTTCACATAATAAAAATAGCCACTCACTAATGTCGTCTTTGTCAAATTATTTATACTTAACCCCTCTGTGTCTGTTTTCTTATTGCTAAAATGGGGACAAAAATAGAACTTGACTCATGGAGCTGTTATGAGGATTAAATGAAATACATGCGACACCCTCAGAGCAGCCTCCTGCACCTGGGGAACACCGCCACGCCCCCACCGCATCCCCCTGAGCCTGCTGCCCCTCACCGCACACACCTGGGGAACACTCACACGCCTCCACGCATCGCTCCCGAGTCTGCTGCCCCTCACCGCACACACCTGGGGAACACCGACACGCCCCCACCGCATCCCCCTGAACCTGCTGCCCCTCACCGCACACACCTGGGGAACACACACGCCTCCACACATCGCTCCCGAGTCCGCTGCCCATCATTGCATGCACCTAGAACCACTGATACGCCCCCACGCATCGCTCCTCCCTGTAGCCTGCTGCTCCTCACCTCATATCTTTATTAGCAATTGTAAAAGGAAAAATAACATTGATAAATTAACTTCCTCAATACACTATTAATGGTATGCTGGTTTAAAAGCCTTCCACCTATTTAAAAAACAACCCACACATATAAGTGCTTTGAGAAATGACACACTGCACGACGTGTGGCACAATGCAGTGTCGAAAGTTCAGAATCTACAGTGTCATCCCTAGACCAGCCACTAAAATCACGCAACGAAGGAAGCCAACAGATAATAAGCCAGCAAGAATTCCATGATTCTGCTTAAATGAAGTTTTAGAATAGGCGAAACTGATCAGTGGTGGAAAACAATAGAAAAAAGGCCTGGGAGTCGGGGTGCAGAGAAGGTTGGAACCGACTGGAAAATGGCCTGAGTTCTCACGTATGAAAGATACTCTACCAGGAACCTGGAGTCAGGAGAATCTCCCAGAGGTGGTGTGCAAGTTCTGTGAGTATCTATTTGTGTCCGGGTAGAGTTTACACACCACACAGTGCTTCCCACACAACCTCAATACTCTGTGCTTTCAAAGTATCTCATTAATTTTACTAATTTTTTTTTTTTTTGAGACGGAGTCTCACTGTTGCCCAGGCTGGAGTGCAGTGGCGCCATCTTGGCTCACTGCAACCTCTGCCTCCCAGGTTCAAACAATTCTCCTGCCTCAGCCTCCCGAGTAGCTGGGATAACAGGCGCCCGCCACCACGCCCGGCTAATTTTTGTATTTTTAGTAGAGATGGGGTTTTACCATATTGGTCAGGCTGGACTCAAATTCCTGACCTTGTGATCCGCCCGCCTCGGCCTCCCAAAGTGCTAGGATTACAGGCGTGAGCCACCGCACCCGGCCAATTTTACTAATTTTACTATAACTAGGTTGTTAGCATTATGCTCAAGCTTCTAAATTTTATTAAAATGCCCAAAACAGAGTAGGGGTGAGGGTTGTTCCTCTTCCCCATACACTAAATCTCTTCCTATTTCAAACAGTTTAATCTTTTTTCAAGTCTAGACTATAATCCTTCTAGCACTAGTTCCTATATATACATGTTTTAATTAGAGTCATTAAGAAACCTAAGGATAGGCTGGGCGTGGTGGCTCACACCTGGAATCCCAGCACCGTGGGAGGCTGAGGCGGGCAGATCACCTGAGGTCAGGAGTTCAAGACAACCTGACCAACATAGTGAAACCCTGTCTCTACTAAAAATACAAAAATTAGCCGGGTGTGGTGGCGGGTGCCTGTAATCCCAGTTACTCAGGAGGCTGAGGCAGGAGAGTCGCTTGAACCCGGGAGACAGAGGTTTGCAGTGAGCTGAGATCGCACCATTGCACTCCAGCCTGGGTGACAACGCAAGACTACGTCTCAAAAAAAAAAAAAAAGAAACCTAAGGATATAATTTCTTTCTGGTAATTCTATTGATGCTTTTATGCAAATGTCCCAAATAATTAGACAAATGATGCCATAATGCTCCCTTCTAAA
This sequence comes from Homo sapiens, assembly GCF_000001405.40. Lineage (NCBI taxonomy): Eukaryota > Metazoa > Chordata > Mammalia > Primates > Hominidae > Homo > Homo sapiens. The sequence goes on from NC_000016.10 coordinate 87,479,532, forward strand.
GAGTTAATCTGATGTCACTGTTGAAAGTATAAAAGAAATACAAATGAAACCTTAATTAGAATGAGTAACGGTTTTTCAATTTATTGACATTATGTAGCAAACTAAAACATCGAGGCTTACCATGATTTAAAGTTTTAAAAGCATTAAAGAAATATAATCCAGACAAACTTACTTGCAGAACTAAAAATGTTACTCCATGGAAATGAACTCATCCACATACATGCCTCCACAGGCTCCACAGGAGACAAGGCCACCAAAGCATCATGATGCCACGCGGCTTCTTCCGAGCTCTCAGCTGACGCATTCACAACCTTGTATGAGTGCAACCCAGGTAACCTAAAGCCCAACTCTCGTGTTAGAGAGTTCTTCCCAATGAAAGCTTTTGTATGCCAGTTTTTTCTTCTTCTTTTTCTTTTTTTTTTTAAATAGAGATGGGGTTTCGCCATGTTGCCAGGCTGGTCTTGAACTCCTGGCCTCAAGTGATCCACCTGCCTTGGTCTCCCAAAGTGCTGGGGTTACAGGTGTGAGCCAGTGCACCTGGCCTTGCATGCCAGCTTTTGAAAAATATAAAGTTAAAAATAAGAAAGTAGGGCCAGGCGCAGTGGCTCACACCTGTAATCCCAGCGCTTTGGGAGGCTGAGGCAGGCGGATCACAAGGTCAGGAGATGGAGACCATCCTGGCTAACACGGTGAAACTCCGTCTCTACTAAAAATACAAAAAATTAGCCTGGCATGGTGGTGGGTGCTTGTAGTTCCAGCTACTCAGGAGGCTGAGGCAGGAGAATGGCGTGAACCCGGGAGGCGGAGCTTGCAGTGAGCCGAGATTGCGCCACTGCACTCCAGCCTGGGCGACAGAGCGAGACACTGTCTCAAAAAAAATAAATAAATAAAAATGAGAAAGTAGAATACAGATGTTAAAATTCAAGTTAAACTTCACTAGAATCTCCAGCTACATAATATATGAGAGGTAGTCATTGGATAAAGGCAAAAATTAAAAAGATAAAAAGTATGAGTTGGTTACAGGAGTGACTACTGTGGCCACTGAAAAGAAAAAGCCAAAGGGAAAAAGCACTTGTACTACGGCGGCTTTTCATCCACCCAACACCTCCTGCCCCTGGGTTTAACGGATGCTCCGCAGGTGAGCCCCTAGTAGGTGGTAGGAACTGCTAGGCTCTAGTGATTTAAAAAGTCAGTCTCTGCCAAAGTCAAAGTCTTGGGCAGAAACAGAACACAGCACATAAGGTCTAGGATAAGGATGCAACAACAAAATGACTGGTATCTATGAACCAATAATGCGTATAGGGGTATCACAGGTAACCGGTGTCCAGTCTAAGAGAACAGCCTCTCCAAGGGCACAGGAGAGAGAAAGCACAGTGAGTAGGAGGAACTGCGCCTACAGAGAGAGGTGTGTACGGACAGGCAGGGGACAGATCACAAAGGCCATGGCACATCATGCCAAGACCCGTAAGCCAGAAATGAAGCTCCTGCAGCATGCATTTGACGAGGACCATTCCAATGACACAAGGGAACTGATGTCAGAGGCTAAGAGGGGGCCAGTGACACCAGAGGGGGTTATGGAGGCAGACCCAGGCCAGGGAGACCAAAAAGGGTTACAGCGGGCAGACCCAGGCCAGGAGACTGGAATGTTAATGAGGCTAGACCTAGGTCAAGGTCAGAGTTGGGCACATCAGTGTTATTTCTAAAAAGAGTTAAGGTACCAATGCTTCTGAACTATTTAATTAGAAAATAAAATGGAGCAGCTATGAAGTTGTTTCTTGCAGACTTTAAACAATGACATCAACTGACTTGCATTCTAACACAGATTTCTAATCAGAAGCAAAGTGGAGTTAGGCTAGGCTGGGGCCATGCTGGTTTCCTGAAGACTATTCTAATCTCCATCCTGCTTCCCTGGCATACTGCCTCAAATCTAAGCCTGCGTCCAGAGAAGTGTGCCATGTATGTGAGCACCATGGCAAGTGTGGCAGGGAGAGAAACGGGGGGGGGGGGGGGTGGGGGGGGGGAAGGGTAAGCGGGAGGGGAAAGGAAGGAGAGGAAGAAAGGAAAGTACAGGGGGAAAGAAAGGGAGACCCTGAGGGAACACTGAACCGGGGCTGTAACGGTGTCACTGGAGACAAATCTAAAGATATTTAGGACTTGGTCATAAACCAGCTGGAGGGGATAAAAAAGGGCATCTCTATGACAGGCCTGGGCCTCTGGCTGGAAGGGATTAGAAGGGAAGGACAGAGCAGGTCAGGGTTGGTGTCTTGGTCTGTTTTGTGTTCCTGTAACAGAATACCACAGAGTAGGTAATTTATAAAGAAAAGAAATGTATTTCTTACAGTTCTGGAGGCTGCAAAGTCCAACAGCAACAGCCTGTATCTGCTTAGGGCCTTCCTGCTAGGACATCCCATGGTGGAAGGCAGAAGGGGAAAGGGCGAGAGAGCCAGAGAGCAAGCCAGCAAGAGGAGCCCCACACCGGCCTTCACAAAAACCACTCTCCGGTGACAAGGATATTACCTCATTGTAATGGCAGTGGCAGAGCCCTCCCGACCTACCCATGTCCCAACACTGCCGCACTGGGGATTAAGTTTCTAAGACGCAAACTTTGGGGGAAACATGGGAACCATGGCAGGTTGGAAGACAGAAACCTGCCTTTGCCACACTGAGCTACTGGGAACCTTCACTGGGAGCTGGAGGTCTGGTTGAGCCTTTAGGTTTTTTGGACTCATCAGTGTGACTGGCAAAACCACAGCTGAAAAGGTCACGAATTATAAAGCAAAAACAAAGAAGAAAAAGGAGAGAAGTCTGAGGAATAACATCATCAAAAGTGCAGGAAAGCAGAGGAAAAACTGAAAACAAATGTCCAGAGAAGAGGAAAACCAGCAGTGCCAGAACTGGCGAAGGCAGCGAGATCCCAGCCGGCCCGGCACACCCAGGCTGCAGAAGCCACCATCCGGGGCAGGCGCCTCACAGCCATATTTATCCCAAACAAAATCCCCCAAAAAAACCCTTCCTGGGGATTCCTCTGTGTAGGAAACCCACAAAAACGAACGAGAGGTAAGAAACAAAACCAAGAGTATCCAATGAACCTGGCCAACATGAGGTCATATGGATGGAGACATCCATGAAGCAGAACGCAGGGTCCAGAAGTGAACCCAAATAGATGTGGGAGTAAACGAGAGACAGCTCAGATCTGGGAGGGAGAGCAGAGACTATTTAACAGATGGCACTGGGACAAATGGGCTGTCATCTGGAAAATATAAAACTAACTTTGTACCTTATACCAAATCAATTCCAGATGGATCCGTTTGATATAAAAAGAGAATGACACAAGTTCCATACCAGGCGACACTGCAGGGGACTGTCTTCAGAATGTACGGGGCGTCATGTGTATTATGTATGCACAATACATGCATATGTATAATATGTATGATGAGAAACGCATTATACATTATGCATTATGACACAAAACCCAGAAGCCATACCAAAAAGGACTGATAAATATAGCATTTAAAAAAAAAGAAAAGAAAACAACTGCATGGCAAAGTCAGAAGACAAGATTAAAAACCCAGAAAACAAATACATGCAATTCCTACTAAAGACAATGCCTTGAAACTTACGGAGTTTCTAAAAACTAAGAACCCAGCCAGGCGCAGTGGCTCACACCTGGAATCCCAGCACTTTGGGAGGCCGAGGTGGGTGGATCTCTTGAAGTCAGGAGCTTGAGACCAGCCTGGTCAACATGGTGAAACCCCATCTCTACTAAAAATACCAAAAAAAAAAAAAAAAAAAAAAAAAAAAAAAAAAAAATTAGCCAGGCTTGGTGGCACGTGCCTGTAATCCCAGCTACTTGGGTGGCTGAGGCAGAAGAATTGCTTGAACCCGGGAGGCAAAGGTTGCAGTGAACCGAGATCACACCAGTGCACTCCAGCCTGGGTGACAGAGTGAGACTCTGTCTCAAATAAAGTAAAAATTAAAAAAAGAAAAGACCAACAACTCAACAGAGATGAGCAAAGGAGACAAACAACTCACCAAATATCAATGAAATCGTTTACTTGAAACAATATTCAACCTTTATCAACTCCTAAGATAAAACCACACCACACCAGGGCAAGTCTCCACCTAACTGTATGGCCGCAACCAGCAAGTGCTAACTCGCTGGGCTCGTTAAAGGTTAGGGAAACAGGCCTTGTATGTGGCTGTGGGAATTCTAAAAGCAGATCTCGGCAACAGGTAAAGTAATTACAAAAGCACAGACCATTTGACCCAACTCCACTTCCAGATTTCTACTCCACAGGTAGACTTACCTGAATGTGAAAGGTCCCATCTGCTGTCTGTAACATGTAGGTGATATGTATATAATATGTAAATGACAGTGCACTGGTTTGTAATAATACGATGGAACAAAATGTTATCTATAGGGCCTGATTAAATAACACATTTGTGCCACTGAACAAGCTCTTTATGGACTGACAGAGAAGCCTCATCTGGAAAGACTGCCAAGAGAAGACCAGGAGGCACCTGTGTGTGCAGTGGGACATCAGGTATCTACTTGTAAATACATATGGTTTCTCTGGAAGGTTCTACGAGGAAGTGTGCTATCTGCAAAGAGGGGAACTGGATGGCTGGGAAGAGGGTAAGAAACATGTTTTTTACACGTGAAATAAAAGTTATCAACACCCAGGGAAAGGAGAACCTTGCCTGACCCTTAAAACGTCCTGGGTGCCCTTCCGTGCCATCTGTGGGAGAAGGGACTTTCCATGCAGCAGCCTCTGGCACTTTTCCATTTCCTACCTCTGGTTACATTACCGATTTAAAACCTTTCTTCACTGAAGAGATTGCTGAATACTCTTCCGAAAAAATTGTTTTTGTCAAAGAGGTTCGAGGCAAAAGGCAGGTCACAGGACGCTGAGGAATAACTGAAGGTGAGGAACTAGAGACAGCAGGAGTGACTTCACGAAGCATGGCTGTGTTACAGCATGAAGAACAGCATGTATGTAAGATCCTACGTGTATCTAAGCGTGTATATGGTGTCTTGAAAGAACATGTGAACATATATGTGCACAAACATGTCTGGAAAGACACACACCAACCTATTCGCGGGTACCAGCGCCAGCCAGCGGGATGGAAGGCCTTTTCTGCTAGCTGCTCAGGGAGGCCTCAGTGGTGAAGCGACTAAGAGAAGAGGGGCTGGTAGAGACGAGCGGTGTTAAAGCCGGGGTTTTGTTGGCTGGTAGAGGTGAGTGGTGTTAAAGGTGGGGTTTTGTTGAAAACACAAATCAGAGAACCATTATGGTTCTCTGTTTATGGGTCAGGTGGGCAAATACTAGAGGTCAAAGATTGGATTGAAGGAGGGAGATAGAAATCACAAAGTTCAAACGCTGACCTACAAGTGACCCTGAGGAAACAGAGGGGTGTGACCAAACCGGCGGTGAGGGACCAGCCTTACACAGAAAGGAAACACAAGAGAAACTAAGGAGGTGTCCAGGCCCAGATAAGACATTTCAAGGGCGAATGATTTTTCTGTGAGCCTGCAAAGCACCCGCCCCACTGGCAAGCTGCGTAGTGAATGGCGGGCGGGGTCCACAGTGCCCCTCTCTAAGGGTGAACGGCTGGGTCCAGGGCTTTGTGGCCGGCATGTGAAGACCTGTCCTGCTTAATCATGCCCTGATCAGACATGACACACGGCTGCTAGAAGAGCAATTATTTGAAAGATACTCTGTCTTGCTTCTGTCTTCTCACTTTAAGTAGCTTCAGGTCTTTTAACCCAGAACAAAACAGAAACTGCTAAGAATTAACCTATTTTGTTAGTTCTGGATGATCTCTTTTTACCTTTGACAGGAAATGTTTCTACAATGTGTCAGGTCTCTCTACAATAAAAACATCTACAGAGACTGGAGAAAAAAATTACCTTGCTAAAACTAATTTCTAAACTGCGTATGTTAAGACTAAAGTCCAAAACCAAAAGCCCTTCAATAATGTACCCTAATTAGGTAACTTGCAGCTACACTTCTTACTTAAACTAACAAGATAACTACTGTTCCAACGGGCAGTTTTCCAAAAAAAAAAAAAAAAAGAAGAAGAATCTTTTTCTAAAATCTAATCCCTCTAAGGTGGGGGGCGGGGGAGAATACTAAAGCAGAAATTTTTCCTAGCATAACAAAAATTTCTTCGTCATCAATTCAACAAACAAAGATGCCCCAGCGCGAGTACCTCTTACTATTCTATTCTACTAGCTGGACTCTGAAGTTTTAAGACTCATGTAGATTTGTTGGAAAAGCATGTTAATTCAAAAGGTAGATGAAGTTTACAGGACTAAAGAGAAAATGGGTAAACTAAAGCCTAAGTAAACAGTACGCTTCACCTGCAGTGACAAGACTAACGCAGATGCCTATCTCCAGTTATCTTCGCACTTGAACAAATGATACCATCGTATTACTCATCATACCCAAATATGACACAGAATTTCCAGTTTCTACAACTGTGCTCCAGAACACAGTAGAAAACAGCAAAACTCAAATGTGTGTTCACCTAATGAGGCAAATGTGAACTAGCTCATGTCAAAGTAAATGGCCTTCATTTAATGTGAGGGCAAAGGACAGTAATTAAAGTACCACATAATCCAAGCCATTACACAGTAGATGGCAGTGCTACTGCAGCTCCATCATGGCATCAACAGAAATACTACCACCAAGAAAGCAATCAGAACTGCATCCCAGCACGGTCACGCACTGCATAAGGATGCTTCCACCACTGACAGACCACACGGACCAGGGATCCTCTAAGATTCTAATAATGCATTTTTACTGTACCTATTCTGTGTTTAGATACACAAATACCACTGGGTTACAACTGCCTATGGTATTCAGTACAGTAACACGCTGTACAGGTTTACAGCCGAGGAGCAACAGGCTCTACAATGTGGCCCAGAGGTGTAGCGGGTTCTGCCACCCAGGTCTGTGCAAGTGCACTCTGCGGTGCTCACACAACAAGATCAGCTGAGGACGCTTTTCTCAGAACGTATCTGTGTCCTTAAGCAGCACATGACTGTATGCCTCAATTCCCGTATCATGTACTGTACTTTACTATGAAACAGGACAGTGTTTTAGACCTGTAGCAGCTGGCCAAAAAATAAAAATAAAAATAAAAAAAGATCCACTATGTGTTAGAATATTATCTCCTGTATCTCCTGTAATGTAACAACAACAACAAAAAAAGCAATGTATACAAAGACAGCCAGAAGACTTAGTTCACAGACAAGTTCATAGACCAGGCGGTTCCCAGCTGCCCAGGAGAACAAGTGTTAAAGATGGAGACAAAACAGTGCTTTTAGGTCACAGCTATTCCTTTAACCATCAGTGACAACAGCTGCTCCAGAGAGAGTCCGTTCTTATGGAATGCTAGATGACTCTTGGCTGCAATAGGCCCAGAGTTTAGGGCTAAAGGAGAAACCAAAAGAAACCACTTATACTTTGCCTGATAACCAGAGGATGAACTATCCCATGTTTCACCTCTGAACTGCAATGATTTTCAACAGCTTACGAAAAGCAACGAAGCAAAAGCTGTTGCTGATCTTTGGACAGACATTTTCAGCAGGTTTATTCACGGTATTTGTGTCTATCTGAAGTTTCCACAGTGCTTATCCTCAGGCACTCACAATGCAAGCCACAGAGAGTTCCAGAACTGTTCCACAGAACCTACCCCTAAAGAAGACCACCACCCCACCACACTCCTGCACCAAAAACTTTAAAAACGTTATTTTTTTTAGTACCCCCTTAAAAAAATCAGCCCCATGAAGCAGTTCATTATCCATACCCTGAGGATGCTGAAACACAAACGGCAGGGCCCTCACAGCTGCAGCTCAGGCGGGGCCCCGCCCCTGCCCACCAGGCCCTGCTCCCCCATACCTGTCGCTGACCAAATGCACCAGCCCGGAGGCTCTGTACTGACAGCACAGAGTTCCCTGCCACCTCCAGCTGCAGCTCCCCAGGCTGGCTGAGGCCACACCTACACAGCTCTGCACACGGCACCTAGCAATCCACCAGGTGGAACAGGAGCCCTCAGGACAGCCCCGCACCGACACGTGCGCCAGCGGTCCACAGAGGATGCGCTAAGTGTTAGGCACAGTGCACGGGGGTGAAGACAAAGAGCCTATTAACCATGAAGACAAAAGTCTACAAAAGCAAGCATGTGAAGCAACTCCAAGGTCCACCCGCTGAAGAATGCGTGAGCACAGCTCGGCCTCTTCACACAGGGGAACGCCACTCGGCAGCGAAAGAGGAGGAAGTGCTGACACACCCACAGCATGGACGGGCCCTGACATCACGACACCGAGTGAAGGAAGCCAGTCACAAAGGGCCACACGGTGTGTGGTCCCCTTATATGCAACGTCCAAAAAAGACACCCATAGAGACAAAAAGGGGTGGTCAAGGGTTGGGGGGAGGGGGAATGGGGAGCGACTCCTAATAGGCACTGGGTTTCTTTTTGGGGAGATGGAAACGTTCAGTGGCAGTGGTCGTGCTTGCACAGCTATATGACTATACTAAAAACCACTGACTTCACTGTAAAAGGGTGAAGTATATATAGTATATGAATTCTCTTTCAATAAAGCTGTTATTTTTTAAACAAGAATAAGCATGTGCACATACCACAGCATATTAATTATCACTGACACAAAGAAAAAGCCGCAAAGGATTTATTTTAACTATTTCCAAAACTATGGTCTTTTATTTACGTAAAATAGGCATTGGAAAGTCTAAGCCAACTATCCCCCACAGTTGGCACCCTGGAACAGGCGACTGCAGGAGCAGCAAGCAGCAGCATTACCGGCCACTAGGCAGAGTACAACTAATTCAGCCTACCATCAGTGTGGCTACTGGAAGTATTTTTCTTTCTGAAAGTAAAATACAGGTATGTCTACTTTGTACTCCCCCCACTTTTACACCTCTAGAAGTCCTCAGAATAATAAGAATTTTTAAATAAAAACACAGGATTTGGACAAGGAATTGCAAATAATGACTATTTCGGAAAATACAGTTAAAATAAATTTAAAAAAAATTTTTTGAGACACAGTCTCACTCTGTCACCCAGGCTGGAATGCAGTGGCATGATCATACCTCACCTACAGCCTCTACCTCCTGGGATCAGGTAATCATCCCACCTCGGCCTCCCAAGTAGCAGGGACTACAAGTGTGTGCCACCACTCCTGGCTAATTTTTGTATTTTTTGTAGAGACAGGGTTTTGCTGTGTTGCCCAGGCTGGTGTTGAACTCCTGGGCTCAAGCGATCTGCCCACCTTGACCTCCCAAACTTCCGGGACTACAGGCGTAAGCCACCTTGCCAGGCCAAGAAATAAAAATTCAAATTGGATAAAGAATTTAAAAAGCCATTGACATTTGTATCTCTAAAAGAAAAATACAAAGTCTCTAAGCTCAAAGAGTTCAAAATAAAATACAACAGCTTACAAAAGAATGCAGACAGCTTTAACGGGGCTGCTTTTTCAGGAATACACCAAACGTTAGATTTAGAAACTAAGAAAGCAAAATACTTAAATGCTAGATTTCATCTGAGTTGCATGCTCCAAGCAATAAAGGGTTCATCAACGTCAGCCTTAGCTTTGAAGCAGCAACAGAAACGAAAGTTAAATGAATGGGGCTGAAATTAGCTTAGCAGTGACACTAGGGATGTAGGGAAAACTAGAAACCACGGTTGTTTTGAAATACGGAAATGACAGCCCAAGGTTACTCCTTATAATAATCCTCTCATTAAGGGTCACAGAATCTTCCAGTTTTCCAAAGATGAAACAAAAAAATTGTCAGCTCCAAGTAACTACTCAAAAACCAATTTAGAACACATAAACGCTCATAGCCAAGATGTAAATAATTCAATCTATAAAACATGCCTTGCTTTAAGTTAGCAAACCTCTATAAAAAGGAATGTTAAAAGCCGGAGAGGCCATAGAGGAGAAAGCAGCATTTACTGCACCTCTGCTGGAAGCTCATGTATGTTACCTATGTAATCCTCAACACAAGCCTGTGAGGTAGGTTACATCCCCTCCACTGCAACAGGGACAACACTGAGGGGCAGAAGGATCCTGGCCAAGGTTGCACGGCTGGTAAATTCAGCGCCCATGGCCTTGGGACTGGGGTGTAGCGGGGGAGGTGCAGGGGTGAGCAGAGAGGAATAGATTAGCCCCTTCATCTCATCAAAGGGATTTCTGCTTCACAGAAAGGCTCTCCTATAAAAGACATTTTTGTTCTAGATTTAGCTCACTGCCCAATCAAAATAATAATCACCACTGTCTGCATAAAGTGAGGCACCCGTGCTCACACATTAAGAATCCCCTTAAAGAGATGACGTTACTGTAGCAACAGCCATAGAAATTATTAGTGGGTGGAATCTACACAAAGGAGTAACAGCACATGAAACTGACCATAAATGACTGAGATTCCATGAATAGGTGACAATTTGCTGGCATGTCAAGGCTTACATGGATTACTATAAACAACTACATTTCCTAGGACCCTCTGCACAGCACACAGCCTGAAATACAGGGTGGGAGCCGAACTTAAAAAGAAAACTATAGTCTTGGAGGTAAATGTCACACACACAAAAATCAATTTAAAAAAACCGATGTATGTACTACAACCACTTCTTACAGGAAGACATTAAAAAAGAAAAGCCACAATCTACGATTGAAAGACAGCTTTAAAAACACACACATAAAAAACCTAGCAAACCAGACGGTGTTCTCAGCCACTCATAAAAGCAAAGTCTTATCAAAGTTTTAACTTCAAAGAGCTTAAAGACACTGCAAAGAGACACTGAGCAAGACTTGGTCCCGACTGCAACCTATTCCCTTCCAAAAAATAATCAGTTTGTAATCTAAATACACATCACACCAGGTCAAAGTAATCTCTTCCGGCAGCAAAATTTTGGCACTGGATTGCAGGGGGCTGTTCAAAATAGCTGGAGCCCCAGACACTTTGCGTTTTCAGTTCTGAAACACTTAGACAAAAGTTCACATCGCTAAGTGGATGGCCAGGACGCCCTTCCGGTTCAATTTGGAGACCGGAGATCTTTAACCTAACCTAACATTCCTTAAGGCATCGGTGCCCTCCCACTCAAAGTCAGCCTGGGTTTTGTTTCTAAGGGTCGCCAATAAATAGGTTTCACGGGCATTTAAGGCTCTGGGAGTCTTTTTCTGTCTGTTACAGGTAGCCCGGCTCTTAAAAACGATCACACACAACGTTCACAAGCATGTGCACATTCATACACACGTGTGCACATATACATGCCCACATGCGACACACGCGTACATCATACAGCATGCACGTGTCCATAAATGAGCTCACACGGACAGCCATGTCCCGCGCCCAGGCCCCCAGCGACACAGGCCCCAAGCAGGGCCTCCACCTGTGTGGAGGGAGCGGCTCAGACGGGGAAGCCCCAGCGCCTTGCAATGTTCACCTCACCGGCGGCTTCTGGCGTGGCCACGGCTCCTTCCTTTTCTGGTAATAAATACCAGATTTGGGGAAACCAAGGCGCCGCAATGTGTGTTATCTGTCACCCAAGGGCCCCATTAAGGGGACAAAGGCCTTATCGCGTTTGCAGCCGGCTAAGTGAAAGGAGGGCACCTGGGACTGTGAGCTCTGACCGCGGACGTCTCCCGCACCGCTCCCGCGGATCCTCGGACCCAGGGCCCCTGCAGCCGCTCCTGCCCAAGGGGCGCGAGGCGGAGGTGTGGAGGCTTTGGGGCACGCAGAGGGGACTGAGGGTGTGGGCTCAGGGCCGCGGTGCGGTCTTGGGGCTTAAAGTGCAGACTTAGGGTGAGGAGTGCGGGCTTAGGATGGGGGCTTGGGATGTACGGCGGAGGCTTGGGATGTACGGCGGAGGCTTGGGATGTACGGTGGAGGCTTGGAGAGGTGGGGCACACATTTGGGGTGCGACATAGAGGCTTAGGATGGGGCTTGGGATACGGGCTGGGGGCTCGTGGTGCAGGTTGGAGACCTGGGTGGGAGCTCTCAGTGCAGGCTGGAGGCGTGGGTCGGGGGGTCGCGGTGCAGGCTGGAGGCTTGGAGTGCAGAGTTGGGGATGCAGACTTGGGGTACAGGGCAGAGCTCGGGGCGGGCACGCACCTTGTGGCAGGCTGGGCAAGTGGGCAGCGCGCCGCCCGGCCCGGGCGCGCCCTTGCCGCCGTGGCCCCCGCCGCCGTTCAGGCTGCTCTGGATCTGCGTGAGCTCCTGGCGCAGCACCTGCTTCTGGTGGAAGCTGAAGGCCGGGTGGTTGGAGGCCATGGTGAACAGCAGCAGGAACTCATCGCCCGTGCGGCCCTCGTTAAGCTGCAGCCCGTAGTTGTGGATGATGGAGTCGATGTGCGTGAGCGTGCGGTAGAGCACGCCCGCCGCCTCGCGCTGCTCCGAGCCCAGCAGCGCCAGCGACACCAGCAGCTTGCTGCGCACCACCTCGTCCGTCAGGTTGGTGAGGCTGCCCAGGTCGGCCGGGTTGTTGGCCTTGATCTCCGAGTCGCGCAGCGAGTGGTAGTCCTTGCGGGCCAGGTCCTCCAGGCACGAGCCGAGGAAGCGAAGCTCGAGCGGGATGCACAGGTCCAGCAGGCCGCACAGGAACTCCACGCGCTGCGGCGACGGCAGCTCCGAGAACCAGCGGTACACGCCGTCCCTCTGCAGCGGGCAGCGCTTCTCCACCATGCTGCCGCCCGCGCCGCGCCGCGACCCGGGGCCGGGGACCGCGCGGGGGCGGCCGGGGGGCGCCGGGGGCCGCGGCCGGGGCGCGCCGGGACCGGGGACGCGCGGGCCGGGGCCGGGTCCGGGCGAGGGCGCGCGGGCGCCGCGGGCCGGGCGGGCGCCGGGGCGGGGGCGGGGACCGGGGCCGGGCAAGGCTCCCGTCAGGGGCCGGCGGGCGGGCGCGCGCGGGGCGCCGGGGGGGCCCGGGGCGGCCGGGGCGGCCGGGGGCGGCGAGCGGCCTCGGGCCCCCCGCTCACGGGGAGGCGCCTTCCCCGCGCCCGTGCCCAGCGGCGGCCGGTGCGCGGCGGCGGCGGCGGCTGCTCCTCGTCGTCGTCGTCGTCGTCGCCCGGGAGGCGGCCGCCCCCATCTCCCCCCGCGCCGCAGGGTCTGTCACTGCGGGCCGCCCCCCGACGGAGCCGCCCCGGCCATGCCGTCGCCGCCGCCCGCGCCTCCGCCCAGGCCGGCCGTTACCCCGGGCCGCGGGCGCGGCGTCGCCGCCTGGGGAGCGCTGGGGGCCGCGGCCGCGAAACGGACGCTGGAGGGGGAGGGACGCGCGGCGGGAGGCGCGGAGGGATCCGGCCGGGACTTGCCGGCCTTGCTGCTCCCGCGCGGCGGACGGATCCGGGCCCGAGCGCGGCGGCGGCGGCGACGGCGACGGCGACGGCGACGGCGACGGCGGAGGAGGCGCCGGCCGAGGAGCGGAGGGATCGTCGCGCTCGCGGCTGACGGGCGGCCGGGATCAGCAGAAGTGGGCGGGGTGGCCGCCTCTCGCGACAGCCCGGGCCTGCCGGGCCCGTCCCCCCCCCACTGATTGGCTCAGGCGGCCCGTTCTCGGCCCGTGATTGTGCCGGGTCCCCAATCCCATTCGCCCGTTCCGCGGCCACGCCTCCCTGGGGGCTGTCGATCATGTTGGGGCCACCGCCTCCCGTCCCTCGGCGGCCGTCAAGACGCGATTGGTCCGCGGAATCGGAGAGGCGGAAAACCCGGGCTGGATTTCTGGTTGCTTTTGTTCCCGCAAATTTGCGTGGAGCATTGTTTTTCGGCGAAAACGGGGCGTTCGGCCTTCCTGCTTTATTTTTGAGCGGTGTAAGAGGGAGGTAGTGGGTATCTTCGAGAAACGGCCGCCGCGGGGTCCGGAGCCCCGGGTTCCAATCCCGGGTCGGCCACTGCAAAGCTGTGTGACCTTGGGCGAGTCACTTGGCCTCTCTGAGCCCCAGGCGCCTCCCCGGGAAAAAGAGGGTAATAATAACCGCCCCCGAGGTTTGTGCGAAGGTGTTGAGCTCACAGAGGGCCGGCACCGGCACTTTTGAGGCGGCTGACTTGCCCTGGGGGTGTGATGGGAGGTGCAAGCTTTCTCCAAAAGCCTCGTCCAAATGGAGCCTTTAAATCCGCCTTCTTTCCGCGGCTACTTCACCAGCTCGCCAAACGCAGAAAATGCAAACACAGGGGAGGGGGCAAGGGAGCTGACCTGGCTGGAAGTAAACAGAAACGCCACCCTCCCCTGGCACTTGCATTGGCACCGGATTGCAGGTGGGGGAAGGGCCGGTGCACCCAACCACCTTTAAATCCCACCACTTACACACAGGCATAGAAGTAGAGCCGCGGGGGCTGGACGCTCATTCCTCCCCTGCCCTTCCCCTAGAGCGCTGCTTTGAATGTCTGTTGATCTAGAACGGGGTCTGTTCATTCATGGGTTCCAGGTCCCAAGCGCCCGGGGGCAGCTGAGAGCAAAGCTGGCGCCCTCCCTACCCTGTGGAGCTTACACTCTGGTTCTGGGCAGTGCACACTAGAGATTGGTTAAATCAATGAATGAACTTTTTCAGGATATGGTCCAAGGTGCTGAAAACTTCCTAACAAAACTCTTCAGCCGAATCTGGCACGCCTGTGGTTCCAGCTACTGGGTAGACCGAGGCAGGAGGATCGCTTGAGGCCAAGAGTTTAAGACCAACCTGGGCAACATGGTGAGACCCCCCCTCCCCGCCCCAGTCGCTCCAAAACAAACAAACCCCACATTCTCCAGTCTTAGGTCTTCGAGGATGAACAGAGATTGCAGAAAGGCATGGTTGGGAACAAAAAAAATTGCTCTCCACTCCCCCAGCCCCCTCCACACCTTGGGCACATTTCCCTGGAGCTGCCCCAGTGTTCTTTGTCAGTGTAGGAAGAAGCAAAAATCTAAATGGAGTCAGGATGGCCTCCCACATGGGCACAAGGGCAAGGCTGGGGACAGTTGGGTCTCCTCATCTTATTTCCCAGGTCTAGGCTGATTTCTATTAATAATTAAATTAATCGTCGTTGTCCTGGACCTCACTTCTTAATGTGATTCCAGGGAACTGGCCACATTCCAAAATTCATAATCTAAGGTAGTGAAAGAACGTGAACATCAAGACAGTTTGGCTGGGCTCAGAGGCTCACATCTGTAATCCCAGTACTTTGGGAGGCCGAGGGTAGATCCCTTGAGCCCAGGAGTTCGAGACCAGCCTGGGCAACATGGCGAAATCCCATCTCTACAAAAACTACAAAAATTAGCCAGATGTGGTGGCATGTGCCTGTAGTCCCAGGTACTTGGGAGACTGCAGTGGAAGGATTGCCCGAGCCCGGGAAAGGGAGGTTGCGGTGAATGGGGATCCCGCCACTGCACTCCAGCCTGGGTGACAGCGTAAGACTCTGTCTCAAAAACAAAACAAAACAAAAGATTCATTTCTTATTGATAAAGCAAGCTCCTTGGAGAAAGATCTTGGAACCTCATTAGTGCTGGGGGTGGGGGTGGGGCTTCTTCAATCCAGCCGAGCTGGCTGTGAAACCCCCAGGCTTTGGTACCAAGTGAGCTCCAGTCCCAGCTGTGGCTGACTGTGTGAACTTGGCTATGCATTCAGAGGCCTCTGAGCCTCAGTTTCCTCATCTGTAGAAGACAGCCAGGAACCCGTCATCCTGGCTAGCAGTGGAAGTCAAAGGTGCTCATGGAAAGCCCTTGCTGGCTGGAACAAGGGAGGCCTGAGCTGTGGAAGTCCTTGGATCAAGGTCCTCCCCACTTCCCGCTGCCTTTTTGGTCCTTCTTGCGTGCTCTTTGTGATTTAATGGCTTAGTAGGTTGAATCATGTCCCCCCAAAGTTTATCTCTACCCCAAATCTCAGAATGTGACCTTATTTGGGAAAAGAGTCTTTGCAGATATAATTAAGGTAAGAGTCAAGATAAAATCACACTGAATTAAGGTGAGCCCTACATGCAATGAGACTGTCCTTACAAGATACAGAAAAGAACACATAGAGACTTCGGGGGAAAGGAGACTATGTGCAAGAATGGCAGAGATTGGAGCCAAGGAGTGCCTGGGCCTACCAGAGGCTGCAAGAGACAGGGAGGACCCTCCCCTAGAGCCTCCAGAGGGAACAGAGCCATGCCCACACCTTGACTTTGGACTCCTGGCCTCCAGAACTGTGAGAGGGTAAGTTGCTATTGTTTTCAACCCCCAACCCCCACCCTCCCCCACCCCCCGACCCTCTCCCACCCCCATCTCCCACCCCTCCCCCATCCCCATCTCCCACCCCCCCCCCACCCCTCCCCTACCCCCATCTCCCCACCCCTCCCTCACTCACGCGTGTTGTGGTTACTTGTAGGGCAGCCAGGGAAACCGAAACAATGTCATATCCCCCCAGACATCGGTGTGGCTCAGCTCAATCCAGTTCACAACAAATATGAAATCCCTGCCCTACAGGACCAGGCCTCAGGAAGGGCTTGGGGGCCTCAGAGGCAAATGAGACCAGGTCCATCGACCCTACAGAACTGACAACCTGGACTCCCCACTCTGAAGCAGGCAGGCTGCCTGAAGGAGGGGGCCTCCCTCATAAGGAGAGGGCAGACGCTGACCTCCCGGGCCCTCCAGCATTCTCTGGGTCCTGGCCCCGAGATTCTGGTTTTCCACACAGGGCACCTACTGTCTCCCGCTTCCCTGACTCTGCCCGTGCACAAGGTAACCCCAGCTGCAAGCGTGCCAGGAGCTTTTCTCCACCTCTGCCTCGACATCTGCCGCCTCTCCTCCTCTGGAGAGGGAGGCAGCTGAAGGACAGCAGCCCCACGCCTTGCTGGAGCGGCTGAGATCGCTGGGAGGAGGTTGGGAGAGGACTCAGGGGCTCAGGCTAGATCAGGAGGGTGGGCCCTGCCTCCTTGTGAGGGGGCCCAGCACCAGGGGGAGCCCACAGTCTAGGGTGCTGTTCAGCCAAATTGGCTACCACTGGGTGTGAGGTCTGTGGTTGTGCAGGGTTGAAGGGCTGGGTGTCATTTGCCTCTGAGGCCCCCAAGCCCTTCCTGAGGCCTGGTCCTATAGGGCAAGGATAGACTATTTATTGTAAACTGGGTTGCGCTGAGAGCCACACTCATGTTTAGGGGGAAATGCCATTTTATTGGTTTCCTGTGACTGCCCTACAAATAACCACAAAGAGGCGAGGGGAGAAGTGGGGGCTGTCCCTTCCACAGAGCTGCAATCAAGCACAAATGACTCTAATAGTATCAATTGTGAGAGAGAGAGAGAGATTTGGAGTTCACCACAAATTCCCCAAACAAACAATTTTACAAGAAGGACATGACCCGCCTGGCGTTACTGCTTAGTTCTGAATGAGTGATACCGACTGCAGCAGGTGACCAGGCCAAGCCCAGAAATGGGCCACAGGGACCCCAAGCACATGCTCTTCCCCCAGACTGCCACCATCTTGCTTTTCCTTCAGACCTAGGACCCCACGAGAGGAGGGATCTGGAGGCCAAGCCAGGAGCAGGACAACACCAACAGAGGCCTCAGAAGAAGACTCAGAGTGGGACAGGGGCTCCTTAAGTGATTGGGGCTGGAAGTGCGCAGAGAAGCCCGGCGCGGCAGGGAATTGTCTCTCCCTGGGGTGCTGCCAAGGTGTGTGTGGTCTCTAGCTGCAACGTGCGCTTCCTTCCCTTGGCCTGACTCCTGCTTTCCTGTCATTGAGAAGGTTTGGGACCTGACACCCTGAGCATGGAGGCCATAAATCCAGTGGATCCCTAAATTTCCTGATGGGGTCCTGGCTCCAGGCCTCGGTGCCTGACAGCCTCGTGTAATTGACAAAACCCCATGGAGCTGTTTCTGATACTGAATTCCCATCACGCAGATACTGAATGGTCAAGGGCTTCAGCCCGGGCCACACAGTTAGTTCATGTTGGAATTGGATTCTGCCCTAAGTCAATTGCCCATAGACTCTGCCCCTCCCAGGAGGAAACCACAAATGTGACATATTGTTTATTTGCTATTTTTGCAAAGGTGTCTGTTGCTTGCCAGCTTTTCCAGCCATGACTGCAGACAAAGTCCACCTAGAGTCATAAATGGGCAATCAGCCCCGAACAACGTCCAGACCCGGTTTCTGCACGGCGAGGCGTTTTTGTCCATGGCAGACTTGCTTACCCGGGTGTCTTTGGTGTGGGGCTAGATGCAGCATTTCCCCAGTGGGAATGGCCCGGGGTCTTATTTAAAGTGGAGGGTCCTAGGCCTGGCCCCACGTATGGAGTCAGGGTCCCTAGGGGTAGGACCTTGGAATCCGCATTTTTTTTTTTTTGAGACAGGGTCTCCCTCTGTCACCCAGGCTGGAATGCAGTGGCGCGATCTCAGCTCTCTGAAACCTCTACCTCCTGGTTCAAGCGATTCTCCTGCCTCGGCCTCCCGAGTAGCTGGTATTACAGGCACGCACCACCATGCCTGGCTAATTTTCTATATTTTTAGTAGAGATGGGGTTTCATCATGTTAGCCAGGCTGGTCTCCAACTCCTGACCTCAAGCCATACACTGGCCTCCGCCTCCCTAAGTGCTGGGATGACAGGTATGAGCCACCGTGCCTGGCCAGGAATTTGCATGTTTGCTAGTAACCCTGCTCATCTCAGTGCACACCAAAGTTTGAAACCACTGTTGGGGTGTGGAGCTCTTGCTTCCAGACTTCCAGGGCCTATGGATTGAACAACGGCAGCCACAGTAGTAATTAGAATTTTCAGTCTCAACCACAAGCCTGCCACGCAACAAGGGTTTCCTCCCGTTTTACAGATGAGGGACCTGAGGCTTCATAAGGCTGTTATTGACCTGAGGTCGCACAGCTGATGGCTCCTGGGTTCTTAGCGTTAAGTTTTGCGGCCTTATTTCTGTTGTATATTTGTTTCTCGTATTTCTGTGCTTCTTGCACTGCAATTGTGATATCCTCTAAAAGCCAAGGATGAACTCACTGCTGACCTTGGTTTTATTTGTTTGTTTGTTTTCACCTTCACTTGTGAAATGTGCAAACATACTCAAAAGTCAAGAGAATCATATGGTGATTTTTCATAGTCCCCTTTGGCCAGCTTCAGCAAAGATGACATTTTGCCACTCTTACTCCATCCATTTCTCTCACCCCACCCCCGACATACACACATGTTCTTTCTGGAGTATTTTCAAGCAAATACAGGATTTTTAAAAACATGTAAATGACTGTGTTGTTTTGTCTGATTATGATGCAATACATGTTCCTTATGAACATATTATAACTCGCTAAAAAACAATATAAAAAGCTACAAATCATCTCACTTCCCAGTCATAACCAACTCTAAAAGATACTCTTCTAGACACTTTTGTATTCAAATATATTTATGCACACATACTTTTACAAAAAAAAAGTATACGACACAAAAATAGGATGGTACTCCACATTTTGCAATCTATTTTTTTCACTTAACAATACATCCCAAATGTCTTTTCATATCCATGACTCTATTCTAAATCATGGCTCTTAAGGGCAACACAAATCTTTGTTTGATTTAGCATGATTTATTCAAAGAATCCCCTCTAGTTGGGCATTCAGGTTGTTTCTATGCTGAGAGAGTTTCCAAAGGCAGTCCTGCTTACCCTGGACTTTTCAAGAGGTTGACACCCGATCTGTCGCCTCTAGATCCTGTGTAGAGTTCAGAGAAGTATCAAGAAAGTGGAAGAACTGGAGAGCTTCCCAATGCCATCTGAATCATCTTCACGTTACCATCACTGTTTTGTTTGAAATGAAGTCTCAAGACATGAGACACTCCCAGACTCAAGTGTGGTTAAAAAAAACATTCCAAAGGCATATAACATATTGTTTGGGTGATGAGGTGTAACTCTAAAAGCTCTGTTTTTGAACAAACATACCAGGGCTCACCCAAACCCAAAACTCTGTCTCCTTCAAAGTCGTCACTCTAGAAGGCAGTACTCACACTGGGATAAAACTGTAATTGCTTGAAAATACATCTGTGAATTCCTCTTTTAAAACTGTTTCAGGATCTGGTGTCAGTAACTTTGGGACGTACTGCAGGCTGGAAAGCCTTCACGATTCAAGGTGGATTGATTTCTATAAATAGCCTGTGCCCACCAAATAAATTAGAAACAACAGAATCTATGATGTCTAGCTTGAGCAGAAACAGATTTATTAAATTATAACGACATCTCAAAGTCTCTGGAAGGGAGAGAGAACTAGGTGGGGATGCCATTTTTTGTATCTTGTTCAATAAGATGCCTGTTTTTGCCCGTTTTCTATCAGGTTTTTGGTCTATGTTTCTCTCCATTTTTAAGAGCTTTTATTGCGCGGGTGTGGCAGTGCATGAATCCCAGCACTTTGGGAGGCCGAGCTGGGCAGATCACTTGAGGCTGGGAGTTCAAGACCAACCTGGCCAGCATTGTGAAACCCCCGTCCCTACTAAAAATACAAAAACTAGTTTGGTGTGGTGGTGGGCACCTGTAATTCCAGCTACTTGGGAGTTTGGGGCAGGAGAATCGCTTGAACCTGGGAAGCGGAGGTTGCAGTGAGCTGAGATCACGCCACTGCACTCCAGCCTGGGTGACAGAGCAAGACTTCATCTCCAGCCTGGGTGACAGAGCAAGACTTCGTCTCAAAAAAGCAAAACAAAACAAAAACAACAAAAACTAAATAAATAAATAAATGAGTTTGAGGGCCATGCAAAAAATAAATGAGTGACACTGGATGGTATGATAAAATAGGGGGTGGTAAGGCTTGTGGCCAGTCAGAGATTAAAACTACTTGTTGTTTGTTTGTTTAAGAGACAGGGTTGCCGGGCGCGGTGGCTCACGCCTGTAATCCCAGCACTTTGGGAGGCAGAGGCGGGCAGATCACTAGGTCAGGAGATCGAGACCATCCTGGCTAACACAGTGAAACCCCATCTCTACTAAAAATACAAAAAATTAGAAGGGCGTGGTGGCAGGCGCCTGTAGTCCCAGCTACTCGAGGGGCTGAGGCAGGAGAATGGCATGAACCCGGGAGGCGGAGCTTGCAGTGAGCCAAGATTGCGCCACTGCACTCCAGCCTGGGCGACAGAGCAAGACTCCATCTTAAAAAAAAAAAAAAAAAAAAAAAAAAAAGAGACAGCAGGGTCTTGCTCTGTGGCCCAGGATGGCATGCAGTAGTGCGATCATAGCTCAGTGCAGCCTCGAATTCCTGGGCTCAAGAGATCCTCCCACCTCATCCTCCCTAGTAGCTGGGACCACAGGTGTGTGCCACCACACTCAGCTAATTTTTAAAATTTTTTGTAGAGACAGGGTCTTGCTTTGTTGGCCAGGCTGGTGTTGAACTCCTGGGCTCAAACAATCCTCCTGCCTCAGCCTTGCAAAGTGCTGGGAACACGTGTGAGCCGCGGTGTCGGGCCCTGTTTTTCTTTTTCTTTTTTTTAAGCACAGTTTCCTAGGGTGGCTGTAAACAAATGATCATGAACTGGATGACTTAAAACAACAGAAATTAATCCTCTTAGAGTTCTGGAGGCGGAGGCCAGAAATCAAGGTGTTGGCAGAGTTGGTTCCTTCTGAGGCCCTGAGGGCCTCTCTCCCAGCCTCCAAGGGCTGCTAGCCATCTGTGGGGGGCCTCCCCTGGTGGACTCATCACTCCAGTCTCTGCCTCTGTCTTCACGTGACTGTCTCCCCTGCGTGTCTATGTCCAAATTCCCCTCCCCAAGCTTGCAATTCACCTCCTCAGTCCCCCCACCACTTCCTCTGTGAAATGGATATAAAAATATCTACTTTACAACATGGCTGGGAGAATTAGTTGAGATGATGTTTAGCAAATGCTTAGCAGGTGCTCAGGAAACAGTGGCTGGCATTGCTTTGAGAAGGTCTTCACCCTGGTGTTGTTCTTCGTTTTGTTTTGAGACAGAGTCTCGCTCTTTCACCCAGGCTGGAGTGCAGTGGCGTGATCTCAGCTCACTGCAAATTCCACCTCCCAGGTTCACACTATTCTACTGCCTCAGCCTCCTGAGTAGCTGGGACTAGAGGCTCCCACCACCATGCCCAGCTAATTTTTTGTATTTTTAGTAGAGACAGGGTTTCACCGTATTAGCCAGGATGCTCTCGATCTCCTGACCTCGTGATTTGCCTGCCTTGGCCTCCCTAAGGGCTAGGAATACAGGCGTGAGCCACCACGCCCGGCCACCCTGGTGTTTTGAGGTAGGTGGGGATCCTGTGAAAGGCTACATCACGTAAACAACATAAACACAGCTAGTGCCCGGGTGGAAAGTGTCCCATCGCACTGGAGCTGTGAGCAAGCTCCTGATGCCAAATGAACACCCCTTACCTGTGTGTGTGTGTGTGTGTGTGTGTGTGTGTGTGTGTGTGCGTGCATATGTCTGTAGGGGCACATGTGTGGTATGTGGTCTGCATGTGTGTGTATGTGTGTGGTACGTTGGCGTGTATGTGGCATGTGTGATATGTGTGTTATGTGATGTGTATGTGTATATATGTGTAGGTGTGTGTAGGTATGTGATATGTATGTATTTGTGTGTGGTCTGTGTATACATGTGCAATGTGTGTATATGTGTTTGATATCTGTGTGGTGTGTGATTTGTGCATGGTGTGTGTATGCATGTGCTATGTGGTGTGTATACGTGTGTGATATCTGTGTGGTGTGTATGTGTGTATATGTGTAGGTGGTATGTGACATGTACGTATGTGTGTAGATGTGTGTGTGCATGATGTGTGTAGGTGTGTATTTTATATGTTGTGTTTATGTAAATGGCATGTGTGGTGTGTGTGTTGTGTGTGTGGCATGTGGTATGTGTGAAATGTGTGAGTGTCGTGTGGTGTGTATATGTGTATGTGTGGTATGTGTGTGGTGTGTATGTGGCATGTGGTATGTGTGAAATGTGTGTCTGTTGTGTGTGCTATGTGGTGTGTATATGTGTATGTGTGGCATGTGCTGTGTATGTGATTGTGTTTATGTGTGTGTGAGGTATGTGTGTTGTGTGTGGTGTATGTGTGGCATGTGGTATGTGTGAAATGTGTGAGTGTTGTGTGTGCTGTGTGGTATGTATATGTGTGTGTGGTATGTGTGTGGGGTGTATGTGGCATGTGGTGTGTGTGAAATGTGTGTGTGTTGTGTGTGTGCTATGTGGTGTGTATATGTGTGTGGCATGTGTTGTGTATGTGTGGTGTATGTGTTTATGTGTGGTATGTGTGAAATGTGTGTGCTATGTGGTGTGTATATGTGTATGTGCGGTATGTGTGTGGCATGTGCTTTGTATGTGTGTGATGTATGTATGTGTGTGTGTAGTATGTGTGTTATGTGTGGTGTGTATATGTGTGGTATGTGTGTGGCATGTGCCGTGTATGTGTGTGATGTGTGTTTATGTTTGTGGTATGGGTGTTGTGTGTCATGCGTGTGGCACGTGCTGTGTATGTGTGTAGGGTGTGGTGTATGTGTGGTGTGTGGCATGTGGTGTGTGTGGAATGTGTGTGTTCTATGTGCTATGTGTGTGTATATGTATGCCTGTGGTATGTGTGGTGTGTGCATGTGTGTGGCATGTGCTGTGTATGTGTGTGTGCTTGTGTTTACAACACAGACACCCCCACCTGAGTTTGGTGCAAGCAGCACCTTGTAAGAAAGCAATTCTGACAGTCACTGCCACAGTGGCTGCCTTGCCTGGAGCCGGCCGAGTGGAGGCGGAGGCAGGGGCTTAACACCGGGGCTTCCATCATGAGCGAAGCTGGTGCTGGCTGTTATCATTTGCAGATGAAACAACTGGGGCAGAGTGGTCACTTGCGAAGGATGGCCCGCCGGCCAGGACAGAGCTAGGGCTCAGGCTAGCAGCCTCACGGTGCCTCTCACCAAGCCTGGCCAGGCTAAGGGTTTTGGCACCGAAAACAGGGAGCGCAGAAGTGCCAGGGGACAAAGCACTTTCATGCCTCATTTAGCCCTGGTGACATGCTTTAAAATCAATAGGTCATTTTCCTCACCTGGCCGAGGGGGAAATCAGGCCCTGGGGGAGGCCAGCAGATACCAGCAGGGCTAGGACTTGAACCAAGCTCTCCCGATCCCAAATCCCACTGCCCCGTCCCCTCCAGAGCAGCTGTGGGTCAAGGCTGGGTCTGGATGATGACTCTGGCGAGGAGGGTCAAGTGGACCAGGTTCCTGAAGCCGCACAGCTGTGGCTGGTGTCCCGGATGCTGACGCCTGTTGAGACCTGCTGGTGGCTGGGGTTTCATGTCCTCATTTCACTTGGCCCTCACAACAATCTTGCAAGTAGAACATTCTTCCCCTTTTACAGATGAAGAAACTGAGGTTTAGAGCAGCCGCTTGCCCAGCGTAGACAGCGAGAAGGACAGGTCCAGTTCTGCTTGATGATGAAGCCTGTGTCTTCTCTGCTGTGTGATCCTAATCACGTTGGGAGGTTCCTGAGGAAGCAGAGGATTTTGCCCTTGCATTTGAGCCACAGCAGCTCTAGTAAGTACGTGTGTGTGCATATGTAGGTCCTGTGTTCCTACTGATACTAATACGTACAAATTGCATATTAATATATATTAACATGTATTACTATATAATAATACATATCTGAAAGCTGGCTTCAGCTTAAGACTTTGTTTGAGAGTGGTTTGAGGGTTAACACTTTTTTAACCTGCTGGTCCACCTGTCGTACATATGATATCTTGCACATATTTGAGTCTTGGCATGCCTGCTTCTTTTGTCTTACCCAGGGATGGCTCCTCACTAGGAGGCTGGCACAGAACCATTGGAACGACCACTGGTGTAAGACACAGTAAAGCCCACCTGTGTATTCCTGTGGAAGCTGGCCATGACAATACACATAGACCAGAGGCTTAATTAAATTCTCAGCTCCTTGAGAGCAGGAGTCAGGGCTGAGGCTGATTAAGTTTCTCACTTTGGATTTCCAGCTCCGGATGGGTACCATGTATGCAGTTGGTGCTTATTAAATGTTTGCTGGTGGTCTTTCTGCCTTTTTTTTTTTTTTTTTTTTTTTGAGATGGAGTGTCACTTTGTCGCCTAGACTGGAGTACAGTGGTGTGATCTTGGCTCACTGCAACCTCTGCCTTCTGGGTTCAAGTGATTCTCCTGCCTCAGCCTCCCTAGTAGCTGGGATTACAGGCGCCCACCACCACACCCAGCTAATACTTGTATTTTTAGTAGAGATGGGGTTTCGCCATGTAGGCCAGGCTGGTCTCGAACTCCTGACCTCAAGTGATCCACCTGCCTCAGCCTCCCAAAGTGCTGGGATTACAGGTGTGAGCTACCATGCCTGGCATTTTATTTTTATTTATTTATTTTTTTTGAGACGGGGTCTCGCTTTGTCACTCAGGCTGGAGTGCAGTGGTGCAATCTTGGCTCACTGCAACCTCTGCCTCCCGGGTTCAAGTGATTCTCCTGCCTCAGCCTCCTGAGTAGCTGGGACTAGAGGCTCCCACCACCACGCCCAGCTAATTTTTGTATTTTTAGTAGTGACGGGGTTTCACCATGTTGGCCAGGTTGGTCTTGAACTCCTGACCTCAGGTGATCCGCCTCCCTCGGCCTCCCACAGTGCTGGGATTACAGGCGTGAGCCACCATGCCCGGCCTGTTCTGGCTTCTTACATACATTTTTACAATGCTTCTCCCAAACAGAAACATTTTCTTCTATAAAGATTATGGTACTACGTTAATTTCTCCAAAGAGTGGGCTATGTCATCTACGAATTATGGTTTGTCATGTATAACTATGGTTTTACCCAAATGCTTGTAAAGTGGAATTTTCCCAAAATATTGTTAATATTTTCTTATAACATGGCATTCATCTCAGGAAGGGAAAGACTTGAACTGGAAGAGAATTCAGCAGTCATCCAGATTAACTCTTTAATTAGCAAATAAGGAAGGTAAAGTTCAACATGTCAGAGGGACTTCCAGGGGTCAACCGGCAAATCCACTTAGTAACCTATATTTGGGAACCGGTTGCTGGTGCAGAAAATAACTGATCGATTCACAATATCTTCAGATTCTGGATCAATTATATGCTTGGCCAAATTTTTCTTCAATAGATGTGAGAACATTTTTCAGTAACGTGTTCTGTTCACTATCCATCCAAGCTTCTGTCATTAGATAAGACTTCACCCATGTAACCTGCTACCTAGACACGCTCGGAGGGCCGGGGCTGGGTGTGCTTGCTCAGGGTGGCTAGTATATACATTTGTTGAATGAATGGCTGATGGAACTTGAATTGAATCACAGTATATTACTTTCTCATTTATTCCAATGGTCCACTTAGTATAGATCCTGCACTATCCTGTTTAGTTGCTTCTGGGTTTTAGTGATAAATGCCTTTGGTTGCAATTAACAGTGACATAAACATATGGAGGGTTATTTTCCCACAGAACAAGAAGTCCAGAGATGGGCAGTTGCTAACGCTGCACCAGCAATGATGCTCAGTTATGTTGGAACAGCAGCCACAATTCTCTTGGCTTTTCCTCATGGTAGCAGTATGACTGCCATAGCTCCAAGCATCGCATCCTGCATTCAGTGCAAGAAAAAGGGAGTAAGGGATGAAACCAGCAGATGAGGAAAAGCAAATGCTTCTTTTTCCCCCAGAGAAACCCTCTAATAGATTTCTGCTTCAATCTCATTTGCCAACACTGTACCAATGGCCACCCATAGCTGCAAAGGAGATGAGGAAGGACAGTGGGCAGGATCTGACCAGAGTCTTTGCGATTGAGCTTGCTCTCTTATGCCTCTGCCATCACCCACAGAGAAACATGCCAAGTTAGCCGTCTGGTCCCACGAGAAACATGGGAAACGGGGATCAGAGCCATCCTAGCCGAACTCAGCCCAGATCAGCAGGCCTTAGTGGACCCCAAGATAGGTAAGTCCAGAGCTGCCCAATTGAACCCAGTCTAGATCAGCTGACCCTCAGCCTCCTCTGCTGCAGGTGTGTGAGAATTAATGAGTATTGTTTGTCAATGATTTCTTATTCGGTATGTTTGTAGCCATGGTTAATGGATACAGAAGGCAAACTTCATTGTTTACCATGGGGTCAGTATCAGAGCACTTATTAAGGCAGACACTGGGGCATAGGAAAGAGGATCAAGGCACAGTGTCTCCCCTGAGGAATTTATGTCCCCAGCTGGCGAGCATGACGCGTACGTGAGTAAATGAAGCCCCAGCATCATGTTGCTTTACTGTGACATTTCTTGTGTCATCATCTCCTCGACAACAGAAGCTACTGTGTGCCTGGCATCATGTTAGGCTTTTTACACATTTAATCCTCAACACAGCCCTGCCCCAGGTAGGGTGCGTTGGGCTGCACACATCAGAAAATACAACTCAAAGGGCCTAAGCCATTGTCAAGAAGTCCTGAGGTCTGAGGCTCTCCAGAGTTGGTTGACTCATTAACTCAAGGACACCACTGAGGACCCAAGCTCTTTCCGTCTATACATTCTGCCCTCCTAGCGTGTCGGCCTCAGCCTCAGCCTGGCTGTCCTCATACACTCAAGTGGCTGCAGCCATTCCAGCCAGCAGCCAGTAGCAGAAGAAAGACTATAAAGGCAAAAAAATACCTTTCCCCGAAGCCCCTCTGCAGACTCTCATTGGCCGGATTGTCTCACTTGGCCATGGTTAAACCACCCAGGAGAATACAGTCACCATGGCCACCCTTGAACAGTTAGACTATGCCTTCTGGGGCTGGAGCCAGGCTCCTCTGAAGGCCATGGCTGTGCAAAGAGTGTGAGTGCCAGAACACAATGAGAGTTCTATCTGTAAATGAGGCTAGTACGGCTCAGAGAGGTTATATAACTTGTGTGAGGTCACACCTGGTAAGCTATAGTGCCGGGTTTCCAACCTGGATCTGTCTGACTCCAGATCTCCCCTAGACCTCGGCTGCTTTCCACAGGGTGGTGGGCCGAGGCTGCTGTCATCCCGGGCTGCTGCTACCCTGCTGCTCCCGCACTCTTTGTGGTCATCCTCCTGCATTACAGCCCATTTTCAATCACGTAGGTGCTCAGTAATCACTCATTTTTCAACTGGGCAGATACATTCACAGTCCCGGATCATCACATGGACTCATTCCAGCAATGTTGTCTGCAGGCCAGGTCTGCCAGATGAATCCCCGCCCCACCGGCAACGGATTCCGCAGCCCGTGGACACACTTTCTTCCTTCCCGTTCACGTGGCTATTTCTCTGAGAACCAGCAGCAGTGCTAGGAGGAGGGAAGGAAGTTATTGACTCTGTCACTCATTAGCATCTCCGAGGAAGTGTGACCAGGAGGAGGCTGGAGAGGCTGTCTATCCGTGGTTTCCTGCTGTTGAACCCATGGCTGGCCCTGACGGAGGACACCTGCGGAATAGGCACGTTGTCCACAACATTCTCAATCCTCAGCGTTCACTTGGATCTTGTGCCGTGATTATCACTCGCATGAACACTAGCTTCCGCCCTGCCTTGGCCCCGAGCAGACTGCGCTGGAATGCTCCTCACCCTGTCAGCTTATTAATGGTTAGCAGCTCTTAATAAGTGAGAGCATTGGAAAAGGCTAGCGCTTTGGAAACCTGACTTCTGTACTTCCTATCTGTGTGGGCTTGGGTGTGCCTTACTCCGTCTGTGCCTTGGTTTTCTCACTGTGTAATGCGTAATGCCTTGCAGCATTGCTGTGTGGCTCGAGGACCATGAATATTGAGGATCCAGCGCATTGTAGGCACCCAAGAGCGGTGGACACTGATACCATTATCAATGGACTTGGGCCAGTAAAACAGGGAGGAAGTCAAGGCTCCTAAGTGAAACCATTGAGTTGTTTGTTTGTTTTGAGATGGAGTCTCACTCTGTTGCCCAGGCTGGAGTGCAGTGGTGCAATCTTGGCTCACTGCAACCCTCCGCCTCCCGGGTTCAAGCGATTCTCCTGCCTCAGCCTCCCGGGTAACTGGGACTACAGGCGCACGCCATCACACCCAGCTAAATTTTGTATTTTTGGTGTAGAAGGGGGTTCACCATGTTGGTCAGGCTGGCCTTAGGCTCCTGACCTCAAGTGATCCACCCGCCTCGGCCTCCCAAAGTGCTGGGATTATAGGTGTGAGCCACTGCGCCTGGCCGAAACCATTGAGTTTTACGAACTTCAGTGCCAATTTATTACAGCCCTTGGGGTGTGGCCTGCGTTGGACTCTAGTGAAGAGAGTTGAATCTCCTAGTAGTCAGCTGGCATCTTAGCATACACTGAAGCAGGGGTTGACATTTTTCTATGAGGACAGGCTTCAAAGTCTTTCGAGCTTCCTTGCTTTGTCCAGGGAACTGGGAAAGAAAAATTTAAGGGATTTATGCTGCCTTCTGGGTAGGAGTGTAACTTCCTGTTGCTGCTGTAACAATAGTTACCACACACTCAGTTGCTTAAAACAACACAAATTTATTCTCTGACAGTTCTGGAGGCCAGAAGTTCAAAATGAGTTCCATGAGTTTAAAACCAAGGTGTCATCAGGGCTGGTTCTTTTTTTTTTTTTTTCCTTGAGACCGAGTCTCACTCTGTCGCCCAGGCTGCAGTGCAGTGGCGCAATCTCCGCTCACTGCAAGCTCCTCCTCCCGGGTTCAAGTGATTCTCCTGCCTCAGCCTCCCAAGTAGCTGGGACTACAGGCGCCCACCACCACGCCTGGCTAATTTTTTGTATTTTTAGTAGAGACAGGGTTTCACCATGTTAGCCAGGATGGTCTCGATCTCCTGGCCTTGCAATCTGCCCGCCTTGGCCTCCCAAAGTGCTGGGATGACAGGTGTGAGCCACCGCACCTGGCTAGGGCTGGTTCTTTCTGGAGGCTCAGAGGGGAACCCATTTCCTTGTCTTTTCCAGTTTCTAGAAGCTGCCTACAGTCCTTGGCTCATGGCTCCTTCTCTATCTCCAAAGTGCATCACTCTGCCCTCTGCTTCCACAGTCACATCCCCTTCTTTTACCTTTGAACTTCTTGTCTCCCTCTTTTCTTTTCTTTTTTTCTTTTTCTTTCTTTCTTTTTTTTTTTGAGACAGGGTTTCACTCTGTCACCCAGGCTGGAGTGCAGTGGTGTGTTCACAGCTCACTGCAGCCTTGACCTCTTGGGGCTCAAGCGATCCTCCTGCCTCAGCCTCCAAGTAGGTGGGACCACAGATGTGTACCACCATGCCTGGCTAACTTTTTAATTTTTTGTAGAGACGAGGTCTCCCTTTGTTGCTCAGGCTGGTCTTGAACTTACTCAGTATCATGAGAACAGCACGAGGGAAACTGCCCCCATGATTCAATTACTTCCCACCAGGTCCCTCCCACAACATGTGGGCATTATGGGATTACAATTCAAGATGAGATTTGAGTGGGGACACAAAGCCAAACCATATCATTTCACCCCTGGCCCCTCCCAAATGTCATGTCCTCACACTTCAAAACACAATCATGCACTTCCAACCGTCCCCCAAAGTCTTAACTATTCCAGCATGAGCCCAAAAGTCCAAGTCCAAAGTCTCATCTGAGACAAGGCAAGTCCTTTTCACCTTTGAGCCTGTGAAATCAAAAGCAAGTTAGTTACTTCCCAGATACAATGGGGGTACAGGCATTGGGTAAATGCACCCATTCCAAATGAGAGAAATTGGCCAAAACAAACGGGCTACAGGCCCCACGCAAGTCCGAAATCCAATGGGGCAGTCATTAAACCTAAAAGTTCCAAAATGATCTCCTTTGATTCCATGTCTCACATCCAGGTCACGCTGATGCGAGAGGTGGGCTCCCACGCCCCTCCCAGCTGCTTTCGTGGGCTGGCGTTGAGTGTCTGTGGCTTTTCCAGGTGCACAATGCAAGCTGTTGGTAGATCTACCATTCTGGGGCCTGGAGGATGGTGGCTCTCTTCTCACAGCTCCACTAGGCACTGCCCCAATGGGGACTCTGCGTGGGGGCTCCAATCCCACATTTCCCTCCTGCACTGCCCTAGCAGAGGTTCTCCATAGCAGGGAGCTCCACCCCTGCAGCAAATTTCTGCCTGGACATCCAGGTGTTTTCATACATCCTCTGAAATCTAGGTGGAGGTTCCCAAACCTCAATTCTTTTTTTTTTTTTTTTGGAGACAGAGTCTTGTTCTGTTGGCCAGGCTGGAGTGCAGTGGCATGATCTCAGCTCACTGCAACCTCTGCCTCCCGGGCTCAAGCAATTCTCCTGCCTCAGCCTCCCGAGTAGCTGGGATTACAGGGGTGTGCCACCATGCCTGGCTAATTTTTGTATTTTTAGTAAAGACGGGGTTTCACCATGTTGGCCAGGCTGGTCTTGAACTCCTGACCTCAGGTAATCCAGCCGCCTTGGCCTCCCAAAGTTCTGGGATTACAGGCGTGAGCCACCGTGCCTGGCCCAAACCTCAATTCTTGACTTCTGTACACCTGCAGGCCCAACACCATGTGTCAGCCACCAAGGTTTGGGGCTTGCACCTTCCGAAGCAATGGCCTGAGCTGTGTGTTGGACCCTTTTAGCCACAGCTGGGATGCAGGGCACCAAGCCCCGAGACTGCACAGAGCAGCAAGGCCCAGGGCCTGCCCCTCGAAATCACTTTTTCCTCTTAGGCCTCCAGGCTTGTGATGGGAGGGGCTGCTGTGAAGGTCTCTGACATGCCCTGGAGACACTTTCCCCATTGTCTTGTCAATTAACATTTGGCTTCTTGTTACTTATGCAAATTTCTGCTGCTGGCTTGAATTTCTTCTCAGAAAATAGACTTTTCTGGCCGGGCACAGTGGCTCATGCTTGTAATCCCAGCACTTTGGAAGGCCGAGGGGAGTGGATCACCTGAGGTCAGGAGTTCGAGACCAGCCTGACCAGTCTGGTGAAACCCTGTCTCTACTAAAAATACAAAAATTAGCCAGGCGTGGTGGCAGGTTCCTGTAATCCTGGCTACTCAGGAGGCTGAGGCAGGAGAATTGCTTGAACCTGGGAGGTGGAGGTTGCAGTGAACGGAGATCATGCCACTGCATTCCAGCCTGGGCAACAGAGCAAGACTCTGTCTCAAGAAAACAAAGAAACAAAAAAAACCCAGAAAATAGGTTTTTCTGTTCTATCACACTGTCAGGCTGCAAATTTTCCAAACTTTTATGCTCTACTTCCCTTTTAAACACACGTTCCAATTCCAAACCATACCTTCGTGACTACATAAAACTGAATGCTTTTAAGAGTATCGAAGTCACCTCTTGAATGCTCTGCTGCTTATACATTTTTTCCACCAGATACCCTAAATCATCTCTCTCAAGTTCAAAGTTCCACAGATCTCTAGGACAGGGGCAAGATGCTGCCAGTCTATTTGCTAAAGCATAGCAAGAGTCACCTTTGCTCCAGTTCCCAACAAGTTCCTCACCTCAATCTGAGACCACTTCAGCCTGGACTTCATTTATTCACATCACTGTCAGCATTTTGGTCAAACCATTCACCAAGTCTTTAGGAAGTTCCAAACTTTCCCACATCCTCCTGTCTTCTGAGCTCTCCAAGTCTCCAGGAAGTTCTAAACTTTCCCACATTTTCCTGTCTTCTTCTGAGCCCTCTGTTCCAACCTCTGCCAGTTACCCAGTTCCAAAGTCGCTTCTGCACTTTCAAGTATCCTTATAGCAGCACCCTACTCCCAGTACAAATTTACTGTATTAGTCTGTTCTCAGGCTGCTGTGAAGAAATACCCAAGAGTGAGTAATTTATTTTTATTTATTTATTTTTATTTATTTATTTATTTTGAGACGGAGTCTCACTGTCACCCGGGCTGGAGTGCAGTGGCACAGTCTGGGCTCACTGCAAGCTCCACCTCCCAGGTTCATGCCATTCTTCTGCTTCAGCCTCCCAAGTAGCTGGGACTACAGGCGCCCACCACCACGCCCAGCTAACTTTTTTGTATTTTTAGTAGAGACGGGGTTTCACCATGTTAGCCAGGATGGTCTCGATCTCCTGACCTCATGATCCGCCTGCCTCAGCCTCCCAAAATGCTGAGATTAAAGGCGTGAGCCACCGCGCCCGGCATTTTTTTTTTTTTTTTTTGAGACAGAGTCTTGCTTTATCACCCAGACTGGAATGCAGTGGCATGGTCTCAGCTCACTGCAACCTCTGCCTCCTGTGTTCAAGCAATTCTCCTGCCTCACCCTCCCCAGTAGATGGTATTGCAGGTGCGGGCCACCACACCTGGCTAATTTTTATATTTTTGGCAGAAACGAGGTTTCCCCCATGTTGGCCAGGCTGGTCTCGAACTCCTGACCTCAGGTGATCTGTCCACCTCAGCCTCCCAAAGTGCTGGGATTACAGGCATGGGCCACTGCGCCCTGCCCTTATTATTATTATTTTTTTTTGTGGAGACAAGGTCTCACTGTGTTGCCCAGGTTGATCTTGAATTCCTGGCCTTAAGTAATCCTCCCACCTTAGCCTCCCAAAGCATTGGCATTAAAGGCATGAGCCACCACACCCGGCCAAGATACATAACTTAATCACATCTGCAAAGTCCCTTTTACCACATGAGGTCACATCCACAGGATCTGGGGATTAGGACGTGGGCATCTTTTTGGGGGCCGTGATTCACTCTGCCACAGTGGGTACACAGCAAGCCAATGATGGGGGTAATTAAGTTAGCATTAAATATCCCACGTGTTCTATGTTCTAGAGCAGTGATCATGCCCCTGGGGTGTGAGGTGATCCACTGAGGACCAGGAAGAAGAGATGAGATTATTGCTTAAGATTAAGCAAGAAATCAGGTTTTATGAATATTGACTCTGAGCTGACACTGGCTCTCTGTACCCATGACAGTCTAGTCAGAAAAACAGAAAACGCACTGGTTAGTTTAGCAGAGAGAATTTAATATTGGGCATTGGTGGAATGAGGAATGGAGGACTAAAGAGGCAGAAGGGGGACCTGAGGTCACAGGCAGGGACACCCCTCAGGCTTGGTGGCACTGCGGTGGTGGCTTCTCAGCTGTCACCCAAGGGAACCTTGCAGGATGAATGGGAGTTTCACGGTGAAGTCCCATCTGACAGTTTGTTAGCTCTTTTTTTTTTTTTAAGTGAGACAGGGTCTTGGTCTGTCAATCCAGGCTGGAGTGCGGTGGTGCGATCTCAGCTCACTGCGACCTCTGCATCCTGGGCTCAAACAATCCTCCTGCCTCAGCCTCCCAAGTAGCTGGGACCAGAGGCATGCGCCAACACACCTGGCTAATTTTTATATTTTTTGTAGAGATGGGGCCTCACTGTGTGGCCCAGGCTGGTCTTGAACTCCTGGGCTCCAGCAATCTGCCCACCTTGGCCTCCTAAAGTGC
Source organism: Homo sapiens (assembly GCF_000001405.40). Lineage (NCBI taxonomy): Eukaryota > Metazoa > Chordata > Mammalia > Primates > Hominidae > Homo > Homo sapiens. The sequence continues at coordinate 87,513,775 of NC_000016.10, forward strand.
TGGGATTACAGGCGTGAGCCACCACACCTGTCTGTTACATCTTAAAATATGGCAACATACGTTGGTGAAGTATTGGCTTACCAGAGTGGATCTGTAGCTGCTGGTACCTATCTTGTCTGGTTCTAACTAAATTCGGTGTATGCCTTAAAAAGATTCATACAAAGGAACTGTGGAATGAAGGAAACACTAACAAGCCAAGCAGAGTAAAGAGTGAGAACGCATCAGAGCAGCTGTCTTATTCCTGGCCTGTGCTCTTGGTCAGACATATCCCAAGGTAAAAACAAAGGCAGCCAGCCAGTCAGCCCGCAGAGGACAGTCACACGAACCCTAATTATCCAGAAGTCTAGTCGAAGTACAGATTAGAAAATCCATCATTGTTGACAATAATCCTCACCCCAAATGCATATTTTGCCTTGAGATGTAATGGAAACCATCATAATTAGCAAGACATTAAAAAGAATATTGTTTGTTTAATCTTTTACTTGGCATTTAGAAATTTCCATTTTGGCTGGGCGTGGTGGCTCACGCCTGTAATCCCAGCACTTTGGGATGCCGAGGCGGGTGGATCACCTGAGGTCAGGAGTTCAAGACCAGCCTGGCCAACATGGTTAAACCCCGTCTCTACTAAAAATACAAAAATTGGCCAGGTATGGTGGTGTGCACCTGTAATCCCAGCTACTCAGGGGGCTAAGGCAGGAGAATCTTGAATCTGGGAGGTGCAGGTTGCAGTGAGCCAAGATCACACCACTGTACTCCAGCCTGGGCAACACAGCAAGACTCCATCTCAAAAAAAAAGTCCATTTTGTTAGGAGTTTTATGATTATACATAAAATATGAGAGCAGCAATGCATATATATAATTCTTAAGTTTTAAGATACACGTATATGGTGGGCACCTGCGGGAAAGGTTTTGCCCATTAGGATCTATGATCTAAACACTTTGGAGACTCCTGCCCTGAAGAATTCATGTCTATGAGCTATCCAAAAACCCAGACCAGGCCGGGCGTGGTGACTCATGCCTGTAATCCCAGCACTTTGGGAGGCCAAGGCAGGCAGATCACTTGAGGTCAGGAGTTCAGGACCAGCCTGGCCAACATGGTGAAACCGCATCTCTACTAAAAATACAAAAATTAGCCAGGTGTGGCAGTGTGCGCCTGTAATGCCAGCTACTCGGGAGACTGAGGCAGGAGAATCGCTTGAACCCGGGAGGCAGAGGTTGCAGTGAGCTGAGATCATGCCATTGCACTCCAACCTGCACAACGAGAGCAAAACTCCGTCTCAAAAAATAAAAAAAAAAAGCTCAGATTAAACAATGATTATAGATGTTTTATGAAATCAATCAAGAAAGTTCATAAAGAGGATGACCACAATTTTTTTTCTGTCTGCAAGATCCGTATTTGTTGTTCTGTGCCACATTAATGATTACATAACAATTATATAATGTATATATCCAGGCCTTGATAATTGCCATTGTCTACAAGATGCTCTAGAAGTCCAAAGGGAAAATGAGCCTGAGAAAGTCCAATAGGGCTTCACAGAAAAGGTGGCATTTAAACTAGGCCTTGCTTGGAGCTGGAGAGTTCCACATGGCTAGGGAGGCCTCACAGTCGTGGTGGAAGGTGACAGGCAGGTCTTAATTAATGAAGCTTTAAATGTTTTTTCATTGGGGCCAGGCATGGCAGCTCACACCTACAATCTCAGCACTTCAGGATTACTTTTTTTTTTTTTTTTTTTTTTTTAAGCAGAGGGTCTGTAACTTTCACCAGATTCTTAAGGAGTCTGTGACCTGGGAGAGTTTTAAGAGTGGGAAAGCTGTAAGGCCACGCTCAGGCTGGATTCCAGCCGTGGGACCCCTCGCTTCACTTCTCTGAGCCTCAACTTCCTCATCTGTGCAATGGGGCAGCCTCGTGGACATGCAGGATTGCAGTTCTGGACATGCAGAGCCTGGCATCCAGAGGAGCCCAGCGCCCGCCAACTGCAGCACCCAGCACCAGCAACCCCAGGGTTGGGGGCTGACTCCATTCTTCTCCCCAGGGCTACACCAGCTCTAGCTTCCTGGCCGCCAGTTTCCCCAGCAACTTCATTTTGTTTATTTGCAATGGCTTATTGGGGTCTCCTGGAGAAAAGATTCTCAGCTGAGTTCCAGAAAATGAACACGCTCTCCCCGTGCTCGGAGAGCTCCCAGCTGTTCTCTTGGCTGGCCGGCTCAGAAGAAATGATGTTAGGAATGTTTATCTCGGAGGAAGCGGAAGAGCTCCTTTCAGCAAAATAAGAATGAACCACAAAACAGGGTGCAGGGGGCCTTGTCAAGGCATCATAGCGTGGTGCCATGGGAACATCCCCTTCCTTTGTCCTGCCTCAGCTGACAGTGCCTCGGAGATGCCCTGAGCTACGTCAGCCCGGCTGGCATCCAAGGGGTTCCTTATTGGCTCACAAGACACGTTGCTTTTTCAGGACCAGAGAGACTTGGAGGTCCTCACCTGCAGCCCTGGGCCTTTGTTTAGGCTGTGCTGTGAGGCTGGCTCTCTGTGGTCAGCATCTCAGCGTCCCTGCCTGGCCAGCAAAGGGGTGACATTTTCCTTGGGTGCCCTCTTGCAACATGGCGTTAAATTCTCAAAAAGGTGCAAACCCTTAGGGTGAAGTTTGTGTCTAGAATATAATGGTTAAGGGCCTCGGTTCTGGAGTCAGAATGACCAGGGTTTGGGTTCCGGCTCCATTGCTTTATAGCTGCCTGAGCCTCCGTTTCCCAGTGTGTGGAACAGCTGGTAACCAGCATTCCTACTCCCATGGGTGTTGGAGACATGAATGAGATCGTCATTACAAAGCGTTCAGCACAGGTTAAGTGCTGATAGGTGGAAAGGAGATAATCAGTGGTAGCGATTATTATTTTAGTTGTCTACTTATAAAATCAGAAAATCGGAAATAGAAAAATACAAAGAAGAAAACTAAAAGTGCATGTAGCCCCATGGCCCGGCAATCCGCGCCGCTGGCCTTTTGTTAGCTGTCCTTCCTGGTTTTTTCCTGTGGGTGTGTATGCATGTATATTTCATAGGATCTGGTCATTGTTGAATGAGGATAGTTTATGTATGTATAGACATGTTAGTTTTTTCTTAATACCAGGCATAATGTATCTTAACCCACTTTTTTAAAACTTAAAAATACATGGAGAACACATTCTCCAAATCATTACATTTTACCATATTGCATATTTTTTCACTTTGTAATGTTTCGAAGTAAGGATGTGTTTTAGAATCAATGTCGAAAGAAATGTGCCAGCTATTTCTTCTTTTTCCCCCCAAAAATGGGGGTTATGATGACACTGGTAATACAAATAACAAATGATGGCTTCTCAGATTCAAAGAAACACAGCAGCCTAAAAGATCCTTCTTAATTTCCACAAAGGATTCCTCAGTGCCAGTGTTGTCATTAGCTCAATTGACCTCTATTTTTGGACATTTTGGCTCCTTCGGTTTTTTTTTTCACTATTACCCACCATGCCGCACAATAGAGTCTGCAGGGAACGCAATTCGATGGGCCAACGCGCCCTGAGGGATGGAGGCGGGGTGGAAGGTGGAGGGACCTGAGATTTTCTGTCAAGGTCATGGCCAGCCTGTGCTGGCCTTGTAGGGAGAAAGATAGGGGATAAGTACCCCAGCCTCCCTCCCCGCCCTCTCTCACATCTCATGCCAGGGCTCCCCCAGCGGGAAGCAGAGAGGGTGAGGAAGGGCGAGGGTATGGTTCTCAGGCCAGCCCCTGGGCAGGGAGAGAGTGACCCTGGTTGGGCAGCCCTGTGGCCCAGCACACCAGCCCTGTGGAGCTGAGATGCCGGCTTTAGATGGGGGGACTTACAACACGGGCTTTCCCTTCCCCAGTGGAACAGAAGGCGCCGGCGAGAGGCCCTCCTTGTCAGCGCCAGGGACAGATTGCTCAAGAATCTGCGTGCTCCAAGGCACAAGAGGGGTGCTGTCTCCTTTTCTGGAGTTCCGTCTCATGCCTACGTTTCGGGTAGGATGCTATTTTTAAGTGACTGGCACCGTGGATCAGTACACTTGGAGGGAGGAGAGGGGATGCCACACATAGCAGGGGTGGGTGCTGCGAGCAGGGGTGGGGAGAGGAAAGGGGGCTGCGTTCGAGCCACTCTGACAATGAGGCTGAGGGCTGGCTGGCTGTCACACCCACGGCCGACATTAATCACATCCTGCCTGGCACTCCCCAGCAGCTCTGACACATGTGGCCGCACCCCACTTCTGGAAAGCTCCCCGCTCAGGCTCTGCAGAGCGTTTCTCGCGACACTTCCCGTGCTGGATCCGTGCCGCCAGCATGGATTCCTTCAGCCTGGCTCCGGCCTGGGGTGGGCTCTGAGCCGCCATGGGACTAGGCAGAACACGCTGTGTGCAATGCAAGGCTGAGCACGCTGGGCCCCTTCGGGATGCTGGCGGTTACATGGGCAGTGGGACGGGTGGAGTGACACGGAACATGCCTCAGTTGCTTCTCCAGCTAGGGTTTTGGGGTTGCAAGCAAGAGAACCTGGCTCTTGCTAACCATGTTGGGGCTGGAGGCAAGGGTTTACCGGTAGGACCTGAGCTAGCTACAGAGTGGAGAGGTAAGATGAGAGCCAGCCCACAGGAAGGCCGGAGTGAAACAGCGTTGGGGGCCTGAAAGATGGGGACTAACAAGCAGCCTCTGGCTGGGAGGTTCTTCCGGGATCAATTTGCTCCATGCTACAGAGGGGACTTGCTCAGGGCGACGTGGCTAATTGGAGGCACGGACAATCTCCGAACTCAGACCTCTGACGGATGCCGTCCTCTGACCAGCCTAAAGCTGCCGGGGTCCTCCCAGCTCAGGGACGCTGTCCTCACAGGAATGCCTAATGGGGCTTCCTCCCTGCCCATCCCAACCCCTGGGGCCACACATTGCTTATTTTGGATTACACCGGGCAGCCTGTGCCCCGGTCAGAGGCAGGGAGAGCTTGGGCAGGACTGGGGAGTGTGACTCATTTCTGTCTACCCAGCCAAGCACCAAAGGCGATGCTGGCAAGCGGGAGACGGTCCACAGCCACTCACCAGCAGCCAGAAGCCAGGCTCAGGACAGCCAGGCCTCAGCTTACACAGAGGCCACCAAAGAATGGCCCGGCAGGATGCCAAACCTCATTTATCTGAGCGGAGCAAGGCCGCCTGGTCAGTGTCCACTCCACACCCAGGCCCTCCTCTCTTTGCTGCGGCCACAGCAGACACGCCAGCTGCCCCATCGCTGCACAATGCCAAGCCTCCGTCCACCTCGCCCTGAACGCCCTTCCCCCGTGTCCCTCCTATCTCCGTGAACGTGGCATGAGAGAATTCACGCTCTGCAGTCAGAAATCCAATGCCTGGTGTCACAACTTCCCAGCTATAGATCTTGGGCGAGTTGCATCCCTTCTCTCTGCCTCAGTTTCCTCCTTTGTAAAATGGGGATAAGACCTTCTTTGCAGGGTTTGACAGCCAGGAATCAGGTGTGCAAAAGTGGAGGTGTGGTTCATCACAGGGGCCTGCTGTGGTGGCTGTCCTTCTCCTAATAGCCACATTCCCCGGACCCAGCTGGGAGGAATGTGCCAACCCCCGGTTTGCTCTCCCTCTTCCTGTCTCAGTGATCCAGGCCATAAAAATGGCTCCTCCCAGATGCTGTAAGATAGAAGCTGCATTGCCCTCGTGGCAGGAAGGGGACATTTGGGCTACTTCAAACCAAACCAAACAAAAAACTCACTGTCATCAATTCTTGCCTTCTAAAGGGAGGGGCACATTTCATCTTGGGGATGCTGGCCTGGGGATTCCAGCTAGCCAAGAGCAGAGGAAACATCATTTCCAAGCACCAGCTAGTGCTCTGTGCTGCTAGAAGTCCCAGAGTATCCTGTCCTGGCTCAGTTGAGCCCCTTAGTGAGCTCAGGACTCTTTTGGCTGCCAATGACAGAAATTCGACCTGAATCACTTACAGGAAAAATAATATATATTATATATTATAAAATATATATAAATATATGTATATATATATTTTTTTGAGATGGAGTTTCACTCTTGTTGCCCAGGCTGGAGTGCAATGGCGCAATCTCAGCTCACTGCAACCTCTGCCTCCCAGGTTCAAGCAATTCTCCTGCCTCAGCCTCCCAAGCAGCCGGGATTACAGGTGCCCACCACCACGCCTGGCTAATTTTTTGTATTTGTAGTAGAGACAGGGTTTCACCACATTAACCAGGCTGGTCTTGAACTCCTGACCTCAGGTGATCCACCCACCTCGGCCTCCCAAAGTGCTGGGATTACAGGTGTGACCCACCGTGCCCGGCTGAGCAAAAATACTATCAATAGCTCACTTAACTGGAAAAAAGCCCCTGCAGGTGAGTCTAGCTTCAGGCGCAACTGGATCCAGGGACTCAAATGATATCTCCCCTTCTCTCGGCTCTGCTTTCCTCCGTGTGGTGATGTCACTTTCTAGATATCTTCATCCACTTGAGCAAGGATGATAGTAGCTCCAGGCTCTGTGGCAGGTTGTGTATTCTAAATTTGGCCACACCAACATATGTCCCATCCACGTGTCGTTTGTAACCATCTCAACCAATGGAAAATGTTGGAAGCGACATTCTATGACTTCTGAGGCTGGGTCCTGAAAGGCAATCCAGTTTTGCCGGCATCCCTCTCTTTGGGGACACATAGCCCTTGGAAGCCAGCACCATACTGTGCCTTGTCCTGACCCCCAGAGTCCATAAGCTCAATCAATACTTGTTTTACGCCACTAAGTTTTGGGGTAATTTGCGATGTGCCCTGCTATAGCTTTCGTGATCCCCGTAGGTCAGAATTGAGGAAATAGACCTTCATCCCTCCAACACGATTGGCCAATTCTTAGTAAAGATTCAGATCAATCCAGCCTGCATGCAGATCACATCCCTAAATCAGTGACTGTAGCCAGAGGGATGGGGAACTAGGCTGGACCATGAGCATCCTCTGGCTTGATGAAGGGTGGGGACAAGGAGCACTGACCTTGTCAGGACCACAGGGAGTTGGCTGGGGGTGGCCATTGAGGAGAGGTGGAAGCCACTATCAGATGGACAGGGAGAGATGGCAGCCAAAGTCCATTGTCGTATAAAGGCCGGAGCTGACTGTTACTGCCCTGCCTTTCAGGAAAACGTTTGATTTGTTAAGGGGAAGGTGATGGAGGTTTTAGAAGGGGAAATTAGAAAAATAAGAATACGAAAATTAGCCGAGTGTGGTGGCAAGTGCCTGTAGTCCCAGCTACTCAGGAGGCTGAGGCAGGAGGATCACTTGAGGCCAGGAGGTCAAGGCTGCAACGAGCCTTGATTGCACCACTAAAACTCAAGCCTGGTCAACAAAGCAAGACCCTCTCTACGAATAAACATGGCCAGGTGCAGTGGCTCATGTCCATAATCCCAGGACTCTGGGAGGCCAAAGTGGGCAGATCACTTGCGGCCAGAAGTTGGAGACCAGCCTGGGCAACATGGTGAAACCCCGTTTCTACTGAAAATACAAAAACTTAGCTGGGTGTGGTGATGTATACCTGTAAAACCAGCTGCTTGGGAGGCTGAGGCAGGAGAATCGCTTGAACCCAAGAGGCAGAGGTTGCAGTGAGCCAAGATCATGCCACTGCACTCCAGCTTGGGCAACAGAGTGAGACTCTGTTTCAAAAAATAAGATAAATAAAATAAAAGAAAAAAGAAAGAAAGAAAAAGAAAAACAAGAGTAATACTGCTTTTCCTACCATACATGGATAGGATTTGAAGAAAGCAGGAGAATGACAAGCTAGCCGAGCAACTCATGCCAGAGTCAGCCATGTTTTGTGAGGAACTAACATTTACCCAGGGCCCGTGCTGTGCCCAGCCCCGCATTAGGTGTTTTCTATTCATTCTCATTTAATGAGCCTGCAGCTCTTGGAGGGCCAGGACCGCGCCTGTAGGGCAGCACTGAGTGTGTTCATCAGGACACGTTCTGGCTGCTAGAAAAAAGGCCAAAATGACAGTGGCTTAAACAAGATAGAAGCTTGTTTCTTTCTCATGAAACAGCCCCAGATTGAGCCTAGCAACTTTGGACGCCCTTTGGTGTCTATCTGGCTGGTCTGCCAAGCCTAACATGTGGTTTCCATCTTAAGATCTGAGATGGGGCTGCCTCAGCTCCGGCCAGCACGTCCATATTCCAGCCAGGCAAGGAGGCAAGAGGAAATGAGAGCAAGGCCCAGAGCTTTATTCGTGTCTTCCACTTAGATCTCACTGGCCAGAACTGTGTCACGTGGCCGTGTTGATCCAGAACCCAAGAGAGGGTTCTCGGATCTTTCACAGGAAATAATTCAAAGTGAGTCTCAGAGTGCAGTGAGAAGAAATGGCTTATTGAACACTACTCAGTGACAGCCCAGAAAGCCCAGAAAGTTACAGCCCAGCAAGAAAGTTATACCCTCAGAAAGCAAGAGGAGGAGTACCTCATCATCATTTTAACTTCCTCTTATGAAGAGGCCTTATCTATGGAAAAGCTAAGCTGTGTCTACTCCATGCGGATGGGCTCACAGCGTGACAACGTTTCTTACTTTGCTGATTTAAAGAAAACTGTCCTTGGCACTTAGCGCGTAAATACATCCCAGCACGACTGTCATGATCCTGAGAGCATACACTGTTATGGGTGTTGGGACATCTGGACATTCCGTTGTCAGAGGTATCATCAGGCCGTTTCCTCAACTGTAAACATCTTATCACCACGGAGTGTGACCAGCCAGGAATGTGTCTTGCTAATTTTAAGATAGAGCTGAGGTTTTTGTTTGTTTGTTTGTTTGTTTTTGTTTTTGTTTTTGAGACAGAGTTTCGCTCTTGTTGCCCAGACTGGAGTGCAATGGCGTGATCTCACCTCACTGCAACCTCTGCCTCCCGGGTTCAAGTGATTCTCCTGCCTCAGCTTTCCGAGTAGCTGGGATTACAGGCACCTGCCACTACGCCCAGCCAATTTTTTTTTTTTTTGTATTTTTAGTAGAGACGGGGTTTCACTATGTTGGTCAGGCTGACCTTGAACTCCTGCCCTCAGGTGATCCACCTGCTGCGGCCTCCCAAAGTGCTGGGATTACAGGTGTGAGCCACTGCACTCCGCCGGAGCTGAGTTTTTAAATGGTGTCACCCTGGCTCTCCTATATTCTTCTTTCTCTACCAGCCACGTCTAGCTGCAAGAGAGGCTGGCAATGCAGCTTTTAGCGCTTGATCCTGTGCCCCATGGAAACTCAAGGGCTCTAATGCTAAAGGAAGAATGAGAGGATGGATATTGGATGAAAACTGGTGGACTCAGCCTAAGACACTCGAAGCTGAAGAGCTGGCAGTGCCCTAATGATAGCCCCTGTGGGACAGTGGTTCACAGCCTGGGCCCTAGAGGCCGGGCATGGTGGCTCAAGCCTGTAATCTCAGCACTTTGGGAGGCTGAGGCAGGTGGATCACAAGGTCAGGAGATCGAGACCATCCTGGTTAACACGGTGAAACCCCGTCTCTACTAAAAGTACAAACAATTAGCCAGGCATGGTGGCGGGCGTCTGTAGTCCCAGCTACTCGGGAGGCTGAGGCAGGAGAATGACATGAACCCGGGAGGTGGAGCTTGCAGTGAGCCGAGATGGAACCACTGGACTCCAGCCTGGGCGACAGAGCAAGACTCTGTCTCAAAAAAAAAAAAAAAAGGAGCCTGGGTCCTAGAGTCACACGGCCAGGGAGTTTCATCTTGGCCCTACCCTTGAAATCTGTGTGACCTAAGCCTCAATTTCCTTATCCATAAAATAGGGGTGATGATAATACCACATTTCATTGATTCTTTATTTTTATTTTATTTTTTAGAGATAGGTTCTGTGCCTAGGCTGGAGTGTAGTGGTGTGATCGGAGCTCATTGCAGCCTCAAACTCCTGGGTTCAAGTGATCCTTCTGCCTCAGCCTCTTGAGTAACTGGGGCTACAGGCATGCTACCATGTCTGGCTAATTTTTAATCTTTTTGTTGAGAAGGGGTCTTGCTCTGGTGCCCAGGCTGGCCTTGAACTCCTGGGCTTAAGCGATCCTCCCACCCCAACCTCCCATAGCATTGGATTACAGGTACGAGCCACTGTACCTGGCTTCGTATTTTATTGATTCTAAGATATGAATTTTAACGTCTCTAAAATTAGGTTGTGTTTACAAGTAATGATGTGTTTAGTTGACAGGTTTTTTTTTTTAATTCTTAAAACCATAGTAACATAACGGTGTATCTTACAACGAACGGTGACTAGGATTTCATAAAATACAATTGCTATTTTGATGATAACATCATTAATAGAATATACATACTCTATTAATAAAATTATTAATATAATAGAATATAGAGTGTTTAAATTCATATATATTCATTTGAATAGTTCCAGGACTATGGTAAGAACTCAGTAAATGTCAGCCATTATTCCTATCACCAAGTGCCCCCAGCATGTAGGAAGTGGCTCATTTACCTGGAGCTAAAGGAATACCCAGGGCGGGGTCAGTTTCTTAAACCACCCACCTGTAGGTGAGGCAAAGAGCCTGGCAGGTTCTTCCTCCACCCTACACACCCTCAGGTTCTAAACATCAACTCTGCAGTTGCTGCCTAGATGGAAGGAGAGTGGGGCAGGTGGAGATCGCTCTCCCACCTGTAGGTTAGGGTTAGGTTAGGGTTCGGGCTTAGGGTTAGGGTTAGGGTTTAGAGTTAGGGTTAGGGTTAGGCTTAGGGTTAGTGTTAGGGTTTAGGTTTATTGTTAAGGTTAGGTTTTAGGGTTCGGGTTAGGGTTTAGGTTTAGGAGTTAGATTTAGGGTTAGTGTTAGGGTTAGGGTTTAGGTTTTGGCTTAGGTTTATGGTTTAGTGGCAGGGTTAGAGTTTTGGGTTAGGGTTAGTGTTTAGGGTTAGGGTTAGAGTTAGGTTTTAGGGGTAGGTTTACTGTTTCAGGCTAGGGTTAGGGTTCGTGTTAGGGTCTGAGATGGGGTTAGGGTTATGATTAGGATTATGGGTTATGGCTTTGGGTTATGGTTAGGTTTCTGGGTTAGGGTTGGATTAGTGTTTAGGTTAAGGGATAGGTTATGGTTTAGGGTTAGCTTTAGCTTTTTGGGTTAGCATTTGGGTTTAGTGTTAGGGTTAAGGTTAGGGTTAATTGTTAAGGTCATGAGTTAGGGTTAGAGTTAAGGTTAGTCTTTAGGGTTACGATTAGGGTTAGGGTTAGGGTTAGGATTAGGGTTAGTGTTAAGATTACTTTTCCTGTGATCCCAGTATTGGTTTTCTGTGGCTGCATAGCAAATGTCCATCTGCTAAGTCACTTAAAAGAATAAACACTTATTCTCCCACAGTGCTGCAGGACACAAGTGTGGCGTTAGCAGGACCATGCTCTCTCCTAAGGCTCTGTGGCCAGGACCTTCGTAGCCTCTCCCAGCTTCTGTGGGCTTTGGGCATTCCTGGGCTTTCCTTGTTTCATAGACACATCACTCCCAACTCTTCCTCCATCTTCATGCACCTTCCCCTCTGTGTGTCTCTGTGTCCTCTTCTCTTCTTTTCACAACACTGTTGTTGTATTTAAGCCCCATCCTATTCCAATGGAACCTCATTTTTAACTAACTACACCTGCAAAGACCCTATTTCCAAATGAGGCAACATTCTGAGGTTTCAGGTGGACATGCATTTTTGGGGAATATCTTTCAGCCCCGAACACCTCGGTACCACAGCGCTCCCTGCCTGGTTTTAGTTGACTCTGTTCTCCACTTTCTCTTTTTTGCTTTTTTTCACTCCCTGGCTCATTTGCAGGTTCTGCAAGGCATCTCCAACACCAGCCATTGTGAACAGTCTGTTCTGTGCAGACAGAAAAGGTGGTGCCCATCCAGAATGTGGTGTGGGCTGCTGTTAGAATATTATCAGTTAGAGAAGAGATGAGGGAAAGATAAACCCAGGAGAAATAATTAATAGAAAGGAATGTCACACGGCATGAACTCACTCCAGCACATAAAAATATGTTACCAAAGTTCCTTGGAGTTCTATTTATTCTTTTTTTTTCTTTTCAGTGAAAACAAAAACAAAAATATTCTAGTTAAGCACTGAACTTGTCAAAGCACAAAGACAGCATAAGAAAGTTTGAGTTTAGGGCATCAGCTCTTCTCTTTGTTAAGGTGAAAAGGAAATAAACAAGGCAAAGATGTTGTCATTGAACGTCGCAGAAGAGATTATTCTACCAAGGGCCAGAAGGAAGCCTCTTAAGAGTCTTCAGGGTTTGTTAATTTTAATCAGCCTCTGGGCACACTTGGGTCACAGTGGTGCAACGATGCTTTGGGGATTGTTTAAAAGGCACTATGCACTTGGTTTTACTAGAATTATGGAAAAAGTTTTATGAGGTCAGGTTTAATTATTTAAAAACTGGAAGGGATCTTAAGAAATCATGTATCTCAGTTTTCCCAGAACCATATCAGCCTTAACACATTTTTTTTTTTGATAGAGTCTCACACTGTTGCTCAGGCTGGAGTGCAGTAGTGGGATCATGGCTCACTATAGCCTTGAACTCCTGGGCTCTAGTAATCCTCCTGCCTTAGCCTCTGGAGTGGCTGGAACTATAGGTGTGCACCACTATGCCAGGCTAATTTTTAAAAAATTTTTCACAGAGATGGGGTCTTGCTGTGTTGCCCAGGCTGGTCTCAAACTTCTGGGATCAAGGGATCCACCTGCCTTGGCCTCCCAAAGTGTTGGGATTACAGATGTGAGCCGTCACACACGACCAATGCTGTTTTTTTTAGCATCGAATATTTTGTAATGCTTCTTTTATTATTCTGCAATGAAATTCATAGAAAATCTAACCCACCTATGAACCAATTGCAAAAAGAAAAAGAAATCAGTATAATGCCCTGACTGTGACAAAGAGAAAAATCGCAAAAGGATAGTCAATTATAATAAAATAATGTGGAATCTACAAGGTGAATGTTTGGGTCTGGCCACATCAGGTGACGTGATGAAGTGGCCTGATGTGTGTACCTAGACAGACAGTCACATAAATGTGACAGCCACAGCTGCAGGTGGACACAGATGTGTCATGTGGAGGCTCAAAGACCATGAAGGTACTGCTGCTGGTGATGGGATTTTCCCAAATCCTGGGCAACTCCAGAGGGAGTTCTCCCCTGATCACACAGTGGTTGCGTTCCCAGAATATCTCAGGTATATGACAATGATGCAAAAAACAGACACACCCAGAGTTCGGTTCTAGACCTATGTTTTACAAGAGGGTTTTTCATTTACCAGAGCCTGGTGGGACAGCGAAAAGCAGAGGGATTGGGGAAGTTCTGAAAACTTCCAGAAGGCCCCCGGGGGTAGCACAGCCTCTGTAGAGGACCACTGATCTCTGCTGTTGGTCACCTTTTAAGGTCAGCAAAATGAGGCCTAACAAACGCCACACAGCCGAGTCATAACAGAGCCGAGTGTCCTGGGGGGATGTGGTGGACGGACCTGGGACGCCCTCAGCACAGGGCTCTTCCCTTCCAGCTCCAGTCCTTCGTTCCTGCTGAGGGAGGGCAGAGGGCTGGGAAACCTGGAAGCTTCCAGCCTACGTAGCCTTCTGAGCTGCTGTGCCACTGAACTAGCATCCTGGAAGGAGAAAATCCCATGCAACCTGGACGTTGCTTTACTACAGTGAAGAGTTTAGAGCAATACTTTGGAATCAGACAGGCCTGGGCCCAAATCCTGGCTCTCCCATAGACTGGCTGTGGGCTCATGGGCAAGTTCCTTAATTTCTCCCTGAGCCTCAGTTGTCTTCACTGTAAAATGGGGTTAATAGTATTCCCCAATTACAAGGGAGTTGAGAGTACTTAGTTCAAAAGATGCATGTAAAATGCCTCCTTTTTTTTTTTTGAGACTGAGTTTCACCCTTGTTGCCCAGGCAGGAATGCAATGGCATAATCTCGGCTCACTGTAACCTCCGCCTCCCAGGTCCAAGCAATTCTCCTGCCTCAGCCTCCTGAGAAGCTGGGACTACAGGCATGCTCCACCACACCTGGCTAATTTTGTATTTTTAGTAGAGACGGGGTTTCACCATGTTGGCCAGGCTGGTCTCAAATTCCTGACCTCAGGTGATCCTCCACCTCAGCCTCCCAAAGTGCTGGGATTACAGGTGTGAGCCACTATGCCTGGCCTCGCCCCCTTTACTTTTTACCTGGTAGCATGGGAAGCCACCTGCAGTGAACTTGAGAAAGTGACACAAGAGCCTCAGCCTGGGAGGCTGGAGCAAGGAAAATCCGTTTTCGAGGAATCCTCCACTGCTTGGTTTGTTTTATAATTTCAGGGGCACTATGCACACTGACACGTTGTGCACACCTCCGTCTAGTTCTAGAACATTTCCATCACCCCACAAAGATATCCCATATCTGTTGTCAGTCACTCCCTATTCCCTCCTCCCTCCGGCCCCTGACAGACACCCATCCACTTTCTGTCCCTGTAGACTGGCCACGCTAGGCCTCTCATGTAAATGGAATGAATTGTGTAATACGTGGTCCCTTGTGTCTGACTTCTGTCACTCAGCATCATGTTCAAGTTTCATCACGTTGTAGGGTGTGTCAGAGCCTTGTTCCTCTCTATGGCTGATGGTATGAGTTGTATGGATGGACCGCATTTCATTTATCCACCCCTCAGTGATGGACATTTGTTTTTTCCTACTTTTTGGCGACTGTGAGTCATACTCCACTTTGAACATCCTGGCCCCTGGCATGTCATTGGGGTGGAATGGGAGCAAGCTGGGTCTCTTCTGAATCTGGGCCTTTGTTTTGGGTGAAAGGACACAGCCTTTGGAAGAAGACAGACCTGGGTTTGGATTCTGATTCCATACAAGTCACCGGGTGCCTCCACCTCTCTGAATCCCAGCTTCTTCATCAGACAAAGGGATAGTCATGAGGCATCGAGATGACATTTGTGTGTGATCAGCACATCGTAGGGATCCAACAAACAGTCTCATTTGTGTCCATCAAGCTCCTTTAATGCCTTAATTATTACACTGCAGCCTGGGTAGGGCATCCCTACTCCCAGCTCTAAGGTAAGGATTCCCGTGGGTTCTAGTCAGGGGTACACCACGGCCGGTTCGTAGGGCTCACGAGAGCTGATGGTGAGCATCTCTTCCCTACTCCACACTCATGGACTTTGCATTGGTAGCTTGAAATCAACCAAAGTGGGAGTGTTTACACCCTGGAAATCAGCAAACCTTCAAAGCAGGGCTTACCCCAACCCCTGACCTCTGGAGAGCCAGTTGTTAAACATTTACCAACAACCACAGGTTCTAGTATTTTCTGTTAAGTTGCCTGGTGACAACAGGCCAGAGAGATCAGGAGAGGGTAAGGCAGGACAGCTCAGGGGTTAAGCCCAAGGGTGCTAGAGCAGACATGTGATCTTGGTCCTGGCTGGCAGGCCTGCCACTGCTTCAGAATCTGTGAGCTCCACATCCTCACTGTCTCCATCTCCTTTGGAGCTCAGCTGCACCAGCAGGACCTGGAGGCAGGTCTGCTGCGTGGGACATGGGGTGTGGGGACTTCCGGGGAAAGCATTCCTTTCCAATAAAAGTGGTGCAAAGGAGGAGATGCCTCCTCTTCTTGGGTGTTTTCATGTCCATACAGTGACTCTTGGAGCTGCAGCAGCCATCATGTGACCACATGGAGAGAGGCCTAAGAAGCAGGTGAATTATGCAGAGGGTGCGAGGGTGGAAAGAAAGAGCTTGGGTTCTCAGTGGCACTGAGCCAGCCCTGGAACTGCCACCCGCTAGACTGCTTTCATGAACTAGCAAAAATACCTTGTTCTTTAATCAATTTTAATCCAATGCTCTGTTAGTTGTAGCCCACATAATCCTGACCCGGATGTCAACGTATGAAGGGAAGAGCAGGAAGAGATTAGGATTCCAAAGAGAATTTTTCAAAAAAAAAGGATTGCAAAGAGGGTAAATTCTGAGAGATGAGCTAAAGAAGAGAAGGAAGGAATATGCCCTAGGTAAGGCCAGGCAAGGATTTTTCCAATTCAGGGAGTGGCAGGGAAATGGAGAAATTCTTAGAAAACGTATAATCTACCAAAACTGACTCAAAAAGAAAAAGAAAGTCTGAATAGTCCTATAACCTTGAATAAAATGGAACAGTAGTTTAAAATCTTCACACAAATAGCTGGGTGTGGTGGCTTACATCTGTAATGCCAGCACTTTGGGAGGCTGAGGCAGGTGGATCACCTGAGGTCAGGAGTTCGAGACCAGCCTGGCCAACATGGCAAAACCCCGTCTCTACTAAAAGTACAAAAAATTAGCCGTGCATGGTGGCACACGCCTGTAATCCCAGCTACTTGGGAGGCTGAGGCAGGAGAATCGCCTGAACCTGGGAGGCAGAGGTTTCAGTGAGGTGAGATGGCACCACTGCACTCCAGCCTGGGTGACAGAGCAAGACTCTGTCTCAAAAAACGATAATAATAATAATCTTCCCACAAAGAAAACACCAGTCCCAGTGAGTTTTACAGATGAGTTCTATCAAACATTTAAAGTATCAGACAGTCTTACACAAACTCTTCCAAGGAGTAGAAAAAGAGGGAATATTTCCCAACTCATTCTATGAGGCCAGTATAACCTTGATATAAAAACCTGACAAGAATGGTGTGAGAAAGGAAAATTATAGATGAAAGTCATCCATGAAAATAGATAGAAAAATCGTACACAAAATATTAGCAAACCCAGCTGTTGACATATAAAAAAGTAATATATGATGACAAATATACATTTATCCCAGTAATGTAAAGGTGACTTAACATTAGAAAATCTATAAATGCCATTCATCACAGTACAAGTTAAAGGAGAAAATCCTGTGATTGTTCATACAGATGCAGAAAGAGCAATGGCTAAAATTTAAATCCTTTTATCATAAAAACTATTGGCAAATGATGAAAAATGTTTCTTCATATGTAAAAG
Source organism: Homo sapiens (assembly GCF_000001405.40). Lineage (NCBI taxonomy): Eukaryota > Metazoa > Chordata > Mammalia > Primates > Hominidae > Homo > Homo sapiens. Next base: position 87,530,709 of record NC_000016.10, read on the forward strand.
CATCTCCACCAAATGTTACAGTAAACATCATTCTTTTTTTTGAGACGGAGTCTCAGTTTTACCCAGGCTGGAGTGCAGTGGTGTGATCTCGGCTCACTGCAAGCTCCGCCTCCCGGGTTCATGCCATTCTCCTGCCTCAGCCTCCCGAGTAGCTGGGACTACAGGCGCCTGCCACCACGTCTGGCTAGTTTTTTTGTATTTTTAGTACAGACGGGGTTTCACTGTGTTAGCCAGGATGGTCTCGATCTCCTGACGTCGTGATCTGACCGCCTCGGCCTCCCAAAGTGCTGGGATTACAGGCGTGAGCCACCACGCCTGGCCGGTAAACATCATTCTTAATGGTGCACATGAGTTTCTTTAAACTCAGAAACTCAGAAACAAGGTGAGAATGACAGTGCTTGTCTTCAACATTGTATTTCTGTGTCAGCATAGGATAAGGAAAATGAATAAAGGTATCAGGGTCAGAAAGGAAGAAACAAAACTATCATCATTCTCAGATGATATGTCTACATTTAAAACTTACTTCTGCAGGAAAAAAAATATCAGAAATGATAGCAGAGTTTAGCAAGGTAATTTCCAGTTATTAAAAACTCAGATCTCAGAGGCAAGGGGACAAAGCCATAGGGGTATTACTCGCACAGAGGCACAGGGTGCTGTCAGCAAGAGCAGAGCCCATCCTGGGGCCACTTGTCCCCAGGATGATTTCTACCCAAGGCCAGCATTGGATGGTGAGCGGGGACAAGGGTGAGCCTGGACATCAGTCTGTAGTTCCACCTTGTTGGAGGAGAGGCATGGCAGCCTGCTACTCAGAGGCTGAAGTGGGAGAATAGCCTGAGCCCAGGTGCTTGAGGCTGCAGTGAGCCATGATTGCACCACTGCACTTCAGTCTAGGTGACAGAGTGAGACCCTGTCTCAAAAAGCAGATAAACAAATCTGTAATTCGAGCAGGGCTTGGCAGGGACAGCTCATCCCCGCTCTCTGTGGATTTGGCAGGAGCAGCTTGAAGCCTCAGGGTGGTGACCTGATGTTTGGGAGCTGGAGTCTCTGAAGGCTCTCTCACCCACAGGTCCAGTGCCTCAACTAGGGCACTGGCTGAAACACCTACTGTGGCTTCTCCACGGTGGTTGGCTTCCAAGAGGAAGCATCCCAAGGGAACCAGGTGGAAGTTGACTTATCTTTTACAACCCAGCCTTAGACATCACTCTGACCATTGTCCCAAGTCCACCAGGATTCAAGGGACAGAAACCTAGACCCCAGTTTTTGCAAAAATTCCATGGTAAGAAGAGTTTGTAGGAAGAGAGAGATCATTGCAACCATGTTGGGAAACACAGCCTGCCATTCCTCTCCACTTCCCCTCATTTGATGACAAACCCCATTCTCTTTCCAGTAGAGGATACCTATGACCCAGGCTGGGCCAGACACCATACACCACCTCTCCAGCCACAGTGGTTGGTCCGGGGCTGGGCAAGTGACTAAAGCAGTTCATCTGGAGTTTGTGCCTAGCTGAAGCTGACAAACCAAGCCCCTTCTTGCCCTGGGGCCATTGATCCCATGACAGGGGTGAGGCACACCAACTGTACATATGACTTCATGACCTGCAGCATCGGCCCTGGACTGCTTATCTTCAGTCATTTTTTTTTTTTGAAATGGAGTTTTGCTCTTGTTGCCCAGGCTGGAGTGCAATGGTGCAATCTCAGTTCACTGCAACCTCTGCCTCCCAGGTTCAAGTGATTCTCCTGCCTCAGCCTCCAGAGTAGCTGGGATTACAGGCATGTGACACCATGCCAGGCTAATTTTGTATTTTTAGTAGAGACGGGCTTTCTCCATGTTGGTCAGATTGGTCTCAAACTCCCGACCTCAGGTGATCCACCCACCTTGGCCTCCCTCTTCAGTCTTCTTATGTGAAAAATTCCACCCTTAGCTGTATAAGCCACTGGAAGAGGGCTCCTGTGACTCACAGCTGAACACAGTCATAATTTATACTTGGAACAAATGGCCACTTTCACAGGCACCCTAAATTCATCACTGAAGCCAACACAAAGCCCAGTGATGATCATGATTTGTGATTCTTCATTAGATAGCTATTGACAAAGGGACCACGTCTCTCTTGTTCATCTTTCCATCCCAAGCACCAGATATAAAAGACTCCATAAATTGGTCTTGAATGAATGAGTGAATGCAGCATGATAGCAAAAGCCACAATAATGGTGACTCGGGCATTAGATAAAATGGGGTCCTGATCCCACTCCCTCTGCTTGCCTGCCGAGTGATCTTGGGCAGGTCCATTAAGCTCTCTTGGCTCCAGTTTCCTTATCTGTAAAATGATAATACAACTGACCGTGTCCAAGGTGTGAGGATAACTGATGTTGAACCAATGTTCACTGCTTTTGCTGTTACTGCAATTGGTAGGAGGTGAGGAAAGTGATGAGAGGAGAAAAAGCTAGAAGGTAATCTGTCAGGTGTTCACCCACCTCTGTTTCTGAAGCAATGGGATCCAGCTCTATCATATATGTATCCTTAGGCAGGACAGTTTGGGTTGGGCTCTGCTGGGTGGTTCTTCTGCTGGTCTCACTTGGGATCACCTGTGTGGCTGCAGTCATCTGGTGGCTAATGGAGCTGCATGGTCTAAGAAGCTTCTCTCACAGGCCTGGTGGTCATGCTGGTTGCTGGCTCTGCTCAGATAGAGCTCCTCTGCTCCACATGGCCGCTCATCCTCCCATAGGCAGCCTGGATATCTTCACAGCATTCCATCAAGGCTGAGAGTGGTAACAGCATGTTCTCTTGGGACTGAGGTTCTGAAGTCACACAACATTGCTTTTGCCACATTCTATATATTTGTCAAAGCTTAGAAAGGAAAAAATATTTCTTCTATATGCAACATTTTGCTTCTGACAACAAATGGCAGCGTAGGGGTTCCCCACACCAACAAATCTTCCAACTTTCTGAAATAGTTGGGTGTCTTACAGTTCAACTCAGTTCCAACACTACCTGGAGTTAGCATCAGATCCCATGATTTAGGGACTCAGTCCCACAGGACGGCCTCCACTTCAGATGCCAACTGAGAGTCTGGGCCTCCCTCCAGACTGATCAGCTATGATTTATAGCTGATTTAGGGGTTCCCATGACCCCCTCCTCAGATTCAATAATTGGCAAAACTGGGCACAGTGGCTCATGCCTGTAATTCCAGCACTTTGAGAGGCTGAAACAGGCAGATCACATGAGGTCAGGAGTTTAAGATCAGCCTGGCCAACATGGTGAAACCCCATCTCTACTAAAAATACAAAAATTAGCCAGGCATGGTGGTGCATGCCTGTTGTGCCAGCTACTCAGGAGACTGAGGCAGGAGAATTGCTTGAACCTGGGAGGCAGAGGCTGCAGTGAGCCAAGATGGAGCCACTGCACTCCAGCCTGGGTGACAGAGCAAGACTTTGCCTCAAACAAACAAACAAAAAGTTGGCAAGAATGACTTACAGAACTCAGGGAAACACTTTGCTTATTTTTACTGGTTTATTACAAAGGATATGACTCAGGAACAGCCAAGTCATGGACAGGGTGGGATGGACGGGGTGGAATAGACGGGGTAAGTAGGGGAGGCGCAGGAGGGGTGCAGAGCTTCCATGCCCTCTCCAGGTGCACTGCCCTCCCTGCACCTTGATGTGTTCACTAACCCCACCCAGAAGCTCTTTGAAACCCCCTTCCAGTCATTGACAGGTGTTTTGGAGACCTCATTAGACAGGTATGATTGATGACATCATCAGCCATTGAGGATTAAGTCGATCTCCAGCCCCTCTCCCCTCCCTGGAGGTTGGGGTTGGGGAGCAGGGGGACTGAAGTTCTAACCCTCCTCTGGCAACCAGCCCCCATCCTCCAAGAGTCACCTCATTAGCGTAAACTCAGATGTAGTTACTAATAATGGTTTGGATATTTGTCCCCTCCAAATCTCATATTGAACTTTGACCCCAGTGTTGGGACTGGAGCCTGGTTGGGGGGTGTTTGGGTCATGGGGGTGGATGCCTCATGAATGTCTTGGTGCCGTCCATGCAGTAATGAGTGAGTTCTCGAGAGCTCTCGCTCTAGCAGTTCCTGAGAGAACTGATAGTTTAAAAAGCCTGGCAGCTTCCCCCGCTTGCCTCTCTCCTCTCCACATGACACCTGCTCCTTTTCACCTTCTGCCCTGAGTGGATGCTTCCCGAGGTCCTCACCAGATGCAGATGCTGGTGCCCTGCTTCCCATACAGCCTGCAGAACTGTGAGCCAAATAAACCTCTTTTCTATATAAATTATCCAGCCTCAAGTATTCCTTTACGGCAACACAAACGGACGAAGAGAGTTGTCATTATGAATAACCGAAGATGATCTTCCCACCCTTATTGCTCAGGGAATTCTGAGGATTTTAGGAGCTCTGTGTCCGGAACCAGGATGGAGACCAAATATATATTTCTTATTATATCACAATATCACAAAGCCCTTTGCAGATTTGCTAAGTCACATTACAAAGGAACCTGTATACAGGCCACCTTACTTCAGCTCCAAACCGAGAATCACTTTCCCCCCAACCACATCATCCCCCTAGTCATCTGCCCTCCAAATCTGCATTTTTCCCCTATCATTGTTGCAACAAATTACCACAAACTAGTGGCTTAAAACAGGACACATTTATTATCTTAAAGTTCAGGAGTTCTGAAGTCTGAAACGGGCCTGCTCCTTCTGGACACTCCAGGGGAGAATCTGTCTGCTTGCCTTCTGCAGTTCCTAGAGGCTGCCTGCATTCCTTGGCTCATGGCCCCTCCTCTGTCTTCCAAGCCAGCAGGATGGCATCTTCTCTCCTTGCTGACTTCTGCCTCCCTGTCACCAGGATCCCTGTGATGACATTGGGGCCACCAGGATAATCCCAGATAACCAGCCCCCCGAGCTCAAGATTTGTAAACCACATCTGCAAAGTTTCTTCGGCCAAGTAAGGTAAATTACTTGGTAATTTTCTTGGCAAGGTAGATATCCACAAGTTCTGGGGGTTAAGATATGGACATCTTTGGGGGTCACTATTCTGTCTACCATAGACTCTCACACCCTTTCCTTCCAACCCAGGCGTTTCCAGACTTCTTCAAACACATTCCTCTAGGAGTTTTTGTTTGCTAGTTTTAAAGGAGCATGCCCCAAATACATGATTAAAAGCCTGGACCGGCAGCCAAACTACCTCAATTCAAATCCCAGCTCTCCTGCCTTCTCATTGTTCTACCTCGGCCAATCTGCTTCACCTCTCTGCACCTCTGTTTCCTCATCTGCACGATGCAGGATGTCTCAGCTCCTGCTGCCATAACACAGATGCCATAGACTGAGTGGTTTAGACTTCACAGTTCCAGAGACGGAAGTCCAAGATCAGGGAGCCAACAGGGTCAGGTTCTGATGAAGCTTTCTTCTGCCTTGTAGTTGGCCACCTTTTCCTAGGTCCTTACGTGGCATAGAGGGAGGGAGGGAGAGAGAGAGAGAGAGAATGTGCTCTGATGTCCCTCTGATGAGAATGTTACCGGTGGAAAGTGTCCAGGTTCTTGGCATCTTGAACAAATAAATGGACAAAATGTGCAAACAAATCAAGAAAGGAATGAAGCAACAAGAGCAAAGATTTATTGAAAATGAAAGTACACTCCACAGGGTGAAAGTAAGCCCCGGCATAGGGGCTCAAGGGCCCCAGATACTGTATCTTCTCGGGTCCAAATACCCCCTAGAGGTTTCCCAGTGGCCACTTGGTGTTCACCCCATGTAAATGAAGTGGCGGCCTGCAATCGGTCTGATTGGTCAAGTGAAGTTACAAAGCTCACACTCCTATGCAAACATCTGATTGGTTGTGGAAAGCACACAATCAGAGGCTGAAGTGAAGTTACAAAGTTACATTCCAATACAAACGTCTGATTGGTTGCAAAAAGCGATCAATCAGAGGTACTTTCAATTTCCCATCTGCCTGGCAGAAAAGGTAGGGGTTTGCAAAGGGGTAGCCTCTGGTCCTTTTGTTATTTAGATGTGGAAAGTTAGGGCTCTCCTTTCAATTTAGTTCTAGGAAATCAGCGTGAAAGAGCCTTAGGTTCCCTGCCTCCAGACGCTATTCTCCTGCCTCAAGGATACCGATATGGCTTGGCTCCGTGTCCTCACCCAAATCTCATCTTGAATTTAATCCCCAAGTGTTGAGGGAGGGACTGGGTGGGACGTGATTGGATCATGTGGGTGGTTTCCCGCGTGTTGTTCTTGTGACAGTGGGAGTTCTCACGAGATCTGGTGGTTTTATAAGGCAGTTTTCCCTGCTCTCTCTTGCTCTTCTCTCTCCTACCGCCTTGTGAAGAAGATCCTTGCTTCCTCTTCGCCTTCCTCCGTGATTGTAAGTTTCCTGAGGCATCCACAACCATGTGGAACTGTGAGTCAATTAAACCTCTTTCCTTTATAAATTACCCAGTCTTGGATATTTCTTTATAACAGTGTGATAACATGCTAATACAGATACTAATCCCTACCTTATCTGGGTCTTGCCCTCACGGCCTCGGCAAACTTTAATCACTTCCTTATTCCAAACAGTCATACTGGGGGTGAGGGCTTCAACATATGAATTTTAGGGGCACACAATTCATAGCAGAGGGTAATAATATCTCCCAGAGTCCTGAGGAGTAAATGAGTGAATATGCTTACAAGGCTTAGAACAGGGCTGTGGCACAGCGGCAGTGCAGGGGTTGGTTTTTATCATCATTATTTATAAAACATACATTTGGGCTCTGCAGCTGACTTTCATGCACATTATAAAATGAGAAAAGAGAAAATGTAAAAGGATGAGATAAATTGAAGCTGAAGTCATAATAGCTTTCTCCCACACTTCCAGAGGATTGTCCTGCATGCCCTTTGGGGTTTGGGGTCCCCCTATTCCAGCCTGGGGTTCTCTGACATTGGCATGCATCCCCGTCACTTGTGTTACTCTTAAAATGGAGCTTCCTGAGCCTCGTCCCAGATTAACTGGATCAGCCCTGGTGAAGGAGCCCAATGGCTACATTAAAAATATATAGAGGCCAGGCACGGTGGGTCACACCTGTGATCCCAGCACTTTGGGAGGCCAAGGCGGGTGGATCACTTGAGGTCAGAAGTTTCAGACCAGCCTGGCCAACATGGTGAAACCCTGTCTCTACTAAAAATGCAAAAAAAAAAAAAAAAAATTGGATGTGGTGGCACACACCTGTAATCCCAGCTACTTGGGAGGCTGAGACAGGAGAATTGCTTGAACCCAGACGCAGAGGCTGCAGTGAGCTGAGAAAATGCCACTGCATTCCAGCCTGGGCAACAGAGTGAGATCCCATCTCTACAAAAAATTTAAAAATAAGCCAGGGGAAATGGTATGCGCCTGTGGTCCCAGCTACTCAGGAGGCTGAGGCAGGAGGATCCCTTGAGCCCAGAAGTTGGAGATGCCAGTAAGTAATGATTGCACCTCTGCACTCCAGCCTGGGGGACAGAGCAAGACCCTGTTTCAAAATAGATATGTATTTTTGATGTCAAAGAAACTGTTTTCATCAACTGTGGGAAAAACCCTGAGACTCACTTATAACCGCTGACCTCAAACACCCCCAAGTCTAAATTGTTTCCATCTCCCTGAATCCAAAACTCCAGCTGACGAGCACTGAGTGTTTATGTGAACATGGCCACATCCAAATGACCAGGCAGCCCTATAGCTCCTCACAGTCAAGTTCCTGTACGGTTTCCTCAAGATGCAAAAACATTTTGAAGTATGAGATTCGAGCTTCATACCCTGCCCAAGCCTTCTGTTTAAAGGTGGAATGCATTCCCTGCTTTTTTTCTTTTTAAATCTGCCCCCTTCTTGGTTTCTAATGACATTTGACATTTGACGTTCACCACTGCTGTGAGTTCTCCTCCGCCACTGTCAACACAGCCATGCCCAGCTACTAACGCAGAGACAGCAATGCTCCAGGCCAGAGCATATGTTGGAGACCTACATTCATTTCATAAATGTGAGCAACACAGTTTCCCATTCCTTTTGACTCATTTTTTCCTTCCTTTTCTCCACTTGCCAGTTGGGGTGGACTCCAGCGTGGCTGAGGGCAGACGCCGCCGCCCCTGAGAGCTGCTTCTGGTTCACGTGGCTTCTTAGAGAACCACAACTCCAGCCCTCCTCTCTGTAGGGGACACAAATTCACCGCTTGCCCTTTGTCCCCAGAAGATGTTTTCTAACAGCCCAAGGGCCGATCCGGAATCAGAGAAAAACACTCCGTGGGGGAGGCCAGAGGAATATTTAGTTTGTGTTTTATTAGCCCTTGCTGGGTCTCCAGATCTGAACCCCGGCGGGGCCTGTGTGCTCAGATCTTCCCACAGCGTACCCCTGAAGCCCAGCTCAGGCAGCCTGAGGATTAGAATAAATGAAAATCATTATCTGAGCTGTTTGGCACACGTGCGTGTGCAAGAGCCAGGGGCCATTTTCAAGGGAAAATGCCCGTTGCAGTTTCCTAAATCCTTTCTCATTTTTGACTTATTTGATCCTGGCAACAACTTGGTGAGATTGGTTTATCCGTGAGTCCATTTCACAGGCAGGAAAGTGGTGTCGCAGGGAGGCCGAGTGACTTGTCCACAGCCACGCAGCTGGGAAACGGGGAGACAGATTCAGGTGAGGACCTGCTGCCTCCGCGGTGCGGGGTACACCTTTCTCTCTCTTCCTCCTGCCTCCTTTCCTCTTCCTTCCTTCTTCTCCAAACTTCCACTCACCTATTTTTAAAACTCTTTTTGGAGATGGGGTCTGGCTATGTTGCCCAGGCTAGACCCAAGCCCCTGGGCTCAAGCAGTCCTCCCACCTCAGCTTCTTGAGTAGCTAGGATGACAGGTGCATGCTACCACACCTTGCTCAACTATTTTTAATTGAAAAATTAACATACACAAATGGTTAAACAACCACAACCAAACAGTACAGGAAAGGATGTCCTGAAAAGTAAGCTTCCTTCCACCCCAAATCTTCAGGGTCCCAGAGCCCCTTTTTCTAGCTATGTGTGTGCATATGTGCTCGTGCACACATATGTGTATGCACACTTAGGTGTGCATGTGTGATACATTACTCGGCCTCCTACACAGACAGTAGCAGCCCATGCGCTGGGTGCCTCTGGTTCTTCTTATTTCTCTCTCTGTCTCTTTTTTTTTTTTTTGTTTTTGAGACAGAGTCTTGTTCTGCCTTCCAGGCTGGAGTGCAGTGGCACAAGCTCGGCTCACTGCAAACCTCCACCTCCCGGGTTCAAGCAATTCTCGTGTCTCAGCCACCCAAGTAGCTGGGATTACAGGTGCCCATCACCACACCCAGCTAATTTTTGTATTTTTAGTAGAGACAGGGTTTTGTCACGTTGGCTGGGCTTGTCTCTAACTCCTGACCTCAGGTGATCTGCCCGCCTCAGCCTCCCAAAGTGCTGGAATTACAGGCGTGAGCTGCCACTTCCAGCCCTTCTTATTTCTCTTGAAAGCTGTTCTGTGTCCACATGGATGGAGCCACCACGCTTTTTGCTGACTGCACAAGAGCTCTCAGTGCATGGGGAGTAGGCTGTCCTTCTCCACTCCTCTCCACCAACAGGCATGAGGCTGCTCTCAGTCTCTGCTGTAATCAACGCATGGCGTGGGTCATGCCTTTGGCACATATATGCCTTTGTGCCCCTATGCCAGTGCCTCACTCAGGAAGAATCCTCGGAGGAGAACTGCTGCGCAAGAGGATTTGCCGTTGTCAGTGCCGGGGCTGTGGTTAAATTGCCTCCCCGTAGGCTGCACTTGCTCACACGCCTGCCCTCCCGGTGTCAGGGTCATGCCCCTCACTCCTAACGCCATGCAGCACGTAGCCATTCAGGGGCCCTTTGGGGGCCCCTCCCAGCGAGCTCACTCTAATCAGAGACAGCAAAGGTGTTGGATCTGCTTGATTTTCAAATGATTTACCCAGAAGCATCCACCCTCTCAGCCCCTAGTGTGGGGAATATGAGCCCTTCCCTGGAAACACTGCTAGAAAAAGAAAAAAAAAAAAAGGAAGAGAGAGAGAGGGCTCATTGAATAGGGCATCCCTAAAACGTGGACAGAGGAAGCAGAGAGAATGGAGTCCAAACACTCAGATCCTGTTGTCACCCCACCAGGGTCTACCCAGCAACGCCGAGACACTGAACAGGGCCCTCGTGAGTGCCTAGAAACGGTGGTGATCAACTCCCACCCCTGAGCCTCCCTCAGTCCCCAGATCAGCAGCAGGGATTTTTTTACAGCCCTCTACCCAGCCACCCTGGGTCCTGTGCAGCCAACCTGGGTCCACACATGTCCGGGACTCACAGATGAGATGGAACTGTCCCACGCATGGTCTCTGGGGCAGAAACTGCTGCGGAGCCTGCCGAGGCCACTCCTGCCGACTGGCCAGGGCACAGCATCTGACCCAGGAGGCTGTGACCTCGCTGCCCCAGGCCTGGCATGGCCTGTGGACAGTGGCCCGTCCCGCCGGCCACCAGGAACCTCCCCTCGGTGCCCACCCCATCCACCTCGCCAAGACTAATCTAGAAATTATTTATAGATCCGAACTCCACAGAAACCATTGTGTCTGCCGTTGCCATGGCAATGGGGATGTGGCAGGAGCGCCAGGCTCTCAGGCTTTCCAGGGCCCGTGGAGGCCGGCAAGGGCGGTCGATTTCTCCCAGGAGCCCCTGACTCACGCCCACCTTCAGAGGCCCCCGGGAGTGAAGAAGACAGCCTTCCCACCCGTTTCCAGCAGGGCTGGCTGCATCCAGGAAGACAGCGCTGCTGGTGAGTGGTTCGGCTTTGTTTCAGACCACTCAAAGAAATCATCTAGAACAACGTCCGCAAGACTGGCGGTGCAACTGTCCCCCTTGGAACCTCTCGGGAACACAGCCTCTGTCTCCTCACCGCAGAGCAGCTGCGTCAGACTCCCAGACGGCGGGGCCTAGGGATCTGTGTTTTGGTTTTGGGATCTGTGCAAATCCACATGACTCAATAATCCAAACATACAGAGAGCCTGGGAACCCTTACCCCGCTCTGGCGCCCTATGTGTCCGCTTTCATTGGCTTCTTGTATTTCCGGCTTGTTTTCTTTAGGGAGGCAGCAAATACAAGATACGGTCCACTTTTATCTTTCCCCGCTCAGAAAATAAAGATACCACAGCCCAGGCTTCCGCACCTTGCTTTTCTCACTAAATACTATTTTCCAAAGCTGTCACCAAATTCGCCGCTTCTTTATTTTTTTTTCTTTTACGGCGGCACAGCATGGGTTCCCTCCTGTGGGTCGGTGTGCCAAGGAATCTGCTTGCGTAACCAGACCTTTTCCCTAGGAGCAGTTGCCCAGACGCAGCCCCTAGGATGAGGATGTGTTTGCAGCGACTATTCAGGGAGTACTCCCTGGGGACACAGGTTGGGGGTGGGAAGCTGGACTGGAAAAGGAAGGAAGCTGGGCAGGGTGCTATGTGGGCACAGTCCTTCTGCAGCCTGAAGGAACTGGGGTGGGCGGGGCATGCCCGACCCCACAGGGGAACTGTGGAGGGTCAATCACACCCAGGGATGTCCCAGCCTGAGACCAGGGAGCTGAGGTCTTCATACACCCACCCAGAACCCACCTGTCTTTGGTTAAGCGTGGTCTAGGGAGGTATAAATTCCCAGGCATTTCCGTGCATGAGGGTGAAGCGGCTTCAGAGAGCCCACAGGCCACCCTCTAAACCAGAGGTCTCCAACCCCCGGGCCACGGCAGAAGGTGAGCAGCAGGTGAGTGAGCAAAGCTTCACCTGTATTTACAGCTGCTGCCCACGGCTCACGTTAACACCTGAGATCCGCCTCCTGTCAGATCAGCCGCAGCATTAGATTCTCATAGAAGCGTGGACCGTATCGTGAGCTGCATATGCAAGGGATCTAGGTTGCACACTCCTTATGAGATTCTAATACACGATGATCTGTCACACGGCAGTGACCAGCACGGACACGCATCCCTTCCCGTATGAAGCTTACACTCCAGACCAGAGTTGCCCAATAAAGCTTCCTGCACTGATGGAATGTTCTAGATCTGCATTGTCCGATATGGTGACCACTAGTCCCTTGTGGCTTTTGAGCCTTTGAAATATGGCTGGTACTGGTTCATGGCCTGTTAGGAACTCGGTTGCACAGCAGGAGATGAGTAGCAGGTGAGTGAGTGAAGCTTCCTCTGTATTTACAGCTGCTCCCCATCGCTGGTATTACGGCCTGAGCTCCCCCTCCTGTCAGATCAGCTGCAGCATTAGATTCTCCTAGGAACGCGAACCCTATTGTGAACTGTCATTCGAGGAATCCAGGTTGTGCACTCCTTATGAGAAACTCGTGTCAGATGATCTGTCACTGTCTCCCATCACCCCTAGATGGGATTGTCCAGTTGCAGGAAAGCAAGCTCAGGGCTCCCACTGATTCTACGTTATAGTGAGTTGTATAATTATTTCATTAGATATTACAATGTAATAATAATAGAAATAAAGTGAACGGTAAGTGTAATAAGTTGAATCGTCCTGAAACCATTCACCCTGCCTGGTCCATGGAAAAATTGTCTTCCATGAAACCAGTCCCTGGTGCCAAGAAGTTTGGGAACCACTGCTTTAAGCAGCTGCTGGTGCTGGCTGTTGGAGGTATAAACACTCCAAAGCTTTGGAGAGCACAAAAATGGTAAAAAGGGATCCAGGGATCCGGCAGGGGCCCTGAGGTTATTCAACACACATTTCCAATGGATTCTGTTAAAACTGGTTCAGATAGGGAGCTGCCCTGGCTTAGGGACAATCCATGAGCAAATTATCACCCATTTACTCAGCGCTTCCATGAACCAGGCCCTGGCTAGACCAAGAAGTCCCAGGTGCGTGGACCCCAGCGCGTTTCCTCCAGGGGTGTAGCACTGGGCAGGAGAGGGCCGAGGGCCCCTGCAGCTGGAGGCAGCTGGTGGCCCCTGCGTGCTCGCGGCCCTGCTGCTGCTTCGTCAGAAATGACACGACATACCTCACTGCACCTCCTGACCTTGAGGTGCGCTGAGAAGCACTGCAGAGAGCACTCTGCTCATCAACAAGTTTTATTTCTCTGTTTGTGCATTCAGCACAAAATATGTGTATTGGTGTAATAAACTTTGTAATGTGTTTCCAACGTTTGATCCACGAAGTTTCAGGTCTTTCCCATAAGCAGAGCCCTTGAAGGTGCTGGCACAGATTCCACGATCTGAGGCCTCCTGACGGCCTCTGGAGCCCCCTTCTGCCGCTTCCCACGTAGGGCTGCCGCGTGTGGTCCGAAAATCATCCTAAAAATGGAACCTTCCACTCAGGCAGGCACCGCATGGGTCTGTGTGAGCCGCATGTTTCTCAGCCAAGACGCGGCTGTGTAGGAAGTTCCTTATAAGGATTTCCTACTCTTTGTGGGCCACCCGTTCATGCGGTGACCAACCTCATTTGCGTTCCCAAGTCTGTGCCGAGCTTCCTGTGGGCAGGAAGGGGCCCTCACTGCCTTCTCCCTTGTGGGTCTTCGAGCCCATGAAGTGGGGGCTTGGCCAGGGCATGAGGTGTCTTTCTGCAAATTAGAGAAAGGGACGTGCTAGGGTTTGAATGTTTGTCCTCTCCGAAGCCCATGCTGAAATCGAATCCCTACAGTGGCAGCATTGAGAGGTGAGGCCTTGAGGAAGTGATTGAGTCGAGAGGGCTCTGCCATCATCAGTAGATGAATCCATTGGTGGACTCACAGATGAACGGGTTAACATTGGTGGGCTCACGGATGAACGGGTTAATGGGTTAATGGTTATCCCAGGAGTGGGTCAGTTATCACGGGAGTGGGACTGGTGGCTTCATAAGAAGAAGAAGAAAGACCTGAGTGAGCAGTCAGCCTCCACACTATGGGATGCCCTGTGCCACTTGGGGCCTCCATAACTGTAAGAAATTAATTCCCTTTCTTTATAAATTGCCCAGTTTCAGGTATTGTGTTATCAACAACAGAAAACAGACTAAGGAAGCACTCCCTATCCGAGTGGACTCAGCCTGGAAAGGCACAGTTTTCTGTGTGGAGGGATTTTTATAAGTGCCCCAGGATGGTCGGGACTCCATCCACGCTGAACACCCATGCATCATTAACCTGGGATATTAATGAGAGTATTGGTTTGGGTGCTCTAACAAAGACAATCAGAGTGGCAGAGACTGCCAGAGGTGGAAGGTGATTTCTGTCTTAGTCTCTCACACCAAGGTCGAGCTGGTGTGGCCCGGGCACCTTCTCATTTGTCATTCCACAATTCCCCTTGTGTGTGGTCCTTGTCCACGTGCTGCAGGGCAGGGTCCCAGGATGGTCCTTGTCCACATGCTGCAGGGCAGGGTCCCGGGAAGCAGACCTGCGATGGAGATTTGCATACAGGAAGGACCTGGGCATGCTCTCAGGGAGAGGCAGGACCAACAGAGGGAGGAGGTGGCTGAGATGCTCCTGCCGGGTCTCTGAGGCTGGCACGGGCCATCACAGTTGTCCCAAGTGGGAGTGAGGGGCTTGGCCTCTATAGCCCCCCAGTGTAGGTGTGCCTCTGTGCAAGCCAGCTCTCTTCTGCTAAGGGTAATTCCCAGAGAGAGCTGAGAGTGGGCCGCACTCCAGCCAGCAGGAAGGGGCAGGGGAGGGGGAGACTCCCCAGTCTGTGCAGGGAGAGGCTCAGAAGGTACACACATCACTTTTCATCCTCATCCTCATCATGTGGCCATATCTACCTTCGAGGGAGGCTGTGGGGTGCAGCCATAAGCCTGTTTAGAAGTCAGGGGTGGTCTCACCATGAGATCAATGGGAAGACCATAACACCTGGCACCTAGATGAGACAGGCACAGCCTTGGTGCTCGGCAAATCAGTGCATGAGCAAAGGAGAGATTAGGAGCAGAGTGTCTGCTGTTGGTAGGAAGAACGGGATGTTTTCTCTTGGCTTGGGAGCACACAGAGTGATCCTATGTGTATTAGTTTCCTATGCTGCATTGTGTTACAAATTTAACTACTTAAAACAACACACGGCCAGGTGGGGTGGCTCACACCTATAATCCTAGCACTTTGGGAGGCTGAGGCAGGAGGACGGCTTGAGCCAAGGAGTTTGAAATCACACAACATAGGAAGACCTCTCGTCTCTACAAGAAAAAAATAATTAGCTGGGTGTGGTGGTGCGTGCCTGTGGTCGTGGTCCCAGATATTTGGAAGTCTGAGGTGGGAGGATTGCTTGAGATCAGGAAGTCAAGACTGCAATGACATACGATTGCACCATTGCACTCCAGCCTGGCTGACAGGGCAAGACCCTGTCTCAAAAAACCAAACCAAAACACAAAACACACACATTTATGATCTTGTCATTTCTGTGGGTCAGGCATCCAGGCACAGCTTAGCTGGTCTGTGCTCAGGGTCTCCCAAAGCTGTATTTGAGGTGTTTGCTGAGCTGCGTTCTCATCTGCAGGCCCAACTGGGGCAGAGTCTGCTTTGCGTTCATCCAGGCTGTTGGCAGAATGTATTTCCTGTGGTTGTAGGGCTGAGGGCCTGTTTTCATGACTGACTGTCCCCTGGGAGCTACCTTTGTCCCCTGCTCTGTGGCCCCGTCCGAGGGCATTTCACGACGTGGGTATTTCCTTCCTCAAGGCTGGCAGGAGATCTCCTCACTCCGGCCTGCTGAGATGGAGTTAACGTAATGGAATGTGCTCACAGGAGCTGCCCCTCGCTTTGCCACTTTCTGTTGTTCAAAAGCACGTTCCAGGCCCTGCTCACTCTCAAGGTGAGGGGACCACACAGGGTGTGATTCCCTGAGGGTCACCCTGGAATGTGTCTGCCACACCCTGATACGGTAAGGACAGATTCCAAAGGCCTGTGTTCCCGGACCATTTCTGCTGCCACTGGGTGCCCTAGCCGGCCACTCACCTCTGTTGGGTCTTGATGTTCTCCTCCGTCCAGCAAAGCCATAGAGGTCAGTGGTCATTAATTTAACACTGAAATTGATGCATTTTTTTTTTCTTGTGTCCAGAGAACATGTTTAGCTCTGTTTTTTGTGTTAGTCGTAAGAATGCTCCCAATTGCAGCTGTGAAAGCTAAGGGTGGCTGAGAGCTCGCGTGGGCTGAATGTTTCACAGACACTTTTTGTGTAATCCTCAGAGAGGCTGAAGGACCTGCCCAAGCCACCCAAGTAGGAAACAGCATGGCGGGGAGCTCAGCGAGGGCAGGTAGGACTTCAGAGCCAGGCCCTTCCCGCTACGGCACCCTCTCTCCTACTGTCCTTGTTCCCTGATGGAATCTAGCTTTCCAGCAGGCAGGGGGATAGTGGGAAGAGGCTACCCCCTTTAACCTTGATGAAGTGCTAGGGAGGACTTTGGCAAGCCAGGCCCTCATGCCCCATGCCCCCACCCCTCCCCTTGCCCCATTTCGCTGCTTTCATCAGCACTCAGGGCAGGGAAGGGCTGGTCTGACCTCTCAGGCTGCCCCAGTGTGCCGACCACGTCTGTTCGTCTTTACGACGGCCAAATTGGGGAGCACAGTGTTCCGGCCTGGACACACACAGCCGTCATCCGCCACTGCATCAGCTGCCTCTGAGACCTCCTAGGACGCCCGCTGCCAGGCCTTTCTCACTTTCCTGGGGCGTTTCTCTCTGGGTTGGTAGGGATTGGAGATCTCCGAAGGAGAAAGGCGGTCTTGGTCCCTCGGTCAGAAAATGCCTGGCACGCTTGCTTCAGAACCACACCAGGGGATGATTTATAGATGTGTGGGTTACCAGGTGAGGGCAGGTGGGGACCACAGCAGGCTCAGCGACCCTCAGGAGGTGGCTGCAGAGCTGCCATCCCTGGGACTGAGGGAGGAAGGCTGTGGCCCTGGAACCTGGACGGGAAGGTGTGTGGGGTTCAGAGTTGCAGAGTGTGTGACCTTCGGGGAGGGACTGAAGGGCTCTGGGGAGGCAAGCACCAGCCTCCTGCTGCTGCCTTGTGCTGATCTCATGCCAGGGCGCCCCACAGCCAGCCAGAGGCCAGGGGGCAGCAGGGTCTACTTTTGCTGTCAGCACCTTGAGCAGAGAACAGAGTGGGCAGGGGCAGACGTGGATGTGAAGGGCCGTGGAAGACATGGGACGCAGGATCCCTGGTGGTTTTTGTTCCTTATGATGTGGCAGGCATGGGGCAGGGTGTTTGGAGTGAGCATGGTGGCATGTTCTGTGGCTGGAATGGGGCAGAACATTTGGAGTGGGCATGGTGGCATGTTTTGTGGCATTCATGGGGCAGGGCATTTGGAGTGGGTAGTGGCATGTTTTGTGGCACACATTGGTGGCAGGCTAAGAAACGTGGCTAAGATCACACTGTAGGCAAGCAATGGAGCTGGGCTCAGACCCAGGGCTTTCTGCCTCCAAGTGCCCCCTTCCTACTGTAGCAGACAGAGCAGGAATTCCAATCTGAAGCCACCCTGCCTTTCCTGTGGGCTGGGGCCGGTGTCTGCAGGCCATGCTCTTGTTGACCATGGTGTAGGCTGGAGCCGAGCTGGGAGGAAGTGCTGGGGAGGGTGGGGTTGGGCCACACTCCAGCATGGGGGTGGGGGGCGTGTGGATCAGAGGGAGGAAGGAAGAGAAAATAGGGGTGGAGAGAGGGGAGAAGGCACCAGGGAGAGGGCAGGGGGCTGGGAGTGCCAACTACCCCACAGTCCCAGACAGTCCTCTGCTGGAGAGTCAGCTATTAACAGCAAAGGGGGCTGTAATTGCAGAAAGCAAAACACATTGAGGTTTTTTGGGAAAAAAACTATAATATCTTTATGACTTTGGGGCAGGGAAGGATTTCTTTAACAAGATCTCCAAAGCACAAACTGTAGGAGAAAATACTGATGACTTTGATGTCAAAATTTTAAAACTTCTGTTTAAAATAATTGTCGTAAATAAAGTGAAAATGCAAGTCTCACAGATTAGAAGTTATCAGCAATGCAACTAATGGTCTAAGAGTAAGTGTCCACACTCTGTAAAGAACTTCTGAAAATCTACACATAAAAGACAAGCAAGAAAATAGAAAGATGGAGGCCGGGTGCAGCGGTTCACACCTGTAATCCCAGCACGTTGGGAGGGCAAGGTGGGCAGATCGCCTGAGCTCAGGAGTTCAAGACCAGCCTGAGCAACATGATGAAACCCCATCTCTACTAAAAATACAAAAATTATCTGGGTATGGTGGCACATGCCTGTAATCCCAGCCACTTAGGAGGCTGAGGCAGGAGAATTGCTTAAACCTGGGAGGCAGAGGTTGCAGTCAGCCAAGATCCGGCCACTGCACTCCAGTCTGGGTAGCAGAGTGAGACTCTGTCTTAAGAAAGAAAGGAAGAAAGAGAGAGAGAGAGAAAGAAAGAAAGAGAGAGAGAGAAAGAAAGAGAAAGAAAGAAAGAAAAAGAAAGAGAGAGGGAAAGAAAGAAAGAAAGAAAGAAAGAAAGAAAGAAAGAAAGAAAGAAAGAAAGAAAGAAAGAAAGACAGGCAAAGGGAGCCACAAGCAAGTCAGAGAAGAGAAAACATGTGTGGTTACTAAGTGTCTGAAGAACCAGTGCCTTTGCTGGCTGAGACATTGCAAGTCAAAGCCACATCACGATGCTTGTCCATGCCCAGCACTTTGGCAAAACTTTAAAAACCTGGCCACCCGGGTGATGGAGGGCGGGAAGGGAAGCGGGCATCGTGCACTTTGCTGAAAAGAGGGTGGCTGCATGCAACGGCCAGTGCAGTGGACAGTGTGTGTGCCCCACAGCCAGATGCCCTTCTTTTAAGCACAAGCCTCTACGGTTCACAGTAGTGTCGCCCAGGATAGCAGGCAACCTGGAAGCATCCATTGACAGAATGAATAAATAAATTATGGCAAATTCACACAAGGGGACACTGGAGCCATGACAAGAAATGAACTAAGGCTACGTGGATACAGGTCCAAAGCAGAATGTCAAGGCAGAAAGGCTGAACGGTGGATACTGCATAGCTCTGTGTACACAGGGCTGGAACCATGCCTGGGAAAGGAGCTACATGGGAGCTTGGGAGCTCCTTCCTGCTCCTCACTCCCCTTCTCAGGGAGAACTGCATGGGGAGAGCATGGTGCTTGTGGCAGTGTGTGTGCACGTATGTGTGAGCACGTGGCACGGTGCATGCATGGATGTGTGAGCACGTGGCACGGTGCATGCATGGATGTATGACTGTGGCAGTGTGTGTGCACATATGTGTGAACGTGTGGCAATGTGCATGCGTGGATGTGTGAACGTGTGGCAGTGTGCGTGCATGGATGTGTGTTTGTGGCGGTGTGTGTGCACGTATGTGTGAGCATGTGGCACTGTGCATTCACGGATGTGTGAGTGTGTGGCAGCGTGCATGCGTGGATGTGTGTGGCAGTGTGCATGCACGTATGTGTGAGCATGTGGCAGTGTGCATGCACGTATGTGTGAGTGTGTGGCAGCGTGCATGCGTGGATGTGTGTTTGTGGCAGTGTGCCTGCACGTATGTGTGAGCACGTGGCAGTGTGCACGCATGGATGTGTGATCGTGTGGCCGTGTACGTGTGCCAGCGTGTATGTGAAAGACGTGTTTGTGTGGGTGTGTGACAATGCTTGTGTGTGTCTGAGTGTGTGTGGTGTGTGATGATGAGTGTGAGTGTGAGCGTGCCGAGGACGAGGTTTCAAGGCTCCCCGGATGCATATGTCCTTCCTGGGCCACTGCCCAGATCCTGACTCCCTCTTCGGCCCCTGCCAGTCACAGGGCATGGGGCCACTTGTGCCACGGGGGACTGGGAGGAATGAGGCTCCTGGCCTTTTTTGCCCGAGGGAGTGGGTCATGCAGGGCCAGGCTGAGCACCTGGGGCTTTTTGGAGACGGCTCCCACCGGGTGTGCTGCCCTTGCCGTCCAGCAGGTGGCGCGCCCGGGCAGGTTCCAAAGGTCGTCAGGCGTCCCGCCCACCCCCTTTTGCAGGCGGGGAAACTGAGGCTGGACTTCTCCTTCCCCTGAATACCAGGGAATCCATTCCCCCAGTCCACGTGCTTATGGGGCCTGGCTGAGTTCTGGGGTTGGGAGCCATGGTGAGCAGAACAGACGGGGCCTCCCCGTCCGGAGCTTGCGTCCCAGTGAGGACACCGGGAGGCGACCCGTGGGGAGCGCCCGACCCTGAGACACTGCCGCTCACCCCACACCCAGCACAGTTTGCACGTGAGACCCCCAGCGTCTGCAGCCCTGGGCCGTCCTGGGGCCTACGCAGCCATTGCTGTGCACCGCGCACCTCTCCTGTTAGCCCGAAAACCCCTGCGAGAGTCCCGCCTCCTCCACCTCCGTGTGTTTCGGGGACAGGCAGCCCATCCTGGTGGACAGAGTGTGGGGGCACAGGGTCCGCACACCCGGTCCACGAGGCTCCACCACGCTCGAGCTGTGCGGCCATGGGCAGGCTGCGTGGCCTCTCAAGTGGGGTCAATGATGGTCACCACCACGGAGGGTCGTGGGGGTGCTGACCAGGTGTGAGAATGCCTTGCAAAGGCTCCAGTCTCCCCACACAGGTGCGCAGCCATACCGGCCCTGCTTTTGTTGGAGGGTGTAGAGAGGGGAATCCCTAAAGAGATATATCTAAGGCCGGGTTCCGTGTCTCACACCCATAATCCCAACACTTTGGGAAGCCGAGCTCAGTGGGTCATCTGAGCTCAGGAGTTTGAAACCAGCCTGGCCAACATGGCGAAACCCCGTCTTTACCAAACATACAAAAATTAGCCAGGCTTGATGGGGCACACCTGTAGTCCCAGTTACTAGGGAGGCTGAGGCGGGAGGATCACTTGAGCCTGGGAGGTGGAGGCTGCAGTGAGCCAAGATTTCGCCACTGCACTCCAGACTGGGTGACAGAGCAAGACCCTGTCTCGAAAGAAAAACAAAAATTGATATGTTCAAGTCAAAACCGCTGGTACTTGGGAATGTGACCTTATTTGGAAATAAGGTCATTGCTGATGTAATTAGTTAAGATGAGGCCATATTGGAGGAGGGGCGACCCTAAGTCCAATGCCAGGTGTCCCTATAAAAGGCAAAGAGGCACAGATAGAAGAGGCCATGTGAAGATGGAGGAGGAGACTGGAGCAGTGCAGCCACAAGCCCAGCAATGCCTGGAGCCACCACACACGGCTCTACCCTCTCCAATAAAACCAGGCAAGGTCTGGCCATGGTGCCTGCATGGGGGGACCCCAATGCCTCTGCAGGACGCCCTCACACCTAGTCAGTCTCTCCCAGGACCCCCTGTGGTGCCAATCACTGTCCCCACTTTGCAGTGCAGGAAGGGTCCTCCCCTAGAGACCTCAGAGGGAGCACACACCTTGATTCCAGGCTTCTGGCCTCAGGACTGTGAGAAAGAGAGTACATTTCTGCTGTAAGCCATGCAATGTGTGGTCATTTGTCTACACAGCCCCAGGGGCTCAGGTAGAGGGACACCACAGGAGAGTGGAGGAGGCAGGGCGCCCCCACAGGAGTCTGGCTACAGCAGGGCTGAGAAGTGGGCTGGCTCCCGGCTCCCTGTGGTTCTGAGACCCAGCTTGGCGGTAGCTGCACCTGGGCCAGGTGGGCAGCTCGGGCTGGGAGCAGACGGCTCCTACCCCGACTCGGCACAGTGCTATGCCCGGCTGTGCACATAGCCCTCCAGGCGGCACCTTCACGGCACTTGGCCGGGTGTCCTTCCCCCTCCCTGGCCTGTGGGTGCTTTGAGGACATGCCTGAGGAGGTGCTCCAGGCCGAGGCATGGTGAGAAAGAGTGGGCTCCGCATATGTGGGTCAGCACTGGAGTCCTGCCTCCACCACTCTCAAGCATAAGTGGCGGACTTTACCCCAGAGCCTCAGTCTTCTCATCTGTACAAGGGGCTAATAATACCTAGCTCACAGGGCTGTTGTACGGGTGAGACCGGACAATGCCTGTCAAGTATGTGGCATAGAGTAGGTGCACAAGGTGTGCGACATTACAAATACAAATGCTCCTGGAAAGGATGGATGAATGAATGCAGAGATGACCCGCCCTTTGGTTTCCATTGGGAAGTGACCCGGCCCTGGATTAGGGGGGCTGTCAGCAGGGTCCTCTGGAGTGGGGGGCGGGATCAGATCCCAGATGTGCATGTGGCTCCGGCTTGGCATTTCCTTAGAGGGACAAGATTTCCTCAGGGGCAGAGAGGAGAGAGTCCACCTAACACCCACGTGTTTGAGAGAAAGCAAAGCTTCCACTGGAGGAATGCTGGAGTCAGATAACAGACGATGCTCTGAGGCTCCAGAGGGAAAATGAGCACTTCGGAGGCGTTGGATCCAGCAGGAGGATTTCTGAATCAGGTGGAATGAAAGGTGCACGCTGGATCACGAGGTTTTCTGCAGCACGTGTCAGAGATTCCCTGCCAGTGACTCACTTTTTCAATGAGTCCTGAAATTCATTCATGCCGAGAGGAGCGATGGATGACAGACCCCTTGTAATCAGCAAGGGTTCTGTTCTCAGAACAGAGGGCTCGGGAGCCCCACGAGAGAGAGGACACCTTACAGAGGCCCCGAGCCCAGGCCTCTCCCTGCGCTGTTAGCCTGGCTGGAACATAGCAGCCAAGCACGTTTAGCTTCTGTTTGTAGGAGGAAAGGGAGTGGAAGCAGCAGTTCTGGGGGAAGCCTTAGGTTAGATCTTTGTTGCTTATTTATTTATTTTACTATTTATTTATTTATTTATTTATTTATTTATTTATTTATTTATTTGAGACAGAGTCTTGGTCTGTCACCCAGGCTGGAGTGCAGCAGCGTGATGTCAGCTCCCTGCAACCTTCGCCTCCCAGGTCCAAGAGATTCTCCTGCCTCAGCCTCTCAAGTACCTGGGACTACAGGCAGGCGTCACCATACCCAGCTAATTTTTGTACTTTTAGGAGAGACGCGGTTTTGCCCTGTTGGCCAGGCTGGTCTCAAACTCCTGACCTTAGGATGATCCACCCGCCTCGGCCTCCCAGTGTGCTGGAATTACAGGTGTGAACCACTGTGCCTGGCTGCTTCTTTATTTTTTTAAGGTTACATGTTTCTGTGCGACTGTGCTTGCTGTTCTCCTAGTGGAGGTGCTATGGCCTTCATACCAATGGACGCACAGTGATACGGGCTGAGTGTGTCCCCCTCAAAATTCCTATGTTGAAGTCCTAACACTCAAAATGATGGCATCGCGAGATGAGGCCTGTGGTAGGTGATGAGGTCCAGAGGGAGCCTCGTGAATGGGATTCATGCCCCTCTTCCTTCATGTGAGGACACGGTGAGAAGGCGTCATCTGTGAACCAGGAAGCAAGCCCTCACCAGACACCGAGTCTCCCGGGGCCTTGATCTTGGACTTCCCAGCCTCCAGAACTGTGAGAAACAAATTTCTGTTGTTTAGAAGCCACCCAGTCCATGGAGTTTTTATTATAGCAGCCCACGCGGACTAATACACATAGACATCTAGAGATAAAGCAGTTATAATTGTTAGTTTTTGTCACTCGGTCAGAGTTTAACTTTGGCAAGTATGGTTTTTTGTTTTTGTTTTTGTTTTTGAGATGGAGTCTCGCTCTGTCACCCAGGCTGGAGTGCAGTGGTGTGATCTCAGCTCACTGCAAGCTCCGCCTCCTGGGTTCACGCCATTCTTCTGCCTCAGCCTCCTGAGTAGCTGGGACCACAGGCACCTGCCACCATGCCTGGCTCATTTTTTTTATTTTTTTAGTAGAGACGGGATTTCACCGTGTTAGCCAGGATGGTCTCAATCTCCTGACCTGGTGATCTGCCTGCCTCGGCCTCCCAAAGAGCTGGGATTACAGGCATGAGCCACCGCGCCCGGCCAAGTATGATTGTTTTAAATGAACCATCAAACACTGCCTTAAAGGTCCCCGTGTGTCCTCTCTGAGCCGATTCAACAAAACTACACAGCCAGGAAGCAATCCTGGGTACAGAAGAAGCTTCACACGTAAAGATGCTCATCATAGTGTTATTCACAATAGAAAATATTGGAAGCAACTTACACGTCCAACAAGAGGAGATGGTAGAATAAATGATTCCGTTTTCTCTAGATGGAATATTGTGGGATCATCAAAAGAGATGGTTTAAAAAAGGAGACAGCGATGGTTAGAAATGTTAAAATGTGCCTATCCTGGAACCCCACAATTTCACTTCCCAGAATTTATCCCAAAGACAGGCACAAGGGCAAGCATGAAGAAACAAGAGTAACGGGGTTTCACAATTATTGCGAAAAGTCGGAAACCACTCACGGTCACTCCGTAGAGGCTGGGTGACATGAACCGATGAACTTGCACAGAACGGAATGCAGTGACAGGGCTAGATTAGAAACAGACGGGCAAGTTCAAGGACCTAGTGAAGGGGCGGGTTATCAAGGTGTGTTGAGGAGGGGGTGAAAGGAGGTTGTCGAAGGATAGGAAGCAGCACAGGACTGGAAAGAGGGAAGCTGGGACCACCCGTAGGCCCAAACAGAAATGAGGCTTTCAGAAGAGAAGGAGGCTCCCGCCCATCGCCAGCGTCCAGGAGGAGACAGTGGGTAGGCACACCCCGCTCTCCTCCCACGCTCTGCTCTGTCCCAGTCTCCTGTTGGGCAAATCCAACTGAAAGGCAGAGAGTCCGTGGGGTGGGGTAGGTCAGCGCCCAAAGCATGGGGCAGGTGGAAAAGAGAGGAGATTGGATGAGGCGGGGCTAGCAGGAGAGGCCTCACATAGGGGCAAGCCAGAAAGACAGCGCCACATCTGAAAAGATGCCCGTGTGTGTCCACAAATTCTAAAGGTGACATATTTTAGTATCCTCGCTGTCCTAATCTCAGTGGAAGTGTACGAGTATAAAATGAAATAAAAACATTATATGCGTAGATGTATAGTGTGAATATATATCAGTGTATGCTTATACTTGTGCATACCCATGCATATGATGTAAAAATATATATAGCGGCAAGCAGATCTGTAGGTATGATCTTAAATTTGGAAATCAATCAATCAATACATTTATGTGGAGAGTTTTGAAAATCACGATCTGGCAATCCACGCACCACGGGGCTCGCGGTGATGATTCCTGGGTCATGAGACGATGGCGGCTTCCTGCCCTCCCTCCTCTCGTTACACTTTCGATCTTCTGAATATTTTGCAATGAGTATGTACGGCTCTCACAATGAGAGAAACAGCTATTTAGCAATAAATAAATAAATAAAATAAATAAATAATGTTGCAAGGACAAGCAGCGTTTACGAGAATGACAGCGTAACGTGCACTGGTGCCTAATGGAACAACATGAGGTGGGAAACGCAGTCCGGTGCCCGCTGTGAGTGTCTGTTTGGTGTGATGATGAGTGAGGATGTGTGTGAGGGGAAGCAGCCCCACCTGGGATGGATCAGAGGAGTTGGACTTCGATGGGGTGGAGGCCACGTGGGGGGTGATGCTCTTGTTCTTTCTCCACATTCCATGCACAAAACTAAACCAAACAGTGCTTTTTTTGTTTTTGTTTTTGTTTTTGTTTTTTGAGACAGGGTCTCGCTCTGTCTCCTAGGCTGGAGTGTTGTGGCTCAATCTCAGCTCATTGCAACCTTGACCTCCTGGGCTCAAGCGATCGTCCCATCTCAGTCTCCCAAGTAGCTGGGACCACAGGCATGCACCACCATGCCCGGCTACTTTTTGTATTTTTTGTAGAGATGGAGTTTTGCCATGTTGCTCAGGCTTGAACTCTTGGACTCAAGCGATCCTCCCGCCTCGGCCTCCCAAAGTGCTGGGGTTACAGGTGTGAGTCACTGCACCTGATCCCAAATGAGCTTTTAAAGGAGAACAGGAGGCTCAATGATTGGACAAGGAGGAGGCTGGGCTCTGTTTCCAGGGCAGAGGGAGGGGTCAGGTCAGTTCTAGAGGCCGGCTTTCCCAGTTTACAATGGGGGAAGCCGGGGCCCAGAGGGCAACTGTTGTTAATTAGCGCTGGCGCACTTTTCTCCCCAACCCCATGCGGGTTCTGTCGCACCTGCTCGCTCTTAGGACTGAATGCCCTACGATCCCCACCGAAAGGATGCTAGAGGTTACAGGAGTGGCCCCCTACCGCTCAGCCAGTAACAGGCTTTGAACCCTGCTAAACTCCGGTGGCACAGGCTGCGCGAGGCTTGCGTCTCCTCAGAAGGGCCGCTCCTCTCTGGTCAGCAAAATCTCCTCCCCGCCCAGGAATCTGGACGGCCCCTGCCATTTGCCTGGTTGTTCCCCTACCCGAGTGCCCTCGATTTTCCCCTCTGGCCCGGGCAGGAGCAGCAGGGCTGGATGCCAGGGCCCCAGGGGCAGGGAGGTGAGTGGGCAACACTCCTTCCCCCATGGGTAAGGCAGACACCCAGCCTCGGACCACATCAGAGACGCCTAGGGCCCCAGCCACAGCTGGGATCACTCAGCTGGGTAATGTCTCCACTTCCCGGCCAGGCCAGAGCTTTTCCATCCTGCCAGGACTTTCAAGAAAACAGCTGTCTGGCTGGTGAGTAGAGGGGCCTGGCCCTGGGTGGCCTTCCTGGCTGGCTGGCCCCAGGGACTCAGCAGGCACAAAAACAGCCTCGCTTCTCCCCAGCTGCCAGCTCAAGGTCTGAGGGACCCTGACAGGCCTGTCCTCGGCTCAGGGCTGACCCTTCTTCCCTTCCAGGCTGAACAGAAAGCAAAACATCAGCCTGCTGGCCCGTGGGGGTTGGGAGGGGCGGGTGTCATTGCCCTCTAACAGCCTGGACATTCTTGCAGTCACTTGGGCTCAAGAGGTTTAAAAGTTCCCACTGCTTGGAGGACAAGGACAGGCCAAGAGTGTCTGCTGGTGCAGGCAGTGGATGTCTGATTCCCCCAGGGGCAGGGATTTCCGTGGGACTCATGGAGGACTTTGGGGGCCCATGAACCTAGCAAGAAAAATTTATATGTTTGTTTTCACCAACCTTTAACTCACACACACAGATCCTGGACTCAGGGGGATCAGTCAGCTGTGACTTTGCTGTTCACAGAGACCTCGATAGGGACCCCGCAGCTAGTGTCCAGACAGACATCTCATAGCAGCACTGTCTTTACCTCCTCTTCCAGGCAGGCACCGTGATCACCCCCACTTTACAGATGAGAAAAGCCAGGCTGGGGGATGTCATTACTCAGGGTCCCCGGCTTGTGAACTGCTATTCGAACCCAGGTCCATCTGACCCCTTGGGGTTAATGCACTAAACCAGAATTGCAGGATTCCACAGCAGCTGACCGCCCCACAGAGGCCCACCTCTAGCAGAGGAGATGGGAAGGTTAGAGCTGGTTATTTAATGTGCTATAAAGAAACCCCTATCACTGAATCTCATCTAGAGCTATATACGTAACTGGCTTTGATTATAGTCTATGCATTTATTTATGCATTTAAAACATTATTCTGGGCAGGGATCCACAGGCTTCAATGGAATGGCAAAAGGATCCATGGCATGAAAAGGGTTAAGAACCCTTGCTTTAGAACCTGCTGGTAAAATAATAATGAGGAGGTGGAAAATAGAGTGCCACTTCCATGAGGGCAGGGCCTGCCTGTCTCCACGCACTGCTCTTGTTCTGGCATCTAAAGGAGCTCTTGGTCAGGAACAGCATCTGATTTCCCTAAGTTTACACCTTTAACCTGTTCCCATCTCACTATTCCCATTGGTACCATCGAGGCTGTTGTACAGAGTGCCCTGCAAATGCAGCCTCAAGACAAACCCTTCTGGTGAGGCTGCTGCCGGGACGATTCTCCCATATAAACCCTGGAGCAGCCATGCCCCTCAATAACTACCAATGGGAGAGGTGAGTTCCAGAGGGGTGTGCAGAAATGGCTCTGCAAAACCAGTCCAGGTGCAAATCCTGGCCCCATGATTCACTAGCTGGGTGACCTTGAGTGATTCCCCTAACCTTTCTGGCCCTTGTTTCCTTATCTGTGACATAGGCTTCATCATACAACAAGAAAAAATATTCCATATTTGCTTGATCACATATCTGTGCATTTATTCACCCACCCATCCAACCATTAGACCATTCACTCACCCATTCATCCATCCGTCCATCCATCCACCTATCCATCCATCCAGCCAGCCAGCCAGCCATCCACCCATTCCTCCACCCACCCACTCATCAATTCATCCATTCACCCATCCATCCATTCACCCATCCATCCAGTTATCCATCCATTCATCCATCTACCCATCCATCCACCCATTCCTCCACCCACCCACCCATCAATTCATCCATCCATCCATCCATCCATTCACCTATTCACCTGCCCATCATTCACCCATCCATCCATCTACTCATCCATCCATTCACCCATCCACCTACCCACCCACGCATTCATTCACCCATCCATCTATTCATCTACTCATCCACCCATCCACCCATTACTCCATCTACCCATCCATTCTATTTTTCGATGGGTTTCAGAATACATACATTTCCCCCTAAATACTTCCACATGCAAATCATTAATCAGGCTTTCATATTTCAGAAACTTAATTTTACTTCTAGAAATTAAGGTGGCCAAGTCCTGCCTCCTTCTTGCCTCTCCCTACTCCCACCCTGCCGCTCCAGGCTGAGATATCCTAGGGCAAGAACTAACAGGACCCTCTGAACTCCTCCCGGGCCCCTGGTTTCTGGAGACCCCTCTATGGAGGAGAATCTAAGGACAGCCTGAAGTTGGGGGGTGTGTGTGTGGTGGGGCGGGATGGCGGGGAGGGGTTGCTCCTCCTGAAGCCCTTCAGTGACAGCCAAGCACTTGCTTGTCTGGCTGTTGAGGCTTTTGCTTAACTTCCCCTGGGTGTCTCACCAGCTCTGGCACTGGTGCAAGCTCATCACCTTGGACCAGCTGCCTGTAGAGGTAGTGAGCTCGCCATCACTGGAAGTGATTAAGCAAAGACTGAAAGAAGCTCTGGTGGGGGTGGGAGAATGTTGTAGAGAAAATTTAACCCAGAACAGGGTTAAACTACATCAGGGCTTCTCAACTTCTGCGCTGTTGATATTTTGGGCTGGATAACTCTGTTATGGAGGCTGACCTGTGCACCGCAGGGCATCCTGCAATAGTTCTGGTCTCAATCCATTATATGCCAGTAGCACCCACCCCCTAAGCAAAATGAAAACCAAAAATGCCTCCCGTCATCACCAAATGTTCCCTGGGGGTGAACTTGACCCCAGGAGAGAACATCTGGATTAGAGGAAACCTACGGTCCCTTGGACCTTGAAATTCCAGGGTTGATCCTGCTCCCCAGGGCACCTCCCTCCTCAGTCCCCTCTGTTCATGGTCCTGTAGCCTTTCCATTGCCATGGAAACTGGAATCGTCTTTGCCTCTTTTTCTTCTTTTGCCCACCCCATTTACGCATTCTTTCAACTAACAAAACCCCATGTGCTGGGCCCAGGGGACATGGATGCAAACAGCCCCTGTCTCCTCTTCTGGGGCGAGAGTAACAATGGTCTGACTTCCCTAAGCGGTTTGAGGATTAAGTGAGACGGACAATGCCAGGAAACGTGCCAAGCAAAATGCGAGCGTGCGGTGGACGTCGTCAGCTCTTAGAATTCTAAGCTCTGCAGAGGAGGGGGGCGCCGGGCAATAGAAGAGGCCTGCCGTTGGAAGCAGGGTCTGCAGGGTAGAGGCGCCCTGGGCAGCAGGGCGCAGCAGGGGCGGGGTTGGAAGCAGCATGTGTGTAGTCACAGAAAAGCCAGGGAGGCAAGTATCCCAAAGCCCCAGAACCAGTCTTGGGGCTTGGTCCTCACCCCAGGGGCGCAATGCCCCTGGAGGGTTTTAAGAAGAGTGAGTGGCATGGATGGGGAGTGAGAAGGGGGCAGGAGTGGGGACGAAAAGACTAGCAGGCAGGCAGTTTCAGCAGCCCGGGAACTAGGCCGTGGGGGCTGGACCCAGTGAGGGAGAAAGAGCCTGGGGGCGGAGCCAGGGTTTTGGAGGAGGAGCCAGACCTCCCGGGGTGGGGCCATGACTGGGGGAGGAGCCATATCTCCTGGGGGTGGAACGAGGTCTCCTGGGGGTGGAGCCAGGCTTCCTAGGGTGGAGCTAGGCCTGGGGGCGGAGCCAGGCTCCTGCAGAGAACCCACGTCCCCTGGGGTTGGGGCCATAACTGAGGGGAGAATCCAGATTTCCCTGAGGTGGAACTAGGTCTCCTGGGGATGGGGCCAAGCCTGGAGCAGCAGCCAGACCTCAAGGGGTGGGGCCAGGCCTCCTGGGGTGGTGCTTTGCTTGGGGATGAGGCCATGACTGTGGGAGGAACCAGATCTCCTTGGGGTGGAACCCCGTCTCCTAGGGGTGGGGCTAGGACCGGAGTAGGTGCCAGGATCTTGGGGCTGGAGCTAGGCCTGGAGGAGAAGCCAGACCTCAAGGGGCAGGGCTAGGCCTTTGGGTGGGGCCAGGACTCCTGGAGGTGGGGCCATGCTTGAGGGAGGAGCCAGTTGTCCCTTGGGCAGGGCCAAGTAGGGGTGGGGCCAGGCCTTTGGGAGCTAAGGGAGGTCCAGAGGGTGGGGCCAATCCTGGGGTGGGTCTACGCTTGGGAAGGGCCGAGCCCAGCCCTGGTTGGAGAAGGAAATCAGAAGGGACGCCTCCTTGCTGGCCTTCTGGCTGAGCCTCAGAGCCTGGTTTTCACAGGGCGCCTTCATCTTTCGTCAACATCTGTCCAAATAGTACCTTTAAAAATCATTGCCAAAGCGTTTGCTCCTAAGGATTGGAAACGACCATCGGCAGGGGACGGGTTAAACCGATTAAGGTGACTGACACCGCGCAGTGATGCGCAGCCAGTGTAACGGCCCTGTGGAGGACATCTAGGTGCATCGTCTGGTAGAAGGTACGAGGGCAGACAGCATGGTCTGCATGCTCTATGCCACCATTTGGGCTCAAAAGCAAAACAACATACAATCATGTGGTTATCTACTCATCCAGAATTTCTGGAAAGACCCCAAGAAAGTGGTCACATTGCTTGCCTCTAGGAAGCTGGGAGCGGGACAGGGCTGTGAGGGACATGTCTCACTTTATTTTCACTTTATTCCTGAGCCAGCCGGGGCTGCGTGTGGCATTGGGCCACAGAACCAGACACAGGGCTCAGTGCGCTAAGGCGAGGGTTTCGTCCCGGGATGGGTGGCATCCAGGCACAGGCAGTCCTAGCCAGGCAGCAGCTCCACTGGAACAGCAACCTCACCCACTCCTGTCCTCTTGACTGCAAGACGGTGGCTCCACCGCCAAGGTCACGAGGTGTACCAGGCTGGAGGGAGAGCAGTGTACGGTACAGCCGAGGGAAAGGCTTTTCCAGAAGCCCCTGAACTGACCTGCAGGTCTCACTGGCAGCGCTGGGCACATGGCCCTGCCAGGCACAGAGAAGGTCATTTCTCAGCGGCACCCTGGTGCGCTGGACAGAGCTGGAGCTCTGTAGGAAGTGAGCATGGAGCTGGGGCTGGCACCTTTGCACCTCAGGAAATTTGCACTCTGTAACCCAGTTCCCTGCCTAATAGATTCAGCATCAGCCAAGGAACCAAGTGAGAACGTGCCCAGGGGAGCCAACTGCTTGTCCCCTCATCCGCACCCCCAGCTCATGTCTGTGGCACGGCCTGGGTGCAGGACCCCCCCCCCCCCCCGCCCCCTGTGGGAGCAGAGGCAGGCACGACTTGGTGGAAGGAGGTTCGAGGCAGCAGGGCCCTGCTTCCTGCTGGCGGGAGGATGGGGGCCGTGCCAGGTGACAGGTGAGATGGCAGATGGTGGCAGAGGGGGGTGCCAGTCTGGGAAGTAATGAGGTAGCTCATTATCAGGCAATGTTTGTTTGTGGCCGAGAACTCAGCGCCAGCCCAACTCAGCTCGGCCCAGGTTGGAGGCCTGCTGCTGCGCATTTAGAGAGAGCACAGCCCTGTCTGCATGCAGGGTCCTAGCTGCCCCTCTGTAAAAAATGCCTCTTGGTCAGCCGGAGATGTGCTTCAGATGCAGATCCCGGGCTCTGTTACCCAGAGACTGAAACCTGGTGGGTCAGAAGGAGCTCAGCAACCTGCATTTTTTTTTTTTTTTTTTTTGATTCGGAGTTTCGCTCTTATTGCCCAGGCTGGAGTGCAAAGGTGTGATCTCAGCTCACTGCAACCTCCACTTCCCAGCTTCAAGCGATTCTCCTGCCTCAGCCTCCCAAGTAGCTGGGATTACAGGCATGCGCCACCACGCCCGGCTAATTTTGTATTTTTAGTAGCGACGGGGTTTCTCCATGTTGGTCAGGTTGGTATCAAACTCCTGACCTCAGGTGATCCATCCGCCTCGGCTTCCCAAAGTGCTGGGATTACAGACATGAGCCACTGTGCCTGGCCTCAACCTGCATTTTTAGACAAGCTCCCAGGTGATTGGGATGCAGAAAGTCCCTGGCTTGACTAACTACAGATTTATATCCAGATGCAGTTTCTTGGGCACCTCTATGGGTGGGCACACCTCTACACCTGCTGCACACATTCGGTTCTGTTTGGTCCTCACTGGAGGATCGCTACCCATGAGGTCAAACTATCACCACCCCATTTCACAGACAAGGAAATGCAAGCCCAGAGAGGTGCAGTCCCGTGGTCTAGGTCACACAGCGCTTCCGGAGGACCCTGCACCTGGCAGACAGCCTTGGCCTCCCGGGCCCACAAAGCCTTTGCAGCTGCTCTGTCCTGTTTGTTTGTTTGTTTGTTTGTTTTGAGACAGAGTCTTGCTCTGTCACCCAGGCTGGAATGCAATGGAGCAATCTTGGCTGACTGCAACCTCTGCCTCCTGGGTTCAAGCAATTCTCCTGCCTCAGCCTCCTGAGTAGCTGGGATTACAGGCACGTGCCACCACGCCTGGCTACTTTTTGTGTTTTTTAAGTAGAGACGGTGTTTCACCATTTTGGCTAGGCTGGTCTCAAGCTCCTGACCTGAAGTGATTCGCCCACCTCAGCCTCCTAAAGTGCTGGGATTACAGGCATGAGCCACCACACTTGGCCTGTCCTGTTTGGTCTTGCAGCGTATTGAAGGTCTGGTGCTGTTACCCGCCTTTAACAGACAGGGCAGACTGAGGCTGTAGGGGCTGGGTGACCCTCTGAGTTCCAGCCCTTTCAGGGAGTAGGTGTCTCTATTGGGGTTCTCCAGAGAAACAGAACCAAAAGAGTGGGTGTGTTGCGGTGTGTGCGTGTGTGCACATGCATGTGTGTGCATTTGTGTGTGTGCATGTGTGCACATGCGTGTGCATTTGTGTGTGCGCGTGTGTGTTGGGGTGTGTGCGTGTGCGCACATGCGTGTGTGTTCATGTGTGTGCTGGGGTGTGTGCGTGTGCACATTTGTGTGTGCGTGTGTGTTGGGGTGTGTGTGTGCACATGCGTGTGTGTGCGCGTGTGTTGGGGTGTGTGCGTGTGTGCACGGGCATGTGTGTGCATTTGTGTGTGCGTGTGTTGGGGTGTGTGCGTGTGTGCACATGCGTGTGTGCGCATTTGTGTGTGTTGGGTGTGTGCTTGTGTGCACGTGCATGTATGTGCATTTGTGTGCGTGTGTTGGGGTGTGTGCGTGTGTGCACGTGGTGTGCACGTGCGTGTGTGCCTGTGTGCGTGCTTGTGTTGGGGTGTGTGCGTGTGTGTGCATTTGTGTTGGGGTGTGTGCATGTGTGCACCTGCATGTGTGTGCGCATGGGTGTTGGGGTGTGTGCGCGTGCGTGTGTGTGCATTTGTGTGTGTGCGTGTGTGTTGGGGTGTGTGCGTGTGTGCGCATTGGGGTGTGTGGGTGTGCACTGCGTGTGTTGTGGTGTGTGCGTGTGTGCACGTGCGTGCGTGTGTTGGAATGTGCGTGTGTGCACGTGCGTGTATGTACATGTGTGTGCGTGTGTGTTGGGGTGTGTGCACGTGCATGTGTGTGGATTGTGTGTGTGTTGGGGTGTGTGCACATGCATGTGTGTGTGTGGGTGTGGGTGTGTGTGTGGACGTGCGTGTGTGTGCATTTGTGTGTGTGCACATGCGTGTATGTGTTGGGGTGTGTGCGTGTGTGCACGTGCGTGTGTGTGCATTTGTGTGTGTGTGTGTGTGTGTGTGTGTAGAGGCATTTATTTTAAGGAATTGGCTCAAGTGATTGTGGAGGCTGACAAGTCCACAGTCTGCAGGGTGGGCCACCAGGCTGACAACCTGGGGAAGCATTGATGTTGCAGCTCAAGTCCCGGGTCGTCTGCTGGCAGAATTCCTTCTTGCTTGGGGAATATCAGTTTTTTTGCTCTGTGTTTTTTGTTCCACTGACTGGAAGAAGCCGATGTTCTGGAGGGCAGCCTGCTTTACTGGAAGTCCGCCGATCAAAATGTTCCTCTCATTCCAAAACACCCTCATGGAAACATCCAGAATAACATTTGACAAACTTGTGGGCGCCATCGCCCACCCAATGTGATGCATAAAATTGACCATCACAACACCCAGTAACTACTTGTTGAATGACTAAATGAACCCTCCCGGGGCCAGGCAAGGCCTGCTTCTGTTAGGGCAGGTTCCTCGTTCGTGAGCGTGAACCCGGATCTGAAAAAGCTCCCTGTGGCCCGTGGCTAGCACCTGCCCGGGTGGCCGCCTCTTACTATGACCTTAGTCCTGGGCTCCTACCTGCTCCCTGCTGGAGGAGACTAGTCCAGGCCAGGGCCAGCTTGACTCCTGCCCGCTGCTTCCGCACGCAGTCGTGCCCAGCCCTGCGGGGCATCTCCAGTTCCGGCCAGAATGCTGGTGGCCTCTCCGGAAGTGTGCCAGCTTGGTCCTCACAGGTGGTGGCCTCTGAACACCTACCACCACCTCCTGGGGAATTATGGAGAGTTTTGTTTTTCGACATTGACCTTGAGCCTGCAGCTTGACTTCTCTCTCATTATGTAACCTGCCACCTGGGGAGGGTTCCAAGGCTTGCCGTGCTGACCCCACCTTGCCATCGCAGGGGAGTACTTGGGACCCAGGTTACCTGTTGGCAAGTGGTGTCGCATGGGGGCTCTGGAGTCCAAGTCTGGCTGGAATCCCCACTCTGCATGGCAGGCTGAGCCTCCCTGGGCCTCAGTATCCTCAACTATAAATGGAGAAAACACTAGGACCTGCTTCAAGGCTGCTGTGGGAATCAAAGGGAAGGAGGCAGGAACTGTCTGCCGCAGGCCTGGGGTGTAGAGGGCTGTACATGAACTAAATGCTGCCACGGCCATCGGCATCCTCATCGTTGTGCGTGTGTGTGTGTGTGTGTGCGTGTGTGTGTAGGGGCATTTATTTTAAGGAATTGGCTCAAGTCCCGCCTTCCTCCCTGTCCCTCCCCTCAGGGGAAGGCTTTGGTGGGGAGGTGGTGTTCTGCCGGGGGCCGTACAATCCACCCATCTTCTTGCTACCTGTCAGCAAGTGGCTCACCCTGCCGCCACTCCAGGTGAGCTGTGGATTGAGGAACCCTAGTCCTGATCTCCCATCGGTGGTAGGAAGCCGGGCATCTGTATAGACCAAGAGCGGCAGCAGCCCAGCTAAAGTGTGGCCTTTGGCAGAATGGTTCAAGTCTGGCTCTGCCCTCTGTGACTGGACAGGAAGCTTGGCTTCTTTGGGCATCTGACTCCTCCTCTGTAAAATGAGGGTGGTGACAGCAATGCCTCCAGGACAGTGTCAAGAATGAAACGAGAGATTGTAGGTGCTGAGGTTTGAATGTTTGTCCCCTCTGAAACGCATGTTGAAACTTTTTTTTTGTTTTTGTTTTTTTTGAGACGGAGTTTCACTCTTGTTGCCCAGGCCGGAGTGCAATGGCATGATCTCAGCTCACCACAACCTCCACCTCCTGGGTTCAAGCGATTCTCCTGCCTCAGCCTCCCGAGTAGCTGGGATTACAGGCATGCACCACCACATCCGGCTAATTTTTTTGTATTTTCAGTAGAGACGGGGTTTCTCCATATTGGTCAGGCTAGCCTCGAACTCCCGAACTCAGGTGGATACCCACCTCGGCCTCCCAAAGTGCTGGGATTACAGGTGTGAGCCACCGCGCCCAGCCTTGCATGTTGAAACTTAATTCCCAGTGCAGCTGTGTTGAGAGGTGGGGCCTTTAAGAGGTGATTGGGTCGTGAGGACTGTGCCATTCCTGGGTTAATGGGTTAATAGAGGAGTGGGTTCTCATGGAAGCGGACTGTTGCTTCGAAAGACCTGAGCTTGCACACTCAGTCCCTGCACCAGGGGATGCTCTGCGCCACCTCGGGGTGCCACAGAGGGCTCCCACCGGCAAGAAGGCTCCCCCCAACCTTGAACTTCTCAGACTCCATAACTGTAAGAAATAAATTCCTTTGTTTTGTAAATTTCCCAGTTTCAGGTATTCTATTATAAGCGACAGAACATGGACTAAGGCAGTAGGAAAGAGGCTTATCCTAGAGCCTGGCAGACAGTGAAGACCCCAAATAAAAATACACACCGAGGTGTTGTCAAGAGCGGCCTGTCCATGAGGGGTCTGGGCCCTTCTTATACTGGGCTATCCGCTGGGCACTGCGTTAACTTCTTCTTAAATAGGAACTTCACCATTTTTCGTATTTTAACGTGTGCATTTGTGCGTTCACAGAGTTGTTGCCACCGTTACCAGTATTTAATTCCAGAACTTCTCATCATCCCTCACAGAAGCTCTGTCCCCATGAGCAGTCCCTCCCTGTCCCCTCGCTTCCTTGACCACCCCTCGTCGGCTTTTACCTGTGCTGGAGGTTTCGTGTAAGTGGAATCACGCTGTGTGAGTTTGTGTGTGTGGCTTTTTTCTCTTTGCACGCGTTTTCAGGGCCCATCCATGATGTAGCGTGTTGATGCTTTGTTCCTTCTTACAGCTGAATCCTATTCCATTGTATGGAGAGACCACAGCTTATCTGCTCATCTGCTCATCCATTGAAGGACATTGGGATGTTTTCTTTCATTAACTGCCAAAACGTATTTCTTTTTATTTTTTATTTTTTTTGAGACGGAGTCTTGCTCTGCCGCCCAGGCTGGAGCGCAGTGGCGCAATCTTGGCTCGCTGCAACTTCCGCCTCTTGGGTTCAAATGATCCTTCTGCTTCAGCCTCCTGAATAGCTGGGATTACAGGTGTGTGCCACCACACCCAACTAATTTTTTGTATTTTTAGTAAAGACGGGGTTTCACCATGTTGGTCAGGCTGGTCTCGAACTTCTGACCTCGTGATCCACCTGCCTCAGCCTCCCAAAGTGTTGGGATGACAGGCATGAGCCACCGCGTCCGGCCAATATATTTCTACTGGTAGAGTTGGGTTTTTTTGCTTTTTTTTTTTTTTTGAGACAGAGTCTCGCTCTGTCGCCCAGGCTGGAGTGCAGTGGCGTGATCTCGGCTCACTGCAGGCCCCGCCTCCTGGGTTCACGCCATTCTCCTGCCTCAGCCTCCCCAGTAGCTGGGACTACAGATGCCTGCCACCATGCCCGGCTAATTTTTTGTATTTTTAGTAGGGACGGGGTTTCACCGTGTTAGTCAGGATGGTCTCAATCTCCTGGCCTCGTGATCCACCCGCCTCAGCCTCCCATAGTGCTGGGATTACAGGCGTGAGCCACCGCGCCCGGCCGTCTACTAGTAGAGTTTTAATGGAAGTGTGGCATACATGCGAAAATCTCATGAGTCATACATGCGCCATGAGCTGAATTTTCACAGGGTAAACACAGCCATGTAACAGCACCCAGGTCAAGAAATAGAGCATTACCACCCCCCAGAAGCCCCTTTCATGTCCCCTCCTAGACTGTCCACTCCCTGACAGTAACCAGTAATCTGACCATTAATCAGCTTTATCTCTGAGATTAGGCCGGGCTCAGCTGCTCACACTTGTAATCCCAACACTTTGGGAGGCCGAGGTGGATGGATCACTTGAGGTCAGGAGTTGGAGACCAGCCTGGCCAACATCGTGAAACCCTGTCTCTACCAAAAATACAAAAATTAGCTGAGTGTGGTTGTATGTCCCTGTAATTCCAGCTACTTGGGAGGCTGAGGCAAGAGAATTGCTTGAACCTGGGAGGTGGAGGTTGCAGTGAGCCGAGATTAAGCCTCTGCACTCCAGCCTTGGCGACAGAGCAAAACTTCATCTTAAAAAAAAAAAAAAAGAAAAAAAAAGGCTGGGCACAGTGGCTCACGCCTGTAATCCCAGCACTTTGGGAGGCCGAGGCGGGCAGATCACGAGGTCAGGAGATCGAGACCATCCTGGCTAACACGGTGAAACCCCGTCTCTACTAAAAATACAAAAAATTTGCCGGGCGTGGTCGTGGGCGCCTGTAGTCCCAGCTACTCTGGAGGCTGAGGCAGGAGAATGGCGTGAACCCGGGAGGCGGAGCTTGCAGTGAGCCGAGATTGCACCACTGCACTCCAGCCTGGGTGACAGAGTGAGACTCTGTCTCAAAAAAAAAAAAAAAAAAGAGATTTATCTCTGAGATTTCCATAAGTGAAATTAGACAGCATGTGCTTTCTGTGTGCCTGGCTTCTTTCACCCATTGCCACGTTTGTGCAAGTCATGCACGCTGTTGTATGCTGTTTTAGCTCATTCATGTTCGTTGCTGCATAGTATTCCCTGATATTCCATGGTACAAATAGAGCAAATCAGTGTATTCATTTGTGTGGGTTGCTCCCAGGTTAGGGCTGACACCATTCATGCTGCTGTGAATATTCTTGCATATGCCTCTTGGTGGACAAATGCACTCACATCTGTTGAGTCCTGGGAGTGAGACCTGAAGTCATGGGCTGTGTGTGGTCAGCTTTCATAGATGTTGCCAGTTCTACGAAGTCCTGCAAGTAAAGACCCTCTAGTTGTATCGGAGAGTTCCAGTTGTTCTACATTCTTGCCTTCCATTAACTTTTGTTTTTAACTGTTTTATTGAAATACAATTCACATACCATACAATTCATCCATTTAAAGTTTTTTTAAAGAGCAGTTCGTGGATTCATGGGGTTGTGCAGCCATCACCACAGTCAGTTTTGGAACATTTTCATCACTCCTGAACCCCTACCTGTCAATCCCCAATCCTTCCATCCCTCAGCACTCGGGTTTTCTGTGTCTATGATTCGGGCATTTCATACAAGTTGAATCATGCAATATTTGTCTTTGGTTTGGCTTCTTTTACCCAGCATCATATTTTCAAGGTTCATGCACATTGTAGCATGTGTCAGGATCCGTTCCTTTTCATGGCTGAGTAATATTCCATCACATGGATAGACCATGTTTTGTTTAACCATTTATCATTTGATGGGCATTTGGGTTGCTTCCACCTTTTGGCTATTGTGAACATGGCTTCTGTGAACATTCACGTGCAAGCTTTTATATGGACAGATGTTTTCCATTTCCTTGGGTAGATATCCAGTGTGGCGGGGAGCACAAAATGTGATAACTCTAGGTTAAACTGTTTGAGGAACTGCCAGACTGCTTTCCGTGGCAGTTGCGCTATTTTACATCCTCACCAGAGCTGTCTCTGTGCCCACGAAAACATGCCGCTCCTCCACACAGTGCTGAGCACAGGCAAATCTCTCAGGGCTTGGCGTCTTCTTGCTGGGGGGCGGGAGGGGACAAGGTAGTGTCTGCTTCGATGGTGGGGTCGGCACCTGGGCAGTGTCCAGTGTCTGCTTTGATGACGGGGTCAGCATCTGGGCAGTGTCCAGGACACCCTTGCTGGTCTGGCACGAATGCTGTGGCCACGGCAGCATCTGAAGGTGGCATCCTGCCCAGAGTCCCCAGCGGGACCTGCTGCCCACAGCCTCGGGCCCCTCACTGTGAACTGTCACGTTCCCTGGTTGGCAGGAGTCCCCGGGGAAGAACAATTGGTGTGAACTCCCCGTGCGGGGTGGGGACTGGGCGCAGGGAAGTCTCATCATTTCTAGGGAATTTCACAGAGGCCGCCCAATGGGCTGTTCCAAGGCCATGTGTGCCCAAAGCCCACTCCAGCCAGTTGGAGAAGGGGCCTCAGACGGCCCTTTGTCTTTAGTGTCTTGTAATCCAGAGAGTTCCCTTTGGAGTGGAGAAATTCCCCAGAACAAGAGGAGGGGGTTCTGGGTCCTGCCCGTGAGAACACAGAAGCTCCTAGGGGCAACACCCCTTAGATAAACACACAGAGGAGGCCACACAGCCTCACAGCCAGCAGCAGGGACGGAGCTTGGTGCCAAACACTGGATGCTGGGGGCAGGACAGGCCCCGTGGACACGCCAGCACAGTCTCCTGCCCAAATGGGAGACCCTCAAAGGCAGCTCCCAGGGCTTCCCACTGACCTTCTGGCCCGAGCCCTGCATTCCTTGTTCTGACAAGGCCTGGGAGTTCCAGAGCCTTCCCCTCACTCCCGAGTGACCTTGGGCAAGTCCCTCCCCATCCTGGGTCTCTGCATGCCCATCAGCGGGGCACAGGGTACACCTAGTGATGCTCAGGGCTCTCCCTGCCCTGAGCTCCCTGGGGAAGCTGCGATGAACCGCAAAGCAACCAGCTCTTTTTGGGTAAAAATCCTGCAGGCTCATTTGCCGGGTGGTGGCTGTCCCCGAGGCCATGTGAGTCTCTATTCCAGAGCCCAGGAATGCCTGGTGGTGGAGGCCAGCCACCCTGGCCGGAGACTGCCCTGTGTCCACGGAGCCCTTGGGCCTCCCAGCGGTGGGGAGGGAGAAGGAACAGCTGCTGGAAAATGCCAGACGTCTTCATTGTGATCGGCATGAGGGTTGGCTCCAAGCACGGAGACTGGTTCTCCTTCCCTCCTTTATTTGCTCAGCTTTGAGCTCACGGACTGACACTTACCAGGAGTTTAACAAATATTTATCGAATGAATGAATTCATTCATTTACTTATTCAATCAAGAAGATTGAAATCTTACAGTCAGAAGCTGCAGCCACAGAGGCAGCCCAAAGCTCGTTTATTAAATGCCGGCTGTGGTGGCCGTGTCCTGCCAGCATAGTCTGGTGTGGCCTCTATGGCGCCCTCGGGAGGGTGGTGACAATATAGCACAAGGTGCTCAAGCTCCTGGGATGGCTTCACCTGGAGGCTGGGGAGGCAGGGTGGGAAAGGTGAGCACCGTCATTACATGAGGGTGACTCCTGCCCAGTGACAGAGGCAAGGCTGCTGGGAACAGTGCTGGGTGACGGGCCGCCTTTCCCTCACTTGAATGCCATTCACACCCAGCTTCATTTTTCTTCTGAGTCACATTCTCGGGCCTGGACGAGGCCATCTATTACTGGAGTTTTAAGCTGCTTTGTGAACCACAGGACAGCTGGCCGCTTGGTGAGGCCTGTTCCACCCTGGGGGCCTCGTGGTGGGGAGTGGGCAGGATTTTAAAAATCTAACCAGAGGTGACAAGCAGAGCAGCCCCAGCAGAGGGAAGACGAATGAGGCAGGAGCCAGGGGACGTCCTGGAAAGCCCGGATCCAGGTCATTTTTTGGCTGAGAGCCACCGTGGGGCTGTGCTGGGCCAGGAAAGACCCATGACAGGAAAGGCCATTTTAATGCCCTCAGTTCTTTTCCTTTTTTGGGATGGAGTATCACTCCATCACCCAGGCTGCAGTGCAGTGACAGAGTGCAGGACAGGCTCGGCTCCCTGCAGCCTCCGCCTTCCGGGTTCAAGCAATTCTCCTGCCTCAGCCTCTCGAGTAGCTGGGATTACAGGCGCCTGCCACCACGCCTGGCTAATTTTTGTATTTTTAGTAGAGACGGGGGTTTCACCATGTTGGCC
The DNA here is from genome assembly GCF_000001405.40 of Homo sapiens. Lineage (NCBI taxonomy): Eukaryota > Metazoa > Chordata > Mammalia > Primates > Hominidae > Homo > Homo sapiens. The sequence continues at coordinate 87,572,297 of NC_000016.10, forward strand.
AGTCTGGTTTTGAACTCCTAACCTCAAGTGATCCGCCTGCCTCAGCCTCCCAAAGTGTTGGGATTATAAGCGTGAGCCACCGCACCCGGCCGATGCCTTCAGTTCTATATTTGTGCACCTTACACTCTGAGATCTCTCTCTCCAGCAGCTTCCTACCTGATTCATGAGGCCGTGATCCTCACAGGGCCTCCAGGCTTCTGGCCTTGCCCACGGCCTCCTACGAGCAATAACCACAACCCCACTGGGGCTCATGGACAGCGCACGGCCTGTAAGTAAGGCACAGGCAAGAGCACATGCAAACTTCACAGGGAGGCCTGGAAATGAGATTCTTGGAAGCTATGCTTTTCGAATAAGGAAACAAGCTCAGAGAGGCTGAGTGTCTCTCTGAGGTCCCACAGGTGCAGGTGCTGGAGCTGGGACTTAACCCGAAGTCCTGTTCCAGAGCTCTGCCCTCGCTCCTGTTACAGGTGTAGCCCCCTGGCATGGCCCTGCTGCCTGGGCTGGGGTCTGCCCAACGCTTCTGGTTCCCACCCACACTCCCCTCCCCAGGAAGATGCCCCTGAGAAGCTGGCCCACCTGGTTCTCTGCAGTCTCTGGCGCACCTGCCCCCTGACCTTCAGCCAGGTCCTGCCTCTAGGATGTTCACTCAGGTGAGAAAGCTGTCCAGAACCATGTGTATCTAGGACCAAACTTCATTGTACACACAAACATGCACTGCACAGTTTTACTCCATCTGTTACCAGGAATGCAAGGATTTTGCCGATGGAGGGGAGATTGCATTGTGTTCAGAACTTTGATTCAGAACAGAGCTTTTCACACTTTGGAAAACCACATCCCCAGTGGCCAAGTGGGGTAAGGTAGGTGAGTGCTCCAGGTGCTGCACTGGGGCTGGGTGCCGCCGTTTGCTGTCATGCCCACTGTGGGCCACCGTGGCAAGCAGATGACAGCCCTGTTCTCTCTTCCCCGGGGAGGCATGGAAACCCCATTATTTTATATTTATGTTTGTTCCTTTCTCATCAGCTGCGTATTACAGTTGGGGCATTATGTGGAGTTGAAGAAGGTGTTTTGTAGGTTTCCATGCATTTCATTTCAGGATAGCAATGGACATGTAAAGTTATTTGCTGTAAAGAAGGAGGTTGACCCCGTCTCTACTAAAAATATAAAAAATTAGCCGGGCGTGGTGGCGGGCGCCTGTAGTCCCAGCTACTTGGGAGGCTGAGGCAGGAGAATGTCGTGAACCCGGGAGGCGGAGCTTGCAGTGAGCCGAGATAGCGCCACTGCACTCCAGCCTGGGTGACAGAGCGAGACTCCATCTCAAAAAAAAAAAAAGAAGGAGGTTGATCTGTTGGGTTGAACACTACCAGCTGGGAGATGCACCCTTGGGGATGGACGAATGCTTTAAATTTTTTTTTTTTGCTCAGCCACTGCTTTTTTTTTTAAAAGCTTTATTGAGATATAATTAATATATTGAAATCTGGCCAGCTACAGTGACTCAGGCCTGTAATCCCAGCACTTTGAGAGGCCAAGGTGGGTGGATCACTTGAGATCAGGAGTTCAAGAACAGCCTGGCCAACATAGCGAAACCCTGTATCTACAAAAAAATACAAAAATTAGCCAGGCGCGATGGCACGCACCTGTGATCCCAGCTACTCAGGAGGTTGAGGCATGAGAATTGCTTGAGCCTGGGAAGTGGAGGTTGCAGTGAGCCAAGATCATGCCACTGCACTCCAGCCTGGGCAACAGAGCAAGACTCTGTCTTAAAAAAAAATCTGCACATATTTAATGCGTAATTTGATGAGTTTGGACATCGGCAAACAGCCGTGATACCAACACCATGATCAGGGAAATCAACACATCCGGCACCTCCAGAACACTCCCCATGTCCCCATTATTTGTGGTAAGAACATAGTGTGAGACCTGTCCTCAGTCTTTTTTTTTTTTTTTTGAGACAGTCTCGCTCTCTTGCCCAGGCTGGAGTGCAGTGGCGTGATCTTGGCTCACTGCAACCTCCGCAGGGTTCAAGTGATTCTCCTGCCTCACCCTCCTGAGTAGCTGGGATTACAGGTGCCTGCCACCATGCCTGGCTGATTTTTGCATTTTTAGTAGAGACAGGGATTCACCACGTTGGCCAGGTTGGTGTCGAACTCCTGATCTCAGGTGATCCGCCTGTCTTGGCCTCCCAAAGTGCTGGGATTACAGGTGTGAGCCACCATGCCCGACCTATTTTTTATTTTTATTTTATTTTATTTTGAGACAGTGTCTCACTCTGTCACACAGGCTGGAGTACAGTGGTGCATTCATAGCTCACTGCAGCCTCAAACTCCCAGGCTCAAGTGAATCCTCCCACCTCAGCCTCTCAAGTAGATGGGACCACAGGTGCGTGCCACTACACTGGGCTAATTCTTAATTTTTTTTGTAGAGATGGAGTCTCACTATGTTACTGTCTTGAACTCCTGGCTTCAAGCGATCCTCCCGCCTCTGCGTGAACTATGGCACCCAGCCCCCAGTGATGTTTTTATGTGATTTCTTAAAATTAGGATCCACATATTATCCACGCTGTGCATCTTGTGGTTCTGTTGCTTTTCCCTCCCTGGTCCCTTTGCCACTCCCCTAGCCTACCCCACCCTAAGACAGCAGGGACACCCACTTTCCCTGTGCAAAGCGACTTTCCCATCTCCCATCTGTGCATCCAACCAAGATTCGAGGAGCAGCCACCTCGTGCTAAGGGGTACATTCCTGAGGATGACCCTGGTCCCTGCCATGTGGACAGCAGAGTCTAGAGGAGGAGAGAGCGGAGACAAGCATTAGAAAAAGAGTGGCTGATGGCTCCAGACTCTGCTGAGAGGCGAGGAGCCTCCCCCTGCCTGCTCCTGCCTGCTCCCTCCTCCCTGCACTGATCCCTTCCTCCTGCCCCCAGTGGGCCGCCTGGTTAATTACCACTGCCTCCCAGCTTCTCCAGCTCCCACACCTCCAACTCCCCAGCCTAAGGGAGGAGCCTCCCTGGTCCCCTTCCTGAACGATATTTACATGCCAGCCACGCTCCGCTCCAGAAAGAGGAGGACTGTGGCAATTTCCTTTTTATCAATGAAGCTCAGAGAAGTCGATAACCTACCCAGAGTCACCCAGAAATGAACCTCTGGAGGCAGGATGCAAACCCAGCAGGGCCTCAGGGTCACGCTGTTTTTTCCCCTAGGGTTGAGAGAGCGGGATCCGGGTGGACACTGGAGTTCCTCCGAGCTTAGATGAGCTGTATCAGGGTTTGGCAAACCACGTCCCTTGGGCCAAATCCCACTGCGGCCTGCTTTTGTAAATAAAGTTTTATTGGAACACAGCCACACCTGTGCATTGACATATTACTTATGGCTCTTCTGTTTCTCCAATGGCAGAGCCCAGGGGTTGCAACAGAGACCATTTGTGCAAAAGCCAAAAATCTTCACTGTCCAGCCCTTACAGGAAAAGTTGGCCAAACCCTGTGCTACATGTTTAGCAGGACAAAGAGAAAGAAACCTGTAGGAGCCTCTCTTCCCCCAACCTAAATTATTTACAATTTAAATTTAAAGCCACTTTCATTTAGTGGCCTATTCTTGAACTGGCTCTGAAAAGGATTCCTTGTTCTGGAAGGCAGAGAGTGTGAGACTGTAGAGGTGAGAGTGAAAATCTTAAGGCCCATGTCTGAATTCTAAGGATATACTTCCAAATCTGTGTGCATTCCCTGCATGAACTATTTAATTTAAATTTTTAAAAAGAGGAAGAAAATAGCCATCTCCATGGTTTTTCCTTCTCATTGCTCCAATTCCATAACAACAAGCCCTCCAGCAAGCCTCAATTTATTCAAATTCCCAAGCTGGGTTTGGAGGGGCGGGAGACGGAAATCCTGTCCCCCAGATCGAATCATGCTGTTACCAGAATGGGCTTGGTATTTTTTTCCAGCGAGTGTCTTGGTTTGTGTGAGGACAGACGATGGTGTCACGCCCACGCTGGGTATGACAGGGGAGAGAAGTCCGCAGGGGGAGCCGGGGGACTGCCCGCTTCCTCGAAGCCTGGACTCATAAGGAGGCGTTCCCTGGTATCAACGAGCCTCTCCGAGCAACCGCCTGCCCACAGCCGGCAGGAATCAGTCCTGGCCAATGAGTGCATGAATTTCCCTGGGCTGCCATAACAAACGCCACAGCCGGGGGCTTAAGCTACAAGAATCATTCTCTCACTCTGGAGGCCAGAAGGCTGTGATCAAGGCATGGGCAAGGCTGGTTCCTTCCCAGGCCAGTGAGGGGGCACCTGGTCCAGGCCGCGCTCCTCGGCTTGTAGCCGGCACCTTTCCTCTCTGTTTCTTCACATCTTCTCTCAGGGCATGTCTGTGTCCAAATTTCCCCTTTTTATAAACACTCTGGTCATATGGGATTACAGGCCACCCTAATGACCTCATTTTAATTTGATCACCTCCCTGTCGCCAAATAAAGTCACATTCAGAGTTACAGGGGGTTATGACCAAATAAAGTCACGTTCAGAGGTACAGGGGTTATGACTTGGGGGAGTTCATATGATAGCTTCCCCCATGTCAGGGAGTGGACAGCAGGCTGGTCGGGTGCATGACGGAGCTGGGTGCAGAAAGCTTTGGTGGGGGTGACCCAGACAGCAGGTGCGAGCGACAGTGTGGGCGATGGTGGCCCCCACCCTCATGACCGCAGGACCCCATCTCTTTTTTTTTTGAGATGGAGTCTTGCTCTGTCACCCAGACTGGAGTGTAGTGGTGTGATCTCGGCTCACTGCAACCTCCACCTCCCGGGTTCAAGTGATTCTCCTGCCTCAGCCTCCTGAGTAGCTGGGATTACAGGCAGGCGCCACCACTCCTGGCTAATTTTTGTGTTTTTAGTAGAGACGGGGTTTCACCATGTTGGCCAGGCTGGTTTTGAACTCCTAACCTCAAGTGATCTGCCTGCCTCAGCCTCCTTGGGATCCTCTGCCTCCCGCAAAGTGCTGGGATTACAGGCGTAAGCCACCACGCCCAGCCTCTTTCTCCAATCGCAACCTTCTGGACTCGGTGTCACCATGGGCATCTATGGGGCAGGCAGCCTGTGGGGGTGAACACAGTGATTCATGCTGCCTACCCCAATATGCCAACAGCGCCCTGGGAGGAATGGCTGGTGTTGCAGTTGAACCCCTGCAAGGCAGCCACTAGCATCTCGTGTTCCCTGGGTAACAGCAGGTACCCTCTCCCACTCATCCACTGGGGGGTCTCGAGGCCTACCAGCTGAATGGGGGCTTACCCCTCCCACCCCTCAGTGAGGCACAGACTGCAACTGAACGAACCTGTCCTCCACACCCTGGCACCAGCCACCCCTCCTCAGCTTTTAAAATACTTTAAAAAGCAGTTATCAAGAAATACTGATCAGGCCGGGTGCAGTGGCCCACACCTGTAATCCCAGCACTTTGGCAGGCCAAGGTGAGAGGATCACTTGAACCCAGGAGTTTGAGGCCAGTCTGGGCAACATGGAGAGACTTCATCTCTAAAAATAAAAAATTTAAAAAAATTAGCTGGAATTATATATTTAAAAATGTGCTCCCAGCTACTCAAGAGGCTGAGGCAGGATGGTTCCAGCCCAGGAGGTTTCAGTGAGCTGTGATTATGCCACTGCACTCCAGCCTGGGCAACAGTAAGACCTTGTCTCAAAAATAGGCCGGGCGCGGTGGCTGACGCCTGTAATCCCACCACTTTGGGAGGCCAAGACAGGTGGATCACTTAAGGTCAGGAGTTTGAGACCAGCCTGGCCAACATGGTGAAACCACATCTCTACCAAAAATATTTTTTAAATTAGCCAAGCATGGTGGCACGCGCCTGTGATCCCAGCTACTCAGGAGGCTGAGGCAGGAGAAACACTTGAACCCGGGAGGTGGAGGTTGCAGTGAGCCGAGATGGTGCCACTGCACTCCAGCCTGGGTGACGGAGTGAGACTCCGTCTCAAAAAAATAAAATAAATAAGTACATGAATCACACTAATCAGAATTTCTTGTGTTCCACATTTCACAGATGTTTTTACACAGAGCTCTCAGAAGCCCTGTGAGGAAGTCCCTGTAGGGAGAATGCTCAGAGATGGGAAGTCGCTGCCCAAGGCCACACAGCTGAGACCTAAACCCTGGATATCTCCAGGGCTGTCCCGTTGATATCTTTCTTTTTTTTTTCTAATTATACTTTAAGTTCTAGGGTACTTGTGCACAACGTGCAGGTTTGTTACATATGTATACATGTGCCATGTTGGTGTGCTGCACCCATTAACTCGTCATTTACATTAGGTATATCTCCTAATGCTTTCCCTCCCCCCTCCCCCCGATATCTTTCAATAACATATACACAGAGACAGCTGTCAGTGGGGACACTGCCTGGACGCCGCCCGAACACTGCCTGGATAGAGGACAGCTAGTTTGGCATTCGCTTCAGAACCATCTCGGGGAGGTAGAATGGGAGTATGGAGGAGAGAAGATGGCTCCCAGGTGGAAGCTGGTAATGAGGCCCAGGTGGGCACCCCAGGTGGCACCCTAGGTGAGCACACGGGGTTCATTACACTCTGCCTTCTTAGATAGATGCGTGTTTGTCATTTTCCATAGTAAATGGTTTTTGTTTTTTCAATGATCTTGAGTAAGTATATGAGATAGCGTTAAATATAAGGCAAGGCTTCCCTCCACTCCCAAAACAGATCCCTTTCAACAGCGGGTGTGGCAGATGTGGTGGAGCTAACGCAAGAACACAAGACTGGCCATGGAGGAGAACGGCTTGAACCCGGAAGGCGGTGTTTGCAGTGAGCTGAGATGGTGCCATCGCACCCCAGCCTGGGCGACAAGAGGGAAACGTCGTCTCAGAAAAAAAAAAAAAGGACTGGCCATGTATTGATCATTACGGAAGTTCAGTGGTGGGTACATGGGTGTTTTTGTTTGTTTGTTTTTTGTTTTTGTTTTTGTTTTTTGAGATGGAGTCTTGCTCTGTTGCCCAGGCTGGAGTACAATGGCACCATCTCAGCTCACTGCAACCTCCACCTCCCGGGTTCAAGTGATTCTCCTGCGTCAGCCTCCCGAGTTGCTGGGATTACGGGTGCGCACCACCACACTGGGCTAATTTTTGAATTTTTAGTAGAGACGGGGTTTCACCCTCTTGGCCGGGCTGGTCTCGAACTCCCGACCTCAGGCGATCTGCCCACCTCAGCCTCCCAAAGTGCTGGAATTACAGGCGTGAGCCACCGCGCCCAGCCATGGGTGTTTATTATACTACTGACCCTACCCTTTTATGGGCTTGCAAATCTCCAAAATAAAAATGAAATAATCATAAAAACAAACTATATCAGTTTAAAAAGAAAGTCATCTAACAATTGAGTCTTTACAGGTTGGTCTTTTAATGATTTCACTTTGCACAACCAAGTATTGTTTGGGGAAGACACCTTGTTCTGAAACAACCTCAAATGAGGCTCTACTAAGAAATTCTGAGAGGAGAAACGGAGGGAAGCAATTACAAAGGAGGCAAAAACAAAACAAAACAACAACAAAAAACCACCCCACAGATTCAGCAGCTCTTCCTGGGGGAGGACCTCCCACTATAGATGTTGACATGAATAAGCCTTTTAAACATGTCTTTAAAAAGAAACACTGGGCCAGGCACGGTGGCTCACCCCTGTAATCCCAGCACTTTGGGAGGCTTAGGCAGGAAGATCACTTGATCCCTGGTGTTTGAGACCAGCCTGAGCAACATAGCAAGACCTTCTCTTTACAAAAAGTAAAAATTAAATTAGCTGGGCATGGTGGTGGGCGGCGGTAGTCATAGCTACTCAGGAGACTGAGGCAAGAGAATCACTTGAGCCCAGGAGGTCGAGGCTACAGGGAACCATGATTGCACCACTGCCTCCAGCCTGGGTGACAGAGTGAGACCCTGTCTTCGAAAAAAAAAAAAAAAGAAAGAAAGGAAGGAAAAAAAGAAAGAAAAGAAAAAAAAGAAACAGTGGTCGTGAGGAGCAGAACTCAAGCCTACAAGTCAAAAAGCAGGGGTGTTGGGGGGGGGGCGCGTGCGGCAGGAGCGGAATAAAACCTGTCATATTTTTTTTTTTCCAGAGACAAAGTCTCGCTCTGTCGCCCAGGCTGGAGTGCAGTGGTGTGATCTTGGCTCACTGCAACCTCTGCCTCCCGGGTTCAAGAGATCCTCCCACCTCAGCCTCCCATGTAGCTGGGACTACAGGTGCATGCCACCACGCCCAGCTAATTTTTATATTTTTTATAGAAACGAGGTTTCACCATGTTGGCCAGGCTGGTCTCAAAATCCCGAGCGCAAGTGATCTGCCCACCTTGGCCTCCCAAAGTGCTGGGATTACAGGTGTGAGCCCCGTGCCTGGCAGAGAGTTGTGTCTTGATAAAATGGCCCTCAACAGTGCCCCGAGTGGATTAAAATCTCAAAGAACTCAGAAGTGAAAAGAAGATGATGTGCTTTGGAAAACAGAATTAGAAGACTCAAGAAGTGGTTCTTGAAGATAACGGCACCAATGTTGATGACACAGGTGATGGATGTGAGTAAAGGGACCCGAATGTGAAGTGGAAGAAGCATGTCTTCTAAATTAATGCATTGCATGAGGGTGAGTCAACTGTTGCACCGTCAACCCAGACATTTACGAGAGGTGGCGCCATGGGTTTCTTCTTCACACAAGTTCTAGTTGGGTGTGTGTGGGTGGTCTTCCACATGGTGACTCAGGGCCCAGGCCCTTTCATTGTGGTGGATTCACCATCACCCAGGCTCCAGTGTCTGGGGAGGATTCCTGGCATCCAGCCAGAAGATGGGGAAGGCTGGGTGTGAGGAGTTTCCAAGGCCAGGCATGGAAGCGGTGCCCACCATTATGTCCCAATCTCATTGGACAGACTCTGTCATGTGACTGTCCTGACTGCAACAGAGGCTGGGAAATGGAGACAACCTGTACTGTCAGGAGTAAGAGGAAGCAATTTGATGAACAACTGGCTAGTCTCTACCCCACACCCTGTCTTATCTCACTTTTGATTTCAAAATGCATTTCTAATTTAATCAATGAATTATATTTTATAAGCACTCATGTGACTTTTCCATCCACAATCAAAACATTTACATCTTGAAGATGGATAAAAAACATTTTAGAGGATCCAGTTGGACATTGCCCTGTGTTTACGGTTCCCTTGTATGTAAGGCACAATTGTTAGTTCTTGGTTTGGAAAGATGTTTGCATTAGATTCAGTGAAAAAAGCAAGTTAAAGAGCTCACACCTACAGAGGTTCTACTGTCGCCCACACAACAACAACTCAGGAGGTGAGTGGCTTGGCTGGAGAGTTCAGCGTGGGACCCCCACAGCGTGGCTTCAGCATTTATTGCCTCCTGTGACCACACGGGAGGTAGAAGATGATTTTATTTTTCTGTGAAAAAAAATGTGTATATGCATGGAAAAATGTGTATAAGCAAACACCCCAAAATATTAATAGTGACGATTCCTTGAGAATAGAAAGGGGGAAAATTTTAGCAAAATATTAGTAAACATTTTATTTGCCCATACATACGGAAAAGTGCACAAATTGCGAACGTCCAGCTTGATGAATTTTCACAATTCCCATGTATAATCAGCACCCGATTAAGGCATAGAACATTCTAGACCTCCTTCCAGGCCCTCCCTCCTCTCCCAAGGGTGGCCAGCCCAGCTCCAAATGCCCCAGGCTAGTTTCCAAGGTTGTGGCCTCTGAGTCATCATAAACAGAGCCTCCCAGGGTCTGGCCTCTTGCACACAGACTTGTGCTGTGAGAGTCATCCTTGCTGTGTGTGCGCGAAGCTGTTCATTTCCTTGCTGTATAGTGGAGCAGAGGCGATCTCAGCTTTCCGGTATGATGATTTATATTTCTCATTAATCTTCAAAATTTTCAAAAATCAAATGGAGGAAAAAAACAAGTTGATTTTCCAACAACAAAAACCCAGCGCTGTCCTGGGACCTCTGGTCCAGGAAAAGCTGCAAAACATACCATTTCTGGCCTCGGCCAGCCTGTCTGTCTGTCAGCAGCGTCACCGCAGGCGGCTCCTCTTGGGTCCCATGATCCAACTCCAGCAGGCAGATGAGGCCTGGAGCCAGGCGGGCGGCAGCCCAGCTCCAGCTAAATATACGTGTGGGAGGCTCCTCCCGGCCTGTGGGTCCCTCCTGGCCCTTTTCTTTCCCACTAAAGCTGGAGGTTCGGGAGAACAAAGGCAGCTCCCCTGAAAGAGCCAAGGCCAGGCGGGAGGTGCCCTGGAGAGCGGCCGAGCCCGAGAGCCGGGGCAGGGCTGCCTCAGACCAGAGAGCCGGCCCTGCCAGCCATCGGCCGTCGAAGAAGGCGTGCAGCTTACGCAGACCTCGGGTGATTTTGGAGCAAAGCTCCCAGCACTTAGCTGAAACGGAAAGGCCTCTGCAGCCTGGAGGACATATGGGGTTCCCCCTCCCCTCCGAGGCCAGGCTGCGGGCAGGCGTTCTGGAGCCTCCAGGTCTCCCACACCACCCACGCCCCGTGAGCTTGCAGGAGCTGCCTGTCTCCTGGAGTGCTTCCTCCTGACTGTGCCATGAGCACACGCGCTAGATACACGCTGGCCTTCTTGCCTTCCTAGCATGGGAAGGAGCTAGAACCAAGGGAAAGATGGGCCAGAGCGTCCCTCTGCCGTGTGGCTCAGGGGAAACAGCTCTGCTCACATCTCCAGGATCTGCCTTGGAGGCTCAGGAGGAGGTGGGTGCAGAGCCAGCCAGAGGGCTTTGCATCCCAGCCCCACTGGCCACCACCTGTGTGGTCATAGGAAAACCATTTTGCCTCTAGAGTCTCAGTTCCCTCATCTGTAAAATGGGGATGACTGTAGGACCCGAATTATAGTGTTGTGAGAATTAAGTGGGTTAAAAAAATAAAACTCTTAGAACAATATTGGGCTCATGATAAGCACTTGATATTATTAGGTGTGCAAACTCACACATGCACACATACACTAATACATACACACACACACATTCATGCATGTACACACGTACCAGTACACACATACACATACATACACAGCCATGCACACAGGGACAATTCACATATATATACGTATATACACATGCAAGCATACATATATCTATACATATGTACATTACACATGTATACACACACATGCATACAGAGACACACTATGACACACACACACACACACGCACATGTGAGTCACCTAAAATCTGGACCAGGGCCACGTGCAGCCCTAGAGAAGGAGAAATCTCGCCGTGCCTGGCGCAGTGGCCTTGGGAAGGTCTCCTACTTGTTATTCATTCTCCTTCTAAATTATTATTCATTCTTACTAATGACAAAGCGGTTCCTCTCTTGGGTCAGAGGCTGGCCCTGCTGTCTTAGATTGGATTCCCTGGGGAGCCAGTTCCCTGGGAGCTGGGATCTGAGTAGAAAGAGTCTGTCGGGAGGGGATCCAAGAAGCACAGTGGGAGAGTGGGGGCGCAGTGGGGAAGGGAAGGAGCCAGCCGAGATGTGGCAGTAAGCAGCTGGGGCTCTGTCCTGCTGCAGTGTGGGGGCAGGGGGCAGTCGCAGGACAAACCGCAAACCTTGACTCCCGTTTGTTGTTGGACGAGGGCTGCTCCTGGGGCGAAAAATCCCAGCACTTCCAGCCTACCGTGTGCCCCGGACTCTGGCGTGACCCTCGCTCCTAGATTCATGGGCTCTCTGGCGACATCTCTGCACACCTGTTGGCCACACGTGGTCCTCTATTCACACATGAGCAGATACTCAGTGCAGGCGTTCACGTGCCAGGCCAGGGTTCAGGGGAGCGAGGCACACATCCCTGCCTGCAGGAGGCTTACCCCCTTCATCCAGAAGGTTCCACAAAGCCAAGTAGAATGGGAAAGTGTGGGGGGGGGGATGTGAAGGAGGTGGACAAAGGCCAGACAGCAGTGAGCTCTGAGGGATGGGTAAGAATTGGGTGTGGGGGGTGGTTCCTCAAAAGTATATGGAGAATCATCCTATGACCTAGCAATTCTGCTTCTAGGTGTCTACTCAAGAGAATTCAAACAGGCGCTCAGACAGATACCTGCGCACCCGCGTTCACAGCAGCATTACCCACAACAGCCAGAGGCTGGACACTACCAAGGGTCTGTTATGGTTGAAGAGATAAACACAGTGTGTATACAGTGGGGTGTTATTCAGCCACGGAAAGGAAAGAAGCTCTGAGTCACACCGCAACATGCCCTGGAAACTGTGATCCAATCATAAAATATGATAACATATTGTGATTCCATTTATGTGAAATGTCTGCAATAGGCAAATCCATAAACACATAAAGTTCATGAGTGATCGCCAGGGGCTTGGGGCAGGGGTCAGGAGGGGAAGGGGGAGTGGCTGCTAACGGGGACGGGGTGTTTTGGGGTGATGTTTTGGGGTGATGGGAATGCTCTGGTGCCAGATGGACGGTGCTGCTGGTTGCAACAACTCTGTGAACGTACCAAATGCCACTGTACCGTTCAGGTTAAAATAGGCAGGGCATGGTGGCGCGTGCCTGTAGTCCCAGCTACTCGGGAGGCCAAGGCAGGAGGATCACTCGAGCCCAGGAGGTCGGGAGCTGCAGTGAGCTGTGATCACACTGCACTCCAGCCTGGGCAACAGAGTGAGATGTCATCTCTAAAATTAAAAAATAAAACCAAATAAGTAAAATAAAATGGTTAAAATGACACATTTTGTTATGTGAATTTTGCCTAAATAGAGTTAGCAGGGAGCAGGGGGGATTCCAGGCTGAGGGATCAGCATCACTAGGGCCCAGGGGACAGAGGCGCTGCTCAGCGTGGTACCCAAGGCAGCAGCAAGGCCTTGTACAGAAAGCGAGGGGATGGGTGCAAGAGGGAGCCTCCTGGCCAGTCCCCGAGCTTGCCTGGACCATGACCTGAGAGCAGGAGGGGGTGCAAGAGGGAGCTTCCTGGACAATCCCCGAGCTCGCCTGCACCGTGACCTGAGATCTGGCACGCCCTAGGCACTGGCTGCTTCATCTCCTGGGATCTCTGTCATCTGGAGGTAGGTAGATGACTGATCCCACTTCACAGATGAGGGGAGTGAGGCCTGAGGCTCAGGGAGAAGGGTGGGGTGGGCAGGGATGGGAAACCCAGGTCTGTCTGACTCCCAAGCCCCTCAGCACTGGCGGGGAGTCCCAAACCCCTCCTGTGGCGAAGGCTGCTGGGTTTGGTGTCAGCAAGTTAGACTCAGGAAGAAAGCTCCACTGAGGGCTGGCTTCCTGCAAACCGGGGCTGGCTCTGTGCGGATTCTAGAGTCAAGGCAGCGAGGGAATTGGCAGAGGATGGGGGAGAGAGGGCAGCTGGCCCGGGAGAGAGAGGGAAATTGCGAGAGGGAGGCGCTCACTATCCCCACATCCCTGTGCACATGGACATGCTGGGGGTCGGTCCTGGCACGGGCACAGCTCAGCACACTGTGACGGGGTCCACGTTGGTGGCTGTGGCCTCAGGCCCAGGGTGTGTGTTGTCACATGCCCTCTGAGGCCAGGACAGGATGGGGAAGAGACGTCTAGAGGCTGTGGGTGGTAGAACCTGCTGGGCCCAAGTTCATCTGTGTCCCCTCGCCTGGCCTCCTTGTGCTGAACGCGTGCATCTGTTATTGGCTGATGCCTAACATACCCCCAGCCTCGGGGGCTTAAGACAACACACGTTTATCATCTCATGGTTTTTGTGGGTTGGGAATGTGGGGCTGCCTGGCTGAGTAGTGCTGGCCCAGGGATCTCACGTGGTCAGAGTCAAGGCAGTGGCCGGGGCCGGGGTCACGGGGCTCCAAATGGGGCTGCGGGACCCACTTCCATGTCGTCGGCCAGCCTCAGGCCCTTGCTGGCTGCTTGCGGGAAGCGTCTGTTTCTTGCTACCTGAGACTCCGTAGGGTAGATCACAGCGCGACAGCAGCTTCCCACAGAGAGCGAGAGAGGCTGAGACACTAAGGCAGAGGCCACGGTCTTTTTGTAACCTCATCTCGGAAGCGACATTGCTCCATGTCTGCCGTAATCTCTTGTTAGAGATGAATGACTAAGTCCAGCCCGCACTCAGGGGCGGGAGAATTAAGCTCTCCGTCTTGAGAAGCAGAGTGCCCAGGAATTTGCGGACCTATCTTTAAAACCAGCACCAGGGGTGCGCTCAGCCAGGGATTTGTAGTTTCACCCAGGCTCTGTGAGCTGCTGTGTAAACTTTGGCCTATGACGTGGCAAGAATGGGAAATTTGGGGTCTGCAGCCTTGTGTGCGTGTTCCAGTCTTGCCACTTCCTGGCTGAGCAGTCTTGTGCTCTTCCTGTAAAAACAAGGACCGTAAGGGAAAAGTGGAAACAACCTGTCTGCCAGGAGGAAGGAGGATGGGGCGTGAGCTGTGGCGTAGCTGCGGGTGGAGGAGCGTCCCGTGCCACATTTCGGGTGAACAATGAGAGCTACCTGAGTCAATGTTGATCAACCAAAAATGTTACATCAGCCGGGCATGGTGGCTCACACCTATAATCCCAGCACTTTGGGAGGCTGAGGCGGGTGGATGGCTTGAGGTCAGGAGTTTGAGACCAGCCTGACCAACGTGGTGAAACCCTGTCTCTGCTAAAAATACAAAAACTAGCCGGGCATGGTGGCAGGTGCCTGTAATTCCAGCTACTCAGGAGGCTGAGGCAGGAGAATCGCTTGAACCTGGGAGGCAGAGGTTGTAGTGACTGAGATCATGCAGCTGCACTCCAGCCCGGGTTACAAAGCAAGAGTCTGTCTCAAAACAAAAACAAAAGAAAACAAACCAAAACGTGATATCGAGTGGAAAAAAGCCAGTTGTTAAAGGATTTGACAGCGTGATGCCCTTTACGCGAATCCCGTGTGCCGCGTGGTTTCCGGGTGTTGGCATAGCAGCAATGGTAGCAAAACTGCGTGAGAGGCACGCAAAGCTTCAGGGAGGAGTGACCTCTGTGGCGGGGGAAGGGGCGCAGGGCGGGTGGGGGAGAGCTGCAACTCTAACTTTCATCTCCTTAAAGAACACTCCAAAGCAAATATGGAAAAGATGAACATTTGTAAAATCTGGGGGGTGGTACAAGGGTGTCTGGTACATGCTGAACTGTTCATAGCTGGAAATCGTGAGTGTATTTTGACAGGCTCACTGCTGTGAGGATGCTGTAGGGAGAGGCCTGGGTTGAACACCCCCATGTTGATGGGGATGCTGGTGTGCCAGGGCTCACGGGGCCTGTCACACTCCCTCAGTGACACACGTGTGAACACATATGTGTTCACTGCCCCTTGCTCTCTGCCCCAGACCCCAGCAAGCTGATAAGAAGGCCCAGGTGTCCCCACTAGACCTGGTGCTAGCACGAGCTTCAGACCTTCCCATGTGTGGGGAAGCCCTCACCCACCCGGCACGCCGACCACAACGCAGCCCCCAGTGGGTCTCTTTCTTTTGCTCCTGTGGCCATTTTTGGCCTGGCTTGGGAAGCCAGCCTCCTCTCCCGGAGAGCCTCCTTCTGGAAGGGCAGGGCCAGGTGGGTCAGGCCTCCATCAGCTAGCACTGGCGCCCTTATCTCTTGGGCTCAGCCTCAGCTCAGCCCCAGCCCCTGGGTGAACCCTCTCCTCGCTGAGAGCTTGCAGTCTGGCCTCCCTCTTCCCACCCCCATCCACGGCTCTCCACTAGGACTGCCCTTCAAGGCCTTGGTGGTAAGAACTGCCCCTGACTGCAGGAGGCAGATGCTCATGGGTGGGTGGGGGACCCTTTCTCCTGGGCCAGCTAATCAGTCCTCACAGGTATGTGGCTCTGGGCATGCACAGCAGCCCTAAAACATTGGGGGGAGCAAACTGTGAATCTGCAGAGCTTCGTCAGCGGCTTGCCTCAGCTGTCACCAGGCAAAGGGGCCCAGAGCACCCTTACACTTGGTGGCATCTTAGGTTCCATGGAGTGTATGGCAAAGGCCATCTGCAATTGTGTGACGACAATTGCGCACAGGCCTGCCAGCGTCACGCGTCCTGTGCATGCGGTAGTTACAAAAACTACCCTGAAGGTTTGCTGGGAGGGTTCACATCGGACCATGTGAAATTGCCCTTTAAGAGATGTAAAACAGCCAAATGCTGACAATTTCATATGGTTCATTTGAAAAGTAAAACAAACTAGGCCGAGCGCAGTGGCTCACGCCTGTAATCCCAACACTTTGGGAGGCTGAGGCAGGCAGATCACGAGGTCAGGAGATCGAGACCATCCTGGCTAACACAGTGAAACCCCGTCTCTACTAAAAATACAAAAAAATTAGCCAGGCATGGTGGCGGGCGCCTGTAGTCCCAGCTACTCAGGAGGCTGAGGCAGGAGAATGGCGTGAACCCGGGAGGTGGAGCTTGCAGTGAGCTGAGATTGCGCCACTGCACTCCAGCCTGGGCAACAGAGCGAGACTCCATCTCAAAAAAAAAAAAAGAAAAAGAAAAAAGAAAAGAAAAGTAAAACAAACTAAATCTTTTGCAGTCTCCCCCACAACATCCATCTGGATAAGAAGTTGGGTTATTACTCCCCCCAAGCCCGGGGAGTGCACGGGCATTTGCAACCTTTTGCGGGTGGAATCGCACACACGGGAATTTCCATGGAGAGAAGGTGGCGGCAGCGCTGCATGGTCGCTGCCGTCCAGACGGGGTCTCCCTTGGTCCGCGATCCTCTCTGGGCCTGCTCGCCAGGCGGCCTCAGGAACGGAGGCCCACAGGCTGTGAAGCTGCAGGAGAGCTTTCCAGCCCCACTGCGAAGGGCTCCGGCCTTTTCCAGTGCCTCCGGCCAGGCCTTTCACTGCCTGGTCTCCATACGGAGAGCGGGTGGCTCTGATCCTCCCTGGGGCCGATCAGCTTGGCAGGAATCGGCTGCATCAACAGCCTGGCTGGACTGGTGGCTGATGGCAGAGATTCAGGTACCACGGAGAAGGCAGGAGCCCTGCCCAGACGCAGGCAGCGTCCCAAGAATGGGCTTCTCCAGCCTGATGACCACATGTCAAGCCTGGCGGTGAACACACTGCCCTGGGCTGTCATCTGCCTCCAGCTTCCTGCAAGAGGAGTGGTAGGGGGAGACGTGTATACCTGGGGCCCTGGCCATTCAGAGTGTGGGCCCCAGACCAGCAGCATCAGCACCACCATAGAAATGCAGAGTCTTGGGCCCCTCACAGACTTCCTGGACCAGAACCTTCATTCGAACAAGAGTCCAGGGGACTCTGATGCATGTGGGCAGGTGGGGCAGCCTGGCACACACAGAACCACTGGGCAGCAGACAGAGAGTCTGCAAAGCGCACGTGCTCTGCTGTTCCACATTTTGGGATTTATCGGAAGGAAGCAGACACACACACACACACACACACACACACACACACACACGGAAACATCTGGAAGAGTGACTCCGTGCTCACCGCAGATGTCACGGCACCCTGGCCATGCTGGAGGCTCCCGTTTCCTCTTCTCAGCAACCCTGGGAGGCGGCTGCTCTGACAGGGAAGAAACTGAGGCTCTGGGGCCCTAAGGAGCCTCCGGCTGCCCAGCCAGAATGAGGTGGCATTAGGAGTTTAATTCAGACAGCCAGCTTCTAGACCGCTTGTCCCCACCACCCTCCTCAGCAGCCTCCATGTGCACACGGTCCCTGCAATGGCGTTATTTACAATTGTGAGGCAGTGGGGCAATCCCAGCTCCAGCACCGGGGCTGCCTAGGAGCGTAGGGCCTGTCTACGCGACTGGTGTCCTGGTCTCTACTTTGTGGCATGAGTGCCACCTTCCCTTGTAATACGTTCATGTTCTCTTTACCCAACTCTCCAGGAAACACACAGAGCTTCCAGGCCAGTGGCTCTGCCATTCCCACCTCTTGAGGCTTCTGTTCCCTTTCCTGGGGGTGCCTCCGAAGTGGGATTGTGTGGACGCAGCGCAGTCGTGCTTAGCCCTGGTCGTGCCTCCCGAGCGGGGCTATGTGGATGCAGTGGAGTCACGCTCGGTCCTTAGTCCTGGTACACAGTTGTGCATGGACAGGAGGGACTGCTGCTGTTAACAGGGACAGTCACTTACATTCACAATGTGCACACAACCTAATTCTGTGCAGAGAGGAGGGGGTGATTTCTTCTTCCCATTTGACAGGTGACAACTCAGGCTCAGAAAGGCTGTGTGACTTGCCCAAGACCACACAGTTAGCAAAGGGCAGAGTCAGGACTGAACACAAATCTTCAGAGCTCACTTCGGGCTTCCGGAAGTTCTTTAGTTCTTATTCAGTTAGGAGATTCTGAAACTGACGTGACTGCTTGCCAGCCAGACCCAGCCTTCACGTCAGAAGCAACTACACTCGCCACTGGCCAAATGAACGCACTGAGCTTCTACAGTGGTGTCACGCGCCAGCCACACAGGTGAAGTCTGCGTCGTTTTATTCTTAATTGCATTCCCGGCCCTGACCTCATGTTTCTTGGATGAATACTGAGTGAGCTGTTGAATGTTCAGGGTGGAGGGTCTGGTATGGGGGCAGCAAGGGTGGGTGGGGCGGGGGTCGGAGCATAAAGAAGAGCCTTGATCCCACCCAGCTCCCCACCTGGCGAAGGGCAGAGACTCACTCCTGCTAGCCCAAGGCAAGACATGTTCTTGGATAAGGTGGAGCCCACAGAAGCCGTCATGGGGTGGGAGAGTTACTGAGGCTTAAGGGAGCTCCACGGTCTTTGGACCCCAAAGGGGTGGGGTTCCACTTGAGCTCTCATTCTGTGACCTCCCCCTCAACCATGTCTTCCACTCCCCGATGGCCATCCTGGGACCAGCCCTTCCTCCGGGAAGCCCTCGGATGTCCCATCGGCTCTGGCGACAGTGTGGGGCAGGAGTGAGTGTCTCAGAGCCGGGTCTATCCTGGTCTGTCCACACTCCTGAGTCACCGTCTCCAAGAACAGGTCATGGGGGTGGGATGACACTGATGTCTTGGTTCCAACACATGCCCTATCCTCAGGGCACAAGACTCTCATTTGAGAGGCAGGGCTGCCACATCTGAAATGGCGGCAGCCAGCATCACACGCTGTATTCCCTGTCCTCACAGGGCCGTGAGGGCACGGAGCAGAGGAGGATGGATGCGGGTGAGCGTCCTCACAAAGAAGGTGAGTGTATCACACAGGCTCCTGCAGCCACAACATCCAAAGAAGGAGCTAAAAAAAGAGAAAGATTTTAGATTGGGCTTCATTGAAATTAAAAATTTGTGCTGCAAAGGATACCATGAAGAAAGTGAAAAGACAACTCACGGAATGGAAGAAAATATTTGCAAATTACACATCTGATAAGATACTTGTATCCAGAATGTATAAAGAACTATAACTCAGGCCAGGCGCGGTGGCTCATGCCTGTAATCCCAGCACTTTGGGAGGCTGAGATGGGCGGATCACGAGGTCAGGAGATCAAGACCATCCTGGCTAACACCGTGAAACCCTGTCTCTACTAAATATACAAAAAATTAGCCAGGTGAGGTGGTGGGCGCCTGTAGTCCCAGCTACCCGGGAGGCTGAGGCAGGAGAATGGGGTGAACCCAGGAGCTTGCAGTGAGCCGAGATGGCGCCAATGCACTCCGGCCTGGGCAACAGAATGAGGCTCCGTCTCAAAAAAAAAAAAAAAAAGAACACCTATAACTCAGTAATAAAAGTGCAAATTTTAAAATGGGCAAAGCATCTACCAATAACTTGGAGCAAAATAAAATAAAATAGGCAAGGGATCTGAACAGGTAATTCTCCAAAGAGGACATATAGATGGCCAACAAGCGCTTGGAAAGATGCTCAGCACCTCTCATCATCAGGGAGTGCAAATCGCAACCTGACTGGATGCCCCAACACCAGTGAGGACGCTGGACACCCCCACATCAGCGAGGACGCTGGATGCCCCCACACCGGCAAGGATGCTGAATGCTCCCACACTGGCGAGAACGCTGGATGGACGCCCTCACACCGGCAAGGATGCTGGACGCCCTCACACTGGTGAGGACACTGGATGGACGCCCTCACACCGGTGAGGAGACTGGATGGACACCCTCACACCGGCAAGGATGCTGGACAGACGCCCCTTCACCAGCGAGGATGCTGTCATCAGAGAGACAGACAAAAAGAAGTGTCAAAGAAGATGTGGAGAAACTGGAACCCCTGTATGCTGCTGGTGGGAAGGAAGGATGATGCAGCCCCAGTGGAAACAGTTTGGCAGCTCCTTAAAAGGTAAAATACGCAGTTACCATATGACCTGGCAGTTTTACTTTTCGGTATATACCCAAGAAAATTGAAAACGTGTGTCACCCAAACACTTGTACGTGCATGTTCATCATAGCCCCAAACTGGAAACACCCCACATTTCATCCACTGATGAATGGATGAACAAAGTGTGCTCCAGCCACACAGTGGAAGATTAACTGGACAGAAATGGGACGAAAGCACCAATGCACACTGCAACACGGAGGAACCTCAAAAACAGCACGCTGAGTGAAGGAAGCCAACACAGAAGATCACATATCACAGAATTATATTCACAGGAAATCTCTGGAACTAAGAAATCCAGGGAAACAGGAAACAGGTGAGTGGCTGCCAGGGGCTGAGGGCACTGTGGGGGAAGGGGGAGGGAGGGACGGCTAATGAGTATGGGCTTGCCCTCTTTCTTTCTTTCCTTCCTTCCTTCCTTCCTTCCTTCCTCTCCCTCTCTTCCTTTCTTCCCCCCCTCCCCTCCCCTTCCCTCCCCTCCTCCCTCTCCTCTCCTCTTTCCTTTCCCCTTTCCTGTCCTGTCCTTTCCCTTCCTTTTTTGAGATAGGGTCTCACTCTGTCGCCCAGGCTGGAGTGCGGTGGTGCCATCACAGCTCACTGCAGCCTTGACCTCCTGGGCTCAGGTGATTCTTCCACCTCAGCCTCCCGAGTAGCTGGGACCACAGGCACGCGCCACCACGCCCGGCTAATTTTTTGTTTTTGGTAGAAACAGGGTTTCACCATGTTGGCCAGGCTGGTCTCTAACTCCTGGGCTCAAGGGATCTGCCTGCCTCAGCCTCCCAAAGTGTTGGGATTACAGGCGTGAGCCACTGCACCTGGCAGGGTATGGGGTTTCTTTCTGGGGTAGTAAAAAGGTAAAATGACGTTGTGGTGATAGTTTACAACTTGATGAATCACTGAAAACATTGAACTGTACACTTCAAACAGGCGGACTGTGTGGAATGTAAATTATATCTCAATAAATGTTTTTTAAAAGTTTTTCATTTTCAGCCAGGCGTGGTGGCTCACACCTGTAATCCCAGCACTTTGGGAGGCCGAGGCAGGCAGATCACCTGAGGTTGGGAGTTTGAGACCGGCCTGACCAACATGGAGAAACCCCGTCTCTACTAAAAATACAAAATCAGCTGGGTGTGGTGGCGCGTGCCTGTAATCCCAGCTACTCAGGAGGCTGAGGCAGGAGAATCGCTTGAACCTGGGAGGCGGAAGTTGTGGTGAGCCAAGCTTGCGCCACTGCACTCCAGCCTGGGCAACAAGAGCGAAACTGCGCCTCAAAAAAAAAAAAGGTTTTTCATTTTCAAATGCTAGAAAATCCAACTCAAAGTGATTTAGGCCAAAAGGGAATTTGTTGGTGCCTATTCCTTGGTAAATGGGTCAGTTCAGAGGTATTTTGGCTTCAGGTACTGCTGGATCCAGGGTCTGAAACAGGTTGTCAGCGCCCAGGCCAAGCCCATCCCACACAAAGGCTGAGTTTACGGAGACACCTGAGTGCTTTTGCCCCAGTAAAGGGGAGTGGCCCCTGGGCAACCCAAGCCCCCTGCAGGCTGCGCTGGCACAGGGGAGGAGGAGGCGAGGCCCTCCCGGCCCATCCAGGCAGAAGGCAAGATTGGGGAAGTTCTGGGAGAGAAAGGGAGCTGTCCTCAGTCCCTTGTTATTCTCAGCTGCTCTGTGATCCCAAGAAAATTCTTCACCACCATATTCATTCATTTGGTCACCCACACACATTTATTGAGTACCTAGTGTATACAGACACTTACTGCCCCGGGGAGAGAACATGAACACAGGAGACCTGGTCCCTGCTTGAAGCATTCAGTGACAAGCACTGATGATGACACAAACCCGGCCACAGGGGTGCCGATACAAATGGCCCGAGAGGTGATGGGAGCACAGGGCAGGAGCACCCATCCTGGCCTTGGGTGGGGTGGGGGGCCGGGCAGGCTTCCCGGAGAAGGAGAGACATGAATGAATAGACCAGGCAGAGGGAACAGAGTATGTACGGGCAGAAGCTAGCTCAAGCAGGTGGGATATGGGAACTGGAGCATGGGGTGACAACAGGGAGGCAGGAGGGCTCGGCAGACAGCAGCTCTGGAGAGCCTTGGGATCCATGTGAAGGAGACCGGGCGTTATCCTGAGGCCAGTGAGCACTGATGAAAACCTGCCTTGAAGGGACAGGTGGGAACTCGCCTGTGCTGGCCTGCACGCTGCAGGAAGCTGGTCTACACTGGCCAGGGCTCCAGTGCACTGTGATGACTTTTGGGTTCATCTCCCCAATTTCTGAGCCTTTCCACCCTGGCTTTGACTTTTGGGTGCACCCACCCTCCTGGAGTAGCTCAGCCCCTTCCCAAAGCCTTGCCCAGACTCTGCAACTGTCGTTGCCTTCCTGGATGAAGCAGCAGATTCACGAACCTCTTCCGGCTGCCCACACTGCTCAGTGGCCTTCCACAGGGATGGACGGATTCACGGTAGGTAAGTGACCTTCCAGGGGGAGTCACATCCACGGTAGGTAAGATAAAGGCTTGAGGAAACCACTGGCAGCCTCATTCTAATGAAGTTTAATCATACCTGTTAGCCCTGGGAGCCACCAAGGAGGAGGGAAGACATAAAAGCAATCCATCTGGGGAAGCGTTTCTTTGGATGTCTTTTTCTTTTTTCTTTTCTTTCTTTCTTTCTTTCTTTTTTTTTTAATTGTGGAGATGGAGTCTCACTCTGTCGTCTAGGCTGGAGTGCAGAGGTGCCATCTCAGCTCACTATAACCTCTGCCTCCTGAGTTCAAGCGACTCTCATGCCTCAGCCTCCTGAGTAGCTGGGACTACAAGTCCGTGCCACCATGCCTGGCTAATTTTTGTATTTTTAATAGAGACGGGGTTTCACCATGTTGGCCAGGCTGGTCTCAAACTCCTGACCTCAGGTGATTCACCCGCCTCAGCCTCCCAAAATGCTGGGATTACAGGTGCGAGCCACCGCGCCCGGTCTGGATGTCTTTATGTGTTTGGCATCATCTGCTGAGCAGGAAGGGGTGAGTGGGACCTCTGTAACTCTCTCTACAGCCGTCCCCAAGTGCCATGTTGGCAATATCAGCTCATGTCAAACAAGGTCAAAACATAGATCAGAGAAATAGCCACAGCTGAGTGTCTTAAAAGCACTTTCAGACGGCACCCTTCACTTTATGTGACAAGCATTGATTCAACAAATGTTCAGAGGAGGCTGACTTCCCAGTCATGTATTTGTTTGTTCATTTATCATTCACTCAAAAATGTAACGATTGCATCCCTACTGTGTGACGGACATTGTGCCAGGTGCTGAGGAGGAGAAGAGAGAAGGAGAGAGAAGAAGAGAAATCTGGCAGCACCCCCCTCTCCCCACTTGAGTGGACGAGACCATGAGTTAGAAGATAGTTACATGGCAGAGCAGTATATGCTATAATGGGGGTGCACAGGGTGCGGACAGAGCTCAGAGACACCTAAAGTGTCTCCAGGGGATCCCTGGAGAGGGTGTTTATGGTGAAGGCTGAGAGCCAATGAGTGTTCTGCGGTAAAGAGATGTGTGCACACATTCCAGAATACACAGACAAGAAAGTGAAAGTTTTTTGTTTTGTTTTGGTTTTTTTTTGAGACAGAGTCTCACTCTGTTGCCCAGGCTGGAGTGCAGTGTGCGATCTAGGCTCACTGCAAGCTCTGCCTCCTGGATTCACACCATTCTCCTGCCTCAGCCTCCTGAGTAGCTGGGACTACAGGTGCCCGCCACCACACCCGGCTAATTTTTTGTATTATGGGTTTAGTAGAGACGGGGGTTTCACCATGTTAGCCAGAATGGTCTCGATCTCCTGACCTCGTGATCTGCTCGCCTCGGCCTCCCAAAGTGTTGGGATTACAGGCGTGAGCCACTGCGCCTGGCCAAAAGCAGTTGTTTTTAATAAAAACAGCCACAAACCATAAGGAACTCTTATGTCTACCTACACTAGAAGGGCTCAGTCATATTGGAGATATTCATAGGATGGAATATTATACAGCAAAGAGAACAAATGAACCTAAGGAACCCAGCCACATGGGTGAATCTCAAGCATGATGTTGGGCAGAAAAGAATGCATTTGGTATGATTCCAGTCCCACGAAGCTCAAAAACAGGAAAAACTAGGCCACAGTGCTTAAGATGCACATAGACAGGTGGTAACATTATAAAGAAAAGCAAAGTTGATGAAAAATTCAGGTGAATGGCTCTGTCTGGAGGGAGGAGAAGGTTATGATTGGAGAGGGACACACAGTGGGTTTTGGGGGTTCCAATAATGTCTAATTCCTTGACCTGGGTGGTCATTATCTGGGCATTTACTATTTAAGTATTCATTAAATTATACAAATATGTGGATTGGCCACAGATAACTCATTTTTTCCCAGCGAGGGGACATTTACACACTTGAGACAGAAGAGTGTGGTGGCTGCAAGCCTGTGCTGTGCTGTCAACTGCTTCTTCACTTCCACCTTAGATAAGTGAGTTGGCCTTTATGAGCTTCAGATTTCCTCATCTGTAAAATGAGGATAATAATACTACCAGCCTCATAAAGTTGCTTTAGGATTAAATATGATATGATAATGTAGGTTCAGCACAGAGCCAGGCACATACATGTAACAATTATCACTATCATTATCACTACCATCATCACCATTCTCATAATCCTCATCATCATCACTGTCATCACCATCATCACTACCATCATCATCACTATCACCATCATCATCACCACCATCACCATCATTATAATCATTATAATCATCACCATCATCACCACCAACACCATCATCACCATCACTATCATCACCACCATCACCACCATTACCATCATCACTATCATCATTACCATTATCACCATCATCACCATCACTATCATCACCACCATCACCATTACCACCATCACATCACCATCATCACCATCATCACCACCACCATCACCATCATTATAATCATCACCACCATCGCCACCATCATTACCATCATCACCATCACCACCATTACATCACCATCACTGTCATCATTACCATCATCACCATCATCATCATCACCATAACCATCATCATCATCACCATAACCATCATCACCACCGTCATCATCACTATCATCACAATCACCATCACCACCATCGCCACCGCCATCGCCATCACCATCATCACTAACATTATCACCATCCTCATCACCATCGCCATCATCACCATCACCATCATCACCATCATCACCACCATCACCATCACTATCATCATCATTACCATTATTACCATCATCACCATCACCACCATCATCAAATCATCACTAACACCATCATCACCATCACCAACACCATCATCACCACCATCATCACCATCACCGCCATCATCCCCATCATCATCACTAACACATCATCATCTTCACTATCCTTTATATCATCATCACCATCACAAAGTTTATTTTTCCTTCTTGCTAATCCATCCAAATTACTTCTGCTTTATCCCCCTCTTCTTCCTTCCTCCCACCTCTCTTTTCATAATTATCTTCATCTGGAAATTGAATGACCAGTAACAGTGCTATCTGGAGTCATGGATAGTTCTAGATCTTAGTAAGTAAGGAAGTAAAATCATGCTCAACATTTTTTCAAAGCTCTTCCATTCTCAATGTTAAATCATGTCTTATCGACAGACCCCATATCCCAATTTTTGGCTCAGTTTGCTTCCTCTACTTGTACTAGAAATGCTGATCATATCTTTCTGCCATCACAAGGGAGGACCCTGGACCCCACTACTTGACCACAGCTAATCGAGTCAGAAAGAGACACCTGACCCAGGCTGAATGTCTCTCCTAAGACTCAGGAATCAGGATCTCCAGAGTCCAGGTTAGTGACTGTTAGGATGGGAAGAGCAGATTGCAGCAGAGAAAGCTGGTCTATGGAGGGCAGAAACATAAGGCAGGCTGGCTGAGAGCAGAGATGTAGGGCCCAGTAAAAGAGAGAGGCTTGGGTCGTGGCACAGTGGGAAGGTGGCCATCTGCAAGCTGGGCAGAGAACTCTCACCAGGGACTGAATCAGCCAGAAACTTGATCTTGGACTTTTAGCCTCAAAAACAATAAGACATTTCTGTTGTTGAAGTCACCCAGTCTGCGGTATTTTGTTATGACGGCCCTTGAAGACTAATACACAGGCAGACAGTGCTAGAAAGCTCACTGCATCACTGTAACTGCAGAAAACAAAACAAAGCCAACCGCCCTAAATGTCCCTCATTGACAGTGGGTGTATGAGGAGGTGACTGTCCTCCTGGCTGCTGGTACTCTGGGGAGGCGGCTTTGGTGCTCAAGCCAAGAGATTGAGGTTGAACTCTGGGACTCCCAGGAGGGGCTGATTTTCCTGAGAGCCCCGTGAGCAAAAAGTGGTAAACGTTTTCTGTAAAGAACAAGATGGTAAATATTTTAGGCTTTGTAGGCTATATGGTGTCTGTCACAACGACTCCACTCTTATGTTGCAGTGTAAAAGCCACTCTAGACACACAAATGAATGGCCATGGTTGTGCTTCAGTGAAATTCTGTTTATGAAAATAGGCAGTGGACTAGATTTGGCCTCTGGGTTATGGTTTGTGTGATGCCTGGCTTAAAACAACAATCTTCTTTTTTTTTTTTTTTTTTTTCAGAAAATTGAAATTCTGACAAGATGTGATGGGGAACGCTTGTCTCAGCTGCATGTGGCTTTAGCTGGGGTGACCTGCCTGGGGTCTGGAGGGTCTACTTTCAAGATGGTACACTTTTATGGCTGTCAAATGCTGCTGGCTGCTGGCTGGGAGTCTGGCTGGAGCTGTGGGTTGGAGGACCCTGTATCTCTCCTTGTTGGCACGTCCAGGGGCTGCTTGAGCTTCCTTACATCATGGCAACTTGGTTCCAAGCTTGAGCACCCCAAGAGCATGAGGCAGAAGCTGTGTTGCTGTTTATGAACTGACCTTTGAAGTCACATCCTGTCACTTCTGTGATAATCACACACTGGCCCAGATTCAGGGGAAGGGAATGCAGAGCCCACCTCTCAACAGAGACCTAGAAACGCCCAAATGGCAGTCCCACTTTGCTCCCCCAAAGCACTCCCTCAACAGGAGGGGTGTCAACACCACACTG
Source organism: Homo sapiens (assembly GCF_000001405.40). Lineage (NCBI taxonomy): Eukaryota > Metazoa > Chordata > Mammalia > Primates > Hominidae > Homo > Homo sapiens. Next base: position 87,599,636 of record NC_000016.10, read on the forward strand.
GAAGAAGATCACGTGGAATGGGGGATCTTGTGGACATTTCACAGTGTTATGGTAAACACAGGCAAAGACAAGAAGGCAAGCACAGATAAGTTGATCGTGGCTCAGTTCTTTGAAGGAGATTAATAGGCTTTTGTGGGGATGCAGGGGGAGCTTTCTTTCTGCACTAGTCAGGAAGCCTCTCTGGAGCTGAGACCAGAAAGCTCTACTGTCATGGGAAGAGGCACCAGGCAAAAGAGACAGCAAGGACCCATGCCTGGAGGCCAGAAAGGGTGCAGGCTGGAAGGCCAGGCAGACTTGGGCTCGAATCCTGCCCAGTCATTATTTTCCCTCTGGCAAGGCACTTTACGTTGGTGGGGAAAAGTGATTCTTTTAAAAAGGAGAGTGTAATTCCAAATCACCTGAGTCCATGAGATGACTAATGTGCTGTCTTCATCCTAGTGCCTGGCTCACATGTGGGTTACAGCTTTTTTACCCTTCTCCCTGGTTTTTGTTTTTAAACGGCTGGGTGGTACTACGTTTATAGGCTTGGAGAGTTTCCTCCAAAGTGAAATCAATACTGCCAGCCCTACTTTATCGGGAGGGCGGTGATTTCCAAATTGCACAGAACAAATGCCTGTAATATCTGCATTTCAGAGACTAGAGCCTGTCACCGCTGGAGTAACTGACTGCAGGAGATGAGAGAGGGTCAGTTGGAGGTGGGGGTCTTGGAACTGCAAGGGAGCGGAGTGTACACTGGCCAAAGGTGGAAGGTGCTGACCAGTAACTGCTTGGAAGCAACCACCGTGTTTCAATAGGATCTCAGTTGCAATCCACTGCTTGTGTGAAGGAGGGCTGCTGATTCAGCAGCAAAATGGTTGGAAATAAAATGGAAGAAATGAAAAGTAGAACATACGAGTGGTGGCAATGTTTATTTCAACAGGCAGAGGGCTGGGTGTCTCCATGCAGGAATCCATGACCCTCCCTGGGGGGCTGGCTTCCAATAACATTACTTCCCACTTCCCGAGCGCTTACTGAGTGCTGGGCGCCTAGCTTTTGAATTCCCACGGTAACCCTATGGGAACTCTGCCATCTCCATTTTACAGATGAGAAAACTGAGCTCAGGGACATTAGGTGACTGCCCAAAGCCATACTGCTGGTGGGCCCCGGAGCCAAGGTTTCGACCCGAATCTCTTGAGGACAAGGTGCAGTTCCTTTGGCCCACACATTTACAACAGAGAAATTTCCATGGACATGAAACAGCCCAGAGATATTATTTCATACCCATTTAGATGAACAAAGTAAAATAAATGGAAAGAAAATCAGAAGTTTGAGGACACCAGTGCTGGCCAGGAAATAGAGAACCACAAACCCAGGCACACTGAAGGGTGAGAGGTCAGTTGCTCCAGGTGTTTGGAAAGCAATTTGGCAGCTTCCAATAAAGTCCAAGACGTAGCTGGTCCAATGATGCCACCGCAGACATTTAGAGAACTTCTGTAGAGGGGCACAGGGAGACAGCGCTAGAAAGCTCAATGAATCACTGTAACTGCACAAAACAAAACAAAGCCGACCGCCCTAAATGTTCCTCATTGACAGTGGGTGTATGAGGAGGTGACTGTCCTCCTGGCTGCTGGTACTCTGGGGAGGGAGCTTTGGTGCCCAAGGCAAGAGACTGAGGTTGAACTCTGGGACTCCCAGGAGGGGCTGATTTTTCTGAGAGCCCCGTGAGCCAAGAGTGGGGACCATCCTGATTCTCTCGGACAGGGGAAGATCTGAGCAGGGCTCCTGGCTGATTGGAGGCTCCGAATCGCACCTCTTCTCCTGTCCTAATCTCAGGCTCCAGGCCTGGCTTGCAGTTTCTGGCTCACCGCGCTGCGGTCACCGGCCCACACTCCCAGGAGCGAGGACCCTGGGCAGCCTCCACACCCCCATCAGCCCACTGCACCGGTCTGCTGCCATTTCCCGCACGCATTTCAGGAGGGCTGGGGACGCCGGCTTCTGCCTGAGGATTTATGGTCCAGGAAATGCATTTTAAATGGATCCCAGGATGCTCGGATCCAAGAATCAGACTCTCTCTTGTGCGTGGGAAGAGGGGCGGAGGGTGAGAGTATGTCTGGAGAGAGACCTAGAAACGCCCGAATGGCGGTCCCACTTTGCTCCCCAAAAGCGCGACCGTTCCCCGAGTGGGGGGGCGCTACCTGTTGGCCAGGGCGCAGGGCGCACGGAATTCGGGTGACTTTGCTCCAAGATACACGCGTGTGTCCCGACTCTCACTCAATTTATAGGGGAGAGGGACTCGCCAAATCCCTGTTTTCTGGGGTAAGCCCCCCTCCCCCCACTCTTGGACCCAAGCTGCCCGGAAGGAAGAAGGAAGCATTGTTTGTCACCGGAGAAAACCACCTGTGGTTTGCAAAGGGCCTCAGTCGAGTCAGGGGCAGGCGGGGCAGATCCGAGCCCGGCGGGAGGGGCGAGGCGCGGGGGCGGGCAGGGGCGAGGGTAGGGGCGCTCAGCTGGCAGGTCCTGCTCTGCAGGCCTCACCGCCCAGCTCCCGGGAGGGGGCCGAGGGCGCCCTGAGTGCTGCGCGCCTTCCCATGACGCAGTTCCTGTGCCTTTAAATCCCACTCCCGGAGGGGGCGGGGGCGCCCCGGCTGGACCCCGGTTTCCAGTCCGGCGGGGGCCCCGGGGAAGCCCAGGGCGGGGAGCGCGGGGCTGGGGGCGCGGAGGGCGGGGCGCCCGGGGTCCCCGCCCGCGCGCCGCGCCCTAGCCTGCTGGGCCGCGCCCCTCTTGGGACCGCCGCGCTCCGGGGGCGGGGGCGGGGGCGGGGGCGGGGGGCGGGGGGCGGGGGGCGGGCGGGGGCGCGCGGGCGGGCGGGGTGCGGGCGCGCGCCGCGCGGCCCGAGCGCGCGAGCCGGGCCCGGAGCGCACGCCGCCGCCGCCACCGCCGCCGCCGCCGCCCGAGCCGCCGCATTGCTGCTGCTGCTGCCGCCGCCGCCCCGCGCCCGGCCCGCGGCCCCCAATATGGTGCAGCCGCCAGCGCCGCCGCCCGTGCCGCCGCCGCCGCCCGCGGGCCCCGCCGCCGCCCTCGGGCGCCCGCAGCGCGGCAGCCGCAGGTGGGGGGCCGCGGCCCGGGCCTGAGCTGCCCCCCGCCCGGCCTCGGCGCGGCGCCCTCCCCGCGGGGCTGCCGGCGAGGGGCCCTCTCGCCGCTGAGGTGGAGCCGCGGGCCCCGCCGCCGCCGCTCCTGCCCCCTCCCTCCCTCCTCCCCTCCCCCTCCCCTCCGGTCCTGTCTCCAGCGGGAGCGCGAGACGCTGGTCAGGCTCCGCGGCGCAGCTCGAAAAGGAATAATCGCCCCCGATTGACTGAAATTCCTCCGGAGCCGGCGCCGCGGCCGCCCGCGCCCGAGACCGCGCTCCGGGGCCGCGTCCTCCTCTCCTCCGGAAAACGCTCGCGACCCAGGGCCGCCGGCGGCCGCGACTCTGCTGTGTCGATCGCCTGAGTCCGTTTTCACCGTTTGCGGGATCTGGAACCGAGTTACATGCATGTCCAGTGGGGGCAGGTTTAATTTTGACGACGGAGGGTCCTACTGTGGAGGCTGGGAGGACGGCAAGGCGCACGGCCATGGCGTCTGCACCGGCCCCAAGGGCCAAGGCGAATACACCGGCTCGTGGAGCCACGGCTTCGAGGTGCTGGGCGTCTACACCTGGCCCAGCGGCAACACGTACCAGGGCACCTGGGCGCAGGGCAAGCGCCACGGCATCGGCCTGGAGAGCAAGGGGAAGTGGGTGTACAAGGGCGAGTGGACGCACGGATTCAAGGGGCGCTACGGGGTGCGGGAGTGCGCGGGCAACGGGGCCAAATACGAAGGGACCTGGAGCAACGGGCTGCAGGACGGCTACGGGACCGAGACCTACTCGGACGGAGGTAGGTGCCGCGGGCCGGGCCGGGCCGGGGCGGGAGGGACGTGCTTCCGATCGCGCCCCTTCTGTGGATCTCTGGGGAAGTTGAGCTGCGTCCTCCGGTTGGGCCGTGGGCACCAGGGGCCTTTCCCGGGCTTCCCTGGAAGCCACGGCGGCTCCTGGCTACAGGTTGCCCCGCTGCCTGGTGGGGACAGTGCCCCTGTGCCAGCTGAAGGGTGTTGGGGGCTTTCCAGGGGCAGAGCCAGGCGGGGCCCAGCAGAGCCTCCGTGCGTCGGACACAGCAGGCCGGAGACCTGCGGGAAGGGCCAGGCTGGGCCCGCGGCCCTGGGGAACCCAGCAAGGGCAGAGGGGGCTGGGAGAAGGGCCCCTCCCCTTGTTGGCTTTGCCCCCCACCCTGGAGGCCGCCCTTCGATCAGGCCCCAGCTTCGCTTCTGGTGTTCCTGCGGCGCCCGAGGGCCTTCCTCAGCCCCGAATCTGCCCAAGCCGAGAGAAAGGGAGTGATGGGGAGCGCTAGGGGCGGGGGATGCCAACCCGAACCAAAACAGCCAGGCAGTACACTTCTAGGTGGTTGGACGCGGACTAGCGCTGTCGAAGCAGGCTGCTGGAGGGAGGAGGGAGGCCCATCTGCTCAGTGAGAGCCCAGGAATCTCGTCTTTCAGTGGCTGCATCGTTTTCACCATTAGTTGAGGGAATCGATCTGTGCCTTCATTCTAAGATGCCACCGCATTCGGGGCAGAGCCGGGGCCGGAAGCCAGGGAGCTGCCTGCTGCTGCTGCTGCTGCTGCTGCTGCTGCTGCTGCTGCTGTAAGATGGTTTCTGTGCAGGGAACCTTGGCCGGCTCTGCAGCTGCCCGCCTGCCTGGACTCTCCGATATCCACTCCTCAGTGCACCTGACACGCATGGAGCCGGTCCTTTCCTGGAAGCCAGACCCCAAACAAACTGGCTTCCCCGACCAGTCCACTCCCATGTGGGAGCTTATCCTCAGAGGCACTGGGTCCTCTGCCTCCCTCGGGCGGCTCGCCTGTTTCAGGCATGGATGCCTGGGAAGGGAGTGAGACGCAGCAATGACTTGTGCTTCTGCCGAGAATAAAAATCCTGAGCGTACGTGTGCTCTAGTCCTCCCCGCCCGCTCGCTGCCTCCGAGTCTCATGAAGAAAGCTCGGAACACCTGCTCCACGGCCACATCCAGGAGTGGCAGGGGGCTGGAGAGTAATTATTATTTTGGCTTATGCAACTGAAAAGCAGGGTTCGTTATTACCCGAAGAGGAGGAGGAGTCTGGGGCAGTTAATTATATAATGCTCCTGCCTGTCAAAGCCGTGCCCAGCCCCGGTCTCAGGCGGCCTTTTCTGTGCCGTTGTTGTTTTCATGGAGCAGGTTGGAGAGCTTCCCTGACCCTGGGGCGCTGAGGGCCGGGCGGGAGCAGACGGTGCTCCCTTGGTTCCAGGCTGTGGGCCTGTGTGTGTGTGTGCGCGCGCGTGCAGGCACAGGGAGGCCCGGGCAGCAGATGTGGGTGGCTGAGACAGGCAGGCAGCCTGGCGCTTCCAGCTGGGCTGTTTGGAGCCCAGGGGCTGCTATCACCCCCAGGCTCTGGCCAGGAGGCTCTGCAGACCTGTCCTCCAGAGGTGCTCCTGGCTGAGCCTGCTCCAGGAGGACTGTGCAGGCCGGGCTCACGCAGGGCATGGGGACGAGAGGAGCCAGGGCTTTCGTTGTCTCTGAAACTCCTCAGAATATCTGGGGGTGAGGCTGAGCACCCCACTCTGCCCACGCTCCTCAGACATCTCCAGAGTCCTGAGGAATCATTTCTTTCATTCAACAAATACTGATGGAATGTTTGCTATGAGCCAGGTGTGCCAGGCTCTGGGAAAACCACACTGAGCAAAGCAGACAGCCAGGTGTCCTAGGCTTTGGAAAAACCACACTGAGCAAAGCAGACACAGATCTTTGCCCTCACGGAGCTTACATTTGAGGGAGAAGGAGCGGCGATTATGTTGTGACTTTTTAGGGAAGAAAGGATCTGATTCTGTGGCTGGCCGTGTAGTTTAGGATCTGACGGGTTAAGGGGAGAGATGTTTTTCTCTATAGGTCCACTTCCCTGGGCTCTCCACTCCAGCCAGACAGCTCCCTCAGCATCCTGCTCCCCTAAGCCCTTCCCCTCCTTGTGGTCCTGCCTGATCATGTCCATTCTACAGATGAGGCCAGTAAGGCCCGGGCTTTGTGATTCAGGAGTCCCAGCCTTTGGCTGCAGGGATCCCCGATCTGTCTGGGACCAAACCCCCCTCGTTCTTGCATCACATTGCCGGAAGAAGCCCAGATTGTCAACATCCTCTCAAGGGGTATGCGGTTCTTAGCTCTCCCATAAGCAAAGCCAGGCAGGGATGCAGATGGGGAGCTTCATGGCCGGCTCTCCCTTTTGGTTGGCAACATGGCATGACAGGAAATAGAATTGACCCTTCTGGTCTTGAGGACTCGGGCCTGGACATCTGGGCCACTTTTCTGGAGGGCTCCCAGCTTCCTGTTGGGAAGGGGGTGATTATGGCACTGAGTGTCCCCAGGCAGCCCATGGAAGGAGCCTGCAGGGTGTGGGGATCGCCAGAATGGGGCAGAGACCTCCATGCCTCCTTCCCAGTCAACTGGTGGGTGGTGACAGCCATGTCGCAGTGAGGAAGGAGTTAATGGCCCCAGCTCCACTCTGACTTTTCCTTTGCACAAGAAGTGGGGGAATATTGGGCAGCCATCAGCGAAGCTCTGGAACCTCAGCCCAGCTCTGGGCGCTGACTTGGGGAAATGGCGATTTTCATGAATGATGCACCAGCGGCCAGCGTATTCCACATGTAGCTGGAATTGGTGTGGAATTTCAGCTGGGGACACCTGTGCCAACTCCTCCTCCTCCAGGTGTGTCCTCCCCTTAGGGTACTCCCTGATTGAGCTGAGTAGCTCCTACCGTCTGCATGGTGAGGCCTGGGGGTGTGGGGTACAGGCACACTTGCTTCCAGTCACAACCCCAGCTTGCATCCTGGGCTTGAATCCCTGCCCTACATGCCCTGTTTTGTGACCCTGGTTGGATTACTTAACCTCTCTGAGCTTGTTTCTTCATCTTTACAAAAGGTTGATAACAATACCTGTAAGGTGGGTGAGGATTAATTGAGAATGGTGTGCGTGGCTATGCCAGGAATATAGTAAGCATACATTATTATTTACCGTTAGTTTTTTCATTACAGTTTCCAGGCAATGCATGTCACTTACAATGATCATTATTAGAACCAACATCTGGACAGGAGACTGGTGATCATGTAAATGATGTTAAATAGCAACATTAGATACTTACTGTCTGCCAAGCATGTGGCAAGTGTTAAATGAATTACAGCCCTTAATTCTTACACCTCTAGAGGGTGATTTTCTTGTTATTCTCATTTTCCACACTGGGAAGTGGAGGCTCCCAGTGGGTGTGGGTTGGGAGGAACCAGCAGGCGTCACACTCAGGACAGCCATCCCAGAGCCTGGGCCTTTGCTAGGTACGTCGCTCTCTAAATGCCCCTGTGCAAAAACACCTCCTGTTCTTTCCTCTCGTTTATATCTCTCGTTCTCTTGTGCGTACAGTGGCCCAGAATTGCAGGTGAATGCCCATGCACAGACGGGCAAACCCATACACTGCCCAGGACCCCTGGCCCCCTGAGGCCCACCATGCATGCCGGTGCTGCACCGCACAGGTATAGATCTTTCCTTCGGGTGCTGTGTACACAGAACCCCTCGAATCGAAAGTTACCCCCTCCAATAAGCCCTCCTACACCCTGAAAGATATGAGTCATCTCACGCCCAAGCCTCTCCCCCTCATACTCAGGTCCCGTTCACCGGCCCAGATTCCTCAACCCACACAAATCACACACACCCACAGTCGGAATTCAGATCCCCCCAGGCGCCTGCGCACACACACGCGCACAAAACACCTGCCACCCGGAGACATTTTCCACCCCGTCCCCCAGAACGCAGCCACTGCGCCCTTGCGGCCTTGCTTGCTCTCCACTGGCCAAGGACTCTGAATCTCCACCAGGCCTGTAAACGGGGAGCTCAGATGACAGAGGCAGTGGTGTGCTTCGTTTCCATTTTAAACACACGTTTATGCTGTTAGTGCCCTTTTAGGGAGAAAAATCCCTCATCTCAACAAAATAAACTACCATGGGGCGTATGCTTTGTGCTTGGCTATGACTATGACTATGCAACAAGTAATTTCTTTTTCAAATGAGTGCCCAGGTTAGAAGGAATCAGGTTCATTGGTGCGGAGATTATGCCAACAGAAACTCATTTCAGAAACAAGAAGCAAGCCCTGAGCAGTTGGAGACGAAAGCGTTTTCTCCGAGATTCTCTTTCCGCTACTTCGGGGGGCGGGTGGTGAAAGGCTCCGTAAGGTGAAAAGAGAAAGGAAGAAGCAAACAGCTATTTTTTTGTTGCCAGTTATAGCTGAGAAACAAATGTGGCTGAAGGGCACCCCTACCCACGTTGGCCGTGAGGCCGTTTGATGGGCTTTGTGTGAGGAATCCTGAGATGAGCTGGCCGGGGAGTGAGGACCGGCACCCGCCTACAGCAGCGATCTGGAGTAGTGAGTGAGCAGCCCCAGCTGACACAGAGAAGGAGAGAGAGAACTCTGACCCCTTCTCTTCTGAGGACACCCAGCCGGAGAGAGCAAGAAGGGGTGGAGTGTGGGGGTGGGGGCAGGAGCCTCTGCTGTTCCTTTCCAAGACTTTTTCTTCCTGTTTTCCCCAAGCCTCCACAACTCTAAATATGACGAGCTCTCAACTGTGAGCTAATAATGTTGAATGTAACGCCCTTTGTGTCCTTAGATGACAAAAAGACTTGTGAGTACTAGAGGAGAGGGTGATGTTGGTGTGAATTTTCCACATTGGTCCGTGTCTCCGTGGACTGGCCGCTTCCCCCGCTGGTAGCTTCATGGCTGTGAGAGGCCATGCGGTGGATGGAGCCACCGCTGCACTGGGGTCCTGGCTCGAACTTGAGTAAGGTGCTGTCTTCCAAGTCTGGAGAGGAGAGGAGGAGAGAAGAGAGGCAGTCCCTTCAGCACCTTGGAGAGCGCTCCCGGCTGCCTGCCTGGGTTGGGTGGACGGCTGGACTCACTTTCGCTCTAGGCATCCTCTTCAAGCCAAACCATCTCTCCTTGCCAGTGACCGCCTGGTCCCGGACCCTCCAGCACACTCAACCACCAGAAGTGTGCCTATGCCTGTGCCAGATGTGGGGGCCACGCCTGCGATCCCAACACTTTGGGAGGCCGAGATGGGAGGTTCACTTGAGCCCAGGAGTTTGAGACCAGCCTGGGCAACATTGTGAGACCCCCGTCTCTACAAAAAATACAAAAATTAGCCAGGTGTGGTGCTGCACGCCTGTGGTCCCACCACTCAGGAGGCTGAGGTGAGAGGATCGCTTGAGCCCCGGAGGTCAAGGCTGCAGTGAGCCAAGATGGTGCCACTGCACTCCAGCCTGCTGACAGAGCCAGACCCCATCTCAAAAGAAAAAGAAGAAGTGTGCCTGGTCCTACTCAGTCGGTGCATGGATTCCATGCTCCAGGAAGGGCTGCCACTTGGCATGCCTGCCTATGTTTTCACCCCTACCCTGTCAGTCCTTCCTGAAGAAGTGAGTGTCTTCTGAGGTAACATCCTCTGCTGGTCAACTGGGAGAGCAGCTCCCAGCTTGTGGAGGTGGGTTTGGGGGTGAGACTTTATTTTTTTGTTTTTATTTATTTATTTATCTGTTTTGAGATGGAGTCTCACCCTGTAGCCCAAGGTGGAGTGCAGTGGAGTGATCTTGGCTCATTGCAACCTCTGCCTCCTGGGCTCAAGTCATTCTCATGCCTCAGCCTCCCGAGTAGCTGGGATTACAGGCATACACCACCACACCTGGCTAATGTTTTGGGTTTTAGTAGAGACAGTGTTTTGCCATGTTGGCCAGGCTGGTCTTGAACTGAACTCAGGCGATCTGCGTGCCTCGGCCTCCCAAAGTGTTGGGATTACAGGTGTGAGCCACTGTGCCCGGCCTAGGGTGAGACTTTAGTAAGATGTATAGAAGTTGCTCTGAAGTCTAAGGTGTATTCCTGCCATAGGATATGTGTGTTCACTTCTCTTGGAGCATAACAGGGGTCATAGGTGCACAGCCGAAGGCAGGCAGAGGAATGATTTGTCTGTACCAGTCAGTGAAACTGTTTCACCACCATTCTCTTTACATCTGCCTCAATGGGTGAGTCCTCTAGACCAATGGTCCCCAACCTTTTTGGCACCAGGGACCTGTTTCATGGAAGACAATTTTTCTACCGCCCAGGGTTGAGGGATGGTTTTGGGATGATTCAGGCGCATTCTATTTATTGTGTGCTTTATTTCTATTATTATTACATTGTAATATATAGTGAAGTAATAATACAACTCACCATCATGTAGAATCAGTGGGAGCCCTGAGTTTGTTTTCCTACAACTAGACGGTCTCATCTGGGGGTGATGGGAGATAGTGACAGATCATCGGACATTAGATTATCATAAGGAGTGTGCAAACTAGGTCCCTGGCATGAGCAGTTTCCAGTAGGCTCTGCATTCCTATGAGAATCTAATGCTGCTGCTGATCTCACAGGAGGCAGAGCTCAGGCAGTAATGCAAGCGTTGGAGAGCGGCTGTAAATACAGACGAAGCTTCACTTGCTTGCTTACTCACTCGCCACTCACCTCCTGCTGTGTGGCTGGGTTCCTAACAGGCAACGAACCAGTACCAGCCACATTTCACGGGCTCAACAGCCACCTGGGACTAGTCGCCACCATATTGGACAATGTAAATCCAGAACATTCCATCAGTGCAGAAAGCTTTATTGGGCAGGCAGCACTGGTCTGGAGTGTAAGTTCCATATGGGAAGCGGTTTGTGTCCATGCTGGTCACTGCCATGTGCCCAGTGACTAAAATGGTGCTGGCACGTGGTGGTCAATAAATATTTGTGGAATGAATGACCTGTGCAAGTAAATGCGGTAGTATTTGGTAATTTTGTTTACCGTCATTATTTCGTATGCCTGTTTCATTGCAAGACCTTAGAATTGGACGTAGTTAAAGGAAAGTTTTTCCGTGAGACCCTCATGTCCACAGGTCAGTCTCCCTTTACAATTAGCATTAAAACATGCCTGTTCTAATTCCTTGATCAGTTTTGTTTTGTGGTTGGCTTTGTCATTGCTCCTTAAGAGACTGCCAGTGTTTCATATGAGAAAGATGATGGTGTTGAATGCAGTGAATAATGGAGCGATACCAGCAGTCATGACTGGGAGGCATTTTTGGACCACGATTTAATGAGTAGCATTCATTGCAAAGTGCAAAGAAAGGCCCATGGAAAGATGAGTACCCTCCAGTCTGCTTAATTCCTCACTATCTTTTTACTGCTCCCTTTTCCTTGGCTTGATTCGTTCAGTCATTGGAGAAGCATTTGCCAAGTTCAGACCGTGTTCAAGGCACAAAGACAGAAAAGCTCAGGTCCAACCTCAGTGAATCAGCCTTAAGTATTTGCTGAGCATTGAGTATGTACGCAGTACAGAGTTTGTGGTAACGTGGAAGATTGGAAAAAAAGAAACAAACACATAAAAATGAAAATGCAAGAAATAGGATGTCCTATGTTCTACCAGGAAGAATAAGGAGTCTGAACAGGGATGCAAAACCGAGATATATGGAATAATTCAGGGTTTCTCATGCCACAGTGGGGGTCCTGAATGGGAGCACCACAGGGCAGGGACCTGAGGAGGGGCAGGGCAGGTGTGTGTGTCCCTGAAGGAGCGGCAGAGGCTTCTGGGGGTAGGCAGTGCCTGAGTTGAGTCTGGAAGGGCAGTAGGGTGAGAGTTGTTATCCCAAGCCTGAGGCTGCAGATTTGTTCGAGGCCATGTCTCCCTCAGCCTCAGCTTCCCCATCTCTATGATTTAGTCATGACATTTTTTTCCTTCTCAACATGTGCCATCTCCCTCCTACCTATGAATGTCACGGGTATTGTTCTGGACCCAGGGAAGGCTCGCTGGTGCAAATGCTTTCCAAAAACACCGAGAGTCGCTCTCTCTGCTGCTGGTGGAGTCTGAGTTGGGCAGGACATGGGCCCGCCTCTGTCTGCTGCTCTATGCCAGTGCTTCCCAAGCCTGAGTGTTACAAGAACCACCTGGAAGGTGTGTCAAGACACAGATTTCCAGCCCCACCCCTGAGTCTCTGGGCCTGGGATGCCACCCAAGAATTTATATTTCTTACAAATTTCAGGCGATGCTGAGGCTGCTGATCTGGGGACCTCACATTAAGAACCACAGTCCTGGGCTTGTGCCTCCTAAGCCTGGCTACACATTCGAGTCACTAAGAATGTCCCTGGGAGACGGTTAGAAATGCAGCGTGTCAGGCCTGCCTGACCTCCAGGGTCAGGATGTGTGTTTGGAGATGCTCAGGTGGCTGCAGTGCAGGAGATCCTGCTTTGGTGCACTCACTTTAACCCTAGCTGTGCATGAGCTTCATCTAGGTTGCTTTAGAAAATGCAGATGCCCGGGCCCCACCCACAGGTGCTGATTGAGGTCCTCTGGGTACAGCCTGGGCATTGGGATTCTTTTTATTTTAATTTTTTTCAGACGGGGGCTGGCTCCGTCTGTCGTCCTGGCGTGCAATAGTGTGTGATCGTGGCTCACTGCAACCTCTGCCTCCTGGCCTCAAGCCATCTTCCCACCTCAGCCTCCTGAGTAGCTGGGACTGCAGGCATGCACCCCCATGCCCAGCTAAGTTTTGTTATTTGTTGTAGAGATGGGGTTTTGTCGTGTTTCCCAGACTGGTCTCAAACTCCTGAGCTCAAGCGATCCGCCCACCTTGGCCTCCTGAAGTGCTTTTACAGGTGTGAGCAACTTTTTTACAGGATTACAGGTGTGAGCAACTGCACCTGGCCTGAGATTATTTTTTAAACATTCCAGGTGATTCTAACGTTCAGCGCAGGTTGAGGACCACTCATCTGGAGCGTCTGTAGCTGGACATCACTTGGGAGCTTTGATGACTGACCCATGCCGGGGTCCATCCAAGACCACTGACACTGGAAACTTTAAGGCGGGGGTCTCAGCCTGAGTATCTGGTCACAGCAAGCAGGGCCTAGAGTTGCAGCTGTAGATAAGAGTTTTTCACACTCTGGGTCAAGTGGTTCATGAAATTAATATAGTACATTAAAATAGACTAGAGGCCGGGCGTGGTGGCTCATGCCTGTAATCCCAGCACTTTGGGAGGCCGAGGCGGGCGGAGGCCGAGGAGGTCAGGAGATTGAGACCATCCTGGCTAACACAGTGAAACCCCGTCTCTACTAAAAATACAAAAAAAATATTAGCTGGGCTTGGTGGCGGGCGGGCACCTGTAGTCCCAGCTACTCTGGAGGCTGAGGCAGGAGAATGGCATGAACCTGGGAGGCGGAGCTTGCAGTGAGCCAAGATAGCGCCCCTGCAGTCCGGCCTGGGTGAAAGAGTGAGACTCCGTCTCAAAAAAAATAAAGTAAAATAAAGTAGACTAGAAATTTTCCAAGCACAATACCTACGTTTCTTTCTTTCTCTTTTTTTTTTTTTTTTTTTGAGACAGAGTCTCACTCTGTCGCCTAGGCTGGAGTGCAGTGGCGCGATCTCGGCTCACTGCAAGCTCCGCCTGCCGGATTCACGCCATTCTCCTGCCTCAGCCTCCCGAGTAGCTGGGACTACAGGTACCCACCACCACGTCCGGCTAATTTTTTGTATTTTGTTTAGTAGAGACGGGGTTTCACCGTGTTAGCCAGGATGGTCTCGATCTCCTGACCTCGTGAACCGCCCGCCTCGGCCTCCCAAAGTGCTGGAATTACAGGTAGCGTGAACTCAGCTCACTGCAGCCTCTGCTTCCCGAGTTCAAGCCATTCTCCTGCCTCTGCCTCCCGAGTAGCTGGGATTACAGGTGCCCACGACCATGCCTGGCTAATTTTTGTATTTTTGGTAGAGACGGGGTTTCACCATGTTGGCCAGACTGGTCTTGAACTCTTGACCTCAAGTGATCCGCCCACCTCAGCCTCTCAAAGTGCTGGGATTACAGGTGTGAGCCACCTAGCCCAGCCTATTGTGTTGTTTTTGAATATATTTTTGATCTGCAGTTGGTTGAATTTGTGGACTTGGAACCTGAAGCTATAGAGGGCTGACTGTGTATGATAACCTAGAACTGCAAAGCCAGGGAATTCCTTTGAAAGAAAAACACTTTTTCTTTCTAAAACATCTATTTTGTTCCAAGTATTGTGCTGGGCATTTTATCATAGACGTTATATCTTACATTCCTTAAGATAATGCCTTGAGATAAGGCATTCCGCTCCCATTTAAAAGACAGGAAAGGTGAGGCTCACAGGGTCACACTCGCTGAGATCACAGCGCTGCAAACTTGTTTCTGGCCGCAGAATTGTTTCCGGCGCTCCGAGATGCCTTTCTTGATGGAGCCAGCATTCCAGGGGCCCACTTGCTTTACAGATGAGGAAACTGAGGCCCACCAAGGGAGGGGCCCTGCCCCAGGTCTCACAGTGAAGCAGGGGCAGAGAGGTTTCACTCCCAGCAATTTGTAAGCTTGGGGGACTGCCAGCGTGGTGTGGACACAGAGCTGCGTGACCCCTCCCAGGATAAAAGCAGGTCCCTGCAGATACGAGGAGCCGCGTGTCCCCTCCCAGGATAAAGGCAGGTCCCTGCACACAGGAGCTACACGTCCCCTCCCAGGATAAACACAGGTCCCTGTACACAGGAGGAGCTGTGCGTCCCCTCCAAGGATAAAGGCAGGTCCCTGTACACAGGAGGAGCTGTGCGTCCCCTCCAAGGATAAAGGCAGGTCCCTGTACACAGGAGGAGCTGTGCGTCCCCTCCAAGGATAAAGGCAGGTCCCTGTTCACAGGAGGAGCTGTGCGTCCCCTCCCAGGATAAGTGCTGGTCCCTGCACACACGAGGGTCCGCGCGTCCCCCGCAGGATAAACGCAGGTCCATGCACACAGGAGGAGCTGCGTGTCCTTTCCCAGGATAAAGGCAGGTCTCTGTACACGTGTGGAGCTGTCTGTTCCCTCCCAGGATAAACGCTGGTCCCTGCACACAAGGGGGTCTGCGCCTCCCCGTCCCAGGATAAAGGCAGGTCCCTGCACACGTGAGGAGCCGCGCGTCCCCTCCCGGGATAAACTCTGGTCCCTGCACACACGAGGAGCCGCGCGTCCCCTCCCGGGATAAACGCTGGTCCCTGCACACACGAGGAGCCGCGTGTCCTCTCCCAGGATAAACGCTGGTCCCTGCACACGTGAGGAGCTGTGCGTCCCTTCCCGGGATAAACGCTGGTCCCTGCACACACGAGGAGCCGCGCGTCCCCTCCCGGGATAAACGCTGGTCCCTGCACACACGAGGAGCCGCGCGTCCCCTCCCGGGATAAACGCTGGTCCCTGCACACACGAGGAGCCGCGCGTCCCCTCCCGGGATAAACGCTGGTCCCTGCACACACGAGGAGCCGCGCGTCCCCTCCCGGGATAAACGCTGGTCCCTGCACACGTGAGGAGCTGTGCGTCCCTTCCCAGAATAAAGGAAGGTCCCTGCACACATGAGGGTTGGTGGCTCTCCTGAGGGTTCACAGGTTCCCGGGGACCCATCCACAGATCCCCAGATAAGAACCTGTCCATCCTCCCCGGGGCCTAAGCGTGCCCAGATTGATCTCAGTTTGCCCAGTGAGTAGAAAAATAGGCCGGGATCAGCAGATTCCTATAGACCTGGTGGAGGCCTGGGCTGGAGTAGACCCAGGCAGAGTTGGTCTTTCACCTCGCCCCCTTCCGGAGGCCCCGTACCCTTGGGGTCAGCATCCAGGCAACATGGGATACCCAGAACCTTCTTTCTTGTCCTGAGCCCTTCTCTCCCAGCTCGGCATGGACTTGAGTGACAGCTGCTGTGTTTCTTTCCTGCCCAGTGAGTGGGGCCGGGCCCTGGAGCTTTCCCTGTTCATTTGTTTCGTCTCCTTGTGGGGAAAGCATGGCTCCCCCATTTTCCAGATGGGAAGCAGGCTCAGAGATGCAACAGAAGTGGGAAGTGATGGAGCAGGGACTCCATAGCTCCAGTCACGAGTCTCAAACTCTGTGCGCATCTGGGTCGCCTGACCCGGCCTCCCTGACCCGGGCTGCCCAGAAGGGAGCCCAGGAATGCCGGGGAGGGTCACACAGCCAGGGCCATTCAATGCAGGTGGTGCTGGGACCACGCCTTGAGAAGCTCCAGTCGCCTTCCCTCCTCTGCAATGAGGCATTGCTAGGGGGAGGCGAGTGGGGGAAGAGACCGGGTCTGTTGGGGTCAGCCCCGGGCACAGCACCCGACAGCAGAGGAGACCTCCGGAAATCATGGCTGGATGGGTCAATGAGTGGTCAATCAGGCGAGCTCTGAGCGACAGGAGGGGCCGGTGGTGTGGAGAGAGGGAAGAAGAGCCTGCAGGAGGGAGACGGTGCGTGCAGGGGCACCACGGCCAGAGCCTGCTTGGTGTTCAGAGAGCCCTGTGGCTGCCGCAGTTGGGAGAAGGGCACGGGGTCTGAGCACAGACAGCTTCCAGGCCCCAGGGTTGGGGGACTTTGAATTTTCTCCAGGGCCCGGGAACGACATTGTCTGATTTAAGCAGAACAGCAACGCAATCTGGTTTTGTGTGTGTGTGTGTGTGTGTGTGTGTGTGTGTGTGTGTGTGTGTGTATTTTTTTTTTTTTGAGACAGAGTCTTGTTCTATTGCCCAGGCGGGAGAGCAGTGGCGCGATCTCAGCTCACTACAGGCTCCACCTCCTGGGTTCACGCCGTTCTCCTGCCTCAGCCTCCCGAGTAGCTGGGACTACAGGCGCCCGCCACCACGCCTGGTTAAGTTTTTGTATTTTTTTTTTTTTTGTATTTTTAGTAAAGACAGGGTTTCACCGTGTTAGCCAGGATGGTCTTGATCTCCTGACCTCGTGATCCGCCCACCTCGGCCTTCCAAAGTGCTGGGATTACAGGTGTGAGCCACTGTGCCCAGCCAGGTTTTGTATTTTTGTAATTACACTTTTTATTTTGAGATCACCGTAGATTCCCAGGCAGTGGTGAGGAATAGATCAGAGATCCGGTGTCCCCCTCATGTGGTCTCTCCCGAGGTGGCATCCTGTGCAACTGATGACATGTCGGAACCGGATATTGACGTGGACACAGTCAGGATGGGGAGCACCCGCGCCCCGGGGTCCCTTGTGTTGCCCTTTTGTAGCCATACCCGCTGCCCTGGCAGCCTCTGAGCTGTTCTCCATTCCTTCAGTTTCGTCGTTTCCAAAATGCTCTGTAAACGGAAAAGTACAGTTCGTCATTTTGGGGCTGGCTTTCGTCACTCAGCCTCATTTGCTGGAGATTCTTAGGTGTTGCCTATATCAATAGTTCGTTCCAGGCTGGGCTCCGTGGCTCACGCCTGTAATCCCAGCACTTTGAGAGGCCTAGGCGGGTGGGTCACCTGAGGTCAGGAGTTCGAGACCAGCCTGGCCAACATGGTGAAACCCCGTCTTTACTAAAAATGTAAAATTAGCCGGGTGCGGTGGTGCGTACCTGTAATCACAGCTACTCGGAGGCTGAGGCAGGAGAATCACTTGAGCCTGGGAGGCGGAGGTTGCAGTGAGCCGAGATTGCGCCGTTGCACTCCAGCCTGGGTGACAGAGTGAGACTCTGTCTCAAAAAACAAACAAACAACAAACCAAAAAACCAAATAAAATAGTCCTTTCTTTCTTATTGCTGGGCGGTGTCCCACGGTGTGGATGGGCCGTTTGTTTAACCATCTGTCCCTTGAAGGGCATCTGGGGTGTCTCCAGCGTGGGATGTCGTGAATTTAAAAAGCTGCTGCCAACTCTCAGGTCCAGGTTTTCCTGTGCACAGATGTCTTCGCTTTCCCCCAGTGGATGCCAGGAGAGCTGGTGCTGGGCCGTGTGGAAGTTGTATGGCTGAGTTCACGTGGTCACTCTGGTGCTGGCAGGGCAGGGAAATGGGGGGCCAGAGAGGAAGCTGGGGGTCATGGGAGGGATGCCACCTCTAGGGAGGGGTGCCTGTGTCCAAGGAGTGGAGATAGTGGCTGGGTCTGGTGGGGGCTGTGGAGGTAGGGGGGCTGCATGGTAGGGCAGAGGCCAGGAGTCTGGGACTGGGTGGTCCTGTCTTTGAGGGAATTTGGAGAAGGAGCAGGTGCAGGTGCAGGAGCTGAGAGTCACCTGTGAAACATGCTCAGCAGAGAAGCTGTGCGCAGCCGGGGCAGGGGTGCGTCCATGGTGGGGATGGTGTGTCTGGGTGGAAGGGGCGGGGCATCTCCCACTCCCGGTGGCATTGAATAGTGCGAGGGGAGTGGCTGGGCGCGGTGGCTCATGCCTGTAATCCCAGCACTTTGGGAGACTGAGGTGGGCGGATCACTTGAGTTCAGGAGTTTGAGACCAGCCTGGGCATCATAACGAAGCCCCGTCTCTACAGAAAATACAAAAATTAGCTGGGGCATGGCAGCCTGCGCCTGCAGTCCCAGCCACTCCGGAGGCTGAGGTGGGAGAATCACTTCAGCCCGGGAGGTGCAGGTTGCAGTGAGTTGAGATTGGGCCACTGCACTCTAGCCTGGGCGACATAATGAGACGCTGTCTCAAAAAAATAAATAAATAAATAATAAAACTTGGAAATAAGGCAAAAAATATTATTTAAAGAAAACAGAAAGTGGGAGGGGAGAAATGCACAGGATGGAGCCTAGGGGAGCCCCAGGACTCGAGAAGTGGGCAGAGGAAGAGGAGGCAGGAGGAGGGAGGGAGGCCGGGCAGCAGCTGGGGGAGGAGGGCGTGGACAGGCCGGGAAAAGGAGCAAAGGCAGGATGAGGACACAACACTGGCCTGTGCCTGGCCTTGTGGCAAACACCTCATCCCTTAGGCCATTGGCCATCGTCCCTGCTGTCCTACAGCCCCGAGAGGCCAGGTACGTCCATGTGTCGTGCCCATTTTACAGACGGTGGAGCTCAGGCCTGGGAGACAGACTGACAGTGTTCGGCACTAACTCCACCCCAGCCTTTTTCCACCTGGCCACACTGTTTACTCGTTCCCGCCAGCAGCATGGGGGCTCTGGTGTTTCTGCGTCCTCATCCGCACCTGTCATCGCCTGTCTTTTTGGTTGCAGCCACTTCTGGGATGGATTTCCTGGAGGCTGGTGCTGAGTCTCTCTAGGTGCTTGTCGGCCCATTGGTACATCTTTGGAGCAATGCCTGTTCAGATCCTTGCCCATTTAAAAATTGGGTTATTTCAGGCCGGGCGCAGTGCTCACACCTGTAATTCCAGCACTTTGGGAGGCCGAGGTGGGCAGATCACCTGAGGCCAGGAGTTTGAGACCAGCCTGGCCAACATGGCAAAACTGCATCTCTACTAAAAATGGGAAAATGAGCTGGGCGTGATGGCAGGCGCCTGTAATCCCAGCTACTCGGAAGCTGAGGCAGGAGAATCACTCGAACCTGGGAGGCAGAGGTTGCAGTGAGCCAGGATTGCACCACTGCACTCTAGCCTGGGCAACAGAGTAAGACTCTGTCTCAAAAAAAAAAAAAAGGGGGGGCACTGCGCACCAGCCTGGGCAACATGGCAAAACCCCATTTCTATAAAAAATGCAAAAAATTAGCTGGGCATGGTGGTGCCTGTAGTCCCAGCTATGAGGAAGGCTGAAGCAGGAGTATCACTTGAGCTCAGGAAATCAAGGCTGCCGTGAGCTATGATCACGCCACTGCATTCCAGCCTGGGTGACAGAGCGAGACCCTGTCTTAAGAAAAAAAAAAAAAAGAAGGATTATTTGTCTTCTTACTGTTGAGTTGTGACATTTTCGTAGGCTGTAGACACCACTGTGAGCCACCGGCTCCCCTGCACCCCAGCCCACCTGGCTGCAGGCTGCCTGCTCCGTTGGAGGTTGGACTTCTGAGATAAACTGCGCTGGGTGTCTGTCTCTTGGCTCCAGAGTACCAGGCACAGTGCCATGCACACAGTAGGTGCTCAGTAAGCGGCGACAGGACAAAGCCAGGATCTCAGTCTGCGGCTTGGAGGGGTCTGGGGTCCGGCTGTCACTATCTGGCTCTGCTTACCAGCTCCGGTCCTCGGACACCACGACGGCTGCAGGCAGAGGGAGGAGCCACGGAGTCTGGGGGGATGTTGGGCCACACAAGTATCTACTGAGCGCCGACTGTGTGCTAGGCAACAAGCTGGCCCTGGGGACAGTGGTGAACAAAGAGCCCTAGGACTTCTTGGTTGGGGGAATAGGACCCGTCAGTCAGCCCTGCACAGCTTCCTGCGGGGCACGGATGGGGCGCAAGGAAGGGGCTGGAGATGCCTTCTAGGGAGTGAGGCTGGTGAGCGGGTTGGGGAGGAACCATGGGGCCTCCCAGACTTCAGGAGGCGCATCTGTGAGCACCAGGGACAGAAGGAACAGGGCCACCCTGGGACCCAGTGCGCAAGGAGCCCAAGGGCCCTCACACGTCACCCTTGGGTGTGCCAGAGCCAGTCCAGTTGTTAAGAAAAACAAGAGCCGGAGGTAAACCCCTTGGGAAACAGAGGTCCCAGCCCACAGTACTGCGTGGGAGGGAGAAGTGTGGGAGTCACCTGGGCTCTGGGGTCCCTCAGGCCAGCAATGGGGACTGGGATCCCAGCGCAGGCTGAGCCTGGGTGGCTATGTCCACACTGCAGAGACCTATCGTGAGCAAGTTTATGGTGCATTCCTGTGTGGAAGAGTACAGCAGAGGCCAGGGGGGTGGGGCTGCAGCGACAGTGACCAGGAGTCACCCATAGGGGCAGGGTCCTGGTGTCATGGGCCAGAGCGGGCCAGAGCGGGGACGGGGGGCAAAGGGAAGGAGCATTTGAGCCTGGATGGGGGTGTGGTTAGCAGAGAGGTGGGAGGGGAGGGAGAGAGAGAGAGAAGGAGAGAGAGGGAGAGAAGGAGAGAAGAGAGGGAGAGGGGGAGGGGAAGAAGGAGAAAAGGGAGAGGGGTGGGCTGTGAGGAGAGGGAGGGGAAGGGCTGCAGAGGGGGAACGTCAGTCCTGCCATGGGGGGGACGTGCGTTGTTCCTCGCCCCTCCCTTCCAGGTTTTGATGGTGCTGTTTCCTGCGTTTACACCACAGCTCTTTTTGCGTCTTTCCTTGGATTCCACACAGCAGCCCTGTGAGGCGCTGTCCTCCTGCTGCCCGGAGGAGGAGACTGAGGCCAGAGATGCGGCAAATTTCCCAAGGCCACACGGTTCTGCTGTTGGGGCGGCACTGGGCCTCCCTGCCCGCCTGCCTCAGTCTGGCCCTGTGAAGAGGTCTCTTGGAACTGTTAGGAGCATTCGAAAGAAACTGGGCCCCTGGGCTGGGTACGGTGGCTCGCGCCTATAATCCCAGCACTTTGGGAGGCTGAGGCCTGAGCACTTGAGGTCAGGAGTTTGAGACCAGCTTGGCCAACATGGTGGAACCCCATCTCTACCAAAAAATACAAAAATCAGCCAGGCATGGTGGCGGGCGCCTGTAGTCCCAGCTACTCAGGAGGCTGAGACAGGAGAATTGCTTGAGCCCGGGAGGCGGAGGTTGCAGTGAGCCGAAATCGTGCCACTGCACTCCAGCCTGGGCAACAGAGCGAGACTCTGTCTCAAAAGGAAAAAGAAAAAGAAACTGGTCCCCTGGAGCGCAGGGGTCAGCAGCTAACTTCTCGCCCTGGCAGCTGGACCCGACTTGGCCCAGAGTGCCAGGGCCAGTGCCCCCATCTGCTCTGTGTCGGGAGGGGCTGCTGGCAGGAGGAGGTGGCCACTCCAAAATCCTATAGACGGAGTCCGGGGGAGGGGGTTCGGGACAGGAACAGCCCAGACCTGGGATCCGCGGCTGCGCAAGGGGCTTCAGGGTGGTCTGGGCCTGGTTCTGAGCCCTGTGAATCCAAGGCCACAGGACTGGGCCTGGGGGCTTCTGAATCCCCACCAGTGCCTTCTTGCTCTCAGGAGCGTTGGCCAACCCCCCAGGCCCCAGGGCTTCCCCTCGTGATTCTCCTCTGAGAGAAACACACCCACCTACAGCCGCCAGCCAGGAGCAATTGCTGTGCAAACACCCGGGACTGTCTCAGACGGTGGATGCAGGCAGCCAAGCCCCCGGAAGGCTCCGGTTGAAGGGCCGGGTTTATTCCTCCCTGCAATGAGGGTGGACACTCCCCCAGGAACCACGGGGCAAGAGGGTGTTGGGAAGAGCCCCACTAGGGTTTGGGGTTTGGGTGGGTGGTGGGGAGGGGACAGTCTAGGGACGTAGGGCTCACTAGACCAAGTGCTGTTGGAAAGGGGGCGATTCTCCTGTGGGTGCGTTGGTCACTGTCGCCTGTAGACATGGGAGACCTGCACCAAAATAATGCGGAGATGGGTCAAGAAGCAGCCGCCCCTCCCCTTAGTCGAGAGGGGGGATGGTTGGTGATCGTGGGTGGCACAGTGACCTGTTTCTATCTCACTCTACTGTGATCTCAGAGTGACCTTGTCTGGGGTCACTGGGGTGTTCTGGGAGATGGTTTATATCCAACAGAAGAACGACGCAGCCTGGCAGGAGCTCCAGGTGTCAGGGGGGGGCCCCTTTGGGGTGGAGGGGATGCCTCAGAGCCAGCCGCATGCCACCCCACAAGCTACCTCTCTGCCGCCGTCTGCCCCAGAGCTGCCTGCCTTCCGAGGCCTCAGCTGGTCCTGTGCGTCCCTGCGTCTCCAGGACTCTTGGGTGATGGCTCAGGGGAAGTTTCCAGAAAGCCCAGCCATTTCCTCCTCTCCTCCTGGGCTTGGGTCTGAGGTCAGCTTCCCAGGGGGCACCCAAGCCTCCGTGAGCAAGGACAGAGAGTGGCTGGAGTGAGAACGGGTGCTGCTGACCTTTGGCGGTGGGAGGGTGTCTCCAGCTGTGTTCCCATTTCTCAGTGACTACCAGGTGCTGTGGCCCTTGGCTGCAGAGGGGCGTGCAGGCAGCCTCTCCTTCCTGTGAAGCAGCAGCTGTGGCAGGGCCGGGAAGTAGAGCTCCCCTCTGTGAGGCTGTGGCTGGGGTAGGAGGAGAGCTCTCCCTTCTGCGAGGCTGTGGCTGGGATGGAAGTCTGCCAGAGGCGGGCTCAGAAGAAGTTCCATGAGGAACTGAGGGCTGGGACCTGCAGGAGGAGCTGAGGGTGCATGGGGTCTGGGGGAGCCCCAGAGATGGTCAGGGTCTCCTCCTGATAAATCAGACCCCCCCCCGCCCCACCCTGCCGCTGAGAGGCCTGGTCCTGCTCTAAACCTGGAGTGGATGGGGAGCGTGGGCTGGGGCTGGGGGGCTGGGGAGGTGGTGTAGCCAGTGCCCTGCCCCAACTCAGCCTCTGGTCACCCTTCCAGGGCTGGCAAGGCATTGGGGGTATGAGAGGGCCCTGGGGTCCCAGGGTCTCAGAGGACTTGCCTTCTCTGCGATGGCCGCTACTACCTGGGTCCCACAGGGGGGTAAGTTCAGAGGGGGACCTGGTGGAGGTCGGCTGTGGGCAGGGGAGCCACAGGAGTGTCCAGGCCCCTCCCAGGCCAGCCCCACAGATTCTGAGGCAGCAGTGGGGGCCTCAATGGAGGAGTCCACTCTGCCCACCCCGGATACTGCCCAGCCAGCCTGGGTTCCAGCGTGGGCCAAGCTCTCGTCCTGGTCTCCTGGGAGCTGTGTGGTCCTGCAAGGACCTCAGCACCTTCCTTGCTTTGAGCATCCCTCCCCCAAGGCCTGGCTGACACTCGGAGCCAGTATCCATAGAGGGCTGCAGGGGCAGGCGAGGGTGGACACTGATGTCCTTGGCTCATTCCTCCCTGGCTGGCTGCTCTGATGTCCAGCAGGGTGGGCGTGAGGCTCATGGGGGGCTCCCCAGCCAGGGCAGGACCTGGGGTAACCCTATCCTGGGATGTTTGCTCCCGCTGTGTGGGGGACATGCCGTTTCCATGAGTGACAGAGTCACCGATGTGGCCAGTACCACTGTGGGCTTGAGGCATCTTCTAGTTTAAGGAAATGTTAAATTTCAAGTAAAGCTTAGTGAAAATAAGGATGCAATTTCATTCCCCAACAAAACAACCTCTATTTCCTTCTGTGAACCCCTTGGGAGCTGCAGACCCCGAGTTCCGGACCCCCTCACCTCACTCTCCTCCTTCGGAGCCAAAGTGGTGCCTGAAATCTGAGGCCCCATCTCTGAGTCCTGCACTGGTCCTGGCCCGAACACTCCCCCACAACGCATGGGCCACAAGGACCCTCTGGGCAGATTTTGGGGTGTCTTTGGAGGTTTAGGGGCAAAGCTTGAAAACTGTGGGGTCCTCCCTGGGGACCACATGCCCAGCTGTGGGGTCCCCCGAGGCCGCAGAGCAAGCTTTCTGGAAGATCCTCCTCCTTTGAGAGCCACCATGGAGCCCCCATAATGGGAATGGAGGGTGTTGCCATTAAACATGGCCTTGGCGTTGCCCAGAAGTCTAGGTGTGTCCCTGTCAGCTGGGAGGGGACAGGGTAACTGTGCGGCCCTCCCCAGGGCTGAGGCTGGGGCAGCCTCCAGAGGCCAGGTTGTCGCTGTCACTCCCCAAATGGAGGGTCCCCCTCATTCCCTGATTGCAGAAAAAGGGCTCCAGTAAGTCTGGCTTTTAAAAAATACAGCTTTGCTGACATATGTTTCACACACCGTACAATTCACCCATTTAAACTGTACAGTCCAGTGGTTTCTAGAATATTCAGAGTTGTGTCACTCTCACCATAATCAATTTTAGAACATTTTCATCGTCTCAAGAAGAAACCCTCTAGCTAGCTACCCCTTCCCCATTCCCACGGCTCCCCACCCCTGGTGACCGAGACTCCATTTTCTGTCTTTGTGGGTTTGCTGCTCCTGACGTTTCGCATGCGTGGAGTCATACGCTGAGAGGCCTTTTGTGTGTCGCTTCTGTTGCCCAGCGTTGTTTTCAGGGTTCACCCGCGTGGGAGCTGCATGAGTCCACTTCTTCGTATCGCTGAGTAATATTCCACTGCGGGGCACCGCGTTTTGTGTGAATCTGCCACCACTCAGGATGGCTCATGGGTGGAAACAGCCTAAAGCTGGCAGAGGTTTGGGCTGTTTGCCAGCCCTGGGTCACTTTTGGGCTGTTTCCACCTGGGGGCTATCCTGAGTCGTGCTGCTGTGACCATTTGCGTCCTTTCGTTTCCTCCTGGGTGGAGATTGTGGGGTGGCCTGGCTGGGTCGCTCTGGGCCCAACTCTCTGAGAAGAGCTGTTGAACACATACCCCACAGCTTTTTTTAGTTTTTATTTATTTCATTTTATTTTTTGAGACAGAGTTTCACTCTTGTTGCCCAGGCTGGAGTGCAGTAGCGTGATCTTGGCTCACTGCAACCTCCACCTCTCGGGTTCAAGGGATTCTCCTGCCTCAGCCTCCGAAGTAGCTGGGATTATAGGCATGCGCCACCATGCCCGGCTAATTTTGTATTTTTAGTAGAGACAGGGTATCAACATGTTGGCCAGGCTGGTCTCGAACTCCTGACCTCAAGTGATCCACCTGCCTTGGCCTCCCAAAGTGCTGGGATTACAGGCGTGAGCTGCCTCACCTGGCCTTATTTTATATACTTTTTAAGACGGAGTCTCACTCTGTGAGCCAGCACACCTGGCCCATGGCTTCTTTTAAAAAGAGACTTCTGGAAGCTGAGAAGTCTTTTCCAGGGCTCCACCTGGCGACTGACCACTGGGCATGGTGAGGTCTGCGTTTGGAGGAAGTGGGGTGACAGTGACAGCTGTGACTATTGGAGCACACAGTCGGTGCTGGGCAGGTGGGTCATTCCTGAACCCTCAGTGTTTCCCTCCTCGGGGGTCCTGGCCAGTCACTCTCCTCCTCCACACCAGCCCCCAGCAGCTCGCAGGCTGCCTGGGCCCAGCCCCATCATCAGCCGCTGGGCACCCACCTGAGAGGTCTGAACCCTGCCCTTGGTGCTGCACGGTCACTTGCCATTTTCGCAGAGGGGCCCCCTGAGCAGGAGGAGCAGGGCCAGCATGCACACTGCAGCCAAGGTCCCAAGAAGGAAGTGGCGAGGAGGAGGAGGAGGACTGGCCCCACCTGTTGCCCTATGTCTCACAGCGCAGACTGGGGGAGACGTGAGGATCTAACAGGGGTTCCTGGGGGGCCTTCATCAAGCTGTAATGAATGTTGTGCCAAACCCCTGTCAACACCAGTGGGTACAGCACAGGGTTCAAGGGCTGAAGAAGTGACCCAGGGCTAGCAAAGGAGACCCGGGGTTTACTGCGAGCCGTGGGGTGGGGAGGGAAGTGCAGGGACGGGAGAACCGCAGCGGCTTGTAGACAGCGCAAAGTTCCTATGGCATGTTCACCCCATACCCTCCCCTGATGACCTCCACCTGCCAACCTTCATTCAACCCAAAACTCAGGGCCTCAAGCCCCTGCACAGCGCACGTTCCACGGGACAGGCCAGGGGCTCAGAAGTTCCTCATAGCCAAGGAGGCAATCTCCAGATTGGCCACTCCTGGATTCCTTAGCTCAGGTTGTTCTTGGAGTATGCGTAAGTTACTGCTATCGGGGGTGTTTACCCTCCAACAGGTGTTTGGTGGGGGAGGAGCCTCCTTGGGGGTGCCAAGAGCAACAGCGGCCGGGGTCTCATGTCTGTGGGGCCACTCCCATTGCTTTGTGCTTAGTAACTGGGTCTTCAAGGCAGCCCTGTGGGGTGGGAATCATTTTTATCCTGTGATATTTCATTGTGCACACGTGCAGACTGAGGTTGCTTAACTACCCCAGGCCGCACAGTTATCACCATGGAGCTGGGATTTGTACCCTGGTGGCTTAGCACAGAGCCTGAGCACACAACTCCCACCCGCCTGCCTCTCTCCGACCGCGAGTCCTCCAGGAGGACTGGGGCTCTCCTCCCAGCACCACCACGGCCATTGAGCCCAGTGCCCAGGAGACCGAGGCCTGTGAGGTTTCACCTGGGGCCCGGAGACAGGCTCCAAGTGGTGTGGGGGCCCCTGTGCCCAGGTTTTCCCCGAGGTGCCGGCTCATAGCTACACATGCCCATGGGCCTGCCTGAGCCCGGTGCTCCAAGCCACACCCCGAGTGGGCGGCCTCCCTGCCACGCAGTCCTCGGCCTGAGGCCGCCACACTCAGAGCCACTCAGCCTATGGGGTGGTGCATGTCCAGAACCCTGACCCTTGGGAAGGTTGGGATGGTTGGAGATGCAGATGTTCCAAGGGGAAGTGGCGGGAGCGGGTGCTGGCTGGGACCAAGGGATTCTCAAGAGAAGACGTGAGCTTCACTCAGGCACAGCTCTTCAGCAGCAAGAGTGTTGGTCCTAAAAGATCATGTAAATAGAGGAGGGCATGGTGGCTCATGCCTGTAATCCCAGCACTTTGGGGAGGGCAAGGTGGAAGGATCTCTTGAGGCCAGGAGTTCAAGACCAGCCTGGACAACATAGTGAAGCCCCATCTCTATTTATTAAAAAAAAGTTTTTTAAAAGATAATTTTAAAAGGTGGTTGATTCTGAAATAAGAATCACCTGGGAAGCTCTTAAAAGCCTCAAGCCCGGGCCTGCCCCAGCCCCGCTGAATCAGTGTCTCTGGGCCGGGGGGCGAGGCCAGTCATTAGTTGCCAAAGTTCTCCAGGTGATTCCAACTCAAGCCTCTTTGCCCTAGAGCCGTGGCTCAGCTTGAGGAGCATTAGGGCCCCTGGAGGTTGTTAAACCCACGTTGTGGGGCCCCAGCCCCCAGTTCCTGATGCAGCTGTTGGGGTGAGCTGAAAATCTGCTGCAGAGCCTGCATTTCAGGGTTCCCAGGTGGCGCCACCAGCTTGAGGGGGTCTTGGCGCTATTGTAACGATAACAGCAGCGGTCTCCAGAACCTTCTGTAGGCCTCTGCATGCTCACAGGTTAGACCACTGAGACCACCCATGGATTTTATGTAGTAGACACACAGGGTGGGCCTCGTGCCCAGTGTTGTCTAACATGCTTTGTAAGTGCAGACCCGTTCCTCCCAGTGCCTTTGGAGGTGGAGATTGTGGTCCTTGTTTTACAGGCAGGGACAGTGAAGGGACTGTGACCGCTGTTGGTGCCAGGCATCTGGCTGCAGCTCCCAGGCTCTCATCCCTTTGCTGTGCTCCTTTGCAGCTTGGAGGGAATGATTTTTTATCCCCATCTTACAGTATGGGGAAGGTGAGGCTCAGAGAAGTCAAGGACTTCTGTCTGGGGTCACGTGGCTAGGAAGCTAACAGCCAGGATCCGAGCTCAGATTTGCCCGACTTCCACCCATGCCGGTGGGCGGGTTTTCTCCTTGGAGAGGGGCCAGTCCTGCCCCGAGGTGCCATCTCTGCACAGGTAACAGCATCAGCCAGGCACCCTGCAGGCCACCCCGCCCCTCGCAGGGGTTTCCACTAACCCTGCTGTCTGCCAGGCCAGCCTGTGGGCCCCACCACCTCCTGGGTGAGCGTTCCCAACATCAGAGCTATGCAGCAGGCAGTGAGGGGATCATGGGTCTGGCAGGGGCAGGACTGGGAGGGACACCCTTATGTGCTGTGTCCTGTTCCTGCCTCCCCTGTTCACGCCCCACAGAGGAGGGAGGAAGCTGGGGTTAAGGGCAAGGGACAGTTCCTGCTCTCCCAGGCCCCACAAGGCATGCAAGAGGCTAAAAATCAGAAGCCAGCAGGACGCCCAGGTCTCCTGAGCCTGTGCGTCTGATCTGCTCACCTGGGAGACGATGGTGCTGGCATGGGCGGGTCAGAAGGAGCAGCAGGACCCTTCCACGGCCCAGGACAAGCCAGCCCTCAGGGGCCAGAGCCCCCATGCTGGGCACAGGGCTGCCACCTTGGGCGGTGCCCTCCCTAGCTGCCGCACTTCAGAGTGAGCCCCCATCCCTGGCGTCTGCCCTCCTGAGTGAGTGAGGGAGGGGCCGGGTGGGGCCGGATCGTGATCAGAGCCGGAGCTGGCCTTCGTGAGTGATGGCCTTGCCTGCTCTGTTGCCCGGTGACAGTAAAGAATATTCCTACAGAGTGTGGGTTTTGGAAGCAGACATGCCTGTAGGGGTCCTGGCTCAGACGCTTACCTGACGTTAGCACCTGGGCAAGTGGCTTAACCTCATCACTCGGTGTTGGCATCTGTAAAATGGGCACAATAACATGCTAATGTCTCCCTCGCGGGGCTGTGCGAGAATCGATTCAGTGGCCCGTGGAAACCCCTAGCGTGGCCCGGATGTGTGGTGAGTGGCCTTGGAGGCGTCAGCCTTCATGGGAGGTGGGAGAGCTTTGCCGTCCTGGGTGAGGTCGGGGTAAGAGAAAGCAGAGTCGGTCCCCAGCAGGTGTGGCTGGGAGGATGCTCAGTCACTCCCAATGTTCATTGGGAGTCACTGTGCTCCCAGTGGACAGAGTGTCAGGTAGGGTCTACAGATGAGCCCCACTTCTTAGCCTTGCCCTGGGTCCACAAATCAGCCAGAGTTACTGGGTGTGGGGCTTCCTCAATGTCAGGGATGGGGGTGAACAGAAGGGCTGGGTCCGGAGTCTCCAAGGCTCCTTCCAGGCTCCAGGGCTAACGCTGTGGGGGGGGCCCAGGTCTCCACCTCTTGTTGCTGTGTGGCCTTGGGCAAGTGACTCACTTCTCTGAGCCTCTGTGTGTCATGGGGAAGTGACTCCATGCCTGCTGCTGTCTCGGTATTTCACAAGTGCTCAGCAAATGCCAGCAGACCGTGTCCTTCAGACGCGGCAGCTGGGGTTCCTGACTGCTGGGCTACTGCTGCGGTGGCTCATGAAGGTTTTTCTGTCCCCACTACAAAACAAAAGGCAGCTGATGCAGGAGTTTTAGTAAAGATAATGTATATTTTAGTAAAGATAACGTATATTTGATTTAAAAGAATGCTCTTTATTCTGAGATTTGGTCCATCCCATCTTTGTGGGTTTTTTTTTTTTTAATTTGGATGTGAAAAAGACATTCCCTTTATTTGTAATTGCCCAAAGTCGGAAGCAGCGAAGATGCCATTAAATAGGGAAGTGGATAAGCAAACAGCGGTGACGACGCGGAGCAGCCTTCAATGCCTGGTGCTCAGCGGGATAAGCCCGTGTGAAGAGGCCACATCCCGTGGGGTTCCAACTAGATGGCGTTCTGGAAGAGGTGGAACTCTGGAGACAGTGACAAGATCATTGGTTGCCCAGGGTTGGGGGGGAGGGAGGGACAGACAGGCGGAGCCCGGGGGATTTGTAGGGCAGTCATACTACTCTGAGATACTCTAATGGCGAGTATATGTCCGGATGCCTTTGTGCACACCCATGGAAGGCGTGGACCCTGATGAAAACCATGGCTCTGGTTAATAATGTATCTGTCTTGGCCCATCAATTGCGACAGATGTACCACAAGATGCTAATATCAGGGGAAGTGGGGGGCGAGGGGATACAGTATATGGGAACTCTCTGTACTTTCCACTTATTTTTCTCTAAAGCTAAAACTGCTCTAAAGTATTTTTTAAAAAGAAAAAGTTAAAAAAAGACCACATGAACCCATGTGGAGAGTGGAAGAAGCAAAGTCAAAACATTGCCCAGAGTCCATGCTGGAAGCCAGTTGGGGCGTGGCTGCTCCACTCAGTTGACTGTCTGAGTCTTGTCCCCACAGCACAGATTGGTGGACCTTCAGCCCCCACACTGGAGGCACTGGCCTTCCGAATCCCTTCTCACCTGAGTGGGGTCAAGACGCACCTGGGTCCTATTTGCTGCCCACCTCTGGGGCCAGCTGCTGTTCTTGGCACCTCCCACCCTAGGGGGATGGTGTCTGCAAACGGTGCTTTTGGCCTCTGGCATGTCCACCCTGCCACAATCATCTTCCTCACCCTCATCTGCAGACCTTCTGACACCACCTCTGCTGACCCCTCTCCCCTTGTCCTTCTGGGGAGATCACGAACCTGCCCCTTCCTGGCATTCCCCAGCCAGTCCTCCCTGGGGAGCAGGACTGTGCATCGAGGCCAGGCTCAGGTCTTCACCCACACCCACGTTGACAACGTACGAGTCCCCTCTGAGCCTTAGTTTCTGTGGCTGGAAAAATGAGGTTAATATCACTATTGTGAGAATCTTCTCATAAACGCATCTTTCCTTCCCCTCCTCCTTAAAATTTTTAATCCTTATTGAGCTATTATGTGCCCATAGTTTAAGGTGACATTTGGTGCTAAAAACAAAATAGAGCTTGGAGCAAAAATCATGTGTGTCTTCAGAGACTGACCACCATGTTTTTAAGTGGGTGTGTTTGCCGCTTCCTGAGCTCATGGTCACTTTTAGCCATTATCTGTTGACTCCTACTGTAGTAGATGGAGATTTTCAATCCCTTAGACCCCCATTCTCCCCACTCCCAGCTATCTCAATATTGCTATATTGCATTTTTTGTTGTTAAATCCATACTCAGTGTTTTTCATTATGACTATGTAAGTATTGCTTACTGCTGAGCCAGGCAATGGAGTCTGATTCTGTACACTTCTCATGCATAACTTGAGTTAGTAATTGTCTCGCTTTTTTTCAGTTGCAATTTTCTTTAAATCACTGGTTCTTTTTTCACCTTCCAACTGCTCAGTGAAACACCTCTCAAATGCAGCTTGCACTTGAGCAAACCTGCCAGAT
The DNA here is from genome assembly GCF_000001405.40 of Homo sapiens. Lineage (NCBI taxonomy): Eukaryota > Metazoa > Chordata > Mammalia > Primates > Hominidae > Homo > Homo sapiens. The sequence goes on from NC_000016.10 coordinate 87,631,124, forward strand.
TCAGTAATACACACAAATGTACAAATACGTTTGTTTATTGATTGATTGCCTTCTTCCCAATTCTTCCCCCATTTTCCTGGGTATTTCCTTCACTTCTCCTGTGTTTGATCTTCTCATGTCTTCTTTCATGGTTTCCTCCCTCATTTGGGTGGAGCACATCCTGGAGTAGCTTCCTAAGAAAGGATGCATGGAAGATATAGTTTCTGTGGCTTGATTATTTGATAAATTGGTATGCATAGTATGCTAGGTTGAAAATCATTTCTGCTCATAATTTGGGGCGGTGGGGGTGCAGTTTCCCACTGACTTCTAGGTTCAGTGTTGCTCTTGAGAAGCCCATGCTGTTCTGATTCTCAGTCCTTCATTTGTGATCTGTTTTTATGTTTCTCTGGAAGCATTTAGGGTCTTTGTCATTTGAGTTCTGAATTTCATGCCACTGTATCTTGGTTGGGTGTCTCTCCCCTCATTGTGTGGTATCTGTGAGCCCTCCAGTCTGGACGCTCACACCCTTCCATTCCAGGAGACTTTCCTGTTTAAATCTTTGCCCATTTTCCTTCCCTGCTTTCTAGAACTCCTGCTGTTTAGAGTTCGGGTGTTCTGGATGAGTCCTTTAATTTTCTTACTGTTTTGCCTACCTACCTCTTTTTTTGATCTAGTTTCTGAAAGATTTTCTTGATTTTTATCTTCCAGCTTATTTACCAAAATATTTCTTTTAGCTATTATACTTTTAATTTCCAGAAGCTCTTTATCCCTGGTCTTTCCTTTTTAATTGCATTTTATTCTCATTTTGTATTTTATCTCTGAGGATTTAAATTCTGGTCCCTCGATGTCTTCTCCCACCTGCTGCATTTTCTGATTCCCCCTCTTTTTTCCCACTTATTTGTAAGTTTTGGTCTTTTTTGTCCCTGCCAAGGCTTCTCCTTGTGTCTGAGGACCGTTGACTGTTCATATATTAAAGTGAGGTACGAAAAAGCTGAGTGGAAACTTGTGTGTGTGGCAGCCTTCGCTTCTGGCTACAGTCTGTTTTTTCAGAGGAATTTTCCACCTCTCTCCTGGATAAAGTAATCCTCCCTGTTTGGGTGGGGTAGCAAGCAGGGTTTTTGGTTCAGAATGAGCACTTTCCCAGTGCCTGCTGAAGCATTGGCGAAAAGACGAAAAAAAGAGCACTTCCCTGGCAGTCCTCCCCCACCCTCCTCTGCCTGGTGGGCTTGTCTGATTGTTGGCCTAGAAACTTTTCTTCCTGGGTTCTGCAGAAGGAGAGAAAACTCTCTTCCTTTCATTCATTATTTATATTTCTCAGCAATCTGGCTTTTTATCCTTTTTCTTGGTTTGTCCTAACTTTAAGAGATGGAGTCTTGCTCTGCCACCCAGGCTGGAGTGCAGTGGCACGATCACCGCAGCCTCAATCTCCTGGGCTCCAGCCCCTCCTGGGCTGAAGCAGCTGGACTACAGGTGTGCACCACTAAACACACTAATTTCAACAAAATTTTGGCTGGGTGCAGCGACTCACGCCTCTAATCCCAGCACTTTGGGAGGCCAAGACGGGTGGATCACTTGAGGTCAGGAATTCGACACCAGCCTAGCCAACATGGTGAAACTTTGTCTCTATTAAAAACACAAAAATTAGCCGGGCATGGAGGTGTGCACTTGTAATCCCAGCTACTCCAGAGGCTGAAACAGCAGAATTGCTTGAACCTGGGAGGTGGAAGTTGCAGTGAGCTGAGATCATGCCACTGCACTCCAGCCTGCACGACAGAGCTGGACTCTGTCTCAAAAAAAAAAAAAAAATTTTGGTAGAGACAGGGTCTTGCTGTGTTGCCCAGGCTGGTCTGGAACTCTGGGGCTCAAGCAGTCCTTCTGCCTCAGCCTCCCAAAGGGCTGGGATTATAGGTGTGAGCCTCCACGCTTCTCCTGTCCTTTTACTTCATTATTTATATAGTTAATCACCTCGCTAGAGACTGAGAATTCTGTGTCCTCAGGCTGCCATCACAAAATACCACAGACAGCATGGCTTAAACCACAGTTTATTTCCTTGCAGTTCTAAGGCTGGAAGGTCAGGGTCAAGGTGCTGGGAGAGTTGATTGTTCTTTGTTTTCGTGGGCTTGTCCCTCTGTATGCCTCTGAGTCCCTTCATAGAAAGACACCAGGCCTATTGGATGAGGACCCCCAGTGCCTTCATTTTTAACTCAGCCACCTCTTTAAAGACCTTATCTATCTCCAAACAAGGTGACATTCTAAGGTGGTAGAGGATGCCGGGGGTGGGGGTGGGTAGGACTGCAGCATATGCATTTTGGAGAAACGCAATTAAGCCCATAGTGAATTCCGGCAGACATAACTATTCAGAACTCCACTAAGATTAACCAAAAAAAAAAATTTATATATATATATATTAAATGATGGGCGGGGCGCGGTGGCTCACACCTGTAATTCCAGTGCTTTGGGAGGCCGAGGCAGGCGGAGTACCTGAGGGCAGTTTGAGACCAGCCTGGCCAACATGGTGAAACCCTGTCTCTAGTAAAAATACAAAGATTAGCTGGGTGTGGTGGCGGGCGCCTGTAGTACCAGCTACTCGGGAGTCTGAGGCAGGAGAATCGCTTAAACCTGGGAGGCGGAGGTTGCAGGGAGCCAAGATCACACACTGCACTCCAGCCTGGGCGACAGAATGAGACTCCATTGCGAAAAATAAAAAAAATCTGGTGTTGGTAGTAACGATGTAGGGGACATGGTCTCTCTTATAGTCTTTTCTGAGGGTAATTTCTGAAAAACCATAACCCCAAACCCTTGCTTTTGACCAAGCAATTTCATTCTAGGAATTTATCCTAAGGATAAATTTTAATGTCATATGAAGATTAGCTGTGAAAACGGAGGAGCGACCCGAATACCTTGCGGCATAGGATTAGCTTGTAATTTATGTGCTTGTGAAACGGCCGTGCAATGAATGGGGCTCCGTGCAGCCGGGGACAAAGTGGGTGCAGAGAGGCAGGAGGGACAGGCACGGGGCATGGGGGCCACCCGTGGAGAAAGCCCTGGAGCTTTGTGAATGCCGTCTGTTGGCCAGCGCAGGGCTCTCACTGTCACGTTGGACCTGTGCCCAGGGTCTGGTCCCTGATCTGTGAGGGTCCCAGAGGGGGCACAACAGGCGAAGACCCCAAAGACAGGGGTCTGTTCCGGGGCATCCTGGGCAGAGAGTGGGTATAGGGGACAGAAACCCAGCCAAAGCGGCTCAAGTGGAAGATGGGTGCTGGTCGATATGGGCCAGCCTGAGGGGTGTCAGAGCCGGGAATGGGGAGGCCATCGGAAGCCCACAGGAGCCACTTCTGAGTTCCCTCAGGGTGGAGGCCTGGCCGCCTTCCCAGTGGTGCCTGTTTCTTCCTTTCTCTGCGGGTTGGCTTCTCTGCGTCCCTGCCTCCAGGTGGGAAGGGGTCCCTGCAGGCTTCGTCTCCTCCCAGCCGCAGAGCCACCACCTTGGGCTCCCCTGCCCCAGGCCCAGGCTGGTGGATCTAATTGGGATTTGGTAAGCTGTGACGGGAGGGGGGCTCTGGCCCGTGCCCACCCATGGGAAACGGGCCCTATAGGAGGCAGGTGAGGCGGGCCAGAGTGAATCAGTGGTCCAGTCCAGAACGGAGGCTGTGACCCGCCAGGGTGGGAGAGGACGGGCTTTGGGGTTGGGCCTCAGCCCCGAGTGGGCAGGCACAGCATGGGACTGGCTGAGAGACGCTCTGTGTGGGCTTCGGATCAGCTCAGCGTAGGTTTCAGTCCCGCTCTAGCTGGGTGACACTGGGGTTATTTTACCTGTCTCTGCCTCAGTTTCCTTCTTTAAGTGGACACAGTAAGAGTGCTGAGCTCCCGGGGTAGTGTGTGGATGAAAGGTGACCTCCGCCTGCATGGAGCCATGGAAATGTTTCCCCTTTTCCCTCCACTGGACTCTGGGACAGTAGTGGGAGCCTGGGTGGGGGCTTTTGCCTGCCAGAACTCATGGGTCGGGGCCGCACATGAGTGAGTGTCTCCTGGGCAGGGCTGTGGCCATGAGCTCAGGTCTTTAGTGGGCTCCTTGCTCCTCCCAGCAAAGCGTTCACCTTGCCCCACCCTGGGACCTCTCAGGTGCTCTTTGGAGGTGTTGACCTGGGGCATCTGTCCATGGCCCTGAGGAGGTGGAGCACCTGGTGAGGGCTGCGCTCTCTCCAGCTGGGACCCCGGGCTCCGAAACTAAAGTTTTGGGAAGAGTGTCAGCTGACGGGTGGGGCTTCAGAGGAGGAAAAGAAACAAGGGTGTGAGATGTGCAGGCCCTGGTGAGAGACAGGCAGCAGCAAGAGCCTGCCAGCCATACTTACCCACAAGGCCGGCTGAGGGGCTGTGCTGGCCCAGGGCTCTGGCTTTCGGACCCAGACAATGCTGCTGACCAAGCAGGCCAGGCGCTGAGTGACTGTCCCAGCGGATCTCCGAGCAGGGTCCCTTGAGCATTAGGAATGCAGCTTCTCAGGCCATGCCAGCCTGGCAGAACAGGAAGGGAGGGGTACAGCCCTGTGGGGACGCAGCTGTGGCTCGAGTGACACCTGCTGGCGGCCTCATCTCATCCGCTCTCTGCGAGTCTGTGGTGGTTCTAGTCGGCGTTTCACGGGCAAGGTTTAGGGGGTTTGTTCCTCAGCTGGGGTCCACCCACGTCTTCCGACTTCCTCTCTCAGTGTTTGGGCCATCGGTGGGTGAGGTGGCTGCAGCAGAGCCGGGGGCTCCTGTGTGCGGAGGCAGCACCGACATCCACTGCAGCCACACCCTCCTGAGAGGGTCTGGAAGGAAGCAGGGCACCCTGCGAACCCACCTTCCTCTGGGGTGTCTTCCGGGGCCCCAGGGCCAGGGCAACTGGAGCAGACAGGACATTATCTAGCTCTGGGGGCCGTGCTGACCGAGCCAGACCCTCGCGGCGGCCCACAGAGATGGGCAGCTTGCGGGGCAGCTTTGTCCCCCCGACACTGGGTCCTGTCTTCATGCACACAAGCCGCCTGTTCTGCAGGTGACCAGTTAGGTTCGATGGGACAGGCTTTGGGAATCAGCGGCTTGGGTTTGCCCCCCACAGCCTTGGATCTTGACCTTGGGAGAGGCCTCCACCACGTGCCCTGGGGTGGGGTGGGGGCGGGGGCGTCCTGCATCTGCGCCGTTCAGCTCAGTTGCCCTCAGCCGCGGTTGGCCGCCAAGCACTAGGGTGTTGCTGGCACAGCCAAGGAACTGAGCCCAGACTTTTTGTTTACTTAATCAAGCATAAATGCAAAGGGCTGGGGGTGGCCGAGCTGATGGTGCAGGCGTGTGCGCTCAATAGCTCCGTCACAGTGGCTGTCGCTTTATTGAGCAACCGAGGGAGCGAGGGAGAGGAGCAACTGCGGCGAGCGTGGAGGCCCAGCCCGCAGAGCTCCCGTCTGGGGGAAGCCCTGTCCCTCACTGCCTGTTCCCGGCGCTTTGGTGCCCTCTGCTGTGGGGTGATGAGGTCAGGCTACGCAGGCAGTCACGGCAGAACTGAAGGCCGTGTGCTTTCGTGTAGCCAAACCCCTTTTCTTACTGATATCAGTTATAAAATCAGAGCTATGTTCCCACCAGGGGCAAAAATCCAACACCGTGCAGTTGCAAACACGGGGCAGGAAAGACTCCGGCGACCCTCATTACACTGTGCCGGGAGGCATGGCCAGAGCTCCGTCAGTTCATGCGTCGCTTAAACCTAGAGGTGGGTGCGATTGTCACCCTATCTTACAGGTGTGGAAACTAACTCAGCTCCGAGATGTGACTGACCTTCCCCGGCCATAGTACGCGCAGCGCAGTGGGGCCTGGACGCGGCTGCCTGGTTTCAGGTCCACACGCTCCCCAGCACTGCCGGCCAGGCTCCAGCATGACGGGGGTCAGGCCTCCACAAGGCCCTGTCGGCCACGGGAGTTTGCTGCGAGATCCTGGGTCCCTGACTGTGTTCTCAAAGCCCCTAGGATTTGACCAGCCGTTCTTTTATCTTAGGAGTCGGAAATCTTACATCTGTATTTTTATTTCGCTGTGCTTCCGCCCCCTGCTCTGCTACCCTCACCTCACTACGTTGTTTTATTGGCATAGTATAAAATTCACATTTTACAATATGCAATTCAGTGGCACTAGCACATTCACGGGGTTCTGATCATCAGCTCTATCAGGTTGCAGGCCACTTTCATCACCCCAAAACCCCAGCCCTGTGAGCAGCCATTCCTGCTCCTCCCCGGCCATCATCCGTCTGTCTCTGGATTTACCTGTTCATGTTATGGGGGAGAGAGAGAGAGAGAGAGAGTGTGTGTGTTTGTGTGTGTGTGTGTGTGTGTTTTAAATGAAGGCTTGTGGTACGGGGTCTGTTCTCATTTTGCGCCGGTGTTGGGCCTGAAGTGTGTCCTGTGTGCATGTCTCTGACCCCCGGAGTCATGGGACCCAGTCACGTGCTGCGCTGACGTGGAGTCCGAAGTTGTAAAGACAAAGCTGGGTGAGACCCTAGTGACTCACAGGCCCTTCTGCTCTCCTTTCCAGATCTGGGACTTTCTCGGGGACAACCCTGGGATAACAGCCACCACTGGAGTCTATGCTTGAAGGCCATTCCGCCTCGTGGTGCCCTGGGCGAATGTCGAGGGAAAGCAGACTCCCTGTGCCCCCGGGGTTGGCTTCTTGCTCAAGGATTCCAGATGCTGGCCTCCTGGGTGGTGTTCCCATGCCGAGCTCCAGTTGGGGGTGTGACCAGCACCCCGTGCGGGGGCTGCTGGTGTTCTGTGTTGTCAGAGCAGTGCTGTTTTGTGTTTTTCTTTAAAAAAAAAATTTTTTTTTGAGATGGGGTTTCACTCTTGTTGCCCAGACTGGAGTGCAGTGGCACAATCTTGGCTCACTGCAGCAGCCTCTGCCTCCTGGGTTCAAGCAATTCTCCTGCCTCTGCCTCCCCAGTAGCTGGGACTACAGGTGCCCGCCACCATGCCCTGCTAATTTTTATAGTTTTAGTGAAGATGAGGTTTCACCATATTGGCCAGGCTGGTCTCGAACTCCTGACCTCAGGTGATCTACCTGCCTGGCCTCCCAAAGTGCTGAGATTATAGGCATGAGCCACCACACCCGGCCTCCTTTTAAAATTTTAATTTTTAATGAGATGGGGTCTCACTATGTTGCCCAGGCTGGCTTTGAACTCCTGGCCTCAAATGATTCTCCTGTCTCAGCTGTGTTTTGTGTTTGCTCCAGCCCTTTGCTGGTGAACAGACACGTTCACTGGACACCTAAGTGCCTGGACCGTGGAGCACAGGGTGGGGGTGCTGTTCATGGCCGGAACGCCAGAGGCTACTGGGGAGACACAGGAGCGACCACCATGATCCACAGACCAGGACTGTACAGAGCACTTGAAGGGGCGGCCTCAAGAATTGTGCCGGAACAGTGAACATGAGGGCTCCTGGCTCCCCTCTGAGGACAAGGGTTAGGTAGGAGGGGACAGGGGCAGGGCTGAGGTGGGTCGGCTTGGTTCATGGCAGGGCTTGGGGAGTGAGGAGAGTGAGGAGTACCGGGACCCGGGGTCCCTGCTCTGCTCACCTGCTGAGAATGAGCCAGTGTTGGCCTCTGGTCTCCATGTCTGTAGAGAGGCTTCTCTGCTTCCCCTCCTGTAGAATGGGAACGACAACATCCAGCCATAGAGTGCTGAGAATTCAGGGACAGGACACAGCGAAGGTGCCCCAGTCCCCCTTCCTGACCCCAGCCTGGCGTCACCCTCTATCCAAGGGAAGAAGCAGGGATCTGCCTACGAATCTCTCAGGATGTGAAGTGTGGCCCCCAGCCTGGTGCCTTTGCAGTGGGCCCAGGACGGAGGGTAGCCTTGGCACCTGGGGAGGACAGGTGAACCTGGATCCAGACTCTGCCTCAGGTGACAGCCCTGGGTTCTAACGCTGCCGCTTCCGCTTCCTGGCTGTGTGTTCCTAGGGCGGCCACAGCCCCTCTCCAGCCTCAGTTGCCTCACCTGGGAAGAGAGGTGCAGGGCTTTTGCGATGATCATAATAGTTACCATCAATCGAGCATTAGCGACTTTCCAGCACCTTAAGGCAGTTACCCTGTGATCTGCACAGCCGCCCTCCCCTCGTTGCAGATGAGGAGACTGAGTCAGAGAGAGGTTAACCCAGACATTCCCAAGGTTGTAGATTGAGAAAGTGTTGAGTTGGGATTCGAACTCAAGTCTGTCTGAGGCCTCCTAGCCCCTTCCTGACCCCAGAGCCTTCCGCACCTCATGGCTCCACCAGACCCTGCATGAAGCTCCTGGTGGGCAAACTGGGCACCTTCACTTTAAACGTTGAGGGAAAAATACACATAACCTACAGTGTCCCGTCTCAGTCATCTTCACGTGTGCCGTTCTGTGGCATTAAGCACATTCACGCTGTTCAACCGTCACCAGAACTTTTCCATCTCCAGAACTTTCTCATCTTCCCAAACCGAAACTCTGTCCCACTAAATGCTCACTGCCTGTCCTCCCTCCTGTCCTCCCTCCTGGCCTCCCTCCTGGCCTCCCGCCTGTCCTCCCGCCTGTCCTCCCTCCTGTCCTCCCTCCTGGCCCCTCGCACCCTCCGTTCTACTTTCTGTGTCTATGAGTCTGATGACTCCAGGGACCCCAGGAGAGTAGAATCCCACAGGATTTGTCCCTTCCAGCCTGGCTTATTCCACTGCATGACGGCCTCAAGGCTCATCCAGGAAGCAGCAGGTGCCCGGCTTTCCTTCCTTTTTAAGGCTGAGGAATATTCCACTGCATGGGGGGACCACGTCATTTTATCCCCGATGCCTTCACTTTTCAGCTCTTGTTCCCATCTGTATCTGTAAGCTGGAGCATCCCTTGATGGAGGAGGGATCTCAGGGAGTGGGTGAGCCTCTCCTCTTTCCAGGGTCATCCTCCACTTTGCGGGGGCAGCCCACCTTCCTGGAGTTCCAGCTGAGGGGGGGCCCAATTTAACAAGCACTTTGGGAGGTTGAGGTGGGCGGATCATGAGGTCCAGAGATTGAGACCATCCTGGCCAACATGGTGAAACCCTGTCTCTACTAAAAACAGAAAAAAATTAGCTGGGTGTGGTGGTGCATGCCTGTAGTCCCAGCTACTCAGGAGGCTGAGGCAGGAGAATCGATTGAACCTGGGAGGCAAAGGTTACAGTGAGCTGAGATCGCGCTACTGCACTCTAGCCTGGCGACAGAGCAAGACTCCATCTCAAAAAAAAAAGGGTTGTCCGGTTACCTGTGCATGCCAGGTAATCGACAAATGCTTTTTATTTTTATTTATGTATTTGTTTAGAGACAGAGTCTTGCTCTGTCGCCCAGGCTGGAGTGCAGTGGCATGATCTGTGCTCACTGTAACCTCCACCTCCCAGGTTCAAGTGATCCTCCTGCCTCAGCCTCTTGAGTACCTGGGATTACAGGCACCCATCACCATGCCTAGCTAGTTTTTTTGTATTTTTAGTAGAGACAGGATTTCACTATGTTGGCCAGCGTGGTCTCTAACTCCTGACTTCAGGTGATCTGCTCGCCTCGGCCTCCCAAAGTGCTGGGATTACAAGCATGAGCCACCCCACCCAGCCAACAAACGCTTTTTAAATATAAGTATGTCCCATGCAGCGTGTCCCCTAAAGAACGATGTGTTGTTCATCTGAAACTCAGATGTTACCAGGCGTCCTGTGTTTGATGTGACAACCCTGTCCACAGCCCTGGCACGGAAGGGGCAGTCGCTGAGGGTGCAGTCTTGGGGTGAGGGTCCCTGTGATGGCAGCCTGTGTCCAGCTTGGACTGGCCATGGGAAGGCCACTGTGTGGGCGGGTCTGGCCTTGGTAAAGGGCCACCCCCTGAGACCCACCGAGCCTAGTTCCAGTTTCCTCCTCACAACCCCAGCCTGGAAGGGCGTTCGGGTGTGGAGCAAGCCACAGGGTTTCCCCCCAGTGTGGTTCGCATTGGGGTGCCGGGTGGTTCCGAGTCAGCTGCCCCCTCTGCCTCCTCCCCGTGCCCATCACAACTGCCCCCAGTGCTGGGACCTCTGGGCAAGAGGCTGAGGCTGACACTCTGGAAAGGTGTGCAGTGGTGTTGTGGGGTCCCTGGGGTCCGGTCCACATACATCCCTGCTTGCCCGGCTCTTGGCATCCTGTAGGAGAAGGTGCCACAGCCTAGTGGGTGGGAGGGCAGGAGCCCCATCACTGGAGTCGGAGGTTGCTTTTGATGTTGATGGCAGTGAGGTTGCTTCTGATGTTGATGGCAGTGAGGTTGTTTCCGACGTTGATGGCAGTGGACTTGCCTCCAGGTTAGCTGCCTCCCCAAGCAGCTTTGGGGGTACAGAATGACCGACCAGTGTGGGATCCCAAACATCCTATCCCCTTGCCTGAAAGTGGGACGAGGCTGAAGCTGACCTCTCGCTGAGACCACCTCATTCGGCCCCGTCCTCTGCTGCCACGTCCTTCTTCCTGGTACCCCCCTTCTCCAGCCCCAAATAAGTCACGTTCACAGGATCCCCAGCTCAGGCTCTGCTCCTGGAGAAGCTGCCCTCAGAGGCTGCGTTGCCGATTCCTTTTTCAACGGAGAGGCTGCAGCGTGTGGCAGGTGCCACCATCTCTTGGAGTGAGGCAGCCTCAGGGGCTCTGTCCGGGGCTGCAGCCTGATTGGTGATCTTTGCACGCCCCTTCTCTGCCCTGGCTGGGCCATATGCCACATGGGGCGTGAGGGGCCTGCAACACAAGTCCCTCTGGGGGCTCGTGATGTGGTTGAGCTGGAAGATACATTCTGGAACATCTAAGACCCCAGCCACTGTCCTGAGTCTGGATGCCGCGGGTGCCGGGCATGGGGGCTCTGGGCCCGGGCCCTGGGGTGCTTGGAGGTGCTGTGGAGGAGGGGTGGGGCTGGCTTGGAGCCCATGGGATTCGATTGGAGGGTGGGAGTGTGAGAGAGGAGAGAGCGTGAACAGAGCCTTGGACAGAAAAGCCTGGAAGGATCAGGACCCTTTGGGGGGTGGCGGGTGAAGGTGGCGGGGTGTGGGGATACCCTGGGGACGGACAGGTCACTTGAGGCTACAGGACTTTGAATTCCACACTTAGTTTGGATCCCACCCTCTGGTGTGGGGCGTGTGAGTGGAGGGGGCCTGGCTAGGGAAAGGGGGGGGGCAGTGGGGAGTGGAGGGCTGCTTCGCTCCGAGAGATGGCGGCACCTGCCACCCGCTGCAGCCTCTCCGTTTAAAAAGTGACTGGCAGAACAGGAGCAGCTGCTGCCAGCTCCTGTCCATTTTGTCCTCTGAAAAGAGAGGTCGGGGTGGCCAGGTCCTCATTTTTCAGGAGACAGAAGAGAGCTGAATTTTTATGTCAAATCTCTTGGTTTTGAGTTGTTAGCAGGTAATTCCAATGTTTTATGAAAACAGCGGTGGGACGAATAAAACCTACGTATCAGTAAGTCTCGGCCTCCAGGCCTCTGGTCTGCAGCCTGTGCCACCGTGAGTTGGAAGAGTGGTGGACGGACTCTGTTCTCCCCGCAAAAGCCCTTTCCAGGGTGGCACATCCACGCCGTTAGTGCCCGGCTGCAGGGAGAAGCTCAAATGACAAATGAGGCTTGAGGTTTGCCGCGTTGGGCGTCGTGCTGAGGCCCAGCCGTCCTCACGGTGACCTTTGGCATGAGGAGTCCTGGTTCCACTCTACAGACGAGGACACTGAGGGCCAGCGGGGCCCAGAAACTTCCCTGAGTCACAGCTCACAGAGCAAGACATGGGCCCAGGTCTGCTGACCGGGTTTCCTTTTTATTTTATTGTGGTAAGAGAAATACAGAATGTACCACGTTAGCTACTTTTAAGTATACAATTCAGTGGTATTAATTACCTTCACGGTGTTAGGTAGCTGTCATCACTGTTTACCTCCAAGGCTTTCCCATCATCCTACTGCAAAACTCTGTCCCTATTCAACACTGACCCCACAACCCTCCCCAGCCCCTGCACCCACCGCGCTTTCTGCATCTCTGAGCGTGACTACTCTAAGGACCCCGTGTACATGGAATCATCCGATATGTGGCCTTTTGTGCCCAGCTCAGTTCACTCTGTGTAATGTCTTCAGCGTTCATCCACATTGCAGCCTGTGTGAGAATGTTCTACCTTTTCAAGGCTGAATGATGTTCCATCGTATGGACGGACCGCATGGCGTCTGTCCATTTACCAGGTGATGGACTTGTGGGTTGCCTTTCCCTTTCCAGCCATGGAAACAGTGCTGCTGAGAACCCAGGTGCACAGGCAGCTGCTGCAGTCCCCACCCTCCCTTCTTCTGGGGATATCAGGTCTGCTGATTTTATGTCTGAAGGTCATGGGCCACTGTCCCTTCCCTATGCCCTTGAATCTCTTCCATGGTGTGTCCACTGTGTGGTCTTCCTGGATACCTCCAGCAATGGGGAGCTCACTGTCTCCCAGAGCAGCCCATTCAGGGCTTAGTGTGTAGCCCACACCTGTGTCCCTGTAGCTGCCACTCATTAGCCTCCTAACCCAGGACGCGTTTCCTTGTGCCCTTGGCAGGGGCTCCGTATTCACTCTGGGTTCTGTGGTCCTCACTCTGCACCACAGACTCTGATGCCTCCCTTCTCCCTCCCCGATTTCCAAGAGAGAACAAGATCTAGCCATGAGAAGCAGGATGGAGGTGTCTTCAAAAACAGCCACTGGTGATAGAAGTTGTAGGAAGGTACCATGGTCTGTCTGCCTCCACGCAAACCTCACCAGGTTTCATCAAGATAGCACACCAGGAGTGGTGTGGCTCATGACTGTAATCACAGCACTTCTGGAGGCTGAGGCAGGATCACTTGAGCCCATGAGTTAGAAACCAGCCTGGCCAACATAATGAGACTGCCATCTCTACAAATAATTTACAAAGTAGTGGAGCATGGTGGTGCACGCCTGTAGTCCCAGCTGCGCAGGAGGCTGAGGCAGGAGGATCGCCTGAGCCCAGGGGTTCCTGGCTGTCGTGAGCTGTGATGGTCTCACTGCACTCCAGCCTGGGCAACACAGCGAGAACCTGTCTCAAAAAACACAAAACAACAGGAAGCTCAGACAGGACTGTGGCTGCTTCAACCCTGTCCGTGGCCAGGCTGTGCCCCCTCCTCTGTCGCTGGGCACTCACCCCTCTCTCATTTTCTCCCCAGGGACCTACCAGGGCCAGTGGGTCGGTGGCATGCGCCAGGGCTACGGCGTCCGGCAGAGCGTCCCGTATGGCATGGCCGCGGTCATCCGCTCACCCCTGAGGACGTCCATCAACTCCCTGCGCAGCGAGCACACCAACGGCACGGCGCTGCATCCCGACGCCTCTCCGGCGGTGGCCGGCAGCCCGGCCGTGTCCCGCGGGGGCTTCGTGCTCGTGGCCCACAGTGACTCCGAGATCCTCAAGAGCAAGAAGAAGGGGCTGTTTCGGCGCTCGCTGCTGAGTGGGCTGAAGCTGCGCAAGTCGGAGTCCAAGAGCAGCCTGGCCAGCCAACGCAGCAAGCAGAGCTCCTTTCGCAGCGAGGCGGGCATGAGCACCGTCAGCTCCACGGCCAGCGACATCCACTCCACCATCAGCCTGGGCGAGGCTGAGGCCGAGCTGGCGGTCATCGAGGACGACATCGACGCCACCACCACCGAGACCTACGTGGGCGAGTGGAAGAACGACAAACGCTCCGGCTTCGGCGTGAGCCAGCGCTCGGACGGGCTCAAGTACGAGGGCGAGTGGGCCAGCAACCGGCGCCATGGCTACGGCTGCATGACCTTCCCGGACGGCACCAAGGAGGAGGGCAAGTACAAGCAGAACATCCTCGTCGGCGGCAAGCGCAAGAACCTCATCCCCCTGCGGGCCAGCAAGATCCGCGAGAAGGTGGACCGCGCCGTTGAGGCCGCTGAGCGGGCCGCCACCATCGCCAAGCAGAAGGCTGAGATCGCGGCTTCCAGGTAGGAGGGCGAGGGGGCGGGGGGCCCTTCTTGGTGCCCAGAAGGTGTTTGTGAGCCCAGTCTGTTCAGTCCTGCTGTCGCTCAAGGCCTTGGGCTAGGCCCAGTTTGAGGCCTACACTGGTGTTTCTCAAACTATGCCCCCATGGAACCCTAGGGTTCCCTGGAGGTTCTCAGAGGTGACTGTGGTCAGGATTGGTGCAGAGGAATGGTTGATTTGTGGGGGTGTAGAGGCCTACAGCCTCCTTAAACTGAGCAGTGTCTCTTTGTTCTATATGCTGATGTTTAGTGTAAAATATTGGTGAATAAAGAAGGTGGTCTGTTCCGTTAGTACAATGCATTGGAGTGCTGCTGTGCTAGCTAGTAGGGGTGACACCACCAGGTGGGGGTGGCAGGTCCAGCACTGCAGGGCTGTGGGAGGTGGCTAGGAGCTGCCTCAGCTACCCAGACCTGCGATCTAGATTCTTCCGGGACCCTGGGAGATGGCAGCAGTTGGGAGGCCAATTCCGAGTGCCTGGCAAGGGGCTCATGCAGGCCTGGTGCTTTGGGGGCAGCCGCTGTTCTGAATCGGCTGCATGACTTACGGAATTTGGGGTCCAGTGGGGCCTCTAGGCCCTAAGGAATGGGTCCAGAGGTGACTGTGGGTGGGATCGACGTGGCTTTTGGGTACCTTTAGGGGTGGGTGCAGGATGGGGCCTTTAGGGCTGGAGGAAGGTGCCCAGGGTCTGGCTCCTGTGGAGGTGAGTGTGTGAGCCAGGGGCTGGTCCCCGCCAAGCTGTGGCTGGCAGGAGCCACCTGCTGCAGGTTGGAGGAAGTTCCCCTGTGGAAAGCCACGGGCCCCACAGGTAGGCATTTGGGTTCTAAAGTAACTGAGGTTACTAAAGGGCTTTGTCAAGACTTGGGAAGGCATTTCAGAAAACCCAGAGCCTTTGCTTTCCACCGGCATTTGCTTTCCTGGGCCAGACGAGGGCCCTTGGGGTAGCCCGGAGAGTCTTGGGGCAGGGATCTGGGAGCTGCGGGGGAGTCCATGGGCTGCCCAGGCAGGAGGCTTCCCAGGGCACGTTCCCCTGCGTCTTTCTGGATGGCTTTGTGTTCTCAGCCAGGGGCAGACCTGGAGTTCCTCCAGGAAAGCTCCCAGCCTGGGTGCGGCTCAGCCCTTCCCGACCTGTCGCTAATTAAAGTTCAGCCCATTTGGTTCTGATTTTCAGTGACCTTTGATCTATAGTGAAAAACAAAAATGGTGGCTGCGGTTTGTTGGCAGAATATGTTGCTCGCGACTTCTATTGTTTTAGAGGGAATCAAGATCGATTCCAAGAAGCTGAAAGAAACATGGAATTACTACCTGACACCGAGGTCCAAACTCGCTGTTTGCCCCTCCCTGCTCCCTCAGAAATGTTCAGGCAGGGAAATAAACAGCAGCCCACGTGTGACTACTCATCTGGGGTTTTAAGAACAAATTAGAATCAGTAGTTATTTTTTCCATCATAAATGTAATACTTGTTCCACAGGAAAATAAATAACACTGAGAAGGGAGAAAGCAGCATTAGCTCTGGTCTGATGGATCGGCCGAGCGCTCTCCTTGGCATTTTGGTGAATTTCTTTCCTCTGTGTTTTGTTTTTCGACCCTTTCTATTTTGTATAGTTGCTTTTTTGACCCTAGTGGACAAGAAGCAGTTTTGGGGGCTGGGGGACAGCGGCGTCACGGAATTGAGGAAGCTCGTGGCAGCTTCCGTGTGACCTGCAGATTGGTTCATGAGTTCATTGGTTCATGAGTTCTCAGCAGCTCGAGGACTTAGTGGACAGTGCCCTGCAGGACTGAGCTTATTTCACAGCCTTGGCACTGGGTGGATGTCTGTAGGACTGGGGGGACCTGCGACCTGAGATAGTTTTCAGACGAATTCCCCTAGACATTAAGAGAAGCGGGTTCCCATTAAGGAGCCCAGGTGGCATGGACAGGGCTGGGGGCAGCACAGGTGAGGAGCTGCTCCAAGGCAGGTTGTCAGCCTCTCTGGACCTCAACTTCTAATCTCTGAAGGCCTGTGAAGCTTAGGTGGTAACAGCTCCCTTCCTGGGGCATCCAACCTCTTCCTGGGGTTTTGGGGGGCCCAGGGGCTCTGTGGAGCATTGCTGGGGGAGATGCCTACGTATAAGTGGGCATCATGCTGGGGTGAAAGCCCAGGGGCTGGGCCGGGAGGGCGAGACCTGAGACCCATGCAAAGGAGCCGGGGCCAGGGTGGGGTGGGCACGGCTCCTACTGAGTCCCCAGCCCTTGGGACGCTGGCCAGCCAGCCTTGGCATGGCCAGCATCCCTGTGTCTCCTGGGGAGGCATTTTACTTAATGGACAGAAGGACAGACAGACGGGTGGAGGGAGTGAGAGGGAAAGGATGGGTTTGCAGGCTGGTGCAGCTGTGAAACTGACGGAGCCCACCCCCTGCCAACCCCCCGACAGCCTTTGAGGCCCAGCAGCCCATGCTCCCTGGCAGGTTGCGGCTTGCCTTCTGCACTGGCGGAGTCCGAGCTGACTCCGTCCCTTCGCCCGAGCGGGCGTCGCGGGGAGGGAGGTGGTTCCTGCTTCCGCATGCGCACAACTGGGGTCTTGGATCGTAGCTCCTTTGTGAGAAAGGGACTGGCTCACCCGCCATGTCCTGCTGTCCACACACACGGCTCTGCACACCACTCACGGCCTCCTCACCGCTGTGCACAGCCAGCACGTCCATGCGCACCTGTGGAGCCAGGGTGTACGGCTGCACAGGTGCGCCTAGGTGGAGGTCTCCAGGTCACTGGAACTTAAAGTGTCCAAGAGAGGAGGTGTCAGGCCTCAAAGGGGCACTAGGAACTGGCGTCTCACCCTTGCCTCTGAGACCCGCAGACCCACATCCAGCCTGGGCTGTCGTGGCTGAGTGCCCCAGGCCGGTCGCCTCCCCTCTCTGGGCTGGGTTCCCTGCTGAAGGGGGGCGGGGCTCCCTGCTCCCTGTAGTGGCCTCGGCGTGGGGCCGGGCCTGTGGTTGCACCATCTCCATTGGTGTCATCCTCCCCCAGCCCTGCTGTGACAGGCATGGGAGGCAGGTGTGTTTGTGAGCTCACTGGTGCGACCCTTGGAGGTGGGAGGCTACACAGTATTTTTGGTCATCAGAGGATGGAGGATGAGCCTGCATTCTGGGCTGCAGGGCCTGGAGCTGTGCTTTCTCAATGGACTTAGAATTTGGGGAAAAAAAAAAGGAAAAAAAGGAGGGAAGAGAGTCTGCCGCCCTGGAGAGTGAAGCTGATGAATGGCTGGCTCAGGCGCCCACAGCCCCAGGGCCAACCCTCCACTGGAGCATGAGAGCGGCCGCACCACGTGGGCTGAGGAGTGACTGGCCCCGGGCGGGCTCCTGCCACTATCACAGTCGAGAGATGCGAGGGAGTTGTAGGGCAGCTGGCACTGTCCTCACCCGCCCCGGCCGGCAGGGCTTGTCAGGCCGCGTGAAGTGAGAAACGGTTTGCGGTGTCCTCCGCGGAGTGCCGGGCCCTTCCCCGGAGAGCAGCTCTGCAGGGAAGGGAAGTGGGTTTTCCTGGAAAACGGGGCGGGAGGTGTGGAGCTCGGAGAGACTGAGGTCCTGCACTGCTAAGGGGACTGGCCCCGGCCCTGGGCTGGGAGAGGGGGAGCTGGGACTCAGCCCAGGGTGGAGTCACCATGGGTTCTAAGGCACAGGATGGATACCCTCCTCGGCCATGTGACATCATTGTTTGGGATGCGCCCAGTGTTCGGAGCCTTCGAGGCTCTCCAGGTGCCTGGAGGGCTTGTAGAAATGGTGGTCAGGCCCCACGCCCCAGACTTTGTCTCATCATGTCTAGGTGGGGGCCCCAGCACCTGCATGCTGACCTGGTCCCCAGGACGCAGATGCTGCTGGCCTGAGCGTCCCCGGCTGTCTCCTGTCTGGTGTGGGTGCTGCCGCCGGGAGGCCTTGGCCCCACGGGGAGATGAGGCATCACACACGCAGCCACAACACGGGTCGGAGGCAGAGTCCAGCCCAGCAAGGGTGTGGCAGTGGAGACGAGGGAGGGGTGAAGCTGGTGGTTCCAGGAGGTTCCGTCTGGGTGAGACCCTCTGCTGCAGAGAGGGGCGGGAGCCAGTGGCCCCGCGGAGCTGAGGTCATGTGAGAAGGGGCTGCAGTCTCTTCTGTGTCATTCTCCTGTGGGGTCAGCCTCACCCCAGTGGGAACTCCCACTAGTGAAAGTCTGAGATGGCCCCATCCTGCCGTGTCGCCTAGCAGTGCACCACAGGGCATTCGGCCCCTCCTGCCTTCACACACTCAAGACGTTTTCATGACTCATCTCCTGCCAGGAGGGCACACACAGGGCACCTTTGCACGGCGCTGCCTGTCCTGAATGCCTCGCTGTCCCCGGGTGGACATAGGAATTCATCACAGTCCTCCTCGAAGCCCGGGTTGCTCTAGAAGATGAAACTCAATTGCTGTCCTTGATCTGCTGCTCACTAGAGGCCCTGGGTTGGGAATCGGAATGTAAATGTGTCACCCATCCTAGAGAAGAAAGTCCTGCAGTGTGACATGGCTTCATTTTCAACAGCTGAGACCCTCTGCCACAACAACTCTCACAGCCCCCTCATCCCCACCCGCCGTGGAAACCAAATAAAAGCAGAAAGCTCTGGTGGAAGCCGAGCTGGGGGCGATGGGGCAGATTGTAGCCCGTTTCTCCTTCCCGTCCCCCTCCCCACTTTGGCCCCTGGGACCTGCTCAGAACCCCAGGGTGAAGGAGACATCTCAAGTGTGACCCATTGGCTGCTTCTGCTGCGGGAGAGGGAGAGACGGGGTGGCCCATGTGAAAGCTATGCCTCCTGCAGCCCCGCAAAGCCTGCAAAAGCTCAGCCAGGATTTGATGGGATTGTTTCTGCTGGGACCCCCTCTCTGCTGCGTCTCGTGCAAACGTTGCTGTGAAGGGATGCCAAGGGGTTTTGCAAAGCAGAAACCCAAGCTGAGAGGAGGAGAAGGGATTGTTCTGGGGGCAGGCCCACCTTGATTCAGGGGGTTTCGCTTCATTGTGCTTTGCAGACGCTGTGTTTTTACACATTGGAGGTTTGTGGCACCCGTGCATGGGGCAAGCCTCTTGGTGCCGTTTTCCCAACAGCACGTGCTCACATCGTGTGTCCGTGCCACACTTTGGTAATTCTCACGGTATTTCAAGCTTTTTCATGATTATATCTGTTCATGGTGATCTGTGATCAGTGGTCTTTGAGGTTACTAGTGTGGTTATTTTGGGATGCCACACATCGCACCCATATAAGACAGTGAACTTAATAAATGCTCTGTGTTCTGACCAATCCTCCAACCAGCCGCTCCCCCATCCCTCTCTCTCCTCTGGTCTCCCTATTCCCTGAGACACAACAGTATTAAAATTAGGCCAGTTAATAACACTCCAATGGTCTCTAAGTGTTCATGTGAAAGAAGAGTCTCACATCTCTCACTTTAAATCAAAAGCTGGAAATGATAAAGCGTAGAGAGGAAGGTGTGTCAAAAGCCGAGACAGGCCTCATGCACCAGGCAGCCTAGTTTTGAATGTAAAGGAAAAGTAATTGAAGAAAATTAAAGTGTTACTCCAGTGAATACATGAATGATAAGGGAGTGAAACAATGTTATTGCTGATATGGAGAAAATTTTAGGGTCTGAAGAGAAGATCAA
Organism: Homo sapiens; assembly: GCF_000001405.40. Classification (NCBI taxonomy): domain Eukaryota; kingdom Metazoa; phylum Chordata; class Mammalia; order Primates; family Hominidae; genus Homo; species Homo sapiens. Next base: position 87,650,709 of record NC_000016.10, read on the forward strand.
ACTAACCACAAGCCTGATCCAGAGCAAGGCTCAACTCTAATGCTGTGAAGGCTGAGAGAGGTGAGGAAGCTGCAGAAGAGCTGGAAACGAGCAGAGGCTGGTTCATCAGGTTTAAGGAAAGAAGCCGCTTCCAGAACATAAAGTGCAAGGTGAGGGAGCAGGTTACCCAGAAGATCTGGCTAAGATTGTTGATGAAGGTGGCTACACTAAACAGATTTTCAGTGTCGATGGAACAGCTTTCTATTGGAAGGAGATTCCATCTAGGACTTTCATGCTAGGAAGAAGCTAATGGCTGGATTTGAAGGACAGGCTGACTCTCTTGTTAGGGGCCAGCACAGCTGGAAATGTTAACTTGAAGCCAGTGTTCATTGAACATTCCAAAAATCCTAGGGCCCATAAGAATTGTGTAAAATCCACTCTGTGCTCTAGAAATGGAACAACAAAGACCTGGATGGCTGCACGGCTTACAGCATGGTTTCCAGAATAGTTTTAAGCCCAGTGTTGTGATCTACTGCTCAGAAAAAGATTCCTTTTAAAATATTACTACTCACCCCGGAGCGCCCATGGAGATGTACAGGAAGATGAATGTTGTTTGCGTGCCTGCTAACATAACATCCAGCATGCAGCTGTGGATCAAGGACTAATTTTGACTTTGAGGTCTTATTATTTAAGAAATACATTTAGTAAGGCTGCCATAGATAGTGATTTCTCTGATGGATCTGGGCAAAGTCCATTGAAAACCTTCTGGAAAGGATTCACCATTCTAGATCCCATTAAGAACATTCGTGATTCAAGGTTGGAGGTCAAAACATCCACATTAACAAGAATTTAGAAGAAGTTGATTCCAGCCCTCATGGACGGCTTTAGGGGCTCAAGACTTCAGTGGAGGAAGGACTGCAGATGTGGTGGAAATAGCAAGAGAACTGGAATTAGAAGCGGAGCCTGCCGATGGGACTGCATTGCTGCAAGCTCACGACCACACTCGAAAGACTGAGGAGTTGCTGCTTAGGGGTGAAACGAGAAAATGGTTTCTTGCGATGGAATCTACTCCTGGCGAAGATGCTGCAGACATTGTTGAAGTGACAGCAAAGATTTAGAATGTTCCTTCAATTTAGTTGATAAAACAGCAGCAGAGTTTGAGGGGATTGACTCCAGTTTCCAATGAAGCTCTACCGTGAGTCAAATGCTATCAAATAGCATCACATGCTACAGAGAAATCTTTTGTGAAAGGAAGAGTTCATTGATGCAGCCAACATTGTTGTCGTTTTTTTTTTGTTTTGTTTTGAGATGGAGTCTCGCTCTGTTGCCCAGGCTGGAGTGCAGTGGCACGATCTTGGCTCACTGCAAGCTCCGCCTCCCAGGTTCACGCCATTCTCCTGCCTCAGCCTCCCAAGTAGCTGGGACTACAGGCGCCCACCACCGTGCCCAGCTAATTTTTTTGTATTTTTAGTAGAGATGGGGTTTCACCGTATTAGCTAGGATGGTCTCGATCTCCTGACCTCGAGATCCGCCCACCTCGGCCTCCCAAAATGCTGGGATTACAGGCGTGAGCCACCGCGCCCAGCCTGTTAGAAGTTGCCGCCTCAGCCTTCGGCACTCACCACGCTGATCACCCACAGCCAAGCCAAGATCCTCCATTGAAGGCTCAGATTATTGTTCACATTTTTTAGCAACAAAGTATTTTAAAATTAAGATTTGCAATTTTTTAAGATATAATGCTATAGCACGCTTAATAGACTACAATATAGTAGAAACATAACTTTTTTCTTTTTCGTGACAGGGTCTTACTCTGCCGTCCAGGCCGGAGCGCAGTGGTGCCATCACGACTCACTGCAACCTTCACGTCCCGGGCTCAAGTGATCCTCCTGCTTCCGCCTTCCGAGTAGCGTGTGGGGAGGGTGCACGCAGCTGGGCTAGGATGGCCTGGCTGGGGTCAGCCCCCGTCTGTCCTGGAGGCCAGGCAGGTGCGGAGCTTACGGAGGTGGCCACCTAGATGATGGTGCCTACTCTCGTGAGTTGAGGCCCTTGGATCTCTGGCAGTCAGCAGGACTGTGGTGGCAGCCGGTGTGCTGGTTGTCAGCTGATGTCCCTGTCTGTGATTTTTCCGTGTGAATGCAGCCTTGACTGGGCATGTAGATCAGAGGTGACAAGTCCTGGGCACCTCTGCCACTCTTCTTCCTGCCCTGCACCCACTACAGACACAGCTAATTGGTGGCTGCGTTGAGAATCTTGTCACCAGGCAGGCTCTTCTGTCGGCTCAGGACTGTCCTGCGGGCATAGCAGGAAGTGAACTGCAGGGGGAAGTTGGGGCCTGGTTGCTGAGGAGGGCAGTGCGTGGTCTCCAAGCCAGTCAGTGCCTGCGGGGGGGACTAGAATTCTCACCCAGGCCTCTGCTCTCAGTCCTGTTCCTCCTCTCACATTCTTCACACCCAGGCTGGGCTCAGGGATCCTTGTTGATGATGGCCTTGAAATGTCCTCTGAACAGTGTGGCTCTGGGGGTGTGTAAAACCCAGGGTGATGCCTGCTCTGAAAGGGGCTTCCAGATCCCTTTGTGTCTCCAGCACCTGCCGTGTGCCTGCCCCAAGCTGGGGTCTGTGAGCTGTGCCTTGGGGCCCCTGCCTGTCCCCGCTCTGCTCTCTGCTGTGGCTTGCTGGCTGCAGGGTTCTCCAGTGAGTGAGGGATCCCTGCTGGCCATGCCTGGAGCTGAGGGTGGAGGGAGGCCCAGCAGGAAGCCCCACAGGTAGGCCCCAGTGAGGGTGCATTATCTACAGGAAAGTTGCCTGGGACACTCTAGTGGGCCGTCTAGGAAATGCAGCCTTTAAGGACCTGAAATGGAGGGGGATATTTTTAGTTTTTAAAATTTATTTCTCATTAAAATTATAACACAGCCTCGTAAAAATATTAAAACAGCGAGACAGATGTGTCAGGGGTTATGTATATGAAGGAGGTAGCACAGTTCTCATCACGGGTGTGCTTAGTGTCCCCCTAAAGTTCATGCCAGTTAATGTGATCGTGACTGTAATTGGAAATAGGGTCGTTGCAGATATAATTAAGATGAGGTCCTTCTGGAGTCGAGTGGGACTGGTGTCCTTAGAGGAGAAGAGACACGGACACACAGAATGCCACGTGGGACAGAGGCCTGCTGTCTACACCTGTGCAGAGGAGACAACAAGGAGAGTGGGGCATGACCCCTGCCCACGACACTCGCCTCCAGGAAGGCAGCCAGCTGCCCATCTTTGGTGCGGTCATCTCTGCAGGCAACAGAATGGCAGAGTGGCAGTCTGATCACTCTACTCCATTGTGTGAGAGTCTCCAGGATGAAGACCAGGCTCCCCAGCAGGACGTGCGGCCCTCATGGAGTTCTGGCCTTGTTTTCGGCTGTTGCCTGGCTGATATTCTGCACATCTGCCCACCGTCCTCTGGGCGGTCCACGAATACATTGTGCCTTCCTCTTTGCATATGCTGGTCCCTCTGCTGGCAATGCCCTTCCTTCTTGGTGAGCTCCAATGCATCCCTCAAGACTCAGTTCAGATGCGCCTCTCTGGACTCATCCCCAACTCCCAGACGGGGTTGGCTGCTCCCTTTTTTCAGATCCTGAAACACTTACTTGTCCCCCTTTATGTGGGCATTTATCTGATAGTAGAGTTTTTCTGTACTGTTGGAATGGTGAGTTCCCTGAAGCTAGGTCAGCTTCCTTCTCAGCATTCAGCAGGCGGTGGGGGAGGAGGGAAGGAGAGGAACTTCCTAATAAAGATGAACACCTCTTTGTGGTTAGGTCAGACCAGCCTGTGCCTGTGCGACCTGGTGCAGACCTTCACCTCTCAGAGCCTCGGTTTCCTCATCTGAGCCTCAGGCACGACAATCTGCTAGACTCTGCTTCCCGGTGGCAGCTGGGGAATGGGATGGGAAGGAGCCCTGGGATGCTCAGGTCATCCCTGCCACCAGAATGTCCCCAGAGTCATGACCATCAGCACCTCAGCCTCGCTGCTTTTTCCTTGGGGTCTGCAGGGGCAGGACGCAAACCCCACACGCTCGCTGCGCAGTAAGCTGCAGGGGCTTCTCCAGCAGCACCTCTGAGGCCTGCCTACCACGTGGAGATGCTGCTCCCGTGGGCTCTGACCACCGCTCTGCCCTCTTCTCACAGGAACCAGCGACCACTCGGCCCGGCGTAACCACGCATGTCCACTGGTCACCTGGTGGCCTTCGACAAGAACGTGTGATAAATCCCTGCCGGAGTGCGGCTCCGGGAAAACGCTGTCACCGCAAACCAGCTCCTCTTTGTTGCAGTCCCCCGGGGGCATGGCCCGGCAAGTTTCCTTAGCCAGGGGCCAGTTTGCCTGGGGTCAGTGGGCAGCGCCTGGGAGTCGAGTGTCTCGAGTGGGGCTCTGCTTGGTTTCTCCTTGAAGGTCTGGCAGGGTCAGACCCTGCATCGGCAGTAACCGCGGAGATGGGAGAGCCGAGTCTGCCGCTGTGGGCTTCCTGGGCCTTCCCGCCACCCCCGCCAGGGCCCTTGGGCTGCATATTCGAGGCGCGCAGCCTGCCAGGCCCTCCGGCCTCCCTGCGTGGCCACCAGGGAAAATGGCTTCACTTTGCTGAGCCTCTGTCTCCCTGGTTACAAAACAAATAATTTTATTTTTTGTGACAGGGTGTTATTTTTTGTGACAGGGTGTTGTTCTGCTCTGTCCCCCGGGCTGGAGTGCAGTGGTACGATCATAGCCCACTGCAGCCTCGATCTCCTGAGCTCAAACGATCCTCCCACCTCAGCCTCCTGAGTAGCTGGGACCGCAGCCGTGCACCACCACGCCCAGCTAACATTTTTATGTCTTGTAGAGATGGGGTCTCACTGTGTTGACCAGGCTGGTCTCCAACTCCTGGCCTCAAAAATTCTCCTGCCTCAGCCTCCCAAAGTGCTGGGATTACAGGCGTGAGCCACTATGCCTGGCCAATAATGTTCTATTTTAATTTCCTGTATTCCCTAAATAGTCATAACCGTTTCCAAGGGCGATATTCAGAACACGTAATGAGTGCAGTGCAGGCACCAGCCCACGTCTCGGCCCCCCGTGTGGGGAACCAGTCTGGCCATCTCATGGTCCCTGCGTCTGCTCTGCCCACCTCGTAGGAGGCTCTGGATTGAATGAGGTTCGACAGTGCTGACTGTGAGCCTGGCCCTGAGTCCGCTCAGGGGTCTCACTTGCCACTCTGCTGCTGTCACTGCGCCGTTCCCTTTGCCCACATGCCCTCCTGGTCTCTGCATAGATGTCCTGAGTGGGACTGCTGGGAGTGGGGCACTGCTGCGTGGCAGTGGAGCCTCGATAGTGGGTCTCTTGGGGGATTATTGGCAAGCTGCACCCCTTGAAAGTTAACCGATCGGGGTGCATGGCGTGAACTTCCCTTCCTGAGCTGGTCAGCCCAGTGTATGCTGTGAGCCAGGAGCCCTGAGGGCGTCTCTGCCCGCCTATCTCAGAGCACACTCTGTGTTGCAGGTGCCGTGACACCTATTTTACAGCCCAGGAAACAGAGTCTTTCATGCTGTTCCTTCCAGCCGAACCCTCAGCTGGAGTCACTCCAGAAGCCGCAGGCAGGAGAGTTCCCACAAAGGACTGGATGCACACCTTCCTGAGACGGGGGGTGGGTTAGGATTCCAGCAAAGGAAGCTCTAAACACCAGAGTGGCCAGTCCATGGCATTTGTTGGGGGACTTACAGAGGGGGCTTCAGCTTCCTGTGGGAATGGGGAGATGAGCCACGTTCTGCCCCGGTATGTCTGCAACGACGGGATCAGATTACGGAGTTCATATGAGGGTGAAGGAACTCGGCTCAGGGCCGGGCCCAGTTTCCAGGCTTGATCTTGCAGTGTTTGGGGGCAACACCCTGAATAAATGAATCAGTCAGTGCCTGGGAACATTCGAGGCCCTGGCTTGGGTTCAAGCCTGCAGGAAAAACGTGCAGCTGGCGGGTCAGGGGCAGTTAGGACAGAGGACGAGGAGGAACGGGGGCCCCTACGTGCCATGGGCATGTGCTCGTCTCTCTCCTGGTGTCCGCCTTTCTCCTCTGCCTTGTGGCTCAGCTTGGACTGCCATAACAAAATACGATAGAGTGGGTGGCAGAAATGCATTTTCTCCCCGTTCTGAAAACTGGACAGTCCAAATGCATGGTGCCTGTGGTGTTCCGACAGGGGATCACTCCTCGGGCTCCTTCTCGCTCTGTTCACGGGGCTTTCCTTGGTGCATGGAGAGGATCTCCCTCTCCTCCTCTTCTTATAAGGTCACCAGTCCCATCAGATTAGGGCCCCACCCATATGGCCTCATTTAACCTTAATTACCTCCTTAAAGGCCCTATCTCCACATATAGGCCCTTGTCATAGCGGAGGCTTCACATAGGAACCTGAGGGGGACTCAGCCTGGAGCACCTGGTGTGTTAGGAGGAGGCCAGGCCAGCGCTGAGCACCCTGCCTGTGGGTGAGCCCTGCTTCTCAAGCAACAGTAATAAATAAAAAGGAGGAGGCCAAACTGACCAGACCTAAAAAAACAGTATCTTAAGGTCTGACACCTGCCACGGCATGAATGAGCCAGAGAAAGTGATGCTGAGTGAAGGAAGCCTGTCACAAAAGGACAAATGTGGCATGTGAAATCTCTAGAACAGGGAGATTCATGGGGACAGGGAGTGGACTGGGTTACCAGGGGCTGGGGTGGGAACAACGGGGAGTGGCTTCTTCATGGGTGTAGGGTTTCTGTTGAGGGCGACGACAGTACCCTGCAAGTGGACCGGTGACCGATGCACAGCGTTGAATGTACTGAATGCCACTGAACTGTGAACTTTAAAACTGTTAAAGTGGCAAGTTTTATGTTATATTAAAAAAATCATATATAGAAAGGATGTTGTATTAAACGAGAAAAACTCATTTCTCTCAAGTACCAGTCACTCATTGTGGAGACTGCTCTTGAGGTCACTGTGCCCAGGCCTCTTCTGTCTTGAGCCAGTCCATCTCTGGGGTGTGACCCTAGCTTACCCCCATGACCACAGGAAGACCATGAGCTGGTCCTTTAAGGATGCAACCTGGGAGTTGCCCCGAGGACTGTGCTCACATTCTGTTGGCCAAAACTCGGTTACGTGACCACACCTAGCTGCAAGGGAGGCTGGGAAATGTAGTCCTTAGTCTGGGGGCATGTGCCTGGCTGACAATGGGGCTTCAGTGCTGTGGGAGAGGAGGAGCTGGTGGCTGCCAGGGGATGGACAGCTGTCTCTACCAACCTGGCCTCACAGTGGTCACGCTCCAGGACATAAATGTCCCCTCTGCAGCAAAGACTTCCTGGGTGTGGAGGGGACTGGGGGCCCACACCCTGGTCTTCACAAGATGGTCTCCTACCCCGGAAGGCACCATGCGGCCCACGCTTCAGTGTGAAGACACCACCTGTGTGTTAATGGGCCCAACACCAACCTGGGTGCAGGGCAGGTATTCAGCAAACAGTGAATGGACACCAGGGAGCTGGCTACTATAGCGACCTCCTGAGGTCGCAGGGCTACCAAACAGTGCACGGCATTTGCACCCCAGCTCAGGCGTCCCGGCAGGGATTCTGCATTGTCTGCCTTTGAAAAAAGGGTGGGAGAGTTAGGACAGGAATTTTCTCTGTTTCCCTCTCTCTCTCCTTCTCCCCGCTTCTCCCCCTCTCTTTTTCCCTTTCTCTTTTCCTCCCTCTCTGTCCCTCCCTCTCTTTTCCTCTCTATCTCCCTATCTGCTTTGCTCTCTGTCTCTCTGTCCTATTTTTCTCCATCACTCTTTGTCCTTGTCTCTTTTTCTCGTTCTCTGTCACTCCGTTTCTGCTTTTGTTCCCCCTTCTCTCTCTCTCCCCAACCCCCCTGTTTCTCTATCTCTTCACCTGTGAATTCCTGAAACAGACCCAGGGCATGATGTCGTGGAGGGCAGGCCCCAGAGGCGTCCAGGTGACACCGTGTGGGCATTTGTAAAGCAGGAGGCCCCAGCAGGTGGAGCAGGAGGACTCACCCCCCTGCAGTGGGTGGTCAAGAAGAGCTGCCTTTCCTAAGCCCCTCTCTCCTCCAGCCACCCCTCACCTGGGGCCTGCTGAGAGGGACAAGGTGGATTGGGGCTTGCTGTGGGGCTGGTGCTGAGGCAGGGGTGGGTGGCCCCCCAGCCCCTATTTCCTCCTCTCCAAACCCAGCCATCCCAGTTAATTATTTGCCCAGCAGGGCAGCTTGACTGGCTGGTGTCTTGCTGAGCAATAAGCAGCTGAATAAGGGTGCAATTGCTGGAGGCGGGGTCGCAGCTGCAGACCTGGGCGGTCACTTAGTCTGGGACAGCTGCGGCGGCCACAGCGAAAGCCATGCAGCCTGCCCCATGCCTGGCTTTGTCGCGACGGCTGCTGGAACAGACGGGTGTGGTGGCTCATGCTTGTAATCTCAGCCCTTTGGGAGGCCAAAGCAGGCGGATCACTTGAGGTCAGGAGTTAGAGACCAGCCTGGCCAACATGGCAAGATCCCCTCTCTACTGAAAATACAAAAAAATTCAGCCGGGTATGGTGGCAGGCACCTGTAATCCCAGCTACTCAGGAAGCTGAGGCATGAGAATCACTTGAACCCAGGAGGCGGAGGTTGCACTGAGCCAAGATCAAGCCACTGCACTCCAGCCTGGGTGACAGAGTAAGACTGTCTCAAAAAAAAAAAAGAAAAAAAAAAAGAAAACTACACACACATACACACAACATAAAATGTATGATTTTGGCCAGGCACAGTGGCTCACGCCTATAATCCCAGCACTGGGAGGTTGAGGTGGGTGAATCACTTGAGGTCAGGAGTTCTGGACCAGTCTGGGCCAACATGGTGAAATTCCATCTCTACTAAAAATACAAAAATTAGTAGTGTATTAGTGGGTGTGGTGACAGGTGCCTGTAATCCCAGTTACTCAGGAGGTTGAGGCAGGAGAATTGCTTGAACGCAGGAGACGAAGGTTGCAGTAAGCCGAGATAGCACCACTGCACTCCAGCCTGGGCAACAAAGCAAGACTCCATTTCAAAAAAAAAAAGGATGATTTTTAACCATTTTTAAGTGTACCGTAAGTGGCATTAAGCATGTGGTGCAACCATGACCACCATCTATCTCCAGAACTCCTTTCACCTTGCAGAAATGACACCCTGGACCCTTGAAACACTAACTCCCCCTCCCAGGTTCCCTCCCCCAGCCTGGGGATTAGGCATCTAGCAGCTGCTGTCTGGAGAGGGATAGCATGGCCCTGCTCCGTCCCTTCTGGGCCCGTTGAGCTCTGCTGTGAAGGGGATTCCTTTCCTTGTCCCTGTCACTCCTAGTGTGGAGGTCGGGGGTACCAAGCCCCAGCCCTGCCACCTGGAAACCCTGGGAAAGCAGCGTCACCTCCCTGTGCCTCAGTTTCCTCATCTGTAAAGGGGAGCTGAGGACAGGACCTGCCTCCGAGCCTGGGGAGAGACGGCAGTGCACAGGGACTAGCTGTGCGTCTCAGTAATACGGAGAGAACTTTGCAGGCCAATGGCGTCCCTCTGAGAAAGACTCTCCCTGGATTCTGTTTCAGAGAGTTGAGCTTTTCCCCAGAGCAGATGCTTTGAAACTGTCTCAGGTGGACAGAGGGGGCTGCAGGGAGGGCACAGAGGACTTCCTGGGAGTGAGGTTTCCTGGGATTGAGTCCCAGCCCTGCTGTAGGGCTGGAGTGAAAGGGGCCTCCCCAGAGAGCCTCTCCCAGGGCTCTGTCCCCAAGTGGCCAAGCTAATTCGGTTCCGTGCTCCCCTTTTGCCCACCCCCACCAGAGGCCACAGGCTGGACTGGGCGCCACTGCTCATGCTTCTGTCCTGGGATAGCACAGACCAGTACACCAGGGTCTGGCACATGTCCGTTGTAGTCACTGCAGCCCTCCCAGTCTCCCCGTTTTGTAGAGGAAGCCACAGCTCGGGGCAAAGCCGCACCTCGCAGTGGACAGGTGAGTCTCTGCCTCCCCACCAGCTGCCTCTTCCACAGATGGACCCCCAATCACACTGTCATATCGCCTGTCTGAGCCTCACTGTGCTAGTCTGTAGGAGGGGGCACCTCCTCTTGGGCCATCCATATAAGGCTGGAGACAAACAGCTCCACCCAGTTATGGGAGTCCCATGCCATCCAGGACACATCCAAGTGGATCTCTCATAGCCTATCATGGTTCCTCCAAGACTCAGTTTTCTCATCTGTCCAGTGGAATGACAATGGTACAGGCTGTGAGAATCCCTTATCTGAAATGACTGGGATCAGAAGTGTTTCGGATCTTGGCTTTAAGTTGTAGAATATTTGTATGCACATAATGAGATATCGTGAGGATGGGACCCAAGTCTAAACACGAAATTTATAATACATAAGTTTCTGGAGGCTCCAGGGAGAATGTGTTCCTTGCCTTTCCCAGCTTCCAGAGGCCGCCTGCGTTCCTTGGCTCGAGGTCCCTCCTCCACCTTCAGAGCCAGCGGGGCAGCCTCTCCTCTCCTCTCCGACCTCCTGCCTCCCTCTTACAAGGACCCTTGTGGTTCGGGGTCATCTGATTATCCACCCAGATAATCCAGGGTCATCTCTCTCTTTCCTGATCCTTAACTCAGTCATATCTGCAAAGTCCCTTTTGCCACATAAGGGGACACATTCACAGACGGGTTCTGGGGATCAAAACAGGGACATCTTTGAGGGCTGTGTTTCTGCTGACCACGCTCTCCTCTGGGCCTGCCCTTTGCATCTGCAGATAGCAGTGGACTCTCTTTAGGGGGAGCAAAGCCTCCCGCTCTGAGCATGGGCTGGACTTTGGGGGTCCAGGACTGGGGAGGGGTCGACATTGTAGGTCACCACCATGTGTGACTGTCCAGGGAGGCTGGGGGATGAAACAGCCGAGGGTCTGACTGGGGGAGAGCCGAGAACACACCCCACTTTATCCGGAAGGCCAGCCATGTCTGCTCAGAGACGAAGAGTCACGGGACAGCCCTGTCCAAGAGCAAAGACCCGTCCAAGAGCAGGGTCAGCACCTCGGAGAGTTCCCCGCAGGCCGCCACGGGGCGGGGAGAGAATTCATGGGGCTTCGACTTAGAAGGGGAACATACAATGCTGTGGTTTTCACTGCCTCTGGGTGCAACTCAGCATTTCCCCAATTACGAAGCCAGGGCCTTGGCCCCCAGCAGGAAGCCTGGGGTATTTCATTGCCTCACACTCACGTCCCATCTGCTGAGGGGCACGTACGCCACCACTACTCCTGAGTGGCAGTTGATTTTACGCTCACAGATTCGTCCTGTTATTTAGTATGTTAATTCAGGCGGCTATGCATGGTTGTCTCACAAATTTGATTTTTAAGGAATTTAACATTTCAAAATACTTGGTTTCCCTTGTAACCCCTCACCTTTTATTTTCTGTACCTACGGTCATCCCTCAAGAGGGATCCGTAGGCCTCCCCTGCCTGCCCTGGGCACAGGGACATCCCGAAGCGCCGGTCCCAGAGCCTGGGCTCTGCTGCTGTTTCTCTGTGACTTGAGGCAAGATATCCTACGCTGCCGAGATAGCAGCCCCTCTGCCTGGGGAGGTGAGTGTGAGGAACCCGGTGTACTCTGTCGATGTTTAAGGGTCAGTGGGCGCCGAATGAATGGTTTCTGTCAGCAGCACATTCTGCATCTCCCAAAACCAAAACCAAAAGGACAGCCGGATTTTCCCCTCTGCCTGACTTCACTAGGCTCGCGTCTGATTTTTTTTTTTTAGCACCGTCAGCATAAGGGCCTGGGTTTATTTTGTGGTTGTTTATAGTGGAATTGGGTGTAGTGTCCTGATTTGTTTTCCAGGATGTTCGTTTTGGGGTCAAGGGTCTTTGGGGTGGATGAGGCGGGAGAACCAGGCTTGAGTGAGGCTCTGCCCTCCTTTCCTGGCCCCCTGGTGGCCCCTCCAGAGTCTGTCCCGGCCATGGACCCCAGTCCCCGCTGAGCCATGCGGAGAGTTTGGGAGAAGTGCATACCTGCCTTGGGGGCTTGACTGGCAGGCTGCTTTCCTCTGGCTCATCTTGAAGTTAAAATGTAGCTCAGACCCTCCTCAGCCCCCACGCAGGGTTGCAACCTCTTCCGTCTGTCTCCCTGTGAAATCCACCTTCCAGGGGGCAGCCTGGGACCTGGGATGGCCCTCCCTACCTGAAACCTTTCAGGCCTTCCACTGCCTGCAGGGAAAAGCACCGGCTCCTTTCACGGACTTCCAGCACCCCTTCGGGGCTGCTGCTGCCTGGTTGGTAAGCCCTGAGCTCACTAATCTCAGCCGTCACATGCTGTTGGGCACCAGCCTGTCTCTTTGGACCATAAAAACGCCATGTTGGGTTGGCAGGATAAGTCGGCAAGTTTTGATCCAGGGCTACAGATTTCCTGGTTGTATTGTTTCAAGGTTAATTTCTTTCTTTTTTTTTTTGAGATGGAGTCGCGCCCTGTCACCCAGGCTGGAGTGCAGTGGCACAATCTCGGCTCACTGCAACTTCCGCCTCCCAGGTTCAAGCAATTCTCCTGCCTCAGCCTCCCAAG